>NC_000019.10:52240874-52865874 GCF_000001405.40 Homo sapiens | reverse complement strand
AATATATATGTATAATATATAAATATATGTGTATAATCATATATAAATATATGTGTATAATCATATATATAAATATATGTGTATAATCATATATATAAATATATGTGTATAATCATATATATAAATATATGTGTATAATCATATATATAAATATGTGTATAATCATATATAAATATATGTATAATATATATGTATAATCATATAATATATATGTATAATCATATATAAATATATATGTATAATCATATATAAATATATATGTATAATCTCATATATAAATATATGTATAATCATATAAATATATATGTATGATCATATAAATATATATGTATAATCATATATAAATATATATGTATAATATATAAATATATATGTATAATATATATGTATTATATATATATGTAATATATATATATGTATTACATATATATATATATATAAAGCCTGGACCCTGCACAGAACGCTTTATACAGGGCCGTGATTTGGGAGAACTACAGGAACCTGGAGTCTGTGGGTGAGGAAAATGTCCCTCCAGACCATATATATATATTTGAAATGGGGTACCGTTCTTCTCACCCAGTCTGGAGTCCAGTAGCACGATCTCAGCTTGCTGCAACCTCTGCCTTCTGGGTTCAAGCGATTCTTCTGCCTCAGGCTCCCCAGTAGCTGGGATTACAGGTGCCCACGACCACACCCAGCTCATTTTTGTATTTTTAGTAGCGACGTTGTTTCATCACTTTGACCAGGCTGGTCTCCAACTCCTGACCTCAGGTGATCTGCCCACCTCTGCCTCCCAAAGTGCCAGGATTGCAGGCATGAGCCACTGTGCCCCACCTTTTTAAAAATTTTATTTTTTATTTTTGAGAAGGAGTCTCGCTCTATCACCCAGGCTGGCGTGTAGTGGCCCGATCTCGGCTCACTGCAAGCTCTACCTCCCAGGTTCACACCATTCTTCTGCCTCAGCCTCCTGAGTAGCTGGGACTACAGGTGCCTGCCACCACGCCTGGCTAATTTTTTGTACTTTTAGTAGAGACGGGATTTCACTGTGTTAGCCAGGATGGTCTCGATCTCCTGACATCATGATCTGCCTGCCTCGGCCTCCCAAAGTGCTGAGATTGAAAGCGTGAGCCACCGCACCTGGCCAATTTTTATTTTTATTTTATTGAGATGGAGTGTCTCTCTGTTGCTCCAGCTATAGTGCACTGATGTTATCTTGGCTCACTGCATCCTCTGCCTCCTGGGAGAAGAGGAGTTTTCACCATGTTGTTCAGGCTGATCTCAAACTCTTGACCTTGTGATCTGCCTCCCTCCACTTCTCAACGTGCTGGGATTACACGCTTGAGCCACTATGGCTGGCCCTGACTTTCTTTTCTTTAGGCCACTGGACTTTGTCATCTCTGAGACTGCACTTGTATTTTAGCTCATCCAGATAATGAATATCAAGTGTTAGGCTGAACATAATATCTAACGTATTTATAGAGAAAACACTATATTTAGTTTTTATTTGTAAATTTTTTACTTAGGGGATCTTGAAATCTCTCATGGAAAAGTACAATAAAATGCAACGATAGAGAAAAGATGTTCAAAAATACCTTAATACGGGTTTGTCAGAACATATTCTTTGGCCCAATCGATACTTAATTTCCCATTTCTCATTTCGTGTGAAGGTGATAACGCCTCCATAATGTTTTATTTAAACGTGTTTCTCATTTTAGGGATACTTGACTTTCAGAGATGTGGCTATAGAGTTCTCTTTGCTGGAGTGGAAACGCCTGGACCCTGCACAGAACGCTTTATACAGGGCTGTGATGTGGGAGAACTACAGGAACCTGGAGTCTGTGGGTGAGGAAAATGTTCCTCCAGACATGAAGAATCTGTCCTTGTGTATCTTGGCTTTTCCTGGTTTTGTATTCTCTTTTGTGATTTTGCCCCATACGTGCTTTTGATGTACACAGCTGGGATTCCAGGCACGTGCCACCATGCCCAGCATGTTATTTTGTATCTTTAGTGGAGATAGGGTTTTGCCATGTTGGCCAGGCTCGTCTCGAACTCCTGACCTCCATACCCACCCGCCTCGGCCTCTAAAGTGCTGGGATTACAGGCTTGAGCCACCGCACCTGGCATTGTTCATTTTTAACAAGAAAAGCTTTGTTCAGTTTGTTGTGGGATCAACCCTGTAACAGTTACACTTTTCATCATTCTTATTGAGGGAGCTTGTGAGGTTGAATGAGATTCCCATATTTTAGTTCTTTTTTTTTTTTTTTCCTTTTTTGAGATGGAGTCTTGCTCTGTAGCCCAGGCTGGAGTGCAGTGGCACCATCTCGGCTCACTGCAACCTCTGCCTCCCAGGTCCCAGTTCAAGCAATTCTCCTGCCTCAGTCTCCTGAGTAGCTGGGATTGCAGGCACATGCCACCATGCCCAGCTAATTTTTGTATTTTTAGTAGAGACAGGTTTTCACCATGTTGGCCACAATGGTCTTGAACTCCTGACCTCGTGATCCACCTGCCTTGGACTTCCAAAGTGCTGGGATTACAGGTGTGAACCACCATGCCCGACCTTCCCATATTTTAGTTCTACTGTCATTTGTTTAAGACACAGAGGCTTTCAACTTATTCATTTCTATGTGTTATATATTTCATAGAAATACATATACTTCTATGTATTATATATTCATTTTTTTGCAGTAAGGAGTTCGAGACCAGTCTGGCCAGCATCACAAAACCCTGTCTCTACTAAAAATACAAAACTTAGCCAGGCATGGTGGTGTGCACCTGCAGTCCCAGCTACTCGAAAGGTTGAGGCAGGAGAATCGCTTGAGCCCAGGAGGCAGTTTGCAATGAGCCGAGTCACAGTGGCTTTCAACTTGTTTGTGTCTTTTCAGCAGTGCGATCTCAGCTCACTGCAATCTCTGCCTTGGGTTCAAGCAATTCCCCTGCCTCAGGGTCCAGAACAGCTGAGACTACAGGCGGAATCCACCATACCCAGCTAATTTGTTGTAATTTTGTTCACAAGGCAATTCATACTGGAGAGAAACCTTACAAATGTAAAGAATGTGACAACGTTTTCAGTTGCAGATCACACCTTGCAATGCATAGGAGAATTCACACTGGAGAAGCCATACAAATGTAAGGTTTGTGAAAAGGTTTTTGGGCTCAATTCACTCCTTGCAGAACATACTGAAATTCACACTGGAGAGAAACCTTACAAGTGTAATGAGTGTGGCAAAGCCTTTAGGGTGAGGGCATCGCCTATTCACCATCAAGCAATCCATGGTATAGTGAAAGCTCACAGATGTAATGACTGCCACAAAGTCTCCAGTAAAACTACAACACTTGCAAATCATTGGAGAACCTATAATGAAGAGAGATCTTACAAGTGTGATAAATGTGGCCAATTTTACAGTCATCATTCATACCTTGCAGTTCATCAGTGAACTCATACTGGAGAAAAACCTGTGACAAAGTTTTCAGTCGTAAATCACAGCTTGAAAGACATAGGTGAATTCATACTGGAGAGAAACCATACAAATGTAAGGTTTGTGATAAGGATTTTGGGTGTGATTCACACCTTGCAGGACATACTAGAATTCACCCTGGAGAGAAACCTTACAAGTGTAATGAGTGTGGCAAAGCCTTTAGTGGGCAATCACCACTTACTCACCATCCATCAGGCAATCCATGGTGTAGGGAAAGTTTACTAATGCAATGATTGTCACAATGCCTTTGGTAATGCTAGAACTGTTGCAAATCATTGGAGAATCCGTAATGAAGAGAGATCTTACAAGTGTTAATAAATGTGGCAAAGTTTTCAGACATCGTTCATAACTTGCAGTTCATCAGCGAACTCATACTGGAGAGAAACCTTACAAATGTCATGATTGAGGCAAGGTCTTCAGTCAAGCTTCATCCTAGGCAAAACATAGGAGAATTCATACAGGAGAGAAACCTCACAGGTGTGATAATTATGGCAAAGTCTTTACTTCACGTTCACAAGTCATTAGGCATCAGAGAATCCCTACTGGACAGAAATCTTACAAATGTCATAAGTGTGACAAGGTTTCAGTCTGAGGTCACTCCTTGCAGAACATCAGAAAATTCATTTTTGAGATAATTGATGCACAGGCAATGAGTATAGCAAACCATCAAGCATTAATTGTCATTAGAGTCAATTCAGCATTGACTTGAGTTTGAGTTGATTTAACATTGAGTTCAAGCATTAATTGATGTTAAAGTGTTTATGTTAAGAGGATTGGGCCAGGCACGGTGGCTCATGCCTGTAATCCCAGCACTTTGGGAGGCCAAGGCAGTTAGATCCCTTGAGGTCAGGAGTTTGAGATCAGCCTGGCCAACAGACGTGTGCCACTTTTCCCAGCCAGTTTTTTGTTTCTTTAACACAATCTGATAGGGATTTTTATGGGTACCGTGTTGAATCTAAATCACATTAGGTTATATAATCATTTAGCAATATTAATTTTTCCAATCCATCAATATGGGTTCTATCTCTATTTATATATGTTTTTAATCATTTTGATCAGTGTTTGTGGATTTCAAGGTACAAACGTCTCACCTCTTTACATTTATTCCTTAGTATTTCTTACTTAAATTTCTCTAGCAAATGGAACGGTTTTCTTAATTTTCTTTTAAAATTGTTTATTGTTAATGTATGGAAATTCAACTAATTTTTGCTGCTGATATTGTATTCTGCAAATCCACTGAATGTGTTTATTAGTTCCAGTAGTATTTTGGTTGACTCTTTGGATTTTTTCCACAGAAGATCATGTCATCTACAAACAAATACAATTTTATTTCTTTCTTTCTGATTTGGATGAGTTTTCGTTTTTGTTTTGTTTGTTTGTTTGTTTGTTTGTTTTTGACGGAATCTCACTCTGTCGCCCAGACTAAAGTGCAGTGACATGGTGTCAGTGCATTACAAAAGAGTGGTGTCTCCATAATTGTGCTTAGAACGCTGTGGTGCATGAGTGGAAAAACTGTTAAACAGGATCCTAGGAGAGCTAGAATGACAAAGTTTTAGTCTACTAAAACTAGCAAGACGTAGTCCTTACTGCTCACGCATGAGTCATGATCTTAAGATGTTTACAGTTAAGGAAAGCAGCTTAATAGTACCTGCAAGAACAAACTCCTACAGAAAAACAATGTCCAGATGACTCAATATCCCATGACAATCTATGCTTCTAAAATAATTACAGTCATGCTTTCAAGTACTTGCACACTAAAATACCAAGAATAGCTTTTTTTTCTTTTTCTTTTTTTTTTTTTGATGCCGTTTCACTCTTGTCATCCAGGCTGGAGTGCAATGGCACAATCTTGGCTCACTGCAACCCCCGCCTCCCAAGTTCAAGCGATTCTACTTCCTCAGCATCCTGAGGAGCTAGGATTACAGACATGTGCCCCCAGGCCTGGCTAATTGTTGCATTTTCAGTAAAGACTGGCTTTCACCATGTTGTCCAGACTGGTCTGGAACTCCTTACCTCAGGTGATCCCCCTGGTACAGCCTTTCAAATTGCTAGTATTGCAGGAGTGAGCCACCGGGACCGCCTAAGGATAGCTTTAAATCAACAAAATAATAAGTTTTGTTAGACTGTCAGCAGACCGGCAGGTAGACATATCTTAGTTTTTACCTAGGCGCCTATGTAAGAAAAACAGGCCAGGTGCAGTGGCTCACGCCTGTAATCCCAGCACTTTGGGAGGCCGAGGCGGGAGCATCACAAGGTCAGGAGATCGAGACCATCCTGGCTAACACGGTGAAACCCCGTCTCTACTAAAAATTCCAAAAATTAGCCGGGCGTGGTGGCGGGCGCCTGTAGTCCCAGCTACTCTGGAGGCTGAGGCAGGAGAATGGCGTGAACCCGGGAGGCGGAGCTTGCAGTGAGCGGATATTGCGCCACTGCATTCCAGCCTGGGTGACAGAGCGATACACCGTCTCAAAAAAAAAAAAAAAAGAAAGAAAAACTTAAAGAGGAGGCATTTCCTTTGTTTATGAGGACACCCTACTTTGTAACTGGTAGCGTGTAGTGCAATAAAATTTAGTTTCCTAATATCAATTTAAAAAAAAACAGTTTACCTGTAAGTAGGAAGACTACCCAGCCCCAGAGATAAGACCTTTTGGCATCATTGTCCCTTCTTACGGAGTGATAAAGTAACCTTCCTTGAAGTGTATCAATCCATCACCAGTCAAGCTGCCGCAGCCTATGCACTGGTCTTGAATGGAAAATGTGTTGATTCTGCTAAAGCTTCTCTGTCTTTCCCTGTGTGTGAAACCTTAACATCTCTACATGGGAACACGGGCCCCCTTCATTTGGAGTTGATGTTTCCAGATGGCTATCCTCAAACTTTGTGTTCCAATAAACTCTATAATTAATCGTGTATTCTGAATTTTATTATTTACTGCTGACGTCAGTTTCCGTCAGATTGTAGGAGCCTCACTAGAGAGGGCACCTGTCGCCATGTCGTAAAACTCACACTTGTCAAAAAGACGTGGGTTAATGTATTTCCCCTCCTTCTGCATGAAGCTAGTTAGCTGACACAGATGGTCACCTCCATTACCAAGTAGAGCCAGGATGAACTATGTGCGACCAAAGACTTGTCAAGTCCTCTTCCCTGAGGACTGATTAGTGTTTATCTTGAAAACATGTACTTAATGGGTTGTATAGAGCAGTGAAGTTTCTCTCTTTTCAACCTCTCAGCTCTTTGCCTGTATTTCCCAACACATTCTGGTCTAAGGCTTATTTACTAATAAAATGGTTTTTATTTCTTCCTGTTTTGTCATGAAGATGATTTCTCATTTTGGGGAAGATTTTTTAGTTTTCAATTGTATTTTTTCAACATTTAAAAAGCGAAGTAAAGAGTATTTCTTGGGCCAGGCACAGTGGCTCACGCCTGTAATCCCAGAACTTCGGGAGGCCGAGGCAGGCGGATCACTTGAAGTCAGGAGTTCGAGACCAGCCTGTCCAACATGATGAAACCCCGTCTGTACCCAAAATACAAAAATTAGCCGGGCATGGTGGGTGTGCCTGTAATGCCAGCTACTCCGGAGGCTGAGGCAGAAGAATCGCTTCAACCCAGGAGGCAGAGGCTGCAGTGAGCCGAGATGTCACCATTGTACTCCAGCCTGGGCGACAGAGAAATACTCAGTCTCAAAAAAAAAAAAAAAAAGAAGAAGAAGAAGAAAAAGAAAAAATGTAAATAAAAAGGAGAAAGTAACAGATCTCTTTTACAAATGTGCTGGGACAACTAACTGGATATCCATATGGAGAAGAGTAATGTTGTATTCCTATCTCACACAAGCAAATTTAGTTTGTTTATTTATTTTTAGAGAGGGAGTCTGGCTCTGTCGCCCAGGCTGGAGTGCAGTGGCTCGGTCTCGGCCCACTGCAAGCTCCACCTCCCATGTTCACCGCATTCTCCTGCCTCAGCCTCCTGAGTAGCTGGGACTACAGGCGCCCGCCACCACGCCCGGCTAATTTTTGTATTTTTAGTGGAGACGGGGTTTCATCGTGTAAGCCAGGATGGTCGCGATCTCCTGACCTCGTGATCCGCCCGCCTCAGCCTCCCAAAGTGCTGGGATTACAGGCGTGAGTCACCGTGCCCGGCCTAATAAAAATTTTATTTTAAAAATTTAAAAAAGAGAGAGACTGCGGGAGGGAATGTTACATTGTCGCGCAGGCTGTCCTGGACCCCCAGGCTGAGCGATCCTCCCGCCGCTGCTTCCTGAGTAGCTGGGACCTCAGGCTCCCACGCCCGCATCCCTGCTGTGTTTAAGCAGCAGGTGGTGACCTCACTCCTCCCTGGCCTGAGCACTCCGTCTGGCATCCCAGGCTGTGGCCCTAGGGATGTCTCTGAAGCTGAGCACTGGGTGGACTCTCCCTCCTGAGTGAATGGAGAATAGAAAGGGAGAAGATTTCTATACTGTCCTGTGGGCCATCAGCATGAAATCCTACGTTCCGCCCAGAAAGGGCTTTGCATTTTACATTCTAGTTTGCATCCTCCTTCCAGACTATTCCAGGGCTTTTGAATTATCCGTCTGCCTTCCTGGGGGCTCTCGCCGCCAAAACCCGGAGAACGGGTTGGGAGGAGGCTGAGAGATGCACAGGTCCCGCTCCGGCCCCGCCCTCTGCGGGTTCTAAAGGGCAAGGTCTCGCCGCTTCGCGCCCCGCCCACACCTCACCCGGGCCCCGCTCGCCTCCTCGTTGGCTCCACCCAGGCCTGGTTTCTGTCCTGCGCGCGCAGATTCGCGCAGACCAGGAAGTGGATCCCGTGGAATGACGGTCACGCCGCGGCGGGCGGTGAGTTTTGCTCTGTGTGGTGTTAAGTCTGAGCTTCCCAGGTCCCCGGCACTTCTGTACATGGGATGTGGGGTCCCCATAGACCTGGAAGTTCTCGCCTTTCTTCCTTCACTCAGAGCAAATGGAGATGTTCTACTGGGAGTCCGGAAGCCCCTTCTTTTTAGGTTTAAAGTCGCCCTGAGGCTGGTCCCGTCCCGGGTCTTTCTGCCATAGGGCAATGTATACGTTTCCTATCGCGTAGTTTTCCTGCTCAAAACCGTTTTTTGACTCCTTCCGCACGGCTCTTTTTAAAGTCCTCACCCTAGAGGTGTATTCCCACCCTGTGCGCCTCCCAGCCTTACTCTCCTGGGTTCCTGGAGCACAGCGCGGCGACCCCAGTCCCGGGAAGGCTGCGTTCTGTGGTCCTGGGATCCTGCGGATCCCACCCTTGTCCGAAGGCGTCGTCGCTCCCCACCTCCCTCCTCCTCTTGCTGGGCCCTGCTGCTCCCCAGATCTCCCCTCCGCAGTCACCGCGTCCCCTGAGCCCTCGTTGGAGAGGTGCCTGGGGCTTGTCCTGTGACGCGGGGTGTTCTTGCCCGCCCAGCTCCAGCACTTGGAAAATGCGCTTCTCCGAGATGCAGGCGTCTTACTCCAAACCCTCTTGTGATCGTGTGGGCCAAAGGGATCAGGAGACAGAGAGAGGGACTGAGAGAGCAGTAGAAAACCTGAGACAGAGAAAAGAAGAATGAGAAAGACCCATAACAGATGGCAAAGTAGAGGATGGGTGAGGGATTTGCCAAGAGACAGCAAAAGTGATAAAAGATAAGAAAGCAGGAGGAGAAAAGCAACTGGAGAAATGTAGAGAAAAGCTAGATGTACAGAGAGATGAAGGACAGCAAGGTAGGGAGAGGGGCAGAAATGTGGAGGCTCATCAGAGTGAGGGAGAGGAGGAGGGATGTGGAGCCGGGTCAGACAGAGCAGAGTGGTGCTGGTGGCAAGGAGAACAGAGGGAGAAGCACAGCGGGGAGGACACCTGGGGATCTGGGGTGCCAGATTGGGTCCAGGGGGTTATAACAGAGAAGAGAGAATTTAACAGGGAGAGCAGAGGAGGCGCATAGATGGGAGAAGAGGCAGAAATCTATGGAGATTGAGGACGATCTAAAGATTGGGGAGAAGGACCAACAGGAGGTTAAATAAGTTGCAAGGATGGAGCCCAGCTAATTTTTGTATTTCTAGTAGAGATAGGGTTTCACCATGTTGGCCAGGTTGGTCTCAAACTCCTGACCTCAGGTAATCCACCCACCTCCACCTCCCAAAGTGCTGGAATTACAGGTGTGAACCACCTCAGCTGTCCACCCATGTATTTCTTGATTGAAATAATTTGCTTATGTCTTGGTTCTACAGCTGACCCTGTTTCCCTGTTTTCAAGGTCAAGAGCTGTGTGTTTACACTGCTGCATTTTATAAATGTTAGTGTGATTTTCTTGTAAGGAAGAATTCAATGTTGGGAGTCAATTTCATCAGAACCTTTCAAAAGAATTTTCTTTAACCCAGGCATGTGAAAAATGCTTCTCTAATTTTAAGAATGGGATGATAAGACCAACCCATCCCATTAGCCCTTCCAGGCCCCCATGTAAGAATTCAGGCACACCTTCTCACTCATCTCAGACCTTCTCAGGGTAACTTCGTGAAAATGTTTCCAGCTCTGAGCCCCAGTGAACCTCCCTGCATCTTTGCGACGAAGGGCTAGACCAGAAAAGCTCAACCTGAGTGATCCTGACCCCTGAAATGATTGGCAAAATAGAGGCGGTGTCTGGGTGTGGCTTTTTTTCTGGTAGAGGAGAGTGCCCAGTTGTAATTAGAATTTTCAGTGGGATGCAGTACCCCAAAAATGAAAAAAAAAAAAGCAGAAGAATGGAAGAAACAGAGCGGTAGACTCAGAAACAGAGAGGATCTTTGGAGGCCTTTGTCTGTATTAGAATATCACAGCTACATCTAAAGCAGGTCATGTCAGTGCCTGGCAGGGAACCCTCCACCTGCTTCCCGTGTTCCCCAGGACAAAAGCCCGACTCTTCACTTTGGCTCCACAGCCCTGTGTTCAGGGTCCCTGCCAGTGTCCAGCCTCCTCCTGGGAGCTTACCCTCATCTGACTCCCTCTGCCCCAGTCACATTTGCTTTTCTCTTTTTTCAAACATCAAAATCCTTCCTGTCTCAGGTTGTTGTCCCTGCTCTTATTCAATGTTTCTAAATGAAGATGGCACTGTCCCTTTCTCCTTCAGGTCTAGGCTCAGAGCTGTCTCCCATGCCCTCCCACCCCCATCTGAAGTTCCCTCTACCCATCAGTGTCTATGGCATTACTCAAGTCTTCTTATCTCTGTGTCAATCCCATCAGAAATGCACTTTTTTTTTTTTTTTCAAACAGACTCTCACTCTGTCCTCCGGGCTGTGAGTGCAGTCTTGTGATCTTGGCTCACTGCAACCTGTATCTCCTGGGTTCAAGCAATTCTTGTGCCTCAGCCTCCCAAGTAGCTAAGATTACAGGTGTGTGCCACCACACCCTGCTAATTTTGTATTTGTATTTTATTTTATTTTTGAGTCTTACTCTGTCACCCAGGCAGGAGTGCAGTGGCGCGATCTCGGGTCGCGCAGGTTCAAGCAGTTCTCCTACCTCAGCCTCCCGAGTAGCTGGGATTAGAGATACCCACCAATCTCGGCTACTTTTTGTATTTTTAGTAGAGACAGGGTGTCACCATGTTGGCCAGGCTGCTCTTGAACTCCTGACCTCAAGTAATCCACCCACCTTGGCCTTTCAGAGTGCTAGTATTACAGGCATGAGCCAATGTGCCCGGCCCAATTTTTGTATTTTTAGTAGAGACAGGCTTTCACCATGTTGGCCAGGCTAGTCTCAAACTTTTGAGCTCAAATGATGCTTCCACATCAGCTTCCTAAGTAGCTGGGACCACAGACACACAGATGCGTACCACCATACCTGGCTAAGTTTTTGTATTTTTGGTAGAGATTTCCTGAAGGGGAGCTCATCCCAGCCCAGCTCCCCACTGCTGCAGCGTGTGTGTGGGCTTCTCCAGGAGGAGAGTGGGAGTTTTCCTGTAGGAATTTTTTGTTCATTGTGCAGTGGGCAGCAGAGGGGACCGTATTTCCCAGGGTGAGGTCTCCTATGTTTGTGTCATTGTGTTAAGGGAGGGGGTGTGTTGATTCTGAGTGATAAACAACATATTTTTAACATTCAGGATTGACTTCTAAAGACTGTTGGTACGTGAGAAAGAAACCCAGAAGAGGAAGAGGAAAGCAAAGGAGTCAGGGATGGCTCTTCCTCAGGTGAGATGATATCCTCGGTGGATTGTTCTGTCTCCTTCCTTTCAGATACCCTGGGCCTTGGAGTTGGGAATGTCTGGGTCTGAATGACCTGCCTGACATGTTTGCTCACCCTCACTTATGCCTTCCTTCAGTCCCTCTCATCTCGCTTAGGTTCCGTCTCTCGTGACCCAGTGTCATGAACTTGGGAAGAGGCTGCACTGGGCAGGTCCTGGGAAGGGCTCACACCCCGACATGGATGGACACGGGGTGAGGGTCCTGTGGTGTCAGTGCTCTTGGGCAGCAGGGATTGTTCAGGGGCCACATCTGGATGCACTGTCAGCTCACTGTGGACCAGGATTGGAGCAGCTGCCAATGGGAGTCACGTATTAATATGCACGAAGTACGTGGTAAGTTCTAGAAAAGGAGACCAATAAGGGAAAATCTTTTCTCCCTGATTTTATACCACATTTTTAGGTAATGGAGTGAGTTACTGTGTTTCTGACTCCAAAAATCTTACTAATTAGAATGGAAAGTTCATACATAGACATGAATAATTCATGAATCATTCCTTCATTATTATTATTTTTTGAGATGGAGTTTCGCTCTGTTACCCAGGCTGGAGTGCAATGGCGCGATCTCAACTCACCGCAACCTCCGCCTCCTGGGTTCAAGTGATTCTCCTGCCTCAGCCCACCTAGTAGCTGGGGTTATAGGTGTGCACCACCACGCCCAGCTAATTTTTTTGTATTTTTAGTAGAAACAGCGTTTCAGCATGCTGGCCAGGCTGGCCTCAACCTCCTAACCTCAGGTGGTCTGCCCGCCTCGGCCCCCCAGTGTGTTGGGATTACAAGCGCAAGCCATCATGCCCAGCCCCACCAGTTATTATTAAATATAAATGGTTATATTTCACCATCACATGATATATATATTTGTTTTGTGGTAAAACTCCAAGCAAAGCTGCAGCTTAGACCCTTGGCCATAAGACATCTCCTTTCCCTGTCACATCCTCCACCCTCCTTCCAGCCTCACTGGGGAGCCACTCCTGTCAGTTCTGTGTTAGCTGTCAGAGCAAGTCTCGTACACGTGTATTTCTGCATCGTTATGAGACTTTAAAAAAAATTCTGGGCCACGCGCGGTGGCTCACACCTGTAATCCCAGCACTTTGGGAGGCTGAGGTGGGTGGATCACAAGGTCAGGAGATCAAGATCATCCTGGCTAACATGGTGAAACCCTGTCTCTATTAAAAAATACAAAAAATTAGCCGGGTGTGGTGGTGGGCACCTGTAGTCCCAGCTACTTGGGAGGCTGAGGCAGGAGAATGACTTGAACCTCGGAGGCAGAGCTTGCAGTGAGCTGAGATTGCACCACTGCACTCCAGCCTGGGCAACAGAGGAAGACTCCATCTTAAAAAAAAAAATTCCATTGTAAATTAAAAAAAAATTTTATATATTTTTTTACTTTACTTTTGGGGCTATGTGTGAAGGCTTGTTACAGAGGTAAACTCACGTCATTGGAGTTTGTTGTACCAATTATTTCATCACTCCGGTATCAAGTCCAGTACCCAATAGTTATTTTTGTTTTATTTGCTTTATTTATTTTTTTTGAGATGGAGTCTCACTCTGTCACCCAGGCTGGAGTGCAGTGGTGTGATCTCGGCTCACTGCAACATCCGCCTCTTGGGTTCAAGCATTTCTCTGCCTCAGCCTCCTGAATAGCTGGGATTGCAGGCACCCGCCACCATGCCCAGCTAATTTTTTTTGTATTTTTACTAGAGACGGTGTTTCACCACCTTGGCCAGGTTGGTATTGAATGCCTGACCTCGTGATCCACCTGCCTCAACCTCCAAAAGTGTTGAGATTACAGGCGTGAGCCACCATGCCTGGCTGTTATTTTTGTAAAAATTTATTTTTTTGAGACTGAGTTTTGCTCTTGTTGCCCAGGTTGGAGTATAATGGCATGATCTCGGCTCACTGAAACCTCTGCCTCCTGGGTTCAAGTGAGTCTCCTGCCTCAGACTCTCAAGTAGCTGGGATTACAGGTGCCAGCCACCATGCCTGGCTAATTTTTGTATTTTTAGTAAAGACAGAGTTTCACCATGTTGGCCAGGCTGGTGTTGAATTCCTGTCCTCAGGTGATCCACCTGCCTCAGCCTCCCAAAGTGCTGAGATTACAAGTGTGAGCCACTGTGCCCGGGCCCGATAGTTATTTTTTCTGCTCCTCTCTTTCCTCCCACTGCCAAAGTATCCTTTCCCCCAAGGCGAGATTCCTCTTCAGTTAAACAAATCTTGCTACTTTTGTATTTTTAAAACCTTTATATATAAATAAATATATACATACATACATACACACACATCTATACATATACATGCATATATACAAACACATATATTTTGAAAATCTGGGGAAAATGACAACCCTTTTTCTTAACATCTAATTTCTTGTGAGTCTGTGTAGGTTTTATTATTTTTTGGGCATATATATACAAAACAGATTTTTGTACTTTGAGTAATTCTGTTTTCATATATTTTATTTCATTTTGAGAGAAGGTCTCACTCTGTTGCCCAGGCTGGAGTGCAGTGGCGTGATCTTAGCGCACTGCAACCTCCACCCTCAGGCTCAAGAAGCCATCCTGACCTCTGCCTCTGAGGTAGCAGGGACCACAGGTGGGTGCCACCATGCCTGATTAATTTTAATTTTTATTTTTTGAGCGAAATCTTGCTCTGCAGCCCAGGCTGGAGTTCAGTGGTGTTCTCGGCTCACTGCAACCTCTGCCTTCCCAGTTCAAGCAGTTTTCCTGCCTCAGGCTCCTGAGTAGCTGGGAATACAGGCGAGTGCCACCACACCTGAATAATTTTTTGGTATTTTCAGTAGCGACAGGGTTTCACCTTTTTAGCCAAGATGGTTTCCATTTCCTAACCTCGTGATATGCCCACCTCAGCCTCCTAAAGTGTTGAAAGTACAGGCGTGAGCCACCTCACCCAGCTTTTTTGTTTGTTTGTTTCTTTTTGAGACAAATTCTCAGTTGCCCAGGCTGGAGTGCAGTGGCACGATCTCAGATCACTGCAACCTCTGCCTCCCAAGTTCCAGTGATTCTCCTGTTTTAGCCTTTCAGGTAGCTGGGATTATAGTCACGTGCCATCACCCGTGGCTAATTTTTTTTGTATTTTTAGAAGAGACAGTGTTTCACCATTTTGGCCATGCTGGTCTTGAACTCCCGACCTCAGGTGATCTGTCTGCTTCAGTCGCACAGAATTCTGGGATTACAGACACGAGTCACCATACCCAGCCCCACCAATTATTATTAAATATATATTGTTATATTTATCATCACATGATGTGTGTGTGTATATATATATATATTTATTATTATTTTTATTTTCAAGACGGAGTCTCGCTCTGTCGCCCAGGCTGGAGTGCAGTGGCGCGATCTCGGCTCACTGCAAGCTCCACCTCCCGGGTTCACGCCATTCTCCTGCCTCAGCCTCCCGAGTAGCTGGGACTACAGGCGCCCGCCACCACGCCCGGCTAATTTTTTGTATTTTTAGTAGAGATGGGGTTTCACCGTGTTAGCCAGGATGGTCTCGATCTCCTGACCTCGTGATCCGCCCACCTCGGCCTCCCAAAGTGCTGGGATTACAGGCGTGAGCCACCGCGCCCGGCCCATAATAGTTATTTTTTGTGCTCCTCTCCTTCCTCCCCGCTCCACCCTCAAGTAGACTGCAGTGTCTGTTGTTTTCTTCTTTGTGTCCCAGTAAATATTTTACTTTGATATTTGATTTTGCTAATTGTGAATTTACATGTTGTCATGTTAGTGAACATGGCTAGCTTGCTTTTTGACATCTGCATTGGAAATTGGCTGAATGACAACACGTGGGTCCTTTGCGATTTTTCCCTGTATAAAGAGTGCCATAGTGGCTGCCTCTGTGCACACCCGCATTACTACAGATATCTGAAGATTCCTCCAGGTCAGGCAGTTGAAAGGGTGATTACTGCTTCTAGGATGGGGCATTTCCATATTCTTAGATCTGACAAGATTCCCCCTGCCCACAACTGCCAAAGTATCCTTTTCCAGCAAGATGAGATTCCTCTTTCATTAAACAAAACTTGCTACTTTTTATATTTTTAAAAACTTTATATATGTACATACACATCCCCACACACATGCACACACATATACATATAAATACATATATACACATATGTATATATTTTGAAAATCTTTTGTATTTTGAAAATCTGGGACAAATGACAACCCTTTGTATTCACATCTAGTGTTTTGTGAGTCTCTGTAGGTTTTATTATTTTGTGAACATATATATACACGATTGATTTTTGTACTTTGAGTAATTTTGTTTTCATTTATTTTATTTTATTTTGAGACGGGGTCTTGCTTTGTTGCCCAGGCTTGAGTGCCCTGGCGGGATTGCAGCTCACTGCAACCTCCACCCTCAGGGTCAAGCCATCCTACCTCTTTACCCTTCCAAGTAGCTGGGACCACAGGTGCTTGCCGTCACACCTGGCTAATTTTTTTTTTTTTTTTTTTGAGATGGAGTTTCTGTTGCCCAGGCTGGAGTGCAGTGATGCGATCTGGGATCACTGCAACCTGTGCCTTCCAGGATCAAGTGATTCTCCTGCCTCAGCTTCCTGCATAGCTGGGATTACAGACATGTGTCACTGTGCCCAGCCTATCTTTTACTGTGGACGTTGTCATCTTTTAAGATATCAGTTGTGCTCTGTCTCATCTAGATAATGAATGTCACTTGGTGTGTCTATAAAAGTTTCAAACATTTTTATAACAGGAACCCTACATTGATTTTTTATTTGTTTATTTCTGTTATTTTTCACAAACATAAGAAATTTATACTGAGAGTATGTCTTGATAATACTCAAAAAGTGTAATAAAATACATCTGGGGAGACATCATGTAGTGAGAAATCCCTTATTTGGATTTGTCAGAACATTCTCTACAGTTAAATCCATGCTTTCCCCTCTCTCCTCCTCTCATTTTTTGTAAAGATAAGATCTCCTCCCATAACCATTTGGTTAAAATGTGTTTTCATTTCAGGGTCTATTGACATTCAGGGACGTGGCCATAGAATTCTCTCAGGAGGAGTGGAAATGCCTGGACCCTGCTCAGAGGACTTTATACAGGGACGTGATGCTGGAGAATTATAGGAACCTCGTCTCCCTGGGTGAGGATAACTTCCCTCCTGGGGATGTGCCCTTGTGTATTTTTGCATTTTCTCTTATTGTCTCTTAGGAACCCCATTGTTCCTTGACTAAAATGGAAGCCATATTGATTTTGAAATGAAAAGCTTCATGATGTAGCATCTGGACTTTCACTGTCCCCTTTGTTTAGATGTTCTGCATTCTTCATGATAGCTCAGTGGGGGTTCCAGAAGTAAAGTAAGCATAAAACCTTATGGCAGCCTGGTCGTGGTGGCTCACACCTGTCATCCCAGTACCTTGGGAGGCCAAGGCATGTGGATCACTATGGGTGAGGAGTTCGAGACCAGCATGATCAACATGGAGAAACCCCTTCTCTACTAAAAATACAAAAATTAGCTGGGTGTGGTGGCACGTACGTGTAATCCCAGCTCCTAGAGAGGCTGAGTAAAGAGAATCACTTAAACCCAGGAGGCCAAGGTTGCAGTGAGTGGAGAACACACTGCTGCACTCCAGCCTGGGTGACAGAGCAAGACTCTGTCTCAAAAAACAAAAACAAAACCTTATGGCAGACTTTAAAGATATCCAGTTTCCTGTTTGCTTCTCCTATGCTTTTGACTCAGTATTCTTGGAAGAGAGCTTGATGTCCACATATTACATATTACAGTGCTCCCTCAGCATTCAGAAGGAGGCAGTAGGTGGAGCAATTTGTGAACTGTTTTCCTAGATCCTTTGGTAATGTCTTCTTTCCTACTGAAACCTAGGGCTGGGACTCTACGAAAGCTCCAGCACTTTATGGTCCTTGCTTTTTATAAGCAGGAGTCTCTTTCTGACCTGTTATCTCCATATTGGAGCAAAGGAAAAGCCCTGGACTGTGGAGAGTGAAGTGAAAATAGCAAAAAAAATCCAGATGGGTGGGAATGTATTACAGGTGTAAATGCAGGTAAGAGCTCAGATGGGCAGAGTGGAAGTTCCACCTTCAAATAGTGTGTGAGGAAACTCTGCAAGTGGGAGAATTCTGTGGGAAAAGGAAAGTTTAATTTTTCACATCTCTGAATGGACATCTTTCTGAAGGGCGCCAGCCCCTCCATACCTGTGGGTATTTCTCGTCAGGTGGGATGAGAAACTCAGAAAAGAAATAAGACACAGAGACAAAGTTTAGAGAAAGAACAGTGGGCCCATGGGGCTAGCACACTCAGCATGCGAGAACCTGCATCGGTGCCAGTCTCTTGAGTTCCCTCAGTATTTATTGATCATTATTTTTACTATCTTAGCAAGGGGAGTGTAGCAGGGCAACAGGTGGGGAGAAGGTCAGCAGGGAAACATGTGAGCAAAGGAATTTGTATCATGAATAAGTTCAAGGAAAGGTACTGTGTCTGGATGTGCACGTAGGCTAGATTTATGTTTCTCTTCACACAAACATCTCAGTGTAGGAAAGAGTAACAGAGCAGTATTGCTGCCAGCATATCTCGCCTCCAGCCATGGGGTGCTTTCCTCCTATCTCAGAAGAGAATGAATGGGAATGGTCGGCTTTACACCGAGACATTCCATTCCCAGGGATGAACAGGAGACAGAAGCCTTCCTTTTATCTCAACTGCAAAGAGGCCTCCCTCTTTCACTACTCCTCCTCAGCACAGGCTCTTTACAGGTGTCAGGCGGGGGGATGTAAGGTCTTTCCTTTCCCATGAGGCCATATCTCAGGCTGTCTCAGTGGGGGGAAACTTGGACAATACCCAGGCTTTCTAGGGCAGAGGTCCCTGCGGCTTTCCGCAGTGCATTGTGTCCCTGGTTAACTGAGAATGGAGAATGGCATGACTTTTACCAAGCATACTGCCTGCAAACATATTGTTAACAAGGCACACCCTGCACAGCCCTAAATCCATTAAACCTTGATTCAATACAGCACATGTTTCTGTGAGCACAGGGTTGGGGCTAAAGTTACAGGTTAACAGCATCTCAAAGCGAAACAATTTTTCTTAATATAGATCAAAATGGAGTTTCTTATGTCTTCCTTTTCTACATAGACACAGTAACAATCTGAACTCTCTTTTCCCCACACTTTCTTTGCACCCACTTATCTCTCTGCTCTTACTTTCTTTCTTTCTTTTTTTTATGACAGAGTCTCACTCTGTCACCCAGGCTACAGTGCAGTGATATGATCTTGGCTAACTGCAGCCTCCGCCTCCCGGGCTCAAAGGATTCTTGTTCCCCAGATTCCTGAGTAGCTGGAACTGCAGGCGCACACCACCATGCACAGCTAATTTTTGTGTTTTTAGTAGAGGGGGGTTTCACCATGTTGGTCAGGCTGGTCTCAAACTCCTCATCTCAAGTGATCCACCTGCCTCGGATTCCCAAAGTGCTGAGATTACAGATGTAAGCTGCCATGCCTAACCATTGTTACTATTTTAAATAGTTTGGTCTTTTAGTTCTTTGTAAACATATAAGTGGTTTAAGCATGATTCCAGTGTGAATATAACAACATTAGTGTCCATTCCTTTCAGTACGTAGAAGTGAAGTGTGTTGTACAGATATTTGGGCAGAGGTTATTGTTGCAGGTATGTTAAACATCTTAAAGTTATAGCATAATAACAAAACTTAAAATTTCCATAACCTGAACGTGTGCAGTGGCTGACACCTGTAATCCTAGCACTTTCGGAGGCCGAGTTGAGCAGATCACCTGAGGTCAGGATTTCAAAACCAGCCTGGCTAACATGTGAAAACTGCAACTCTACTAAAATTACAAAAGTTAGCCAGGTGCGGTGGTGGGTGGCTGTAATCCCAGCTTCTCAGGAGGCTGAGGCAGGATAGTCACTTGAATCCGGGAGGCAGAGGTTGCGGTGAGCTGATAACACACCATCGCACTCCAGCCTGGGAGACAGAAAAAAATAAAAATCCATAACCTGCAAAAACTACTTCTTCTCCACTAGAATTTTTTTATTTATGTCAGAATTATTTCTGTGTATGTTGCATTTCCGTTAACATATATGTACAGTGTTTTTCATGCCTTTTATTTCAAATAATATGAAAAAAGTTTAGTTATGAAGAAAAGGTATACATATGCCAGTTTCTGTATCTGTCCTTTTATTAATTAATTACCTTATGTATTTATGAGATAGAGTTTTGTTCTTGTCACCCAGGCTGAAGTACAATGCTGCGATCTCAGCTCACTCCAAACTCTGCGTCTCGGGTACAACTGATTCTCCTGCCTCAGCCTCCTGAGTAGCTGGGATTACAGGCATGCGCCACCACAGCCATCTAATTTTGTGTTTTAGTAGAGACAGGGTTTTTCCTTGTTGGCCAGGCTGATCTCGAACTCCCAACCTCAGGTTATCTGCCTGACTCATCCTCCCAAAGTGCTGGGATTACAGGAATGAACGACCACACCTAGACTGTTTTTTTATTTACCTTTACTGGAGAACTTTATTTATTTAGTTAGTTAGTTAGTTAGTTTTTTGAGATGGAGTCTCACTCTCTTGCCCGGGCTGGAGTGCAGTGGTGTGATCTCAGCTCACTGTAACCTCCACCTTCTGGGTTCAAGCAGTTCTCCTTCCTCAGCCTCTCCAGTAGCTGCGACTACAGGCCTGCACCACTATACCCAGCTAATTTTTGTATTTTTAGTAGAGATGGGGTTTCACCATGTTGGTTTGCCAGGATGGTCTCGATCTCCTGACCTGGTGATCCGCCCGCCTCAGCCTCCCAAAGTGCTGGGTTTACAGGCGTGAGCCACCGCACCCTGTCTGGAGAACTTTATATAGGCTTGTTGGTTGGAGTTACTCTTTAGCCTTCTTTCATTTCTTTTTTTTTTCTCTGAGACAGAGTTTTGGTCTGTCATCCCGGCTAAAGTACAGTGGTGTCATCTCCGCTCACTGCAACCTCCACTTCCCAGGTTCAAGCAATTCTCCTGCCTCAGCCTTCCAAGTACCTGGGACTACAGGTGAGTGCCAACATGCCAGGCTAATTTTTTGTATTTTTTTAGTAGAGACGGAGTTTCAGCTTGTTAGCCAGGATGGTCTCAATCTCCTGACCTGGTGATCCTCCCGCCTCAGCCTCCCAAAATGCTGGGATTACTGGCATGAGCCACCACACTTTGCCTGTCTCAAGGTTTTTAAAACATGTTAGTGCTAGTAGATGGCTTCAAGTATTGCAAGTTTTACAGTACAGACTCTTAACTTCCTTTGTTTAATAAGATTTGTCAGCCCTTGGTGATGTTGATGATGAGATGCTCCTGTTCCTGTCTCTGTCATTTCACTGTCCTGCTAGAAATAGCTTAGACTGGCTGGCCGCGGTGGCTCACCCCTCTAATCCCAGCACTTTGGGAGGCTGCAACAGGTTGATCACTTGAGGTCAGGAGTTAGAGACAAGCCTAGCCAACATGGTGAAACCCCATCTCTACTAAAAATGCAAAAATTAGCTGTGCATGGTGGTGTGCACCTGTAATCCCAGCTACTTGGGAGGTTGAAGCAGGAGAATCACTAGAACCCTGGAGGTGGAGGTTGCAGTGAGCCAAGATCATGCCACTGCACTCCAGACTTGGCAACAGAGTGAGACCCTGGGCTGAGGAGGGAGAATCACTTGAGGTAGGAGAATCATGCCACTACACTGCATCCTGGGTGATAGAGCGTGACTCCATCTCAAAAACAAACAAAAAAGGATGTAGCTTAAACTGGCAGGCTTAAGAGACAGAAATTTATTTCTAATGAATTTGGGAAGTGGGAAATCCAAGAGCAAGGTGCCAGCCAAATTGCTTCCTGGTGAGAGCATTCTTCATGGTTTAGCCCAGCCATCTTCCTGCTGTGTCCTAATACGGTGGAAAGAGGAACAGGCAAGGACCTCTTTAATGTCCCTTTATAAATGCACTAGTCCTATTCACGAGTAGTCAACACCCATGACTAAATTCTCTCAATGTCTGCATCTGCAGGGACATCCTCTTAGAGAATACCACATCTACCAAAGCTTATTTGAGAAGTAGTTATTTATCTTATTTTATTTCTTTGAGACAAAGTCTCATCCTGTCACTGAGGCTGGAGTGCAGTGGCATGATCTCGTCTCACTGCAACCTCCGCCTCCTGGGTTCAAATGTTTCCTGCCTCAGATTCCCAAGTAGCTGGGATTACAGGCGTCTTCCTTCATGCCTGGCTGATTTTTTTGTAGTTTTAGTAGAGATGGTGTGTCGCCATGTTGTCCAGGCTGGTCTTCAACTCCTGACTTCATGATTCACCCACCTCAGCCTACCAAAATGCTGGGATTACAGGCATGTGCCACTGCACCCGGCCGCTAGTCAATTCTTGTTCCTGGTAAAGCTGTGTATTTTCTTGACCTCATATATCAGAAGGTAGTGATCTTAACATCTATTTCAGTTCTTACACTGTGTGCTGGTGATAAGTACAAGTTTTGGCTTTTTTCTTAAGAGGGAATTGTTTAGAATTCTTCAGTCTGTATAAATGTACTTATTATTTTCTTGCTTGTTTTATCATGGGTTGCAATATTTGATTAATTGATTTTTATGAATTTATATATGAGTGTTCGGTATGTGGTATGCAATATAACGGACACACTCCCCCCATTAATGTCAGAAAGTGCCACAGGGTGCAGTGGCTCACACCTGTAATCCCAGGACTTTTGGAGGCCAAGACATGTGGATCACCTGAGGTCAGGAGTTCGAGACCAGCCTGGCCAACATGGTGAAACCTGATTTCTACTAAAAATACAAAAATTAGCTGGGCATGGTGGCACATGCCTGTAATCCCAGGTGCTCAGGACCTAAGGCAAGAGACTAGCATGAACCCAGGAGGTGGAGGTTGCAGTGAGCCAAGATCGTGCCATCGCATTCCAGCCTGGGTGACAGAGTGAGACTCTATCTCAAAAAAACAAAAATACAAAAAATTTTTTAAAAAGTCACAACATAACTGTTCCACATGGATATAGGTAATTTTGTAACAGTTATTCAGAAAAATATGGTATTAACATTTTCTTTTTTTTTTTTTTTTTTTTTGAGACAGAGTCTCACTCTGTTGTCCAGGGTGGAGCAAAGTGACACAATCTCAACTCACCACAATCTTTGCCTCCCGAGTTCAAGCGATTATCATACCTCAGCCTCCCAAGGAGCTGGGATTACAGGTGCCTGTGACCATACCAGCTACTTTTTGTGTCTTTAGTAGCGACGGGGTTTCACCACATTGGCCAGGCTGGTTGAACTCCTGACCTGAGGTGATCCACCTTCCTCGGCCTCCGGAGTTACTGGGATTAGAGTCACAAGCCACCATGCCATGTCTTTTTTTTTTTTTTTTTTTTTTTTTTTGAGATGGAGTCTCATTTTGCACCAAGGCTGGAGTGGAGTGATGCAATCTTAGCTAACTGCAACCTTTGCCTTTTAGCTTAATGCAATACTTGTGACGCAGCCTCTGGAGTAGCTGGGAGTACAGGTGCTGGCCACCACACCTGGCTAATTTTTGTAATCTTCTGTTATCTTGTCAGTGCTGTGATTGTTTGACAATAGAGAATTTCCACTAATTTTGGTTATTCTTACAAGAGCTTGTTGTGGATTATTTACCAATATAGTATATTGTGTGGTTCTTTAGCATTTATTTGTATACCCTAAATACGCTGTAAATATGGAGAATATATATTTTTCTCTGATGTGACAGTGATATGTATTTTGCACAGTGTGACACACTTTAGGGTCACAGTGGAAAAACACTCCTTTCTTTAGACTCACACGTGTTTGTGCCCTGTCAGTGTTTTGTCATGATATTGGAAATAGGCTTCCATAGAAATGATTTGAAGCACATGTAATCGCCCTTTATTTATTAAAGAATCTTACTCCTTTTGTGTTCCTAAACTTTGAAGCTCACGTTTGGGAAGTTGAAAATAAGTATTGTTTTTTTTCTGTGATATTTACACATTTCAGTATTATATACCGTCTGTACTTAATTGGAAACCTATTGGTGTTTAAATTTTGTAGATATCTCTTCCAAATGCATGTTGAAGACGTTGTCGTCAACAGGGCAAGGCAATACAGAAGTGATCCACACAGGGACATTGCACAGACAAGCAAGTCATCACATTGGAGAATTTTGTTTCCATGAAATTGAGAAAGACATTCATGGCTTCGAGTTTCAGTGGAAAGAAGATGAAACAAATGGCCATGCAGCACCCATGACAGAAATCAAAGAGTTGGCTGGTAGTACAGGCCAACATGATCAAAGGCATGCTGGAAACAAGCGTATTAAAGATCAGCTTGGATCAAGCTTTCATTTGCATCTGCCTGAACCGCACATATTTCAGTCTGAAGGGAAAATTGGTAATCAAGTTGAGAAGTCTATCAACAATGCTTCCTCAGTTTCAACATCCCAAAGAATTTGTTGTAGGCCCAAAACCCATATTTCTAATAAGTATGGAAATAATTCCCTCCATTCTTCATTACTCACACAAAAATGGGAAGTACACATGAGAGAAAAATCTTTTGAATGTATACAGAGCTTCAAATCCTTTAATTGCAGCTCACTCTTAAAAAAACATCAGATAATTCACTTAGAAGAGAAACAATGTAAATGTGATGTATGTGGCAAGGTCTTTAATCAGAAGCGATACCTTGCCTGCCATCGTAGATGTCACACTGGTGAGAAACCTTACAAGTGTAATGAGTGTGGCAAGACCTTTGGTCATAATTCATCCCTCTTCATTCACAAAGCGCTTCATACTGGAGAGAAACCTTATGAATGTGAAGAATGTGACAAAGTTTTCAGTCGCAAATCACACCTTGAAAGACATAAGAGGATTCATACTGGAGAGAAACCATACAAATGTAAGGTTTGTGATGAGGCTTTCGCATATAATTCATATCTGGCAAAACATACTATACTTCACACTGGAGAGAAACCTTACACATGTAATGAATGTGGCAAAGTTTTTAATCGACTATCAACCCTTGCACGCCATCATAGACTTCATACTGGAGAGAAACCTTACAAATGTGAAGAGTGTGACAAAGTTTTCAGTCGCAAATCACACCTTGAAAGACATAGGAGGATTCATAGTGGAGAGAAACCTTACAAATGTGAAGAATGTTGCAAAGTTTTCAGTCGCAAATCAAACCTGGAAAGACACAGGAGGATTCATACTGGAGAGAAACCATACAAATGTAAGGTTTGTGACAAGGCTTTCCAGAGGGATTCACACCTGGCACAACATCAGAGAGTTCATACTGGAGAGAAACCTTACAAGTGTAATGAGTGTGGCAAGACCTTCGGTCAGACATCATCGCTTATAATCCATCGTAGGCTTCATACTGGAGAGAAACCTTACAAGTGTAATGAGTGTGGCAAGACCTTCAGTCAGATGTCATCCCTTGTATACCATCATAGGCTTCATAGTGGAGAGAAGCCTTAATAGTGTAATGAGTGTGGCAAGACCTTCCATCACAATTCAACCCTGTAAGTCATAAGGCAATTCATACTGGAGAGAAACCTTACAAGCATAATGAATGTGGCAAGGTTTTTAATCAAAAAGCAACCTTTGCACATCACCATAGACTTCATACTGGAGAGAAACCTTACAAATGGGAGGAATGTGACAAAAGTTTTCAGTTGTAAATCAAACCTTAAAACACATAAGAAAATTCACATTGAAGAGAAACCATACAGAGGTAAGGTTTGTGACAAGGTTTTTGCATATAATGCATATCTGGCAAAACATACTAGAATTCACACTGGAGAGAAACTCATTATAAGTGTAATGAGTGTGGCAAGACCGTTGGTCAAAATTCACACCTTGTAATTAAAAGGTCAAAATTCACACCTTGTAATTCATAGTGGAGAGAAACCTTACAAGCACAATGAATGTGACATGGTTTTTAATCAACAATCACACCTTGCAAGTCATCATAGACTTCATACTGCATAGAAATCTTACAAACGTGAACAATGTGACAAAGTTTTCATTCACAAATCCAGCTTCAAATACATAGGAGAATTCACACTGGAGAAAAGCCATAGAAATGTAAGGTTTGTGACAAGGCTTTCGGGAATGATTCACACGTGGCACCCCATACTAGAATTCACACTGGAGAGAAACCTTACAAGTGCAATGAGTGTGGCAAACCCTTTAGTGGGCAGTCACCACTTATTCACCATCAAGCAATCCATGGTATAGGGAAACTTGACTAATGTAATGATTGTCACAAAGTTTTCAGTAATGCTACAACCATTGCACATCATTGGAGAATCCACAGTGAAGAGATCTTACAAGTGTAATAAATGTGGCAAATTTTTCAGACATCGTTCATGCCTTGCATTTCACTGGTGAACTCATGCTGGAGAGAAACCTTATAAATGTCATGATTGAGGCAAGGTCTTCAGTCAAGCTTCATCCTATGCAAAACATAGGAGGATTCATACAGGAGAGAAACCTCACAAGTGTGATGATTGTGGCAAAGCGTTTACTTCACATTCACACCTCATTAGACATCAGAGAATCCATGCTGGACAGAAATCTTACAAATGTCATCAGTGTGGAAGGGTCTTCAGTCCAAGGTCACTCCTTGCAGACCATCAGACAATTCCTTTTGGAGACAGTTGTTTCAAATGCAGTGAGTATAGCAAACCATCAAGCATTAATTGACATTAGAGTCAAATCAGCCTTGACCTGAGTTTGTTGATTTAACATTGATTTCAAGCATTAATTGCCATTAAACTGTTTATGTTAAGAGGATTGCACTGGGGGCCATGGCTCATGCCTGTAATTCCAGCACTTTGAGAGGCAAAGACAGGTAGGTCACTGGAGCTCACGAGTTTGAGAACAGCCTAGCCAACAGATGGGAGCTACTTTTCCCAGCCTTTATTTTCTTTTTCTTGTTTTTTTTTTGAGATGGAGTCTTGCTCTGTCGCCCAGGTTGGAGTGCAGTGGCACGATCTCAGCTCACTGCAACCTCCTCCTCCCAGGTTCAAGCAATTCTCCTGCCTCAGTCTCCCAAGTAGCTGACACTACAGTTGTGTGCCACCACACCTGGGTAATTTTTTGTGTTTTTAGTAGAGACTGGGTTTCACCGTGTTAGCCAGAATGGTCTCTATCTTCTGACTTTATGATCCACCCGACTCCACCTCCCAAAGTGCTGAGATTACAGGAGTGAGCCACTGTGCCTGGCCTGTTTTTTGTTTCTTTAACAAAAAGTTATAGAGACTTCTATGAGTATTGTACCGAATCTAAATCACAATTGAGTATATAATCATTGAGCGATATTCATTTTTCCAATCAGTATGGGATTTATATCTATTTATACATGTTTTTAATCATTTTGATCAATGTTTATAGATTTCAAGGTACAAACCTCACTTTTTATGTTTATTCCTAAATATTTCTTACTTTAAGTTCTTTAGCAAATGGAATTGGTTTTTAATTTTCTTTTAAAATTATTTATTGTTAATGTATGGAAATTCAACTAATTTTTGGTGCTGTTATTCTATTCTGCAAATAAACTGAATGTGTTTGTTAGTTCCAGTTGCATTTTGGCTGACTCTTTGTGATTTTCTTTACAGAAGGTCATGTCATCTACAAACAAATAAAATTTGACTTCTTTCTTTCTGATTTGGATGAGTTTGATTTCTTTTGCTATTTCATTGTTCTGGCTAGGACAGCCAGTATTGATTGAATAGAAGGGGTGAGAGCATTCTTGCATCATGTGAGATCCTACAGGAAAAGCATTCCGTTTTCCCTGATTGGTTATTTCTGCTGTGGTCATTTCATGGATGGTCTTTGTATTGCTGAGGTAAATTTTCTTCTGTATCTATTTTGTGTGGGATTTCTATGATGACTTGATGTTGACTTTTGTGAAATGCTTTTTCTCCATGTATTGAGATGATGTGGTTTTCATCTTTCATTGTGTTCAAGTGGTATATCACATTGATTTGCTTGACTATGTTGAACCATCCTTGCATCCCAGAAATAAGTGGCACTTGCATATCTACAATCCTTTTAATATCCTCTTGAATACAGTTCGCTAGTACAAGGGGTCTTCAAGAAGTTCATGAAAAAAATACATATTATGTGAAAATTGCACATGATGTCACATTTTCTGCACCAAAATAAACTGGCACAAATCTGTTATAACATGTCTGAACAGGGTCTAGTTTGAGGCACTCAGAAGGGGAAGACATGAGTTTGAAAAAAGAAAGCAGTGTAAATTTTGCTAAAATTGAAACAAGAAGAAACATCAAATTTATGATGAGAGCAGATGCAGTGGCTCAGGCCTGTAATCCAAGCACTTTCAGAGGCCGAGACAGGTGGGTCACGTGAGCCCCGGTATTCAAGACCAGCCTGGGCAGAATGTTGAAACCCCCTTCTCTACAAAAAATACATAAATTAGCTAGGCATGGTGGCACATGCCTGCTGGTTCAGCTTCTGTGGAGACTGCAGTGGGAGGATGGCTTGAGCCTGGGAGTTAGAGGCTGTAGGGAGCCGTGATCATGCCACTGTACTCCAGCATGGGTGACAGAGACAGACAGTGTCTCAAAAAATGAATATGGTGAAATTTGGGTAGAGGAACAATGAAATCATTAATGCTTTATGAAAAGGTTATGGGGGCGATGCCCCAAAGAAATCACTGTTTTGTAAATGCATAAGTCATTTTAAGTTGGGACAAGACAATGTTGACTAAAATGTAGGAATTAGCTTGGTGTGGCGAGTGCCTGTAACACAGCTACTCGGGAGGCTGGTAGAAGAATGGCTTTCATTTTGGAAGCAGAGGTTGCAGTGAGCCGAGATCGCACAACTGCAGTCCAGCTGGGCCACAGCAAGACTCTGTCTCAAATAAAATAAAAAAAATAAAATAAATAAAATACTGCTTCTCAAAAAAGCTTTGATATAATCTTATGAGGTAACATCATTGTTTTGCAACTATAATATGTGTTCAAAATATTCTTCTATGACCCCACATTTCATTAGATATATTTTTTAACCATTTTAAAACTGTTTTTCTCTGAAATTTATTGTGTTCAGTTTACATTGAGGACGGCATGCTTTCTAGTCTGTATCATACATTGGAAACATTTTCTGGTACCTGATAAATGATTTTAGTTTGTTTCAATGTGTACTTGATAAAGATATCAAGGAACTTTTTCTTTATGCTAACATCAAAATTTAGTTGAAGTAGCCTATTATTCCATTTTCTTTCTTTATGTCACCTGATAAAATGGTGAGCTGTGAGCTGCTAAGTAAACGTTCCCCTCAAGTTCCTCTGGTCCATAATATTTTTTGCAGATGTTCAAGGATGGGCAGAATTGACTTGGAACCTTGTTCCAGCAAAGCCCGTGTGTTCAAGAAGAAAACATTTGTTCAGATCTCATTTGTAATGCTGCTTCTCTTTCAGTGTTTTAAACACCTATAGCTAGGGGTTCACAGTTGTGTGTATTTTGAATGTACTACTGTCATTTTTCTGGGAAAATAATTACATGTTTAGGATTCATGCCATCAGGACCTTAGACATTGAAAGAGACATTTCATTTGCTCAGGTGTATAAAATTGTCCTGGAATGTTTTTTTTTCTTTCTTTTTTTGAGACAGGGTGTCACTCGGTCACCCATACTTGCATGCAGTGACACGATCTTGGCTTAACGCAACCTCTGCCTCCCAGGCCCAAATATCCACCCCAGTCAGTTCTTAAATGGCTGAGACCACAGATGCACACCACCACGCCTGGCTAATTTTTTGTACTTTTGGTGAAGTATCTCCTGCTCGAAACAACAGTGACTCAACCAGTAATGTACAGGTGAGGAATGAGACCAGAAAAGCTCAGTCAGAGTGACACTGACCCCTGAAATACTTTGTCAAATAGTTTGTGGCTTTTCCTTTAGGAGAGGGTGATGCTCAGGTGTAATTTGAATTTTTAATAGATTCCTGTCCTACAAAAATGTAAAAAACAAAAATACCGGAATGGAAAAAACAAGAGATTTGACTCAAATTGTCTTGAACCTATTCTTGTCTCTGTCCACACCCACTGCTTTTCCTTATCTCATCTCACAGCTTTAACCCACCTACCCATGTCCCCTGCAGGCCTCTCCACTGAGCTCTACAATCCTGTGTGCAGTTGTCTGCTCACCTCTCTGCTGGGACATCAAACAGGCATCTCCACCTTCACATGTCCAAAAGTGACTTCCTAAACCCCCAAACACATTCCCTTGCAGTCTGCACATCTCAGATGAGGGTGACTGTGTACGTCCGGAAACTTAGCCGAACTTGACAGCATGTATTTTAAATATGGGAAATAAATTACTTTATTTGTAAGTGTTGTAATTTGTAATGTAAAGAGAAATTTGCATGTATACATGAAAGGACTGAGAAGATACATCACTTCTGAAATTCTTTCTTTGTGTGTGTGTTGGAGTTTGGCTCTTCTCGCCCAGGCTGTAGTGCAGGGCTTTATCTCTGTGGGTGGAGGATCACCCAGCTGCTGAGGCAAGAGACTGAAGGCACAAACTGTTTCAGTATAATAGAGAAAATAGTTAGAATAAGAATAGTCATAATACAAATTAGATATAGAGATGATCATGGACAATTATCAATCATTATTATAAACATTATTAATCATTAGCTTTTAATATTACTCTTTGTTGCATTACTAATATAACCTAGGAATAACCGGCAGGTATAGGGTCAGGTGCTGAAGGGACATGGTGAGAAGTGACCTAGAAGGCAAGAGGTGAGGCCTCTGTCACGCCCGCATAAGGGCCGCTTGAGGGGTCCTTGGTCAAGCGGTAACGCCAGTGTCTGGGAAGGCACCTGTTACTTAGCTGACCACGAAAGGGGGTCTCCTTTCCTTGGAGGAGTCAGGGAACACTCTGCTCCACCAGCTTCTCGTGGAAGGCTGGATAGTATCCAGGCCTGCCCGCAGTCATCCGGAGGCCTAAACCCCTCCCTGTGGTGCTGTGCTTCAATGGTCATGCTCCTTGTCCACTTTCATGCTCCTCCCGTACTCCTGGCTCCTCTTTGAAGTTCGTAGTAGATAGCGGTAGAAGGAATAGTGAAAGTCTTGAAGTCTTTGATCTTTCTTATAAGTGCATAGAAGAAAACGCTGACGTATGCTGCCTTCTCTCTCTGCTTCGGCTACCTAAGAGGGAAGGGCCCCCTGTCCTGTGATCACATGATTTGCTTCACCTTATCAATCACTTAGAAGATTCACCCTCCTTACCCTGCCCCCTTGTCTTGTATGCAATAAATATCGGCGCGCCCAGCCATTTGGGGCCACTGCTGGTCTCCACGTCTTGATGGTAGTGGTCCCCCGGGCCCAGCTGTTTTCTCTTTATCTCTTTGTCTTCTGTCTTTATTTATTACAATCTCTTGTCTCTGCACATGGGGAGAACACCCACTAAGCCCCAAAGGGCTGGACCCTATAGATCTCGATTCACTGCAACCTCCTTCTCCCAGGTTCAAGCAGGGAGGTGACTTCCAGGTCACAGATAAATGAGGCACAGATGGTTGCAATCTTTTAAGTTTTTGTTTTGTTTTGTTTTGTTTTTTTGAGATGAAGTCTCATTTTGTTGCCCAGGCTGGAGTGCAGTGGTATGATCTCAGCTCACTGCATCAGCCTCCCACAGTGCTGGGATTACAGGCATGAGCCACTGTGCTGGGCCCTTCTTTTGAGTTTCTGATTAGCCTTTTGAAGGAGGCACTCAGACATGCATCTATATCAGGGAGCAGAGGGGTGACTTTGAATAGAAGGGGAGTCTGGTTCCCTAAGCAGTTCCCAGCTTGACTTTTGCCTTTTGCTTAATGATTTGGGGGCTCACAGATTTATTTCCTTTCACACAGCCCATCATTCACCCCACCTCTCGTCCACGTTGCCTGTTCTGTGTGATTATTTTTGTGCCTTTGTCATCCACTGTCTGGATCCTGGTGAGAACAAGGCCCCAAGGGGAGGGCAGAGCCAGAATGTGGGGCTGTGCTGGGCTCACCCCCTCTGAGTGGAGCTCAACCCTGGCTTCACATTAGAGTCTAGAGGCATTTTGCAAATAGAGCTTTTGTGCTGCTTTAGCAGGGATTCTTATTCTGATGGGATGGAACCCACCCTCAGTAATACCTGCAGTGGCGCAGTTGCTTGTCATCTGTGTGCAGCATTGAGCATCGAAGCTCTGAGTCCTCCATTTCTGGGGGCTGAGCTCAGCCTGTGATCCACAGAGAAGTGAGGGGTTGTCCTCTGGATGGGGTTTGATCAGGGATGAGTGTGTGCCCTGAAGAGGAGATCAGTCCAGCCCAGCTCCCCACTGCTGCCTCGTGTGTGGTGGCTTCTCCAGGAGGGGGGCGAGATCTGAAGACTGGGGTCAAACATACACTTGTAGGTCTTCCGGTGGGACTTTCTTATCTCTGCATGATCTCTGGTGCAGTGGGCCTCAGAGGACCATCTTTCTACAGGGTGACATCTCCCCTGTCTGTGTGTTTTTGTCACAGGAAGGGAGTGAGTCATTTCTACGTGAAGTTTCATACTTTTTTCACGTACAGGATTGATTTCTAAAGACTCATGTTACATGAGGAAGCAGCTCAGAAGAGGAAAGGAAAGGAGCCAGGCATGGCTCTTCCTCAGGTGAAGTGATATTCCTCTTTGGATTAATCTGTCTCTTTCCTTTCTGAAACACCAGGTATTTAGTAGCCAGTCATTTCTGAGTCTGAAGCATTTTGCCTGACAGGTTCACTCACACTCACCCATGCCTGCCCTCAGTTCCTCTCACCTGCTCTGAGATTCCATCTCCTGTGACCCAGTGACATGAACTTGAGAAGAGGTTCCACTGGGCATGGTCCTGGGAAGGCCTCACACCTAGACATGGATGGACACAGGGTGTGGGCCCCATGGTGTCAGTGCTGCTGGGCAACCTGGATTGTTCAAGGGTCATGTCTGGATGTCAGCTCTTCGTGGACCAGATCAGAGAAACTACATATGAAATACATACATTAATGTGCACAGATATCTGGTAAATTCTGGAAAAGGAGACCAATAAGGGGAGACATTTTGTATCCAATTTCTTAATGCATTTGAAGGCACACTAGTAGACAGGATGTTGGTCTGGGTGTGGTGGCTTATGCCTGTAATCCCAGCACTTTGGGAGCCAAGGCAGGTGGATCACTTGAGGTCAGGAGTTTGAGACCAGCCTGGCCCATGTGGTAAAACCTCATCTCTAATAAAAATACAAAAATTAGCTGGAAGTCGTGGCTCATGCCTGTAATCTCAGCCACTCAGGAGGCTGAGGCAGGAGAATCACTTGAATCCGGGAGGTGGAGGTTACAGTAAGCCAAGATTGTGCCACTGCACTCCAGCCTAGGCAACAGGGCAAGACTCCATCTCAAAAGAAAAAAAAGGAGAGAGAGAGAGAAAATGTCGCTCTGTAGCTTAGTTCTGGAGTACAATGGCACAATTTAGAGTTTACAGCAGCCTGAAACTCCTTGGCTCAAGTAATCCCCACTTCAGCCTCCCAAAGAGCTTGAATGATAGGCATGTGTCACCACAAGCGGCTAATTGTTTTATTTATTTATTTATTTTGAGATGGAGTCTCGCTCTATTGCCCAAGCTGGAGTGCAGTGATGGGATCTCAGCTGACTGCAACATCTGCCTCCTGGGTTCAAGCAATTCTTCTGCCTTAGCCTCCCGAGTGGCTGGGATTACAGGCATGTGCCACCTTGCCTGACTAATTTTTCTGTATTCTTAGTAGAGATGAGATTTCACCATATTGGTCAGGCTGGTCAGGAACTCCTGACCTTGTGTTTTTTCACCTTAGCCTCCCAAAGTGCTGGGATTACAAGCCTGAGCCACCGTGCCCGGCCTGTCTCTGCAGTTTTAATGACTCGGAAAGGAATGGAAAGTGAAGATACACATCAGTGGTACAGGATGCTTTATCACATCATTGATTTTACTTATTTTTTTGTTAGTTCAGTTTCAATCTGTCACTCAGGCTGGAGTGCAGTAGTGAGATATTTTCTCACTGTAGCCTCCGCTTCCTGGATTACAGCGATTCTTTTGCCTGAGCCTCTCGAGTAGCTGGGATTACACTGTGATGTGATGTGTGTGCATGAATACGTGGATGGATAAGCCCATGGTTTATGTAGAAAACACAACATTTGCATTGTTTTATTTTTTATAATAATTGTAATGATTTTAAGATTTTTCATTGTTGTCAACTATCACAATAATGAGTTAATAGTAAGAAGGGGCTGGGCATGGTGGCTTATGCCTGTAATCCCAGCACTTTGGGAGGCTGAGTCGGGTGCTCAGGAGTTCAAGACCAGCCTGACCAAAATGGGGAAACCCTGTATCTACTAAAAATACAAAATTTAGGATGGGAGCAGTGGCACATGCCTGTAATCCCAGCACTTTGGGAGGCCGAGGTGGGCAGATCATGAGGTCGGGAGATCGAGACCATCCTGGCTAACACGGTGAAACCCCATCTCTAATAAAAATACAAAAAAAATTAGCTGGGCGTGGTGGCGGGCACCTGTAGTCCCAGCTACTTGGGAGGCTGAGGCAGGAGAGTGGCGTGAATCTGGGAGGTGGAGCTTGCAGTGAGCCGAGATCGCACCATTGCACTCCAGCCTGGGAGACAGACCAAGACTCTGTCTCAAAAAAAAACAAAAAAACAAAAAAACAAAAATAAATACAAACTTTTAGCCAGGCCTGGTGGCAGGCGCCTGTTATCCCAGCTACTCGGGAGGCTGAGGCAAGAGAATTGCTTAAACCTGGGTGGCAGGGGTTGCAGTGAGCCGAGATCACACCACTGCACTCCAGCCTGAGCAATAGAGTGACACTCCATCTCAAAAAAAGAGAAAACAGAAAAAACCTGTCATTATTATTATGATTGTTATTACAGGCATGAGCCACTGCGCTCAGTCTGTCTCTGTTTCCACAGACACATCTCTACCTACTCAGCCAGGGAATTCTTCACATCCATGGTCTCCTTCATTGCTGCACTCCTCGTAGACTTTACTCATTTTGTGTGTGTGTATGAAATTCTGGAATCTATACAAGGCATATTGTTGAGTATATGCTTGAAACTAGGTATCAGAGGCCATTTAATTTAAGAGACGTAAAACTGCTTTCACCTCAGGTCACCATACTGCTGCTTTTTTGGATCTCGTTCATTCTTGTCCCTTGCCTGTATTGTAATTTGCATATTTAAGCTTGGGTCAATGTTTTACCATTTGCTAAATTAGTTCCACTTTCCTCCGAGCTCAAGATTTGGTCTATCCTGGTGGAATTATATTCCCACAGATGTGCATGCACAAAGTTCACTCCTACATGCCCATTACTTCCTGCTCTCCACCCTTGCCCTTCCTTTCCTGGCCTTGCCTCACATGATACATTGATCTGGATGCAAATACCAGCCTATTGACTTTGTAAAAGTGAACACCCCAATTTCCCCGTGAGCCCCTCCCCTCCAACACTACTCTCCCTGAGTAAGTCAAGACCTTATTCATCCACTGGACAAAATTATAGGAGGCTGCTTAAATCAGTGTGTGCAGGGCATCATGACTCAGCACATGATCCATGAGGGATGGCTTCAGAACCACTGTCAGCAGCGCAGCTCAGCGCTTGTGTCCCAGCTCAGTCCTTGTATCCCCCTTGATGTACTTCTTTCTGTTCTCCTTGTATTTTTTGTGACTGGTTGTTTTCTGTACTTTCTTGGTGGACTATTGTGCTTAGAAACATGTCGTGGGATCCTTCAGGCCCAGGATCAAGTTTGTCCCTCACTTACTGTATGTGCAAATTGGGGTCATGTACGTGAACACTGTGGGCCTGCTGTACTTATTTGAGAACTTATTTGAGAAATAATGTTAATTTTTCTCCAGATTTTTTGTTTGTTTGTTTTTTGAGATGGAGTTTCGCTCTTGTTGCCCACGCTGGACTGCAGTGGTGCAACCTCAGCTCACTCCAGCCTCTGCCCGCAGGTTCAAGCTATTCTCCTGCCTGAGGCTCCCAAGTAGCTGGGATTACAGGCATGCACCAACACACCCAGCTAATTTTGTATTTGAAGTAGAGACGGGGTTTTTCCATGTCAGTCAGACTGCTCTCAAACTCCCAACTTCAGGTGATCCACCCACTGCGGTCTTCCAAAGTGTTGGGATTACAAGCATGAGCCACCGTTCCCAGCTGCCTCCAGGTTTTTAAACAAGTTAGTGCTATTAGATGGCTTCACACATTGCAGCTTTTATATGACAGGCTGTAAACTGCCTTTGTGTAATAAGAGTTGTCAGCCTTCAGCGATGTTGATGATGACATGCTCCTTTTCCTGTCTCCGTCATTTCACTGTCCTGTCAGAAACAGCTTAGACTGGCTGGCCATGGTGGCTCACACCTCTAATCCCAGCACTTTGGGAGGCTGAGGGGGGTAGATCGCTTGAGGCGAGGAGTTTGAGACCAGTCAGTCCAACATGGTGAATCCTCGAATCTACTGAACACAAAACAATGGATGGCCGGGTGCGGTGGCTCAAGCCTGTAATCCCAGTACTTTGGGCGGCCGAGACGGGCAGATCACCTGAGGTCAGGAGTTCGAGACCAGCCTGGCCAACATGGTAAAACCCCATCTCTACTACAAATACAAAATTAGCTGAGTGTGGTGGCACATGCCTGAAATCCCAGCTACACAGGAGGCTGAGACAGGAGAATCACTTGAACCCAGGAGGCAGAGGTTACAGTGAGCCAAGATCAGGCCATTGCACTCTAGCCTGGGCAATAAGAGTGAAACTCTTTCTCAAAAATAAAGAAAAAAATAGGGGGGAGGGGGGAGGGATAGCATTGGGAGAGATACCTAATGCTAGATGACGAGTTAGTGGGTGCAGCGCACCAGCATGGCACATGTATACATATGTAACTAACCTGCACAATGTGCACATGTACCCTAAAACTTAAAGTAAAATAAAATAAAATAAAATAAAATAAAATAAAATAAAATAAAATAAAAAAAGAAAAAAATAAAAATAAGGCTGAGTGAGGTGGCTCACGCCTGTGATCCCAGCACTTTGGGAGGCCGAGGCGGGTGAATCACAAGGTCAGGAGATGAAGACCATCCTGGCTGGCATGGTGAAACCCCATCTCTACTAAAAATACAGAAACAAAATTAGCCAGGCGTGGTGGCAGGCGCCTGTGTTCCCAGCTACTCGGGAGTCTGAGGCAGGAGAATGGCGTGAATCTGGGAGGCAGAGCTTGCATTCAGCCGAGATCCTGCCACAGCATTCCAGCCTGGGTGACAGGGGGAGACCCCGTCTCAAAAAAATAAATAAAGAAATAAAAATAAAAATAAAGGCACTGGTCTTATTCATGAGTAGTCAACACCCATGATCAAATTATCTGAAAGGCCGAATCTGCAGGAACATCCTATTGGAGAATAAGAACTCTGAACATGGCTTTTGGCCAATACAAACATTCAGACCAGGGAGCCTGCATCATTTTTTTAATGTTTTTGTTGTACAATTTGTTTTATACAATGTTTTCTCTGATCCCAGTTTATCAATTTTCCCAGTACACATTCTATGTTTTATATCTTATGCATGGTGAACTAGATAACTAAGGGAAATGCGTATATATAGAATTGCTGTATGGCCTGGCTGTTATTTAACTGTAGTTGTAACATCGTAATTGAGCCCTCTGACACTGTTAGTCATTTCTTCTTTTCTTTTTTGAGAGAAAGTCTCTCCCTGTTACCCAGGCTGGAGTGCAATTGCATGATCTCGGCTCAGCGCAACTTCTGCCTCCCGGGTTCAAATGGCACTTCACTTGTTAATGTCACAAAGTGCCACCGGGTGCAGTGCCTCATGCCTGTAATCCTAGGACTTTGGGGGGTTGAGGTGGGTGGATCACTTGAGGTCAGGAGTTCGAGACCAGCCTGGCCTACATGGTGAAACCTTATCTCTACTAAAAATGCAACAATTAGCCATGCATGGTGGAGCATGCCTGTAATCCCAGCTACTCAGGAGGCTGAGGCAGGAGAATTGCTGGAACTCAGGAGGCGGAGGTTGCATTTAGGTGAGATCGCGCCATTTTACTCCAGCCTGGGTGACAGAGCAAGACTTTGTCTCAAAAAAATAAAAATACAGAAAATTAAAAAAAATCACAAAGTGCCTGTTTTGCATGGATATACTTGATATTCCTTGTGGATTATCCTGTCTCCTTTCTTTCTGAAAAGCCAGGTATTACAGTAGCCAGTCTTTTCTGAGTCTGAAGCGTCCTGCGTGACACGTTTGCTCGCACTCACCCATGCCTTCTGTCATTCCCTCTCATCTTCGCTTAAATTCCATCTTCTAGGCCGGGCGCGGTGGCTCACGCCTGTTATCCCAGCACTTTGGGAGGCTGAGGCGGGTGGATCATGAGGTCAGGAGATCGAGACCATCCTGGCTAACATGGTGAAACCCTGTCTCTACTAAAAATACAAAAAAATTAGCCAGGCGTGGTGGCGGGTGCCTGTAGTCCCAGCTACTCGGGAGGCTGAGGCAGAAAAATGGCATGAACCTGGGAGGCGGAACTTGCAGTGAGCAGACACCGCAAGACTCCATCTCAAAAAAAAAAAAAAATCCTTCTTCTATAACTCAGTGACGTGAATTTCCATAGAGGCTGCACTGGGCATGGTCTTGGGAAGGGCTCACACCAGACATGGATGGAGATGGGGTATGGGCCCCATGGTGTCAGTGCTGCGGGGCAGCTGGGATTGTTCAGGCACCACATTTGGATGCACGTTTAGCTCTTTGTGGACTGGATCCCAGAAACTACATATGAAAGCCATACATTAATGTGCACTGATATCTTGTGCATTCTGGAAAGGAGACCAATAAAGGGAGATATTTTGTTTCTGATTTTGTAATGCATTTGAAGCCAATTTTCTTTTTTTCTTTTTTTTTTTTTGTTTTTAGAGACAGGGTTTTGCTCTATGGCCCAGTCTGGAGTGCAATGGTACAATTCTAGTTTATAGCAGCCTCGAACTCCTGGTCTCAAGTGATCCACACATTACCCTCCCAAGGAGCTAGGATGACAGGCATGTGTCACCATATCTGGCTAAGTCTTTCATTTTTTATTATGTGGCTATGGGATCTTGCTATTTTGTCCAGGCAGGAGTACGGTGGTATAGTCAAAGCTCACTATAGCTTTGAGCTCCTGGCCTCAAGTGATCTTCCCATTTCAGCCTCCCATTTCAGCCTCCCAAATTGCTGAGATAACAGATATGAGACAGCCAGCCTGGCTGGACTCTGCACTTTTTTTTCTTTTTTAGGTGGGTGAGAATGGAGTCTTGCTCTGTCGCCAGGCTGGATGGCAGTGGCACAATATCTGTCAGCTCACTGCACCCTCCACCTCCTGGGTTCAAGCAGTTCTCCTGGCTCAGCCTCCCAAGTAGCTGGGACTACAGGTGTGCACCACCAGGCCCAGCTGAGTTTTTGTTTGTTTGTTTTTTGAGATGGAGCCTCATTCTGTCACCCAGGCTGGAGTGCATTGGTGTGGTCTCGGCTCACTGCAACCTCTGCCTCCCGGGTTCAAGCAATTCTCCTACCTCAACCTTCTGAGTAGCTGGGACTACAGGCATGCACCATCACACCCAGCTAATATTTGTATTTTTAGTAGAGATGGGGTTTTGCCTTGTTGGCCAGGCTGCTTTCAAAATCCTGACCTCATGATCTTTCCACCTCATCCTCCCAAAGTGCTGGGATTACAGGTGTGAGCCAGCCCACCCAGCGCTAAGTTTTGTACTTTTAGTAGAAACAGGGTTTCACCACATTGGTCAGGCTGGTCTCAGACCTCTGAACTCAGGTGATCCATCCATCTTGGACTCCCAAAATGCTGGGATTACAAGCATTTGCCGCAATTCCCAGTTTTGACTCTGCACTTTTAATGACTTAGAATGGAATGGAAAGTGGAGGTAACATCAGTGGTAGAGGATAATTTGTTCTATTATTGCTTTTAAAACAAGAAATCGGCCTCCCAAAGTGCTAGGATTACAGGCGTTGAGCAACCACTCCCGGACAAAGAAAGTTCACTTAGGCATCCCCTTTCCTGTCCAGCCTTCCACCAGTTCCCTTGGCTCAATGGGGAATCACTGCTGAGAGTACTGTGGCAAGTCAGCGTAAGTCCTACAGAAATGTATTCAGACACCATTATGAGATTTTAGATAAAATTATTTGATGAATGTGCCTGTCACCCAGACTGGAGCGCAGTGGCGCAATCTTGCCTCACTGCAGACTCTTTCCTCCAGGTTCAAGTGATTCTTGTGCCTCAGCCTCCTGAATACCTGGGACTAAAGGTGTGTGCCACTATGCCTGGATAAGTTTTTTGTATTTTTAATAGAGATGGAGTTTCACCATGTTGGCCAGGGTGGTCTGGCACTCCTGGCTTCTAGTGATCCATCCCCCTCAGCCTCCCGAAGTGCTGGGATTACAGGCATGAGCCACTGTGCCCGGCCAAATGATTTTTTTGTTGTTGTTTTTTGTTTTGTATGTTTTGTGAGACCGGTGTCTCACCCTGTCAACAGGCTGGAACTTACTAGCACATTGCAACCTCTGCTTCATGGGTTCAAATGATTCTCTAGCCTCAGCCAACTGAGTAGCTGTGTTACAGGTATGTGCCATCATGCTTGGCTAATTGTTATATTTTTAGTAGAGATGGAGTTTCTCCATATTGGCCAGGCTGGTCTTAGACTCCTGGCCTCAAGTGATCCTCCCTCCTCGGCCTCCCAAGTACTGGGATTACATGCGTGAGCCACTGAGCTCAACATGATAAATGTTTTGTTGTGGTATTTTATCCTGCAAGTCTTAAAATATTCCATGTTTTCAAGGTAGGAAGCAAGATAGCTTACTGTTTTTCATTCTCCTTGGAGCATTTTCTGAATGAAGACACGTGAGTCCTTCCCAGTTTGTCACTGTTACCAAGAATGCCACACTGGCTGCCTGTGAGTGTGCTGACTTCGCTACATGTATCTGGAGGGTTCCTGCAGGAGGGGCTATTGAGAAACTGATTGCTTCTTCTAGGACGTGGCATTTCCTCATTTCTTAGATCTGGGAAGATTCCATCCCTACCCCCAGGTGTAAAAGCGCCCTCTCTGAGAACATGAGAGAGCACCATGTGCCCTGCAGCCTCTGCATTTCAGGCTCAAGCAATCCTCCCATCTCAGCCTCCCAAGTAGCTGGAACTACAGGTGTGCACCACCGTGTCCAGCTAATTTTTGTATTTTTGGTAGAAACATGGTTTCAACATGTTGCCCAGGCTTATTTTGAATTTTTAGTCCCGTTATTTCTAAGTCTCTGTTTTATAAATTTGTGTATAATTTCTTGGGATCATCCACGTTATCTCTTTGTATATCTGGTTATGTTCTGTTGGAACTTCAGCAGTTCAGAAATCAGCCAGCTTTCACGGTTTTTGGTGTCTGACTTCAGTGAGGAAGAACACTCTCCAATCAGACTGGCTAGAGATTCCTGAGACCTCTCCAGATTTTTCTTTATTTTCGTCTTTAAAGTTAGTTATTTCTTTTTTTTGAGATGGAGTCTCTCTATGTCACCCAGGCTGGAGTGCAGTGGCACAATCTCAGCTCACTGCAACCTCTGCCTCCCAGGTTCAATTGATTCTTCTGTCTCATCCTCTTGAGTATCTGGGACTACAGGCGCGCACCACCACACCTCGCTAATTTTTGTATCTTTAGTAGAGATGGGGTTTTACCCTGTTGGCCAGGCTGGTTTCACAGTCCTGACCTCAGGTGATCTGCCCACCTCGGCCACCCAAAGTGCCGGGATTGCAGGCATGAGCCACCGCGACCAGTCATGGATAGCTTTAAATCAACAAAGTAATAAGTTGTGTTAGACTGTCAGCCAACCGGCAGGTAGACATATCTTTGTATTTACCTGGATGCCTATGTAAGAAAAACTTAAAGAGGAGGCATTTCCTTTGTTTTTGAGGACACCCTACTGTGGAACTGGTAATGTGTTTTTTTTGTTTTTTGTTTTGTTTTGTTTTATTTTGTTTTGAGACGGAGTCTCACTCAGGCATGAGCCACTGCGCCGGCCATATTTATTATTATTATTATTATTATTATTTATTTTTTGTTTTTGAGACGGAGTTTCACTGTTGTTGCCTGGGCTGGAGTGCAATGGCGTGATCTTGGCTCACCACAACCTCCGTGTCTCCTGGGCTCAAGCGATTCACCTCCCTCAGCCTCCCGAGTAGCTGGGAATAGAGGCACATGCCAACAGGCCAGGCTAATTTTTGTATTTATAGGAGAGATGGGGTTTCTCCATATTGGTCAGGCCGGTCTCCAACTTCCGACCTCAGGCCATCTGTCCTCCTCGGCCTTCCAAAACGCTGGGATTACAGGCTTGAACCACCGCGCCTGGCCTGAAGTGGTATTTTTTAGAAAGTAACTAAGCCTTTTTTCAGTTTAATGACCCAAGGATGTATTTCTGAAGGTCTTGGGAACGATCCTTGTAAGGCAAACTACAAGGGCGATAGTACCTATATCTCAGTAGGAAGTTAAATAATTCAAACATCAAATATTTCAAATTTAAAGCTACGGACATTTAAATAATTCTGAGCTTTGAGAGGAACGTGGTCATGCAACCTGAGTCCAGTGGTGTGCAGGCGCAACTTCTAAGAGTTTTACTGGCCAGGTGCGGTGGCGCACGCCTGTAGTCTCAGCACTTTGGGAGGCTAAGGTGGGTGGATCACTTGAGGTCAGGAATTAGAAACCAGCCTGGCCAACATGGTGAAACCCCGTGTCTACTGAAAATACAAAAGCATTAGCCAGGCATGGTGGCGTGTGCCTGTAATCCCAGCTACTCAGGAGGCTGAGGCAGGAGAGCTGCTTGAACCCGGGAGATGGAGGTCACAGTGAGCCAAGATTGCACCACTGCACTCCAGCCTGGGCAACAGAGCAAGACTCCGTACCAAAAACCAAACCAAAACAAAACAAAACAAAAAGTGCAATAAAATTTAGTTTCCTAATATAAATTTTAAAAAAAGTTTACCTGTAAATAATTAGGAAGACTAACCTGTTGGCATCATTGTCCCTTCTTATGGAGTGATAAAGTAACCTTCCTTGAAGTGTATCAATCCATAACCAATCAATTTGCTGCAGCCTATGCACTGGCCTTGAATGGAAAATGTGATTCTGGTAAAGCTTCTCTGTCTTTCCCTGTGTGTGAAACCTTAACGTCTCTACTTGGGAACACGGGCCCCCTTCATTTGGAGTTGACGTTTCCAGGTGGCTATCCTCAAGCTTTGTGTTCCAATAAACTCTATAGTTAATTATGTATTCTAAATTTTATTATTTACTGCTGACGTCAGTTTCTGTCGGACTGTAGCAGCCTCACTAGAGACGGCACCTGCCTCCATGTTGTAAAACTCACACTTGTCAAAAAGACGTGGGTTAAAGTAATTCCCCTCTCTCTGCATGAAGCTAACTAGCTGACACAGATAGTCACCTCCATTACCAAGTACAGCCAGGATGAACTATGTGCGACCAAGGCTGTTGTCAACTAATCTTCCCTGAGGACTGATTAGTGTTTATCTTGAAAACATGTACTTAACGGGTTGCATAGAACAATGAAGTTTCTTTCTCTCTTTTCAACCTCTTAGCTGTTTGCCTCTATTTCCCAACACATTCTGGTCTAAGGCTTATTCATTAATAGAATAGTTCTTATTTCTTCCTGTTTTGTCATGAAGATGATTTCTCATTTCGGGGAAGATTTTTTAGTTTTCAGTTGTATTTTCTCAACATTTAAAAAGCAAAGTAAAGAGTATTTCCTGGGCCAGGCACAGTGGCTCAGGCCTGTAATCCCAGCACTTGGGGAGGCCAAGGCAGTCGGATCACTTGAAGTCAGGAGTTCGAGACCAGCCTGTCCAACATGGCGAAATCCTGTCTCTACACAAAATACAAAAATTAACCGGGCATGGTGGGTGTGCCTGTAGTGCCAGCTACTCCGGAGGCTGAGGCAGAAGAATCGCTTCAACCCAGGAGGCAGAGGCTGCAGTGAGTCAAGATCTCGCCACTGCACTCCAGCCAGGGCGACAGAGAAATAGCCTCAAAAAAAAAAAAAAAAAAAAGGGAAAAAGAAAAGAAAAAAATGTAAATAAAAAGGAGAAAGTAATAGATCTCTTTTACAAATGTGCTGGGACAACTAACTGGATATCCACACGGAAAAGAGTAATGTTGTATCCCTGTCTCGCACAAGCAAATTTTTTTTTTATTATTTTTTTATTTTTTTATTTTTTTTTAGAGACGGAGTCTGGCTCTGTTGCCCAGGCTGGTGTGCAGTGGCTCGATCTCGGCCCAATGCAAGCTGTATCTCCCGGGTTCAAAAGCCTGAGAACATGGCCTGGGAGGAGGCTGAGACTCACAGGTCCCGCTCCGGCCCCGCCCTCTGCGGGTTCTAAAGGGCAAGGTCTCGCCGCTTCGCGCCCCGCCCACACCTCACCCGGGCCCCGCTCGCCTCCTCGTTGGCTCCACCCAGGCCTGGTTTCTGTCCTGCGCGCGCAGATTCGCGCAGACCAGGAAGCGGATCCCGTGGAATGACGGTGACGCCGCGGCGGGCGGTGAGTTTTGCTCTGTGTGGTGTTAAGTCTGAGCTTCCCAGGTCCCCGGCACTTCTGTACATGGGATGTGGGGTCCCCCTAGACCTGGAAGTTCTCCCCTTTCTTCGTTCACTCAGAGCAAATGGAGATGTTCTACTGGGAGTCCGGAAGCCCCTTCTTTTTAGGTTTAAAGTCGCCCTGAGGCTGGTCCCGTCCCGGGTCTTTCTGCTACAGGGCAATGTATACACTTCCTATCTCGTAGTTTTCCTGCTCAAAACCTTTTTTTGACTCCTTCCGCACGGCTCTTTTTAAAGTCCTCACCCTAGAGGTGTATTCCCACCCTGTGCGCCTCCCAGCCTCATCCTCCTGGGTTCCTGGAGCACAGCGCGGCGACCCCAGTCCCGGGAAGGCTGCGTTCTGTGGTCCTGGGATCCTGCGGATCCCACCCTTGTCCGAAGGCGTCGTCGCTCCCCACCTCCCTCCTCCTCTTGCTGGGCCCTGCTGCTCCCCAGATCTCCCCTCCGCAGTCACCGCTTCCCCTGAGCCCGCGTTGGAGAGGTGCCTGGGGCTTGTCCTGTGACGCGGGGTGTTCTTGCCCGCCCAGCTCCAGCTCTGGGAAAATGCGCTTCTCCGAGATGCAGGTGTCTTACTCCAAACCCTCGTGTGATCGTGTGGGCCAAAGGGATCAGGAGACAGAGAGAGGGACTAAGAGAGCAGTAGAAAACCTGAGACAGAGAAAAGAAGAATGAGAAAGACCCATAACAGATGGCAAAGTAGAGGATGGTGAGGGATTTGCCAAGAGACAGCAAAAGTGATAAAAGATAAGAAAGCAGGAGGAGAAAAGCAACTGGAGAAATGTAGAGAAAAGCTAGATGTACAGAGAGATGAAGGACAGACAGCAAGGTAGGGAGAGGGGCAGAAATGTGGAGGCTCATCAGAGTGAGGGAGAGGAGGAGGGATGTGGAGCCGGGTCAGACAGAGCAGAGTGGTGCTGGTGGCAAGGAGAACAGAGGGAGAAGCACAGCGGGGAGGACACCTGGGGATCTGGGGTGCCAGACTGGGTCCAGGGGGTTATAACAGAGAAGAGAGAATTTAACAGGGAGAGCAGAGAGGGGAGAAGAGGTGGAAATCTATGGAGATTGAGGACGATCTAAAGATTGGGGAGAAGGACCAACAAGAGGTTAAATAAGGGCCGGGCGCGGTGGCTCACGCCTGTAATCCCAGCACTTTGGGAGGCCGAGGCGGGTGGATCATGAGGTCAGGAGATCGAGACCATCCTGGCTAACAAGGTGAAACCCCGTCTCTACTAAAAATACAAAAAATTAGCCGGGCGCGGTGGCGGGCGCCTGTAGTCCCAGCTACTCGGGAGGCTGAGGCAGGAGAATGGCGTGAACCCGGGAAGCAGAGCTTGCAGTGAGCCGAGATTGCGCCACTGCAGTCCGCAGTCCGGCCTGGACGACAGAGCGAGACTCCGTCTCAAAAAAAAAAAAAAAAAAAAGAGGTTAAATAAGTTGCAAGGATGGAGCCCAGCTAATTTTTGTATTTCTAGTAGAGATAGGGTTTCACCATGTTGGCCAGGTTGGTCTCAAACTCCTGACCTCAGGTAATCCACCCACCTCCACCTCCCAAAGTGCTGGAATTACAGGTGTGAACCACCTCAGCTGTCCACCCATGTATTCTTGATTGAAATAATTTGCTTATGTCTTAGTTCTACAGTTGACCCTGTTTTCAAGGTCAAGAGCTGTGTGTTTACACTGCTGCATTTTATAAATGTTAGTGTGATTTTCTTGTAAGGAAGAATTCAATGTTGGGAGTCAATTTCATCAGAACCTTTCAAAAGAATTTTCTTTAACCCAGGCATGTGAAAGATGCTTCTCTAATTTTAAGGATGGGATGATAAGACCAGTCCATCCCATTAGCCCTTCCAGGCCCCCATGTAAGAATTCAGGCACACCTTCTCACTCATCTCAGACCTTCTCAGGGTAACTTCGTGAAAATGTTTCCAGCTCTGAGCCCCAGTGAGCCTCCCCTGCAACTTGGAGATGAGGGGCTAGACCAGAAAAGCTCAACCCGAGTGACCCTGGCCACTGAAATGATTGGCAAAATAGAGTGGGTGTCTGGGTGTGGCTTTTTTTCTGGTAGAGGGGAGTGCCCAGTTGTAATTAGAATTTTCAGTGGGATGCAGTACCCCAAAAATGAAAAAAAAAAGCAATAGAATGGAAGAAAGAGAGTGGTAGACTCAGAAAGAGAGACCATCTTCGGAGGACTTTGTCTGTATTAGAATATCACAGCTACATCTAAAGCAGGTCATGTCAGTGCCTGGCAGGGAACCCTCCACCTGCTTCCCGTGTTCCCCAGGACAAAAGCCCAACTCTTCACTTTGGCTCCACAGCCCTGTGTTCAGGGTCCCTGCCAGTGTCCAGCCTCCTCCTGGGAGCTTACCCTCATCTGACTCCCTCTGCCCCAGTCACATTTGCTTTTCTCTTTTTTCAAACATCAAAATCCTTCCTGTCTCAGGTTGTTGTCCCTGTTCTTATTCAATGTTTCTAAATGAAGATGGCACTGTCCCTTTCTCCTTCAGATCTAGGCTCAGAGCTGTCTCCCATGCCCTCCCACCCCCATCTGAAGTTCCCTCTGCCCATCAGTGTCTATCACATTACTCAAGTCTTCTTATCTCTGTGTCAGTCCCATCAGAAATGCACTTTTTTTTTTTTTTTTTTTCCCAAACAGACTCTCATTCTGTCCTCCAGGCTATGAGTGCAGTCTTGTGATCTTGGCTCACTGCAACCTGTATCTCCTGGGTTCAAGTGATTCTTGTGCCTCAGCCTCCCAAGTAGCTAAGATTACAGGTGTGTGCCACCACACCCTGCTAATTTTTGTATTTGTATTTGTATTTTTTTATTTTTGAGTCTTACTCTGTCACCCAGGCAGGAGTGGAGTGGCGCGATCTTGGGTCACTGCAACCTCCACCTTCCAGGTTCAAGCAATTCTACCTCAGCCTCCTGAGTAGCTGGGATTACAGATGCGCATCAAGCCCGGCTACTTTTTGTATTTTTAGTAGAGACAGGGTTTCACCATGTTGGCCAGGCTGCTCTTGAACTCCTGACCTCAAGTAATCCACCCACCTCGGCCTTTCAGAGTGTTGGTATTACAGGCATGAGCCACTGAGCCCAGCCCAATTTTTATATTTTTAGTAGAGAGAGGGTTTCTCCATGTTGGCCAGGCTGGTCTCGAACTTCTGAGCTCAAGTGATCCTTCCACCTCAGCTTCCTAAGTAGCTGGGACCACAGACACACAGATGCGCACCACCATATCTGGCTAAGTTTTTGTATTTATGGTAGAGATTTCCTGAAGGGGAGCTCATCCCAGCCCAGCTCCCCACTGCTGCAGCGTGTGTGTGGGCTTCTCCAGGAGTAGAGTGGGAGTTTTCCTGTAGGAATTTTTTGTTCGTGGTGCGGTAGGCAGCATAGGGGACCATATTTCCTCAAGGTGAAGTCTCCTTTGTATGTGTTGTTGTGTTACAGGGAGGGGATGTGTTGATTCTGAGCAATAAACAACATATTTTTAACATTCAGGATTGACTTCTAAAGAATCTTGGTACGTGAGGAAGAAACCCAGAAGAGGAAGAGGAAAGCAAAGGAGTCAGGGATGGCTCTTCCTCAGGTGAGATGGTATTCTCGGTGGATTGCTCTGTCTCCTTCCTTTCAGAAACGCTGGGCCTTGGAGTTGGGAGTCTTCTCTGAGTCTGAAGTGTCCTGCCTGATATGTTTGCTCACCCTCACCCATGCCTTCCTTCAGTTCATCTCATCTCGCTTAGATTCCATCTCTGGTGACCCAGTGACATGAACATGGGAGAGGCTGCACTGGGCATGGTCCTGGGAAGGTCTCACACCCAGACATGGATGGAGACGGGGTGAGGGTCCCGTGGTGTCAGTGCTGTTGGGCAGCAGGGTTTGTTCAGGGGCCACATCTGGATGCACTGTCAGCTCTCTGTGGACCAGGATTAGAGCAGCTGCCAATGGGAGTCAAGTATTAATGTGCACAAAGTACGTGGTCAATTCTAGAAAAGGAGACCAATAAGGGAAAATCTTTTCTCCCTGATTTTATACCACATTTTTAGGTAATTGAGTGAGTTCCTGTGTTTCTGACTCCAAAAATCTTACTAATTAGAATGGAATGTTCATACATAGATGAATAATACATTAATGATTCCTTCATTATTATTATTTTTTTTGAAGCGGAGTTTCACTCTTGTTATCCAGGCTGGAGTGCAATGGCGTGATCTCAGCTCACCGCAACCTCCGCCTCCTGGGTTCAAGAGATTCTCCTGCCTCAGCCTCCCGAGTAGCTGGCATTACAAGCATGCGCCACCATGCTCAGCTAATTTTGTATTTTTAGTAGAGACGAGGTTTCTCCATGTTGATCAGGCTGGTCTCAAACTCCCGACCTCAGGCGATCCGCCTACTTTGGCTTCCTAAAGTGCTGGGATTACAAGCGTGAGCCACCGTTCCTGGCCTATTCCTTCATTATTTTAAGAACATGAAATCAATGTAAATAATAGCAGGAGAGTCATTCAACCATTCTTAACACATCGAGCTCACGGAGACTATGGTGTTACTGTGGAGAGGCTTGTGAAACAGGTGTTTTTGGTAAAAGTGGTTGCAATTTTTCTCTAATATTGGAGAGTACTGCTTTTTTATCTAAGAGGATAAAGCTGTATTCTCATTCCACGTTTTATTATTATTATTATTATTATTATTATTATTATTATTTTCTGAAACGGAGTCTTGCTTTGTTGCCCAGGCTGCAGTGCAGTGGCATGATCTCAGCTTACTACAACCTCTGTCTCCCAGGTTGAAGCGATTCTCTGTCTCAACCCACCTAGTAGCTGGGATTATAGGTGCGCGCCACCATCCCCAACTAATTTTTTTTTTCTTTTTTTGAGATGATGTTTTCACTCTGTCACCCAGGGTGGAGTGCTTTGGTATGATCTTGGCTCACTGCAAGCTCTGCCTCCTGGGTTCATGCCATTCTCCTGCCTCAGCCTCCCAAGTAGCTGGGACTACAGGCACCCGCCACCATGCCTAGCTAATTTTTTGTGTTTTTAGTAGAGACGGGGTTTCACCGTGTTAGCCAGGATGGTCTCAATCTCCTGACCTCGTTATCCTCCCACCTCAGCCTCCCAAAGTGCTGGGATTACAGGCTTGAGCCACCGCGCCCGGCTTGCCTGGCTAATTTTTTTGTATTTTTAGTAGAAACAGGGTTTCACCATGTTGGCCAGGCTGGCCTCGAACTCCTAACCTCAGGTGGTCTGCCTGCCTCAGCCCCCAAGAGTGTTGGGATTACAGGTGCAAGCCACCATGCCCAGCCCCAACAATTATTATTGAATATAAATGGTTATATGTAAACATCACATGATGTATATATTTTGTGGTAAAACTCCAAGCAAAGCTGCAGCTTAGACCCTTTGCCATAAGGCATCTCCTTTCCCTGTCACATCCTCCACCCTCCTTCCAGCCTCACTGGCGAGCCACTATTGTCAGTTCTGTGTTAGCTGTCAGAGCGAGTCTCGTACACGTGTATTTCTGCATCATTATGAGACTTTAAAAAAAATTCTGTTGTAAATTAAAGAAAAATTTTTATGTATTTTTTTTTACTTTACGTTTGGGGCTACATGTGAAGGTTTGTTACAGAGGCAAACTCACGTCATTGGAGTTTGTTGTACCAATTATTTCATCACACCGTTGTCAAGGCCAGTACACGATAGTTATTTATTTTTTTTGAGATGGAGCCTCGCTCTGTCGCCCAGGCTGGAGTGCAGTGGTGCAATCTCGGCTCACTGCAAGCTCCGCCTCCTGGGTTCACACCATTCTCCTGCCTCAGCCTCCCGAGTAGCTGGGACCACAGGCACCTGCCACCACACCCAGCTAATTTTTTTGTATTTTTAGTAGAGATGGGGTTTCATTGTGGTAGCCAGGATGGTCTCGATCTCCTGACCTCATGATTCGCCCGCCTCGGCCTCCCAAAGTGCTGGGATTACAGGCGTGAGCCACCACGCCCAGACAGTTATTTTTTTTATTTATTTTTTTGAGACTGAGTTATGATCTTGTTGCCCAGACTGGAGTATTATGGCATGATCTCGGCTCACTGCAACCTCTACCTCCCGGGTTCAAGTGTGTCTCCTGCTTCAGACTCTCGAGTAGCTGGGACTACAGGTGCTTGCCACTATACCTGGCTAATTTTTGTATTTTTAATAGAGACAAGAGTTTCACCATGTTGGCCAGGCTGATGTTGAACTCCTGTCTTCAGGTGATCCAGCAGCCTCAGCCTCCCAAAGTGCTGAGATTACAGGTGTGAGCCACTGTGCCCGGGCCCAATAGTTATTTTTTCTGCTCCTCTCCTTCCTCCCACTGCCAAAGTATCCTTTCCACCAAGGCAAGATTCCTCTTCGGTTAAACAAATCTTGCTACTTTTTATATTTTAAAAACCTTTATATATATATATAAATATATATATACACACACATACACACATATCTATACATATACATACATATATACACACATGTATACTTTGAAAGTCTGGGGAAAATGACCACTTTGTTATTAACATCTAATTTCTTGTGAGTCTTTGAAGGTTTTATTATTTTTGGGGCATATATATGCAAAAAAAGATTTTCGTACTTTGAGTAATTCTGTTTTCATATATTTATTTTATTTTGAGACAAGGTCTGGCTCTGTTGCCCAGGCTGGAGCGCAGTGGTGTGATCTTGGCTCACTGTAGCCTCTGCCTTCCTGGTTCAAGCGAGTCTCCTGCCTCAGGCTCCTGAGTAACTGGGAATACAAGCGAGTGCCACCATGTCCAGATAATTTTTTGGTATTTTCAGTAGTGATGGGGTTTCACCTTTTTAGCCAGGATGGTTTTCATTTCCTAACCTCGTGATCTGCCCACCTCAGCCTCCCAAAGTTTTGAAATCACAGGCGTGAGCCACCTCGCCCAGCTTTTTTTTTTCTTTTTGAGACAAAGTCTCGGTTGTCCAGGCTGGAATGCAGTGGTGTGATGTCGGATCACTGCAGCCTCTGCCTCCCAGGTTCAAGTGATTCTCCTGTTTTAGCCTCCTAAGTAGCTGGGATTATAGTCACGTGCCATCACCCGTGGCTAATTTTTTTTGTATTTTTAGGAGAGACGGTGTTTCACCATTTTGGCCATGCTGGTCTTGAACTCCTGACCTCAGGTGATCCGCCTGCTTCAGCCTCACAGAATGCTGGGATTACAGACACGAGCCATCATGCCCAGCCCCACCAATTGTTATTAAATATATATGGTTATATTTAAACATCACACGATGTGTATATTTGTTTGGTGGTAACGCTCCAAGAAAGCTGCAGCTTAGACCCTTGGCCATAAAGCATCTCCTTTCCCTGTCACGTCCTCCATCCTCCTTCCAGCCTCCCTGGGGAGCCGTTACTGTCAGTTCTGTGCCAGGTGTCAGAGCAAGTCTTGTACACGTGTATTTCTGCAGCATTATGAGGCTTTAGAAGAAATTCTGTAGTAACTTAAAAAAGTTTTTTCTTTTTTGTAAAAGTCCAAACAATTTTTATTTTCAAAAACAACTTTATTCATGACACATATTAAAAAAAATTCCCACCCCTGGAAATGAGCTTAAAAAAATAAACAGAGTCCATCTCCCACCTCCCTGTTCCCACTTCCTCCTATTCCCTCCAAATAAAAGGGAAAAAAGGCAAAGGAAGACAAAACAAAACAAAAAACTGAAAAACAGAAACACCTCTAAACCCCCCAAAACAAGGTAGTGCATTTCCCCATGGGGAAGGGGAATTTACAGTGGAGCTGCTGGGAGCGGAACGGAGATCTTCTGGCTGCAGAAACCTGTAAACAAAGACACTCAACACAGAAAAAGAAACACAAAAGGAAACAAAATAGATCACCAGGCAATCTGGAGGGGCAGGGGGCCAGAGAAGAGGGGTGGGGTGGGTGGTAGACCTGGAGGGACAGGAGCAGGCAGGAGGGGACTGTGAAAGGTGAGGAGAAGACGGAGGGAAGGTGACAAGCCGAACAGTCTGGTGTCCTTCCAGAGCCCTGGGTAAAAAAAAAAACCTCCTACCACCCCCGCCCGCCTACCCTGGAGCAGCCCCTACGGGGGCGAAGTGGGGCAGGGAAACACGGGGAGCAGCTTGCACTGTTGAGACGTGTCCATGGCGAATCCCCAGAGTGAATAAGCCGCCCCCTGCCCCACTCCCTGGGCCTTCCCCTGCTCCCCAAAACAGGTCCCTCCTCAGCAGTTTGTTAGGGATTCTCTGTCCTTCCACAGTATGTCTTTTTTTTTTTTTTTTTTTTTTCACCATTCAAGTTTTTAATCTTCATAAATGCCAAGGTTTTAAAAGACTGCTGGGTAGTCCTAAATTGCTCCACTGAGCAGATAAGCAATTACTATGAGTAGCGTCATTTTAAATACATGCAAAAGTATTGGTATAGTGACAATAAAGCATTAACCAAGATTACCACAACTGGAGATTTAGGAAAATTTCATCTGAGTTGCATTGTTCTCTTTTCACAATGTATAAATTGCTTAAATTGGGTGATAGTTTAGTTTAACTTTATTACTAAGCATTAACCTCAAGGATTGAAGCTCAGATTGTGGAATTTCACCTGCTATCCAGTGAGCAGAGAGGGTATTCTTTGGACATAGGGACCTTTTAAGTAGCCTTAAAACTATAGTAATCAGGGTGATGCATTTCCTCAAAGGCTTGCCCAGTTTATGTCATCCAAGCATGCCACTCTCTACACAGCACACTTAAAACTTTTTTTTTTTTTTTTTTTTTTTTTATTGATCATTCTTGGGTGTTTCTCGCAGAGGGGGATTTGGCAGGGTCATAGGACAATAGTGGAGGGAAGGTCAGCAGATAAACAAGTGAACAAAGGTCTCTGGTTTTCCTAGGCAGAGGTCCCTGCGGCCTTCCGCAGTGTTTGTGTCCCTGGGTACTTGAGATTAGGGAGTGGTGATGACTCTTAAGGAGCATGCTGCCTTCAAGCATCTGTTTAACAAAGCACATCTTGCACCGCCCTTAATCCATTTAACCCTGAGTGGACACAGCACATGTTTCAGAGAGCACAGGGTTGGGGATAAGGTCACAGATCAACAGGATCCCAAGGCAGAAGTATTTTTCTTAGTACAGAACAAAATGAAAAGTCTCCCATGTCTACTTCTATCCACACAGACCCGGCAATCATCCGATTTCTCAATTTCTTCCCCACCCTTCCCGCCTTTCTATTCCACAAAACCGCCATTGTCATCATGGCCCGTTCTCAATGAGCCGCTGGGCACACCTCCCAGACGGGGTCGTGGCCGGGCAGAGGGGCTCCTCACTTCCCAGTAGGGGCGGCCGGGCAGAAGCGCCCCTCACCTCCCAGATGGGGCGGCTGGCCGGGCGGGGGGCTGACCCCCCCACCACCCTCCCGGACGGGGCGGCTGGCCAGGCAGAGGGGCTCCTCACTTCCCAGTAGGGGCGGCCGGGCAGAGGCGCCCCTCACCTCCTGGATAGGGCGGCTGGCCGGGCGGGGGGCTGTCCCCCCCACCTCCCTCCCGGACGGGGCGGCTGGCCAGGCAGAGGGGCTCCTCACTTCCCAGTAGGGGCGGCCGGGCAGAGGCGCCCCTCACCTCCTGGATAGGGCGGCTGGCCGGGCGGGGGGCTGTCCCCCCCACCTCCCTCCCGGACGGGGCGGCTGGCCGGGCAGAGGGGTCCTCACTTCCCAGTAGGGGCGGCCGGGCAGAGGAGCCCCTCACCTCCCGGACGGGGCGGCTGGCCGGGCGGGGGGCTGACCCCCCCGACCTCCCTCCCGGACGGGGCGGCTGCCGGGCGGAGACGCTCCTCACTTCCCAGACGGGGTGGTTGCCGGACGGAGGGGCTCCTCACTTCTCAGACGGGGCGGTTGCCAGGCAGAGGGTTTCCTCACTTCTCAGACGGGGCGGCCGGGCAGAGACGCTCCTCACCTCCCAGACAGGGTTGCGGCCCAGCAGAGGCGCTCCTCACATCCCAGACAGGGCGGTGGGGCAGAGGTGCTCCCCACATCTCAGACGATGGGCGGCCGGGCAGAGACGCTCCTCACTTCCTAGATGGGATGGCGGCGGGGAAGAGGCGCTCCTCGCTTCCTAGATGGGATGGCGGCCGGGCAGAGACGCTCCTCACTTTCCAGACTGGGCAGCCAGGCAGAGGGGCTCCTCACATCCCAGACAATGGGCGGCCAGGCAGAGTCGCTCCTCACTTCCCAGACGGGGTGGCGGCCGGGCAGAGGCTGCAATCTCGGCTCTTTGGGAGGCCAAGGCAGGCGGCTGGGAGGTGGAGGTTGTAGTGAGCCGAGATCACGCCGCTGCACTCCAGCCTGGGCACCATTGAGCACTGAGTGAACGAGACTCCATCTGCAATCCCGGCACCTCGGGAGGCCGAGGCTGGCGGATCACTCGTGGTTAGGAGCTGGAGACCAGCCCAGCCAACACAGCGAAACCCCGTCTCCACCAAAAAAAAAAACGAAAACCAGTCAGGCGTGGCGGCGCGTGCCTGCAATCGCAGGCACTCGGCAGGCTGAGGCAGGAGAATCAGGCAGGGAGGTTGCAGTGAGCCGAGATGGCAGCAGTACCGTCCAGCTTTGGCTCGGCATCAGAGGGAGACTGTGGAGGGAGAGGGAGAGGGAGGGGGAGGGGGAGGGGGAGGGGGAGGGGGAGGGGGAGGGGGAGAGGGAGAGGGAGAGGGACTCTTTTTTTAAAAATATATATATATTTTTTTCCATCAAGGTCATCTTCTGTTTTTTTTGGGTTTTTTTTTATTCTTTTTTTTTCCCCTTCTTTCCTCTTTTTTTCCTCTCTCTCCTAATACACATTTTTTTTAGTAAGGGGAATACCGTGATGTCGCTCTAGCCCGGCCCCTGTAGACGCGACCCCAGAGCCTGCTGTTAAAACCACTGTAGAATGGAGAGCAGGAACTGCTGTAGTTGGTGGTCGGGCGCGGTAGCGGGCTCGTGGAAGACCCCGGTCTGTTGTGCTGATGCCTGGTCTGTTGGTTCGCTTTGGGATCACCTTGATTTGCCTTCCTCTAAATAGGGACTCATCCAAGGCCAAGGAAGTCCTCACTGACTCTTTGAGAACTCTATATATGCAAACCCTTTGGGATGGCCACTAAATTTGTCACAGAGTATGGTAACGTGGTTGACTGAACCACAGCCATGAAAGTGAGCTTCCAGCTCTTCTGCTGTTGCACCGCAGTCCACATTGCCAGCATTGATGGAACGGGCATCAGCCTCCATCTTCTCCTCAATGGACGTGATCACTGGGCCAGCATTGCCTGGAGGTAGACTCATATTCCTCTGCTTCTCTACGTCGTTCTGTAGCTCCTTTAGCTTCTCAGCTTCTTCCTCCACCTCCCTGACTCCAGCTTCGATAGCTTCCAGCCCCGGGTCACCCTCGACCAGTCCCGGCTCCTCCCCCTCCTCTTGGCTGCCGGTGGCTCCTGAACGAGGCCCAGGTCCTGGAGCTCCCAGGCATGGGGCGCGGGGCTGGAGCGGCTCCTCTTCGGGCTCCGGCTCCAACAGCAGCTCCTCAGGCTCCAGTTCCTCAGACTCCAGGCCGTTCCCATCGTCCCCTGCGCCCCCCGGGGCAACCTCCCCGGCCTCCCCACCGGCCCCGGGCACAAGATGGCGCCGCCCCGGCCTGGATCCCGGACCGCCCGCAGGCCCAGTGCTACTGCCACCACCGCCACCGCCGCCGCCGCCGCCTTCGCCGCTCAGACTGGGCTCCTTTTTTTTCGCTCTGTCACCCAGGCTGCAGTGAAGTGGCATGATCTCAGCTCACTGCAACCCCCTCCTCCTGGGTTAAAGCGTTTTGCTGCCTCAGCCTCTCGAGTAGCTGAGATTACAGGCAGCCAACACCACGTCTGGCTATTTTTTGTATTTTTAGTAGAGAAGGGCTTTCATTATCTTGGCCATGCTGGTCTTGAACTCTTGACCTGGTTATTCACCCGCCTTGACCTCTTAAAGTGCTGGGATTACAGGCGTGAGCCACCGCGCCAGGCCCATAATAGTTATGTTTTCTGTTTCTCTCCTTCCTCCCACCCTCCACCCTCAAGTAGACGCCAGTGTCTATTTTCTTCTTTGTGTTCCAGTAAATATTTTAGTTCGATATTTCATCCTGCTAGTTGTGAATTTACATGTTGTCATGTTAGTAAACATGGCTAGCTTGCTCTTTGACATCTGCATTGGAAATTGGCTGAATGACAACACATGTGTCCTTTGCAACTTTTCCCTGTATAAAGAGTGCCATAGTGGCTGCCTCTGTGCACGTCCGCATTACTACAGATATCTGAACATTCCTCCAGGTCAGGCAGTTGAAAGGGTGATTGCTTCTTCTAGGATGGGGCATTTCCATTTTCTTAGATCTGACAAGATTCCCCCTGCCCGCAACTGCCCAAGTGTCCTTTTCCAGCAAGATGAGATTCCTCTTCAGTTAAACAAAACTTGCTACTTTTTATATTTTTTAAAACTTCATATATGTACATATATATCCCCACACACATGCACACACATATACATACAAATACATATATACACACATCTGTATATATTTTGAAAATCTTTTATATTTTGAAAATCTGGGACAAATGACAACCCTTTGTATTCACATCTAGTGTTTTGTGAGTCTCTAGGTTTTATTATTTTGTGAAAATTTAGAAACACAATTGATTTTTGTACTTTGAGTAATTTTGTTTTCACGTATTTTATTTTATTTTGAGATGGGGTCTCGGTTTGTTGCCCAGGCTTGAGTGCCCTGGTGGGATCACAGCTCACTGCAACCTCCACCCTCAGGGTCAAGCCATCCTCCCTCCTTAGCCTTCCAAGTAGCTGGGACCGCAGGTGCCTGCCACCAGGTCCAGCTAATGTTTTTTGTTTTTTTTTTTAATTTTTTTTTTTTTGAGATGGAGTTTCTGTTGCCCAGGCTGGAGTGCAGTGACACTGTCTGGGATCTCTGCAACCTCTGCCTCCCAGGATCAGGCAATTCTGCCTCAGCCTCCTGCGTAGCTGGGATTACAGACATGTGTCACTGTGCCCAGCCTGTCTCTTACTGTGGACATTGTCATCTTTTAAGACATCAGTCATGCTCTCTCTCATCTAGATAATGAATGTCACTTGGTGTGTCTATAAAAGTTTCAAACATTTTTATAACAGGAATCCAACACTGATTTTTTATTTATTTCTTGAATTTTTCACAAACTTAGGAATTTCATACTGAAAGTGTGTCTTGATCACTTCAAAAAGTATAATAAAAACATCATGTGGTGAAAAATCCGTCACTCGGATTTGTGAGAACATTCACTACAACTAAATCCATGCTTTCCCCCTCTCTTGTCATTTTCTGTAAAGATAAGAACTCCACCATAACCATTTGGTTAAAATGTGTTTCCATTTCAGGGTCTATTGACATTCAGGGACGTGGCCATAGAATTCTCTCAGGAGGAGTGGAAATGCCTGGACCCTGCTCAGAGGACTCTTTACAGGGATGTGATGCTGGAGAATTATAGGAACCTGGTCTCCCTGGGTGAGGATAACCTCCTGGGGATGTGCCCTTGTGTATCTTTGTATTTTCTCTTGTTGCCTCTTGGGAGCCACATCCTTACTTGACTAAAATGGAAGCCGTATTGATTTTGAAATGAAAAGCTTCATGATGTAGCATCTGGACTTTCACTGTCCCCTTTGTTTAGAGGTTCTGCATTCTTCATGATAGCTCAGTGGAGCTTCCAGAAGTAAAGTAGGCATAAAACTTTATGGCAGCCTGGTCGTGGTGGCTCACGCCTGTTATCCCAGCACCTTGGGAGGCCAAGGCGTGTGGATCGCTATGGGTGAGGAGTTCAAAACCAGCATGGCCAACATGCAGAAACCCTGTCTGTACTAAAAATACAAAAGTTAGCCGGGCATGGTGATGCATATGTGTAATCCCAGCTCCTAGAGAGGCTGAGGAAAGAGAATTACTTGAACCCAGGAGGCCAAGTTTTGCATTGAGCTGAGAACACACCACTGCACTCCAGCCCGGACGACAGAGCAAGACTCTGTCTCAAAAAACAAAGACAAAAACAAACCTTATGGCAGACTTTAAAGATATCCAGTTCCCTGTTTGCTTCTCCTGTGCTTTCGATTCTGTAGTTCTTGGAAGAGAGCTCGATGTCCACATACTACATATTACAGTGCTCCCCAAGCATTCAGAATGAGGCAGTCAGTGGAGGAATTTGTGAAATATTTTCCTAGATTCATCTGTAATGTCTTCTTTCCTACAGAAACATAGGGCTGGGACTCTAGAAAAGCTCCAGCATGTTATGGTCCTTTCTTTTTATAAGCAGGAGTCTCTTTCTGACCTGCTGTCTCCATGTTGGAGCAAGGGAAAGAGCCCTGGACTGTGGAGAGTTAAGTGAAAATAACAAAAAAATCCAGATGGGTGGGAATGTATTACAGGTGCAAACGCAGGTAAGAGCTCAGATGGGCAGAGTGGAAGCTCCACCTTCAAATAGTGTGTGGGGAAACTCTCTGCAAGTGGGAGAATTCTGTGGCAAAAGAAAAGTTTAAATCCTCACATCTCTGAAAAGATATCTTTCTTTGCCCCCGCTTATCTCTCTGCTCTTTCTTTCTATTCTTTCTTTCTCTCTTTTTTTATGACAGAGTCTCACTCTGTTGCCCAGGCTACAGTGCACTGGTACGATCTTGGCTAACTGCAGCCTCTGCCTCCTGGGCTCAAAGGATGCTTATGCCCCAGATTCCTGAGTAGCTGGAACTGCAGGCGCTCACCACCATGCCCAGCTAATTTTTGTGTTTTTAGTAGAGACAGTGTTTCACCATGTTGGCCAGGCTGGTTTCAAACTTCTGATCTCAAGTGACCCACTTGCCTCAGATTCCCAAAACACTGGGACCGTAGGCATGAGCTGCCATGCCTAACCATTGTTATTATTTTAAATAGTTTTGTCTTGTAGTTCTTTAGATATTTGGGCAGAGGTTATTGTTGCAGGTATGTTAAACATATTAAAGTTATAGCATAATAAAGAAACTTAAAATTACCATAACCTGGACGTGTGCAGTGGCTGACACCTGTAATCCCAGCACTTTGAGAGGCTGAGATGGGCATATCACCTGAAGTCAGGAGTTCAAAACTAGCCTGGTTAACATGTTGAAACTTCGTCTCTACTAAAGTTACAAAAATTAGCCAGGCGCCGTGGTGGGTGGCTGTAATCCAAGCTACTCAGGAGGCTGAGGCAGGAGAGCCACTTGAATCTGGAAGGCAGAGGTTGCAGTGAGCCGAGATCGCACCGTTGCACTCCAGCATGGGAGACAGAGTGAAACTCTGTTTCAAAAGAAGAAAAAAAAAATTCTGTAACCTGCAAAAATGACTTCTTCTTCTCCACTAGAACATTTTTTTATTTGTCAGAATTATTTCTGTGTATGTTGCATTTTTGTTAACATATATGTACAGTGTTTTTCATGCCTTTTATTTTAAATATGAAAAAAGTTTAGTTATGAAGGTATACATATGCCAGTTTCTGTATCTGTCCTTTTATTAATTAATTACTTTATGTATTTATGAGACTGAGTTTTGCTGTTGTCACCCAGGCTGAAGTACGATGCTGCGATCTCAGCTCACTGCAACCTCTGCCTCTCGGGTACAACCGATTCTCCTGCCTCAGGCCCCTGAGAAGCTGGGATTACAGATATGCACCACCACACCCATCTAATTTTGTATTTTTAGTAGAGACTGTTTCTTTTTGTTGGCCAGGCTGGACTCGAACTCCTGACCTCAGGTGATCTGCCCAGCTCATCCTCCCAAAGTGTTGGGATTACAGGCATGAACCACGATGCTTGGCCTATCTGTTTTTACTACCTTTACTGGAGAACTTTATTTATTTATTTATTTATTTATTTTTATTATTATTATTTTTGAGATGGAGTCTCACTCTGTCGCCCAGGCCGGAGTGCAGTGGTGTGATCTCTGCTCACTGCAACCTCCACCTTCTGGGTTCAAGCAATTCTCCTTCCTCAGCCTCCCGAGTAGCTGCAACTACAAGTGTGCACCACTACACCCAGCTAAGTTTTGTATTTTTAGTAGAGATGGGGTTCCACCATGTTGGTTGGCCAGGATAGTCTCAATCTCCTGACCTGGTGATCTGCCAGCCTCAGCCTCCCAAAGTGCTGGGATTATTGGCGTGAACCACCACACCAGGCCTGGAGAACTTTATATATGCTTGTGGGTTGGAGTTACTCTTTAGCCTTCTTTCATTTCTTTTTTTTTTTTCTTTGAGACAGATTTTCGGTCTGTCACCCAGGCTAAAGTGCAGTGGTGTCACCTCGGCTCACTGCAACCTCCACTTCCCAGGTTCAAGCAATTCTCCTGCCTCAGCCTTCCAAGTAGCTGGGACTACAGGTGAGTGCCAACACCGCGGGCTAATTTTTTGTATTTTTTTAGTAGAGACAGAATTTCAGCTTGTTAGGCAGGATGGTCTCAATCTCCTGACCTTGTGATCCTCCCACCTCAGCCTCCCAAAATGCTGGGATTACTGGCATGAGCCACCGCACCTGGCCTGTCTCAAGTTTTTTAAAACATGTTAGTGCTATTAGATGGCTTCAAGTATTGCAAGTTTTACAGTACAGACTCTTAACTTCCTTTGTTTAATAAGATTTGTCAGCCTTTGGTGATGTTGATGATGAGATGCTCTTTCTCCTGTCTCTGTCATTTCACTGTCCTGTTAGAAATAGCTTAGACTGGCCAGCTGTGATGTCTCACTTTTCTAATCCCAGCACTTTCAGAGACCAAGGTGGGTAGATCGCTTGAGGTCAGGAGTTTGAGACCAGTCTGGCCAACATGGTGAAACCTCGAATTTACTAAATGCCAAAAATGGGCTAGGTGCAGTGGCTCACACCTGTAATCCTGGCACTTTGGGAGACTGCGATCGGTTGATCACTTGAGGTCACGAGTTTGAGACAAGCCTGGCCAATATGGTGAAACCCTGTCTCTACTAAAAATGCAAAAATTAGCTGTGTATGGTGGCGTGCGCCTGTAATCCCAGCTACTTGGGAGGTTGAGGCAGGAGAATCACTGGAACCCAGGAGGTGGAGGTTGCAGTGCGCCAAGATCACGCTACTCTACTCCAGACCGGGAGACAGAGTAAGACTGGGCTGAGGAGGGAGAATCACTTGAGGTAGGAGAATCATGCCACTACACTCCAGCCTGGGTGATAGAGCATGACTCCATCTCAAAAACAAACAAAAAAGGAAATTGCTTAAACTGGGAGGCTTAAGACAAAGACATTGATTTCTCATGAATTTGGAAAGTGGGAAATCCAAGAGCAAGGTGCCAGCCAAATTGGTTCCTGGTGACAGCCTTCTTCATGCTTTAGACCAGCCATATTCCTGCTGTGTCCTAATACAGTGAAAAGAGGAACAGGCAACACGCTCTTTAATGTCTCTATAAATGCACTAGTCCTATTCATGAGTAGTCGACACCCATGCTAAATTCTCTCAAGGTCTGCATCTGCAGGAACATCCTATTAGAGAATACCACATCTACCAAAGCTTATTTGAGAAGTAGTTATTTATCTTATTTTATTTTTTTGAGATGGAGTCTCATCCTGTTGCCCAGGCTGGAATGCAGTGGCATGATCTCAGCTCACTGCAACCTTCACCTTCTGGGTACAAATGTTTTCTGCCTCAGACTACCAAGTACCTGGGATTACAGGCACCCTCCACCACACCCAGCTAATTTTTTTGTATTTTTAGTAGAGATGGGGTTTCACCATGTTGCCCAGGCTGGTCTCGAACTCCTGATTTACCTGCCTCAGCCTACCAAAGTGCTGGGATTACAGGCATGCGCCACCGTGCCTGGCTGTTAGTCAATTCTCATTCTTTATAATGCTGTATACTTTCTTGACCTCATATATCAGAAAGTAGTGATCTTAACATCTATTTCAGTTCTTATGTTGTGTGCTGGTGGTAAGTACAAGTTTTGGCTTTTTTCTTAAGAGGGAATTGTTTAGAATTCTTCAGTCTGTATAAATCTACTTGTTATTTTCTTGCTTGTTTTATCATGGGTTGCAATATTTGATTAATTGATTTTTATGACTTTATATGTGAGTTTTCGGTATGTGGTATGCAATATAACTGACACTCCCCTAGATAATGTCACAAAGTGCCACAGGGTGCAGTGGCTCATGCCTGTAATCCCAGGTCTTGGGAGGCTGAGATGTGTGGATCATCTGAGGTCAGGAGTTCGAGACCAGCCTGGCCAACAGGTTTCACCAAACCCCATCTCTACTAAAAATACAAAAATTAGCCGGGCACAGTGGCATGTGCCTGCATTCCCAGGTGCTCAGAACCTAAGGAAGAGACTCACATGAACCCCAAGGCAGAGGTTGCATTGAGCCAAGATCATACCATTGCACTCCAGCCTGGGTGACAGAGTGACACTGTATCTCAAAAAAATAAAAATACATAAAATTTTTTTTAAAAGTCGGCCGTGTGCGGTGGCTCATGCCTATAATCCCAGCACTTTGGGAGGCTGAGGCAAGGGGATCACAAGGTCAGGAGATCGAGACCATCCTGGCTAACACAGTGAAACCCTGTCTCTACTAAAAATACAAAAAAGTTAGCTGGACATGGCGGTGTGTGCCTGTAGTCCAAGCTGCTGGGGAGGCTGAGGCAGGAGAATGGCGTGAACCCGGGAGGTGGAGCTTGCAGTGAGCCGAGATCATGCCACTGCACTCCAGCCTGGGCGACAGAGCAAGATTTCGTCGCAAAAAAAAAAAAAAAAAGTCACAACGTGCCTGTTCCACATGGATATAGGTAATTTTGTAACAGTTATTTGGAAAAATATGGTATTAACATTTTCCTTTTTTTGAGATGGAGTCTCACTCTGTCATCCAGGGTGGAGTGCAGTGGTGCGATCTCAACTCACCACAATCTTTGCCTCCCAAGTTCAAGCGATTATCCTGACTCAGCCTCCCAAGTAGCTGGGATTACAGGCACCTGTGACCATGCCAGCTACTTTTTGTATTTTCAGTACAGATGGGGTTTTGCCACATTGGCCAGGCTGGTCAAACTCCTGACGTGAGGTGATCTGCCTGCCTTGCCCTCTAGAAGTACTGGGATTACAGGCATGAGCCACCATGCCCTGCCTTTTTTTGTTGTTTGTTTTTTTGTTTTTTTGAGATGGAGGCTCATTTTGTCACCTGGGCTGGAGTGCAGTGGTGTAATATTGGCTTACAGCAACCTTTGCCTTTGGCTTAACGCAATTCTTGTGACACAGCCTTCAGAGTAGCTGTGAGTACAGGCACGGGCCACCATACCTGGCTAATTTTTATAATCTTTTGTTATCTTGTCAGTGCTATGATTGTTTGACAATACAGAATTTCCATTGATTTTGGTTATCCTTACAACAGCTTGTTTTGGATTATTTACCAATATAGTATATTGTGTGGTTCTTTAGCATTTATTTGTATACACTAAATACGCTGTAAATATGAAGAATATATATTTTTCTTTTTTTGATGTGATAGTGATGTGTTTTTTGCAAAGTGTGATACACTTTAGGGTCACAGTGGAAAAACACTCCTTACTTTAGGCTCACACATGTTTGTGCCCTGTCAGTGTTTTGTCATGATATAGGAAATAGACTTTCATGGAATTGATTTGAAAGACATATAATCGCCCTTTATTTATTAAAGAATCTTACTCCTTTTGTGTTCTTAAACTTTGAAGATCATGTTTGGGAAGTTTAAAATAAGTATTGTTTTTTGTGTCATATTTACACATTTCAGTATTATACACCATCTGTACTTCATTGGAAACCTATTGGTGTTTATATTTTGTAGATATCTCTTCCAAATGCATGATGAAGACATTCTTCTCAACAGGGCAAGGCAATACAGAAGCGTTCCACACAGGGACATTGCAAAGACAAGCAAGTCATCACATTGGAGATTTTTGCTTCCAGAAAATTGAGAAAGACATTCATGGCTTCCAGTTTCAGTGGAAAGAAGATGAAACAAATGACCATGCAGCACCCATGACAGAAATCAAAGAGTTGACTGGTAGTACAGGCCAACATGATCAAAGGCATGCTGGAAACAAGCATATTAAAGATCAGCTTGGATTAAGCTTTCATTCGCATCTGCCTGAACTGCACATATTTCAGCCTGAAGGGAAAATTGGTAATCAAGTTGAGAAGTCTATCAACAATGCTTCCTCAGTTTCAACATCCCAAAGAATTTGTTGTAGGCCCAAAACCCATATTTCTAATAAGTATGGAAATAATTCCCTCCATTCTTCATTACTCACACAAAAACGGAATGTACACATGAGAGAAAAATCTTTCCAATGTATTGAGAGTGGCAAATCCTTTAATTGTAGCTCACTTTTAAAAAAACATCAGATAACCCACTTAGAAGAGAAACAATGTAAATGTGATGTATATGGCAAGGTATTTAATCAGAAGCGATACCTTGCATGCCATCGTAGATCTCACATTGATGAGAAACCTTACAAGTGTAATGAGTGTGGCAAGATCTTTGGTCACAATACATCCCTCTTCCTTCACAAGGCGCTTCATACTGCAGACAAACCTTATGAATGTGAAGAATGTGACAAAGTTTTCAGTCGCAAATCACACCTTGAAACACATAAGATAATTTATACTGGAGGGAAACCATACAAATGTAAGGTTTGTGACAAAGCTTTCACATGTAATTCATACCTAGCAAAACATACTATAATTCACACTGGAGAGAAACCTTACAAGTGTAATGAATGTGGCAAGGTTTTTAATCGACTGTCAACCCTTGCACGCCATCGTAGGCTTCATACTGGAGAGAAACCTTATGAATGTGAAGAATGTGAAAAAGTTTTCAGTCGCAAATCACATCTTGAAAGACATAAGAGGATTCATACTGGAGAGAAACCATACAAATGTAAGGTTTGTGACAAGGCTTTTGCATATAATTCATACCTGGCAAAACATAGTATAATTCACACTGGAGAGAAGCCTTACAAGTGTAATGAATGTGGCAAGGTTTTTAATCAACAATCAACTCTTGCACGCCATCATAGACTTCATACTGCAGAGAAACCATACAAATGTGAAGAATGTGACAAAGTTTTCAGGTGCAAATCACACCTTGAAAGACATAGGAGGATTCATACTGGAGAGAAACCATACAAATGTAAGGTTTGTGACAAGGCTTTCCGGAGTGATTCATGCCTTACAGAACATCAGAGAGTTCATACTGGAGAGAAACCATACATGTGTAATGAATGTGGCAAGGTTTTTAGTACAAAAGCAAACCTTGCATGTCATCATAAACTTCATACTGCAGAGAAACCGTACAAATGTGAAGAATGTGAGAAAGTTTTCAGTCGCAAATCACACATGGAAAGACATAGGAGGATTCATACTGGAGAGAAACCGTACAAATGTAAGGTTTGTGACAAGGCTTTCCGGAGGGATTCACACCTGGCACAACATCAGAGAGTTCATACTGGAGAGAAACCTTACAAGTGTAATGAGTGTGGCAAGACCTTCCGTCAGACATCATCGCTTATAATCCATCGTAGGCTTCATACTGGAGAGAAACCTTACAAGTGTAATGAGTGTGGCAAGACCTTCAGTCAGATGTCATCCCTCGTATACCATCATAGGCTTCATAGTGGAGAGAAACCTTACAAGTGTAATGAATGTGGCAAGGTTTTTAATCAACAAGCACACCTTGCACAGCATCAGAGAGTTCATACTGGAGAGAAACCTTACAAGTGTAATGAGTGTGGCAAGACCTTCAGTCAGATGTCAAACCTTGTATACCATCATAGACTTCATAGTGGAGAGAAACCTTGAAAGTGTAATGAGTGTGGCAAGACCTTCAGTCAGATGTCAAACCTTGTATACCATCATAGACTTCATAGTGGAGAGAAACCTTAAAAGTGTAATGAGTGTGGCAACACCTTCCATCACAATTCAACCCTTGTAAGTCACAAAGCCATTCATACTGGAGAGAAACTTTACAAGTGTAATGAATGTGGCAAGGTTTTTAATCAAAAAACAACCCTTGCACGTCATCATAGAATTCATACTGCAGAGAAACTTTACAAATAGGAAGAATGTGACAAAGTTTTCGGTTGCAAATCAAACCTTGAAACACATAAGAAAATGCATGCTGAAGAGAAACCACACAGATGTAAGGTTTATGACAAGATTTTTGAATATAATTCATACCTGGCAAAACATATTAGAATTCAAACTGGAGAGAAACCTTACAAATGTGATGAGTGTGGCAACACCTTTGGTCAAAATTCATACCTTGTAATTCAAAAGGCAATTCGTATTGGAGAGAAACCCTACAAGTGTAATGAATGTGGCATAGTTTTTAATCAACAGTCACACCTTGCAAGTCATCATAGTCTTCATACTGCAGAGAAATCTTACAAATGTGAAGACTGTGACAAAGTTGTCAGTCACAAATCACAGCTTGAAAGACAGGAGAATTCATACTGGAGAAAAAACATACAAATGTAAGGTTTGTAACAAGGCTTTTGGGAGTGATTCACACCTGGCACACCATACTAGAATTCACACTGGAGAGAAACCTTACAAGTGCAATGAGTGTGGCAAAGCCTTTAGTGGGCAGTCACCACTTATTCACCATCAAGCAATCCATAGTATAGGGAAACTTGACTAATATAATGATTGTCACAAAGTTTTCAGTAATGCTACAACCATTGCAAATCATTGGAGAATCCATAATGAGAGATCTTACAAGTGTAATAAATGTGACAGATTTTTCAGATATCGTTCATATATTGCTATTCATCATCGAACTCATGCTGGAGAGAAACCTTATAAATGTCATGATTGTGGCAAGGTCTTCAGTCAAGTTTCATCCTATGCAAAACATAGGAGGATTCATACAGGAGAGAAACTCACAAGTGTGATGATTGTGGCAAAGCGTTTACTTCACATTCACACCTCAATAGACATCAGAGAATCCATGCTGGACAGAAATCTTACAAATGTCATCAGTGTGGTAAGGTCTTCAGTCCGAGATCACTCCTTGCAGACCATCAGACAATTCCTTTTGGAGACAGTTGTTTCAAATGCCATTAGTATAGCAAGCCATCAAGCATTAATTGACATTACAGTTAAATGAGCACTGACCTGAGTTTGAGTTGACTTAACATTGAGTTTAAGCATTAATTGACATTAAACTGTTTATGTTAAGAGGACTGGGCTGGGCACTGTGGCTCACGCCTGCAATGCCAGCACTTTGAGAGGCCAAGACTGGTAGGTCACTGGAGGTTAAGAGTTTGAGAACAGCCTGGCCAACAGACGGGAGCCACTTTTCCCAGCCTGTGTTTTCATTTCTATTCTTTCTTTCTTTTTTCTTTTTTTTGTTTTTGTTTTTGAGATGGAGTCTCTTGCTCTGTCATCCAGGTTGGAGTGCAGTGGCATGATCTTGACTCACTACAACCTCCGCCTCCCAGGTTCAAGCGATCCTCCTGCCTCAGTCTCCTGACTAGCTGGGACTACAGGTGCATGCCACCACACCTGGATAATTTTTTGTATTTTTAGTAGAGACTGGGTTTCGCTGTGTTAGCCTGGATGGTCTCGATTTTCTGATCTTATGATTCACCCACCTCTACCTCCCGAAGTGCTGAGATTATGGGCGTGAGCCACCGTGACTGGCCTGTTTTTTGTTTCTTTAACAAAAAGTTATGGGGATTTCTATGAGTATTGTGTTGAATCTAAATCACATTCGGTTATATAATCATTGAGCAATACTAATTTTTCCAATCAGTATGGATTGTATGTGTATTTATATGTTTTTAATCATTTTGATCAATGTTTGTAGATTTCAAGGTACAAACTTCTCACCTTTATATGTTTATTCCTAAATATTTCTTACTTTAAGCTCTTTAGCAAATGGAAGTGGTTTTTAATTTTATTTTAAAATTATTTAATGTTAATGTATGGAAATTCAACTAATTTTTGGTGCTATTATTCTATTCTGCAAATACACTGAATATGTTTATTAGTTCCAGTTGTATTTTGGTTGACTGTGATTTTCTTCACAGATCATGTCATCTACAAACAAATAAAATTTGACTTCTTTCTTTCTGATTTGGATGAGTTCGATTTCTATTGCTATTTCATTGTTCTGGCTGGGACAGCCAGCATTGATTGAATAGAAAGGGTGAGAGCATTCTTGCATCATGTGAGATCCTACAGGAAAAGCATTCCATTTTCCCTGATTGTTTATTTCCACTGTGGTCGTTTCATGGATTGTCTTTGTACTGTTGAGGTAAATTTCCTTCTCTAACTATTTTTGGTAGGATTTCCATGATGATGTTGAATTTTGTGAAATGCTTTTTCTACATGTATTGAGATGATGTGGTTTTCATCTTTCATTATGTTCAAGTGGTATATCACATTGATTTGCTTGAATATGTTGAACCATCCTTGTATCTCAGAAATAAGTGGCACTTGCATATCTACAATCCTTTTTATATCCTCTTGAATACAGTTTGCTAGTACAAGGGGTCTTCACGAAGTTCATGAAAAAATACATGTTATGAGAAAATTGTGCATGATGTCACATTTTTTGCACCAAAATAAAATGGTACAAATCTGTTATAACATGTCTGAACAGGGTCTAGTTTGAGGCACTCAGAAGGGTAAAATCAGTTTGAAAAGAGACTCAATCAAAGCAATGTAAATTCTGCTAAAATTGAAACAAGAAGAAATATCAAATTTGCGATGAGACCAGATGCAGTGGCTCAGGCCTGTAATACCAGCACTTTCAGAGGTTGAGACAGCTGGGTCATGTGAGCCCCGGTATTCAAGACCAGCCTGGACAGAATGGTGAAACCCCTGTCTCCACAAAAAATACAAAAATTAGCTGGGCATGGTGGCACATGTCTGCTGGTTCAGCTTCTGTGGAGACTGCATTGGGAGGATGGCTTGAGCCTGGGAGGTAGAGGCTGCAGGGAGCCGTGATCATGCCACTGTACTCCAGTCTAAGACGTAAGTGACTATTCCTCCTCCCGCTCTCACATATAAATTGTGTATTTAGTGAAAGGCTGATCAAAGACTCAAAGAATGTGATCATTTGTTATCTACCTGTGACCCGGAAGCCCCCCAATTCCAGTTATTCCACCTTTCCAGACCGGAACAATGTATATGTTTTATGTATTGATTGCTGTCTCGTGTCCATAAAATGTGTGAAAGTAAACTGCAGCCTCAACACCTTGGGCACACATCGTCAGGACCTCCTGAGGTTCGTGTTAATTGGCCTTAGATTCCCCCTGTCCCCAGACCCAGGACGCATGTGTTTCCTCTTTTGTCATTTTTATTGGAGATGGGTCTCATTCTGTTGCCCAGGCATGAAAGCAGTGACAGCATCAGAGCTCACTGCAGCTTCAACCTCCTGGGTTCAAGGGATCCTCCCATTTCAGCCTCCAAAGTCACTGGGACCACAGCCATGCGCCATTGCACCCGGCAAATTTTTGTGTTCCTAGTAGAGATGGGCTTTCACCATGTTGCCCAAGCTGGTCTCGAACTCCAGGGCTGAGGCGATCCAGCTGCATCGGCCTCCCAAAGTGCTGGGATTACAGTCATGAGCCACCAAGCCCGGCTTGTTTCTTAATTAAAAAAAAAAAAAAAAGCCAGGTGCTGTGGCTCACACCTGTAATCCCAGCACTTTGGGAGGCCACAACAGGCGGATCACCAGAGGCAAGGTATTTGAGAACAGCCTGGGTAACATGGTGAATCCTCGTCTTGACTAAAATATAGAAATTAGCTTGGTTTGGTGGCGAGTGCCTGTAATCCCAGCTACTCAGGAGGCTGAGGCAGGAGAATCGCTTGAATCCAGGAGGCGGACATTGCAATGAGCTGAGATGGCGCACCTACACTCCAGCTGGGCTACAGGGTGAGACTCCATCTCAACAAAATAAAAATAAAGTAAATAACTGCTTCTCAAATAAGCTTTGGTATAATCTTACGAAGTCACATCATTGTTTTCCAACTATGATATGTATTGAAAAATTTCTTTGACCCCACATTTTATTATATATATATATATTTTTTTAACCACTGTAAATTGTTTTTCTCTGAAATTTATTGTGTTTAGTTTACATTGAGGACTGCATGCTTTCTAGTCTGTGTCATATATTGGAAACATTTTCTGGTACCTGATAAATGATTTTAGCTTGTTTCAATGTGTACTTGATAAAGATATCAAGGAACTTTTTCTTTATGCTAACATCAAAATTTAGTTCATGTAGCCTATTATTCCATTTTCTTTATGTCATCTGACTAAATAGTGAGCTGTGAGCTTTTAAGTAAATGTTCCCTTCAAGTTCCTCTGGTCCATAATATTCTTTGCAGATGTTGAAGGATGGGCTGGATTGACCTGGAACCTTGTTCCAGCAGAGCCCATATGTTCATGACGAAAACATTTGCTCAGATCTCATTTGTACCGCTGCTTCTTTTTCAATGTTTTAAACACTTATAGCTATGTGTTCAAAATTGTGTTTATTTTGAACGTATTACAATCATTTTTCTCAGAAAATAATTATGTTTAGGATTCATGCCATCAAAACCTTAGACATTGAAAGAGACATTTCATTTGCTCAGGTATATAGAATGGTCCTGAAACTTTTTTCTTCCTTTTTTGAGACAAGAGTGTCACTCTGTCACCCATACTTGAGTGCAGGGACACAATCTTGGCTCACTGCAACCTCCATCTCCCAGGCCCAGTGATCCACCCCAGTCCGCCTCCCAAATAGCTGAGACCACAGATGCACACCACCAGACCTGGCTAATTTTTTATACTTTTGGTAGAGACGCGGTTTCACCACGTCTCCCACGTTGGTTTCAAATTCCTGGGCTCAATGGTCTACCCACTTCAGCCTCCCAAAGTGCTGGGATTACAGGGTGAGCCGCCATGCCCGGCCCATCCTGGAATTTTCTAGAGAAGGAAGACCAACACAGCCTATTGGCGCTTCCAGACCATCACGTGGGAATCAGCCACACCTCCTTCTGACTCAACTCGGAGCTTCTCAGGATAACTTGGTGAAGTGTCTCCTGCTCGTAACAACAGTGACTCAACCAGTAATGTACAGGTGAGGAATAAGACCAGAAAAGCTCAGTCAGAGTGACGCTGACCCCTGAAATACTTTGCCAAATAAGTGTGTGGCTTTTCCTGTAGGAGAGGGTGATGCTCAGGTGTGATTTGAATTTTAAATGGATTCCTGTCCTCCAAAAATGTAAAAAAACCCACAAATACCGGAATGGAAAAACGGGATTAGACTCAAATCATCTTGAACTTATTCTTGTCTCTGTCCACACCCACTGCTTTTCCTTATCTCATCTCAGGGCTTTAACCCACCTACCCATGTCCCCTGCAGGCCTCTCCACTGAGCTCTACAATCCTGTGTCCAGTTGTCTCCTCAGCTCTCTGCTGGGACATCAAACAGGCATCTCCACCTTCACGTGTCCATAAGTGACTTCCTAAACCCCCAAACACATTCCCTTGCAGTCCTACACGTCTCAGATGAGGGTGACTGTGTACTTCTGGGGACTTAGCCAAACTTGACAGCATGTTTTTGAAATATGGGAGATAAATTCCTTTATTTGTAAATGTTGTAATTTATAATATAAAGAGAAAGTTACACGTATACATGAAATGACTGAGAAGATACATCACTTTTGTGTGTGTGTGTGTGTGTGTGTGTGTGTGTGTGTGTGTGTGTGTGTGTGTGTGGCAGAGTTTGGCTCTTCTCACCCAGGCTGGAGTTCAGTGGCTCAATCTTGATTCACTGCAACCTCCTTCTTCCGGGTTCAAGCGATGCTCCTACCTCTGCCCCCCGAGTAGCTGGGATCACAGTGGACTTTCAAAATGCTTTTGGGTTGTGGGAGAAAAATGTTTGAAGTCCTTAACCCTATGGATCTCTGTCCCCAGGACCTCTCTGACCTCATCTCCTACCTGTGCCCTTCTCTCTTCCACTGCTCCAGCCACACGGGCTGCTTTCCTTTGTTGGGAGGGTGATGTTGCTCCTGTCCCAGGGCCTTCACTTGAGCTGTCCCTCTGCCTGGGACTCTCTAGCCCCTCAGCTGCAAGTGATAAGCAGCCTTTCTGTCCCATTTGACATTGCAGCTTTGAACTGAGAAAATCTCAGACAGATCTCAGTTAATTTAGAAAGTGTATTTTGTGAAGGTTGAGGACGCATCTGTGACACAGCCTCAGGAAGTCCTGATGACATGTGCCCAAGGTGGACGGGGCACAGCTTAATTTTATACATTACATGGAGACGTGAGACATCAATCAGTATACGTAAGAAGTACATTTTGAGGTAATAGTTCAAAATGCACTGAGTATAGCAAACCATCAAGGCGTACATTACAGTCAACTCAGCATTGACCTGAGGATGAGTTGATTTAACATTGAGTTCGAGCATTAATTGACGTTAAAGTGTTTAAGAGGATTGGGCCGGGCCAGGTGCAGTGGCTCACGCCTGTAATCCCAGCACTTTGGGAGGCCGAGGTGGGTGGATCACGAGGTCAGGAGATCGAGACCATCCTGGCAAACACGGTGAAACCCTGTCTCTACTAACAATACAAAAAAAAAATTAGTTGGGCGTGGCGGTGGGCACCTGTAGTCCCAGCTACTCGGGAGGCTGAGGCAGGAGAATGGCATGAAGCTGGGAGGCGGAGCTTGCAGTGAGCCGAGATCCTAACACTGCACTCCAGCCTGGGCGACAGAGTGAAACTCCGTCTCAAAAATAAAATAAATAAATAAATAAATAAAAAGAGGATTGAGCCGGGCATGGTGGCTCACATACATTGGTTTGTTCTGGAAAGGCGGGACAACTTTAAACAAAGCCAGAAGGACTTGAAGCAGCGAGGGTGCTTCCAGGTCATAGATAAATGAGGCACAAATGGTTGCAATCTTTTGAGTTTCTTTTTTGTATTTTTTGAGATGAAGTCTCGTTTTGTCGCCCAGGCTGGAGTGCAGTGGCACGATCTCAGCTCACTGCATCAGCCTCCCACAGTGCTGGGATTACAGGCATGAACCACTGTGCTGGGTCCTTCTTTTGAGTTTCTGATTAGCCTTTTGGATGAGGCACTCAGACATGCATCTATGTCAGGGAGCAGAGGGGTGACTTTGAATAGAAGGGGAGTCTGGTTCCCTAAGCAGTTCCCAGCTTGACTTTTCCTTTTTGCTTAGTGATTTGGGGCTCAAAGATTTATTTCCTTTCACACAGCCCAACGCTCACCCTACCTCTGGTCCACATTGCCTGTTCTGTGTGATTATTTTTGCTCCTTTGCCATCCACTGTCTGGATCCTGGTGAGAAGAAGGCCCCAAGGGGAGGGCAGAGCCTGAACGTGGGGCTGTGCTGGGCTCACGCCCTCTGAGTGGAGCTCAACCCTGGCTTCACATTAGAGTCTAGAGGCATTTTTCAAATAGAGCTTTTGTGCCGCTTTAGCAGGGATTCTTATTCTGACGGGATGGAACCCACCCTCAGTAATACCTGCAGTGGCGCAGGTGCTTGTCATCTGTGTGCAGCATTGAGCATCGAAGCTCTGAGTCCTCCATTTCTGAGGGCTGAGCTCAGCCTGTGATCCACAGAGAGGTGAGGGGCTGTCCTCTGGATGGGGTTTGATCAGGGATGGGTCTGTGCCCTGAAGGGGAGATCAGTCCAGCCCAGCTCCCCACTGCTGCCTCGTGGGGGAGGCTCCTCCAGGAGGGGGGCGAGATCTGAAGACCAGGGTCAAACATACACTTGTAGGTCTTCCTGTGGGACTTTCTTATCTCTGCATGATCTCTGGTGCAGTGGGCAGCAAAGGACCATCTTTCCAGAGGGTGACGTCTCCCTTGTTTGTGTGTTTTTGTCACAGGAAGGGAGTGAGTCATTTCTGACATGAAGTCTTTTTTTTTTCACATTCAGGATTGATTTCTAAGGACTCATGTTGCATGAGGAAGCCACTCAGAAGAGGAAAGGAAAGGAGCCAGGCATGGCTCTTCCTCAGGTGAAGTGATATTCCTCTTTGGATTAATCTGTCTCTTTCATTTCTGAAATGCCAGGTATTGTAGCAGCCAGTCTTTTCTGAGTCTGAAGCATCTTGTCTGACACATTCACTTGCACTCACCCATGCCTGCCCTCAGTTCCTCTCAGCTGCTCTGAGATTCCATCTCCTGTGAGCCAGTGACATGAACTTGGGAAGAGGCTCCACTGGGCATGGTCCTGGGAAGGGCTCACACCCAGACATCAATGGACATGGGGTGTGGGCCCCGTGGTGTCAGTGCTGCTGCACAGCCTGCATTGTTCAGGGGCCATGTCTGGATGTCAGCTCTTTGTGGATGAGATCAGAGAAACCACATATGAAACATATACTTTAATATGCACAGATATCTGGTAAATTCTGGAAAAGGAGACCTATAAGGGGAGATAGTTTGTATCTGATTTGGTAGTGCATTTGAAGTCACACTAGTAGATCAACATGTCTCTGACTTCAAACTTTTTTTTTTAAAGAGACAGCATGTTGGTCTGGGTGTGGTGGCTCACACTTGTAATCCCAGCATTTTGGGAGTCCAAGGTGGGTGGATCACTTGAGGCCAGGGGTTTGAGACCAGCCTGTCCCACATGGTGAAACCTCATCTCTACTAAAAATATGAGTTGGGAGTGATGGCTCATGCCTGTAATCTCAGCTACTCAGGAGGCTGAGGCAGGAGAGTCACTTGAATCCGGGAAGTCGAGGTTACAGTAAGCCGAGATTGTGCCACTGCACTCCAGGCTGGGCAACAGAGCAAGACTCCATCTCAAAAAAAAAAAAAAAAAAAAAAGGAGAGAGAGAGAGATAATGTTGCTCTGTGGCTTAGTTTTAGAGTACAAAGGCACAATTTAGAGTTTACAGCAGCCTGAAACTCCTAGGTTCAAGTAATTCCGACTTTAGACTCCCAAAGAGCTTGAAAGATAGGCATGGGTCACCACATGTGGGTAATTGTTTTATTTATTTATTTATTTATTTTGAAATGGAGTCTCGCTCTGTTGCCCAAGCTGAAGTGCAGTGATGCGATCTCAACTCACTGCAACCTCTGCCTCCTGGGTTCAAGCGATTCTTCTGCCTCAGCCATCCAAGTAGCTGGGGCTAAAGGTGTGCACCACCACACCTGCAAAATTTTTGTATTTTTAGTAGAGATAGGGTTTCACCATGTTGGCCAGGCTGTTCTCAAACTCCTGACCTCATGATCTGCCCTTCTTGGCCTCCTAAAGTGCTGGAATTAAAGGCGTGGGGCACATGTATGTCAGGCCTCTGAGCCCAGGCCAGGCCATCGCATCCCCTGTGACTTGCACGTATACGCCCAGATGGCCTGAAGTAACTAAAGAATCACAAAAGAAGTGAATATGCCCTGCCCCACCTTAACTGATGACATTCCACCACAAAAGAAGTGTAAATGGCCGGTCCTTGCCTTAAGTGATGACATTACCTTGTGAAATTCCTTCTCCTGGCTCATCCTGGCTCAAAAAGCTCCCCCACTGAGCACCTTGTGACCCCCACTCCTACCCACCAGGGAACAAACCCCCTTTGACTGTAGTTTTCCTTTACCTACCCAAATCTTATAAAACGGCCCCACCCCTATCTCCCTTCACTGACTCTCTTTTTGGACTCAGCCCGCCTGCACCCAGGTGAAATAAACAGCCATGTTGCTCAAACAAAGGCTGTTTGGTGGTCTCTTCACACGAATGCTCATTAAAGTGTACGGCCGTATTTTTCATATTTTTTTTAATTTTGTTGTCCAGGCTGGAGTACAGTGCTGCAATCATACCTCACCATAGCCTTGATCTCCTGGCCTCAAGGGATCCTCCCATGTTGGCCTCCCAAATTGCTGGCATTCCAGGTGTGAGACAGCCTCCCTGGCTGGACTCTGTACTTTTTTGTGATAGAGTCTCGCTCCATTGCCCAGGATGGATTGCATTGGTGAAGAGGTGGGTTGCCCCTCCACACCTGTGGGCATTTCTCGTCAGGTGGAACGAGACACTTTGAAAAGAAAGAGACACAGAGACAAAGTATAGAAGAGAAAGTTACATGTATACATAAAATGAGTGAGAAAATACATTTCCAAAATTCTTTTGAGTTGAGATGTGAGAGAAAAATGTTTCAAGACCTCATCCCTAGATATCTGAGTCCCAGGAGCTCTGTGACATCAACTCCTGCCTCTGTCCTCCTCCCTACCTCTACTGTAACCATGCAGGCTTCTTTTCTTTTTCTGGGACTCAGGTTGCTCCTTTCTCAGGGCCTTCACCTGGGCTGTCCCTCTGCCTAGGACTCTCTGGCCACTCAGCTGCAAGTGACAAGCAGCCTTTCTTCCCTAAGTCTTTGTTCTGACATCACTTTTTCTATGAAAACTTTTGTGTTCTCCCACAGTCCCCCATTTGACATGACAGCCCCACCTTCACCCCCATCTCTGGCCCATGTTGCCTGTTCTGTGTGATCCTTTTTGCTCCTTCGCTGTTCACTGGATCCTGGTGGGAACAAGTCCCCAAGCGGAGAGCAGAGCCAGAAGGTGGGGCTCTGCGGGGCTGGTGCCCTGAGTGGAGCTCAAACTTGGCTTCACATTAGGGTTTTCAGGCATTTTGCAAATATAGCTTCTATGCTGTTTTATCAGAGATTGCTATTATCACAGTATGGGACCCACCCTCAATAATACCTACAATGGTGCAGGTGATTCTCATCTGTCTCCAGCATTGAACATCAAGGCAGTTTCCTCCATGTTGAGAGCTGAGATCAGCCTGTGATCCACAGGGAGGTGAGGGGGCTGTGCTCTGCATGGGGTTTGGTTAGGGCCAGATCTGTGCCCTGAAGATCTGTGTCCTGCTGCAGCGTGTGTGTGGACTTTTGCAGGAGGGAGCAAGACCTCAAAACAGGTCAAAATTGCCCTTGTAGGTCTTCCTGTGGCACCTTCTTATCTCCACATAATCTCTGGTGCAGTGGGCAGCAGAGAACCATCTTTATCCCTGGTGAGGTCTCCCCTGTGTGTGTGTTTTGTCACAGGAAAGGAGGGAGTGATTTCTAAAAATTAAATCTCGTATTTTTTTTTACATACAGGATTGATTTTCCAAAGACTCATGTTACGTGAGGAAGACACCAAGAGGAGCAAAGAAAAGGAGCCAGGGATGGCTCTTCCTCAGGTGGAGTAATATTCCTCGGTGGATTCTTCTGTCTCTTTCCTTTCTGAAATGCCAGGTATTGTAGTAGCCAGTCTTCTGTGAGTCTGAAGCATCCTGCCTCACACGTTTGCTCACACTAACCCATGCCTTTTCTCAGTCCTTGTCATCTTCACTTAAATTCCATCTTCTATAACCTAGTGACATGAGCTTGGGAAGAGGCTGCACTGGGCATGGTCCTGGGAAGGGCTCACACCAGAGATGGATGGAGATGGGGTGTGGACCCCAAGGTGTCAGTGATATTGGGCAGCAGGGATTGTTCAGGGGCCACATCTGGATGCACATTTAGCTCTTTGTGGATCAGATCAGAGAATCTATGTATGAAAGTCATACATTAATGTATGCACTGGTATCTGTGTACTGGTATCTGGTAAATTCTGGAAAAGGAGACAAACTAGGGGAGATATTTCTTTTTCTTTTTCTTTTTCTTTTTTTTTTTTGAGACGTAGCCTCGCTCTGTCGCCCAGGCTGGAGTGCAGTGGCACGATCTTGGCTCACTGCACGCTCCGCCTCCCGGGTTCACTCCATTCTCCTGTCTCAGCCTCCCTAGTAGCTGGGATTACAGGCACCCACCACCACGCTTGGCTAATTTTTTTGTATTTTTTAGTAGAGATGGGGTTTCACTGTGTTAGCCAGGATGGTCTCGATCTCCTGACCTCATGATCTGCCCGCCTCAGCCTCCCAAAGTGCTGAGATTACAGGTGTGAGCCAGCGCGCCCGGTCTTGTTTTTGTTTGGGTTAGGCGGGCTCCTGTAGTTCCAGTTACTCGAAAGGCTGAGGCAGGAGAAGGGCGTGAACCCGGGAGGCGGAGCTTGCAGTGAGCCAAAATCGTGCCACTGCACTCCAGCCTGGGCGACACAGCGAGACTCCGTCTCAAAAAAAAAAAAAAAAAAAAAAAGTAAAAGAGCGAGAGAGAGATCAGGAAGAGGACCCTGCAGTTAGGGGGTGTTACTTTGTCGCCCAGGATGGCCTGGACCCCCAGGTTCAGGGATTCTCCCGCCGCTGCTTCCTGAGTAGCTGGGACCTCAGGCTTCCGCCTCGTGCCCGCATCCCTGCTGTGTTTAGGCAGCAGGTGGTGACCTCACTCCTCCCTGGCCTGAGCTCTCCGTCCCGCATCCCAGGCGGAGGCCCTAGGGAACACTTTGAAGCTGAGCACGGGGTGGACCCTCCCTCCTGAGTGAATGGAGAATAGAAAGGGAGAGGATTTCTGTTCTGTTCTGTGGGCCATCAGCATGAAATCGTATGTTCCGCCCTGGCAGGGCTTTGCATTTCACATTCTAGTTTGCATTCCCGTTCCAGATAATTCCAGGGCTTTTGAATCATGCCTCAGCCTTCCTGGCCGCTGTCGCCTCCAAAAACTCGAAAAACAGAGGCGCTGAGTGCGAGGCTGAGAAGCACAGGTCCCGCCCCGGGCCCTCCCTCTGCCGGTTCTAAAGGGCAAGGTCTCTCCGCCTGGGGCCCCGCCTCTACCCCGCCCAGGTCCAGCCAACCTGCCCCGGCCTGGCTTCAGTCCTGGGCGCGCACAAACCCGGAAGCGGATCGCGTGGAGTGAAGGTCCTACCACGGCGCGTGAGTTTTGCTCTGCCTTGGATTAAGTCTGCACTTCCCAGGTCCCCGGCGCTTCTGCCCCTGGGACGTGGGATCCCCACGGACCTGGAAATTCTCGCCTGTCTTCCCTTCACCCAGAGCAAATTGAGACGTCCCGGTAAGAGTCTGGAAGTTGCTTGCTTTTGGGTTTGAAGTCGCTCGGAGGCTGGTCCCGTCCCCGGTCTTTCTGCTATAGGGCAATGTATACACTTCCTATCGCGTATTTTTCCTGCTCAAAACATTTTTCTGACTATTCCCGCCCCGTGCTTTTTAAAGTCCTCACCCGCGAGGTGGATTCCAGCCCTGGGCGCCTCCCAGCCTCGCCCCAGTTGGCACCTGGAGCGCGGCGCCCCGGCCCCAGCCCCGGGGAGGCTGCGTCCTCTGCCTGGTCCTGGGATCCTGCAGGTCCCACCTTTGTCTTAGGGTGCCGTCGCCCACCACGTCCCTCCTGGTGCCGGGCCCTGCTGCTCCCCAAGTCTTCGCTTCCCCTGAGCCAGGGTTGGGGTGGGTCGCAGGGGCTTGTCCTATGATACCAGGTGTTCTTTCCTGTCCAGCTCCACCCCCTGGAAAATGCGCTTCTACGGGATGCAGGCGTCTTACTCCAAACCCGCCTGTGATTACTCCAAACCCGCCTGGGCCAAAGGGATCAGGAGATAGAGAGAGGGACTGAGAGAGCAGTAGAAAACCAGAGACAGAGAAAAGAAGAATGAGAAAGGCCCATAACAGATGGCAAAGTAGAGGATGGGTTAGGAATTTGCCAAGAGACAGCAAAAGTGAAAGAAAAAAAACTAAGAAAGCAGGAGGAGAAAAGCAACTGGAGAAATGTAGAGAAAAGCTAGATGTACAGAAAGATGAAGGACAGCAAGGTAGGGAGAGGGGCAGCAAAGAGGGAGGCTCACCAGAGTGAGGGAGAGGAGGAGGGATTTGGAGCCAGGGCAGACAGAGCAGAGTGGTGCTGGTGGCAAGAACAGATGGAGAACCACAGCAGGGAGGACACCTGGGGATCTGAGGTGCTGGAGAGTGGGGACAGAGGGGTATAACAGGGAAGAGAGAATTTAATAGGGAGAGCAGAGGAGACGGAGAGATAAGAGAAGAGGCTGTAATATATAGACATTGAGGAAGATTGAAAGATTGGGGAGAAAGAACAACAAGAGGTTAAATAAGGACCGGGCGCTGTGGGTCATGCCTGTAATCCCAGCATTTTGGGAGGCTGAGGCGGGTGGATCACCTGAGGTCCGGAGTTCGAGACCAGCCTGATCAACAGGGAGAAACCCCGTCTCTATTAAAAATATAAAATTAGCTGGGAGCGGTTGCACATGCCTGTAATCCCAGCTACTAGGGAGGCTGAGGCAGGAGAAACCTTTGAACCTGGGAGGCAGAGGTTGCGGTGAGAGCCAAGATCGCACCGGTGCACTCCAGCCTGCACAACAAGAGTGAAACTCCATCTCAAAAAGGAAAAAAAAAAAAGAGGTTAAATAAGCTGTGAGAATGGAGCAGAAGAGGTGGAAGAGAAGTAATAGAGGGAAGAAGGGGATAAACAGCAGGAGAGGAGAGGGGTACAAAATGAGGAGCACAATCCCAGGGAAAAAGAAAAGAAAACAAGAGCTAGAGAGAGAAGGGGAGAATGAGAGATATGCACAGAATTAGGGAGGGAAGCACAGTAATGAAGAAAGAGGGGCTGGGCGCAGTGGCTCATGCCTGTAATCTCAGCACTTTAGGAGACTGAGGCAAAGGGATTGCTTGAGTCTAGGAGTTCAAGACCAGCCTGGGCAAAATAGTGAGGCTCCCCCCATCTCTGTCAAAAAAGGAAAAAAAAAATTTAACCGGGTGTGATAGTGTGCACCTGCAGTTTCAGCTTCTCTAGGCCGAAGCAGGAGGATCACTTGAGCCCAGGAGCTCCAGGCTGCTGTGAGCAGAGATCATGCCACTGTACTCCAGCCTGGTCAAAAGAGCAAGACCCTGTCTCAAAAGAAAAAAAGGGTGGGGGACTTTGGGTACAGATAAGTGGGTGAGTTCATTGGATATGATTAGTTGTGACATGTTGACTTCTGTGTATATCATCTAATACCTTGTTTAAATTATACAGATGAGATTTAGAATTTTAAAACTCCTGTCTATGAGACATGTACATTCTATAAATTTTGGTATCAGAGGTTAGCTTCTACTTGGAATCCCAGTTATTCAGTTGTGAGTCAGTCTCTTCCCTTTTCCCAGGGTGGGGTAGGAAGTGGGACAGTGATGTGGGGGAAAAAAAATCACTTTCTCTTATTACATAATACTTTTAATTTATTAATTAGTTTATATTTTGAGACAGGGTCTGGCTCTGTCACCCAGGCTGGATTACAATAGCGTTCTCTACTCTAACTGCAGCCTCGACCTCCTAGGCTCAAGCGATCCTCCTCCCTCAGTCTCTCTAGTAGCTGAGACCACAGGTGTGAGACACCAAGCCCAGCTAGTTGTTTTTTTTCTTTGTTTGTTTGTTTTTTTGTAGAAACAGGGTTTCAGTATGTTTCCCAGGCTGGTCTCAAGATCCTGGGCTCAAAGTTTCCTCCTGTCTTGGCCTTGCAAAGTACTGGGATTACAGGGATGAGCCGCCATGCCGGGCCTACCTACTAATTATTATTATTATTTTTTTTTGAGGTGGAGTTTTGCTCTTTTTGCCCAAGCTGGAGTGCACTGGCACGATCTTGGCTAATGACTATCTCTGCCTTTAGGGTTGAAGCGATTCTCTTGTGATACTTCCCCCGAGTAGCTGGGATTACTGGCATGCGCCACCACGCCCTGCTAATTTTGGATTAGGAGGCTGAGGCAGAAGAATCACTTGAACCCGGGAGGCAGAGGTTGTGGTGAGCTGAGATCGCACCATTGGACTTCAGCGTGGGCAACAAGAGCGAAACTCCGTCTAAAAAACAAACAAACAAACAAAAAACAAAAAAGAATGGAGCAAAACAGGAGAGGGGCATAAAATGAGCAGAAGTCCAGGGGGAAATGCAGAAAAGAAACAGATGGAGAGAGAAGGTGAGAAAGAGCTATGTATAGAATGCCGAAGGGAGGCCAGGTGCAGTGGCTCACGCTTGTAATCCCAGCACTTTGGGAGGCCGAGGCGGGCGGATCACTAGGTCAGGAGATTGAGACCGTCCTGGCTAACACGGTGAAACCCTGTCTCTACTAAGAAAACTAAAAATTAGCCGGGCGTGGTGGCGGGCGCCTGTAGTCCCGGCTGCTCCGGAGGCTGAGGCAGGAGAATGACATGAACCCGGGAGGCGGAGCTTGCAGTGAGCCGAGATCGCGCCACTGCCCTCCAGCCTGGGCGACAGAGCGAGACTCGGTCTCAAAACAAACAAACAAAAAAAGGAATGATGGAGGGGAAAAGTAATGAAGACGAAGGGGGACCCTGGGTGCAGATGAGTGGTGAGTTGATTGGATGTGATGATGAAGTGATGACATGTTGTTTTCTCTGTTTATAATGTAACAAATTTAAAATTAGTTTAAATTATACAGATGAGAATGAGAGTTGCCAAACTCCTGTGTCTAAGTGTGGTGCATTTTATAATGATGGCGTCAGAGGCAGCTTCCCTCTGCAACCCCTCTTCAGCCAGAGGACAGTGACTTGACTCATTCCTTGTGGATCACCCTCTTCCCTTTTCATGGATGGGGTGGGGAGTGAGGGAGAGAAGTAGAGTAAGAAGTGACTGAGTCTCTGTTACTATATGGAACGTGATGAAAGGAATATTAAAAGTGCTTTTGTTCTCTTTTTGTAATTTTTTTTTCTAGTTCCTCTCTTCATTAGTTTAGTTGGTTTTTTGTGTGATTATTTATTTATTTATTTTTTATTTTTGAGATGGAGTCTTTCTCTGTCATGCAGGCTGGAGTGCAGTGGAGCGATCTTTACTCACTGCAACCTCCGGCTCTCGGGTTCAAGCAGTGCTCTGTCTCAGCCTCCCGAGCAGCTGGGATTACAGCCAGCCGCCACCACACCTGTCCTGTCGATTTTTGTATTTTTAGTAGAGACAGGGTTTCACCATCTTGGCCAGGCTGGTCTTGAATTCATGACCTCGTAATCCACCCGCCTCGGCCTCCCGAAGTGTTGGGATTACAGGCGTGAGCCATCACACTGGGCCTCATTAGTTGTTATTTTTTAATTTTACTTTAAATTTACTTATTTTTGCTGTTGTCGGTTTTTTTTTTTTGGATGCAGTTTTGCTCTTGTTGCCCAGGCTGAAGTGCAATGGCGTGATGTTGGCTCATCACAAACTTCGCCTCTGGGGTTCAAGTGATTCTCCTGCCTCAGCCTCCTGAGTAGTTATGATTACAGGCACGCACCACCATGGCCGGCTAATTTTGTATTTTCAGTAGAAACGGGGTTTCTCCATCTTGGTCAGGCTGGTCTTGAACTCCTGACCTCAGGTGATCCTCCCGCCTCAGCTTCCCAAGGTGCTGTGATTACAGGCATGAGCTGCTGCGTCCAGCCTTTAATTTTTATTTTTTTGAGACACTCTTACTGCTGTCCAGGCTGGAGTGCAGTGGCAGGATCACAGCTCAGTGCAGCGGCAACCTCCTGGGCTCAAGTGATTTTCCCACCTCAGCCTCCGGAGTAGCTGGGACCACAGGCACGCCCCACGAGGCCTGGCTAATGTTTAGATATATATATTTATTTATTGAGACTCTCTGTCACCCAGGCTGGAGTGCAGTGGCACGATCTCGTCTCACTGCAAACTCCGCCTCCCGGGGTCAAGCGATTCTCCTGCCTCAGCATCCTGAATAGCTGGGATTACAGGCATACACCCCTACGCCTGGCTAATTTGTGTATTTTTAGTAGAGATGGGATGTTGCCATATTGGCCAGGTTGGTCTCGAGCTCCTGGCCTTGTGATCCACCCACTTCGGCCTCCCAAAGTGTTGAGATTACAGGTGTGAGCCACCTTGCCTGACCGCTGTTTTTTTTTTTTTTAAGATAGAGTGTCACCCTATCACCTAGGCTGGAATGCAGTGGAACAATCTTGGATCACTGCAACCTCTGCCTCCCAGGCTCAAGTGATCTTGCGTCAGCCTCCCAGGTAGCTGGGACCGCAGATGCATGCCATGATGCCTGGCTAATTTTTTGTATTTTTGGTAGAGATGGGGTTTATATGTTGCCCATGTTGGTCTCAAACTTCTCGGCTCCAGTGATCGGCCTGCCTCAACTACCCAAAGTGCTGGGATTACAAGGGTGAGCCACCAATCCTGGCTGGTCTTGGAATTTTCTAGAGGAGGAAGACCAAGGCAGCCTATTGGGCCTTCCAGGCAATCACATGGGAATCAGCCACACGTCCTTCCTCCTCACCTCAGAACATCTCAGAATAACTTGGTGAAATGTCTCCCACTGTGAGCCTCAGTGAGCCCACCTGTAACATAGAGGTGAGGAATAAGACCGGAAAAGCTCAGTCAGTGACACTGACCCCTGAAATGACTGACAAAATACAGTGTGTGACTTTTCTTCTGGGAGAGGGTAGTGCTCAGTTTTAACTCGAATTTTAAATGAATTCCAGTTCTCCAAATATTAAAAAAAAAAAAAAAGAAGCACAAGATGAACAAAAACGGGGTAATTAGACTCAAGTCACCTTGAACCTTATCATCTCACAGCTTTAACCCACCTACATGACTCCATGTCCCCTGCAGGCCTCGCCCCTGAGCTCTACAATCCTGTGTCCAGTTGTCTCCTCAGCTGTCTCCTGGGTCATCAAACAGGCATCCCCACCTTCAGGTGTCCACGAGTGGCTTTCTAAACCCCCAAACACATTTCCTTGCAGTCTGCACATCTCAGATGAGGGTGACTACGTACTTCCGGAAACGGCCGAACTTGACAGCATGTATTTTAAATTTGTGAAATAAATTACTTTATTTGTAAGTGTTGTAATTTATAATATAAAGAGAAACTTAGATGTATACGTGAAAAGAGTGAGAAGATACATCACTTCCAATTTTTGTTTGTTTGTTTGTTTTTTTGAGAGGAATTTTCACTCTTGTGGCTGAGGCTGGAGTGCAATGCCATGATATCAGCTCACTGCAACCTCTGACTCCTGGGATCAAGGGATTCTCCTTCCTCAGACTCCCGAGTAGCTGGGATCACAGTCGACTTTCAAAATTCTTTAAGGTTGTGGGAGAAACATGTTTGAAGACATGTTCCTATGGGTCTGTGCCCCCAGGACCTCTCTGACCTCATCTCCTACCTGTGCCCTCCTCTCTTCCACTGTTCCAGCCCCACTGGTCGCTTTCCTCTTCCTGGGGCTGAGGTTGCTCCTGTCTCAGGGCCCTCACTTGAGCTGTCCCTCTCTCTAGGACTCTCTTCCCCTCAGCTGCAAGTGACAAGCAGCCTTTCTTTCCTAGGTCCTTGTTCTGATATCATCTTCTCCGGGTTTCCTTTGTGATCTCCCACAGCCCTCATTTGACACTGCAGCTGTGAAACCAGAAAATCTTACAGAGATCTCAGTTAATTTAGAAAGTTTATTTTGCCCAGGGTGGTCGGCGCAGAGTTTAATTTTATACATTTTATGGAGACATGAGACATCAATCAATATATGTAAGAAGTACATTGATTTGGTCTGGGAAGGTGGGAGAACTTTAAACAAAGGCAGGAAGACTTGAAGCACGGAGTGGGCTTCCAGGTCACAGAGAAATGTGGCACAAACGGTTGCAATCTTTTGAGTTTCCTTTTTTTTGAGATGAAGTCTCCTTTTGTCACCCAGGCTGGAGTGCAGTGGCACAGTCTTGGCTCACTGCAACCTCTGCCTCCTGGGTTCAAGTGATTCTCCTGCCTGAGCTTCCCAAGTAGATGCCCGGATCAGTTTTGTATTTTTAGTAGACATGTGGTTTCACCATGTTGGCTGGCTGGTGTCCACCTCTTGACCCCAAGTGATCTACCTGTGTAATCCCACAGTGCTGGGATTACAGTCCTGAGCCACTGTGCTGGGTCCTTCTTTTGAGTTTCTGATTAGTCTTTCGAAGGAGGCACTCAGACATGCATCTATGTCAGGGAGCAGAGGGGTGACTTTGAATAGAAGGGGAGTCTGGCTCACTAAGCAGTTCCCAGCTTGACTTCTCCCTTTTGCTTAGTGAGTTGGGGCTCGAAGATTTATTTCCTTTCACACAGCCCATCATTCACCCCACCTCTGGTCCACGTTGCCTGTTCTGTGTGATTATTTTTGTGCCTTTGTCATCCACTCTCTGGATGCTGGTGAGAACAAGGCCCCAAGGGGAGGGCAGAGCCAGAACGTGGGGCTGTGCTGGGCTCGCCCCCTCTGAGTGGAGCTCAACCCTGGCTTCACATTAGAGTCTAGAGGCATTTTTCAAATAGAGCTTTTGTGCTGCTTTAGCAGGGATTCTTATTCTGATGGGATGGAACCCACCCTCAGTAATACCTGCAGTGGCGCAGGTGCTTGTCATCTGTGTGCAGCATTGAGCATCTTTGTCCTCCATTTCTGAGGGCTGAGCTCAGCCTGTGATCCACAGAGAGGTGAGGGGCTGTCCTCTGGATGGGGATTGATGAAGGATGGGTTTGTGCCCTGAAGGGGAGATCAGTCCAGCCCAGCTCCCCACTGCTGCCTAGTGTGTGGGGGCTTCTCCAGGAGGGGAGTGAGATCTGAAGACCGGGGTCAAACACACTTATAGGTCGTCCTGTGGGACTTTCTTATCTCTGCATGATCTCTGGTGCAGTGGGCGGTGGGGGACTTCTTTCTGCTGGGTGAGGTCTCCCCTGTTCATGTGGTTTTGTCACAGGATGGGAGTGAGTCATTTCTAACAAGAAGTCTCATTTTTTTTCACATACAGGATTGATTCCTAAAGACTCATGTTATGTGAAGAAGCAGCTCAGAAGAGGAAAGGAAAGGAGCCAGGCATGGCTCTTCCTCAGGTGAAGTGATATTCCTCTGTGGATTAATCTGTCTCTTTCCTTTCTGAAATGCCAGGTATTGTAGCAGCCAGTCTTTTCTGAGTTTGAAGAATTTTGCCTGACACGTTCACTCACACTCAGCCATGCCTGCCCTTAGTTCCTCTCAGCTGCTCCGAGATTCCATCTCCTGTGACCCAGTGATGTGAACTTGGGAAGAAGCTCCACTGGGCATGGTCCTGGGAAGGGCTCACACCTAGACATGGATAAACATGGGGTGTGGGCCCATTGATGTCAGTGCTGCTGGGCAGGCTGGATTGTTCAGGGGCCACATCTGGATGTCAGCTCTTTGTGGACCAGATCAGAGAAACTACATATGAAATACATATGTTAGTGTACACAGATATCTAGTAAATTCTGGAAAAGGAGACAAATAAGGGGAGGTATTTTGTATCTGATTTGGTAATGCATTTGAAGCCACACTAGTAGATCAAGATGTCTGTGATTCCAAACTTTTTTTTTTTTTAAGAGACAGGATGTTGGTTCAGGTGCTCACACCTGTAATACCAGCAATTTGTGAGGCCAAGGCAGGAAGACCACTTGAGGTCAAGAGTTCGAGACCAGCCTGGCCAACATGGTGAAACCCCACCTCTACTAAAAGTACAAAAATTAGCTTGGGGTGGTGGTGCATGCCTGTAATCTCATCTACTCAGGAGGCTGAGGCAGGATAATCACTTAAACCCAGGACGTGGAGGTTACTGTATGCCGAAATTATGCCACTGCACTCCAGCCTGGGAGACAGAGTGAGACTCTGTCTCAAAAGAAAAGAGAGAGAGAGGGAGAAGGTGTCGCTCTGTGGCTTAGTTCTGGAGTACAATGGTACAATTCAGAGTTTACAGCAGCCTCAAACTCCTGAGCTCAACTAATCCCTGCTTTAGCCTCCCAAAGAGCCTGAGTGATAGGCATGGGTCACCGTATGTATGTATATATGTATCTCTCTATCTATTTATTTACTTATTTTAAGATGGAGTCTCGCTCAGTCCCCAAAGGTGGAGTGCAATGGAATGATCTCGGCTCACTGCAACCTCCATCTCCCAGTTTCAAGCAATTCTTCTGCCTCAGCCTCCTGAGTTGCTGGGACTTCAGGATGCACCACCACACCCAGCTAATTTTTGTATTTTTATTTGAGACGGGGTTTCACCATGTTGGTTAGGCTGGTCTCGAACTCCTGACCTCATGATCTGCCTGTCTTGGACTCCCAAAGTGCTGGGATTAAAGGTGTGCACCACTGTGTCCGGCCTTATTTTTTATATCGTATTTTTATTTTGTTGTCCAGGCTGGAGTGCAGTGGTGCAATCATAGCTCACTATAGCCTTGATATCCTGGCCTCCAGTGATCCTCCCACCTTGGCCTCCCAAATTGCTGGCATTCCAGATGGGAGACAGCCAGCCCAGCTGGACTCTTTACTTTTTAGAGATGGAGTCTCGCTCCGTTGCCCAGGTTGGATTGCAGTGGTGGGATCTCAGCTCCCTGCCCCTCTGCCTTCTGGCTTCAAGCAATTCTTTTGCCTCAGCCTCCCGAGTATCTGGGATTACAGGCATTTGCTGCCTCGCCTGTTTAATTTTTTGTATTTTTAGTAGAGATGGGGTTTCACCGTATTGGTCAGGCTGGTCGAACTCCTGACCTTGTGATTCATCCACCTCAGCCTCCCATAGTGCTGGGATTACAGGCCTGAGCCACCACGCTTAGCCAAACTCTGCACTTTTAATGACTTGGGATGGAGTGGAAAGTGGAGATAGGCATCAGTGGTACAGGATGCTTTCTTACATCATTGATTTTACTTTATTTTTTAATTTGTTTTGAGTTGAGTCTCTGTTGTCCAGGCAGGAGTGCAGTGGGGTGATTTTGTTTCACTGTAGCCTCTGACTCCCAGATTACAGTGATTCTGTTGCCTCAGCCTCTCCAGTAGCTTGGATTAGAGGTGGGCCACCACGTGGGTAACGCCGTGATGTGATGTGTGTGCATGAATACATGGGTGGATAAGCCCATGGTTTATGTAGAAAACACAACATTTGCAATAAGTTATTTTTTATAATAATTGTAATGATTTTAAGTATTTTTCATTTGCAATAAGTTTTATTTTTTATAATAATTGTAATGATTTTAACTATTTTTCATTTGGAAGGCTGAGGCAGGTAGATCACGATGTCAGGAGTTCGAGACCAGCCTGGCTAAGATGGTGAAACCCTGTCTCTGCTAAATATACAAAAATTAGATGGACGCAGTGGCAGGTGCCTCAAATCCCAGCTCCTGGGGAGGCTGAGGCAAGAGAATTGCTTGAACCTGGGTGGCCGAGGTTGCAGTGAGCTGAGATTCTGCCACTGCACTCTAGCCTGTGCAATAGAGTGAGACTCCATCTCAAAAAAAAAAAAAGTAAGAAGTATTGGGAAGGATTATATGTATGCCTGTGTGTGTCCATTCAGCGACCTTGTAGGATGCTCCGTGTTCTTACCCTTGGACCTTTGTCACATTCTCTCCACTAGATAAACCCATGTCAGTTTAGTTTAAAGCTGTATCTGTTACTTCAGCGTTTATATTCAAATGTGAATCCCAGACATCTGGATTCAGTGCTTGTGTTGACATTTTTAGCTATTTGATTTGTGGTAATTTTCCTAGTATGTGTGATGCACTTGTCTCCAAGTACAGACCTTTCTTCATGGGACAGTATGTTATTTTATGGCTTAAGACATGGGAAGCACTTAGAACAGTGGGAAGCATTCAAAAATGTTAGTCATGGCTATTGCTGTCATCATAACAGTTTTTGGTTTTTGGTTTTTTTTTTTGGAGTCAGAGTATTGCTCTGTCACCCAGGCTGAAGTACAGTGGCATGATATTGGCACACTGCATCCTCCACCTCCCAGTTTCAAGCAATTCTCCAGCCTCAGCCTCCCGAGTATTGGGGATTACAGGCACCCACCATCACTCCCAGCTAATTTTTGTATTTTTAGTAGAGAAGGGGTTTCAGCATGTTCCCAAGCTGGTCTCAAACTCCTGACCTCGTGATCCACCTGCCTCGACCTCTCAAAGTACTGGAATTACAGGCATGAGCCACTGTGCCTGCGCAGTCATGACAGTTTTTAGATTCAGACTTTTCATTCAAAGCCGTTGGATTTTGTCCTCTCTGAAACACCACTTGTATCTTAGCTCATCTAGAGACTTAATATCACCTGGTATGTTGAACATAATATCTGACATGTCTGTAGAAAAAACCCTGTGTTTGTTTGTTTGTTTGTTTGTTTTTGAGATGGAGTCTTGCTCTGTTGCCAGGCTAAAGTGCAGTGGTGCGATCTTGGCTCACTGTAACCTCCACCTCTCGGATTCATGCGATCCTCCTGCCTCAGCCTCTTGAGTAGCTGGGAGTACAGGCCTGCACCACGACACCCAGCTAATTTTTGTATTTTTAGTAGAGACATGGTTTTGCCATGTTGACCAGGATGGTCTCAATCTCTTGACCACATTATCTGCCCGTCTTGGTCTCCCAAAGTGCTGGGATTACAGGTGACAGTCACTGCCCGGCATTGTTTTTTTGTTTTGTTTTGTTTTGTTTTTTGAGATGGAGTGTCAGTCTGTTGCCCAGGATGGAGTGCAGTGGTGCGATCTTGGCTCACTGTAGCCTCCATCTCCTGGGTTCAAGTGATTCTCCTGCCTCAGCCTCCTGTGTAGCTGGGATTACAGGTGCCTGCCACCATGCCTGACAAATTTTTATATTTTTAGTAGAGACAGGTTTTCACCATGTTGGCCAGGGTGGTCTCGAACTCTTGACATCAAATAATCTGCCCGCCTTGGCCTCCCGAAGTGTTAGGATTACAGGTGTGAACCACCATGCCTGGCCCTGTGTTTCCTTTTTATTTTTATACTTTTTATGTTGTCTATGAAATTGAGACTTCCATAGTGACTTATGGCATCTTAAAATCTTTCAAAGAAAAGTACAATAAAATGCAACTATAGGGAAAAAATATTCAAAATACCTTAACATTTTGTCAGAACACAGTCTTTGATCAAATACTTATTTTCTCTTTTCTCATTTCCCATGAAGGTGATAACTCAATCCTCCATAATGTTTTGTGGAAATGTGTGTTTCATTTTAGGGACGCTTGACTTTCAGGGATGTGGCTATAGAATTCTCATTGGCAGAGTGGAAATGCCTGAACCCTTCGCAGAGGGCTTTGTACAGGGAAGTGATGTTGGAGAACTACAGGAACCTGGAAGCTGTGGGTGAGGAAAATGATGTCCCCCAGACATGAGGAGTCTGCTCTTGTCTATCTTGGCCCTTCCTGGTTTTGTGTTCTCTTTTGTGATTTTGCCCCATGCATGGCTTTTTTTTTTTTTTTGGTTGTTTTTTTGTTTTGTTTTTTTGTTTGAGATGGATCTTCGCTCTTGTTACCCAGGCTGGAGAGCAATGGTATGATCTTGGCTCACCGCAACCTCTGCCTCCCAGGTTCAAGCAATTCTCCTGCCTCAGCCTCCTGGGTAGCTGGGATTACAGGCATGTGCCACCACACCCAGCTAATTTTGTATTTTCAGTAGAGACGGGGTTTCTCTATGTTGGTCAGACTCGTCTCTCACTCCTCACCTTACGTGATCCACCCACCTCGGCCTCCCAATGTGCTGGGATTACAGGCATGAGCCACAGCCCCTGGACCCATCCAAGTTTGTTTTTAAGGCTGAATAATATTCCATTGTATGTGTATACCACATTTTGTTCATATATTTATCTGTTGATGGACATCTGGGTTGGTTTCTTCTCTTTACTATTATAAATAATGCTGCCAGGCTGGGTGTAGTGGCACACGCCTGTAATCCCAGCACTTTGGAAGGCTGAGGTGGGTGAATCACCTGAGGTCAGGAGTTCAAGACCAGCCTGGCCAACATGGTGAAACCACATTTCTATTAAAGTTATAGTTTCTTCTTTTTTTTTTTAGATGGAGTATTGCTCTGTCACACAGGCTGGAGTGCAGTGGTGCAATCTCAGCTCACTGCAACCTCCACCTCCCAGGTTCAAGCAATCTCCTACCTCAGCCTTCTGAGTAGCTGGGATTACAGACATGCACCACCATGCCGGGCTAATATTTTATATTTTTTCAGTAGAGACAGTGTTTCACCATGCTGGCCTGGCTGGTCTCGAACTCCTGACCTTGTGATCCACCCATCCATCCTCCTAATGAGCTGAGATTACAGACGTGAGCCACTGCACTCAGCCTGGCTCTGTTTTCACAAACACATCTCTACCTACTCAGCCAGGGCATCCTTCTTCAACCCCATGGTCTCCTACATTGCTCTACTGTACTCTTCATAGGGTTTACTTATTTTTTTGTGTGTACACATTTCTGGAATCTACACAGGGGATTATTGTTGAGTATATGCTTGAAACTAGAAATCAGAGGCATTTAATTTAAGAGATGTAAAATTGCTTTCACCTCAGGCCACCATACTGCTGCTTTTTTGGATCTCTTTCATTCTTGTCCCTTGCCCATATTGTAATTTGAATATTTAACCTTGGGTCAATATTTTACCATTTGCTAAATTAGTTCCACTTTCTTCCAAGCTCAAGATTTGGTCTATCCTAGTGGAATTATATTCCCACAGACATGCATGCACAAAGTTCACTCCTACATGCCCATTACTTCCTGCTCTCCACCCTTGCCCTTCCTTTCCTGGCCTTGCCTCACATGATACATTGATCTGGATGCAAATACCAGCCTATTGACTTTGTAATAGTGAACACCCCAATTTCCCCGTGAGCCCCTCCCCTCCAACACTACTCTCACTGAGTAAGTCAAGACCTTGTTCATCCACTGGACAAAATTATAGGAGGCCGCTTAAATCAGTGTGTGCAGGGCATCATGACTCAGCACATGATCCATGAGGGATGGCTTCAGAACCACTGTCAGCAGCGCAGCTCAGCGCTTGTGTCCCAGCTCAGTCCTTGTATCCCCCTTGATGTACTTCTATCTGTTCTCCTTGTATTTTCTGTGTCTGGTCATTTCCTGTCCTGCCTGGGCTGACTATTGTGCCTAAGAACATGTCATGGGATCCTTCATGCCCAGGATCAAGTCTTGTCCCTCACTTACCGTACGTGCAAACTGGGGTCATGTCCATGAACACCGCGGGCCTGCTTTTGTTATTTGAGAAATAATGTTAATTTGCCTCCAGGGTTGGTTTTTGGTTTTTGTTTGTTTGTTTTTTGAGATGGAGTTTTGCTCCTGTTGCCCAGGCTTAAGTGCAATGGCACAATCTCAGTTCACCACAACCTCCACCTCCCGGGTTCAAGGGATTCTCCTTCTGCAGCCTCCCAAGTAGCTGGGATTACAGGCATGCACCACCACGCCTGGCTAATTTTTGTATTTTTAGTAGAGATGGGGTTTCACCATGTTGGCCAGGCTGGTCTCGAACTCCTGACCTCAAGTGATGTACCTGCCTGAGCCTCCCAAAGAGCTAGGATTACAGGCCTGAGCCACTGTGTCTGGCCTTTTTTGTTTTTTAAATGGAGTTTCCCTCTTCTTGCCCAGGCTGGAGTACATTGGTTCAATCTCAGCTCACCGCAACCTCCACTTCCTGGGTTCAAGTGATTGTCCAGCCTCAGGGTCCCAAGTAGCTGGGATTATGCCTGGTGCAAGTCTGGCTAATTTTTGTAATTTTAGTAGACATGGGGTTTCTCCATATTGGTCAGGCTGGTCTCAAACTCCCAACCTCAGGTGATTCGTCCACCTGCTTTTTAAAACAAGTGAATACTATTAGATGGCTTCATATAAGTTTTATAGTACACACTCAACTTCCTTTGTTTAATAAGATTTGTCAGCCTTCAGTGATGTTGATGATGAGATGCCTCTTTTCCTATCTCACTCTTTTCACTGTTCTGTCAGAAATAGCTTAGACTGGCCAGCCGCAGTGGCTTAGGCCTCTAATTCCAGCACTTTGAAAGGCTGAGGTGGGTAGATGGCTTGAGGTCAGGAGTTTGAGAGCAGTCGGGCAAACATAATGAAACCTTGAATCTACTAAATTAAAAAAAATTGGACGGGCGTGATGGCTCACGACTATAATCCCAAAAATTTGGGAGGCAAAGACGGGTGGATCACCTCAGGTCAGAATTTCAAGACCAGCCTGGCCAACATGGTGAAACCCCATCTCTGGTAAAAATACAAAAATTAGCTGGGTGTGTTGGTATACACCTGTAATCCCAGCTTCTTGTGAGGCTGAGACCTATAGGAGAATCATTTGAACCTGGGAGATGGATGTTGCAGTGAGCCATGATTGCGCCACTGCACTCCAGCCCGGGTGACAGAGTGAGACTCTGTTTCCAAAAAAAAAATTAGCCAGGCATGGTGGCATGTATCTGTAGTGCCAGCTACTCAAGAGGCTGAGGCATGAGAATCTCTTTAGGTAGGAGAGTCGTGCCACTGCACTCCAGCCTGGGTGATGAAGCATGACAGACAAAAAAAAAGAAATAGCTGAAACTTGAAAGCTTAAGACATAGAAATTTATTTCTCATGAATCTGGAAAATGGGAAATCCAAGAACAAGATGTCAGCTAGATTGGCTCCTGGTGAGAGCCTTCTTCGTGGTTTAGCCCAGCCACCTTCCTGCAGTGTCCTGACATGGGGGAAAGAGGAGCAGGCAATGAGCTCTTTACTGTCTCTTTTTATAAAAACAGTAGTCCTGGCCAGTCGTGGTGGCTTACACCTGTAATCCCAGCACTTTGGGAGGCTAAGACGGCCAAATCACATGAGGTCGGGAGATTGAAACGAGCCTGACCAACATGGAGAAACCATGTCTCTACTAAAAATACAAAATGAGCCAGGCATGATTGCACATGCCTGTAATCCCAGCTACTCGGGTGGCTGAGGCAGGAGAATCGCTTGAACCTGGGAGGTAGAGACTGTGGTGAACCTAGATCATGCTATTGCACTCCAGCCTGGGCAACAAGAGCGAAACTCTGTCTCAAAAGTAGATAAAGAAAGAAAAAATACAATTAAAAGCCCTAGTCCTATTCACAATTAGTCAACACCCATGACCAAATTCTCTAAAAGACCCCAACTGCAGGAACATCCTTATTGGAGAATAAGAAATCTGATAATGACTTTTAGCCAAGGTGAACATTCGGGCCAGGGAACATACATCATATTTTTTGTTCTTATTGTGCAATTTGTTTTATACAATATTTTCTCTGATCTGTTTATAAATTTTCCCAGTACACATTCTATGTTTTATATCTTACGCATAGTGAACTAGATAACTATGGGGAATGCACAAATGTAAAATTGCTGTATTGCCTGGCTGTTACATAAGTGTAGTTGTGACATCATAATTGTACTTTTCTACACTATTAGTCAATTATTTATTTATTTATTTGAGATGGAGTCTAGCCCTGTCAACCAGGCTGGAGTGCAATGGCACAATCTCGGCTCACTGTAACCTTTGCCTCCTGGGTTCAAATGATTCTTTTGCTTCAGCCTCCAGAGTAGCTGAGATTACAGGTGTCTGCCACCATACCCAGCTGTTTTTTTTGTATTCTTAGTAGAGATGGGGTTTCCCCATGTTGGCCAGGCTGTTCTCGAACTCCTGACCTCGTGCTCCACATGTCTCCACCTCCCAAAGTACTGGGATTACAGGTGTCAGCCACCGTTACCAGCCATTAGTCAATTCTTATTTCTTAAAATGCTGTGTATTTTCTTGACCTCATACATGAGAAGGTAGTGATCTTAACATGTATTTCAGTTCTTATATTGTGTGCTGGTGGTTAAGTAGATGTTGTGGCTTTTTTCTTAAGAGGGAATTGTTTAGAATTCTGCAGGCTGTATAAATGTACTTACTTGCTTGCTGGTTTTATCATGGGTTACAATATTTTATTAATTAATTTTTATAATTTTGCATATGGCTTTTCGGTATGTGGTATGCAATATAACTGCCACACTCCACTCATTAATGTCACAAAGTGCCACCAGGTACAGTGGCTCACACCTGTAATCCCAGAACTTTGGGAGGCTGAGGCGGGAAGATTACTTGAGGTCAGGAGTTTGAGACCAGCCTGGTCAACCTGGTGAAACCCCATCTCTGTAGGGACCAGCCCCACAGGGTCGGTGGGTTTTGCTCTCTCTATGCGGAGATGAGAGACTGTAGAAATAAATACACAAGACAAAGAGATAAAAGAAAAGACAGCTGGGCCCGGGGGACCACTGCCAGCAAGATGCAGAGATGGGTAGTGGCCCTGAATGCCAGGCTGCGCTGATATTTATTGGATACAAGACAAAGGGGCAGGGTAAGGAGTGTGAGCCATCTCCAGTGATAGGTAAGGTCACGTGGGTCACCTGTCCACTAGACAGGGGGCCCTTCCCTTCCTGGCAGCCGAGGCAGAGAGAGGGAGAGAGAGAGATAGCTTGCGCCATTATTTCTGCATATCAGACACTTTTAGTACTTTCACTCATTTTGCTACTGTTATCTAGAAGGCAGAGCCAGGTGTACAGGACGGAACACGAAGGTGGACTAGGAGCGTGACCACTGAAGCACAGCATCACAGGGAGACGGTTAGGCCTCCGGATAACTGCAGGTGGGCCTGACTGATGTCAGGCCCTCCGCAAGAGGTGGTGGAGGAGAGTGTTCTCTAAACTCCCCCGGGGAAAGGGAGACTCCCTTTCCCGGTCTGCTAAGTGGCGGGTGTTGTTCCTTGGCACTGATGCTACCACTAGACCATGGTCCGCTTGGCAACGGGCATCTTCCCAGACGCTGGCATCACTGCCAGACCAAGGAGTCCTCTGGTGGCCCTGTCTGGGCATAACAGAAGGCTCGCACTCTTGTCTTCTGGTCACTTCTCACTGTGTCCCCTCAGCTCCTATCTCTGTATGGCCTGGCTTTTCTTAGGTTATGATTATAGAGCGAGGATTATTATAATATTGGAATAAAGAGTAATTGCTACCAACTAATGATTAATGACATTCATATATAATCATGTCTATGATCTAGATCTAGTATAACTCTTGTTATTTTATATATTTTATTATATTGGAACAGCTTGTGCCCTCGAACTCTTGCCTTGGCACCTAGTTGGCTTGCTGCCCACACATCTCTACTAAAAACACAAAAATTACCCAGGCATAGTTGTGCATGCCTGTAACCCCAGGTACTCAGGAGGATGAGGCAGGAGGATCACTTCAACCCAGGAGGCAGAGGTTGCAGTGAGCTGAGATCATGCCATGGCACTCCAAGCTGGAGTGCAAGACTCCATCTCAAAAAAATAAAAATACAAAAATTTTTTGAAAAGTCATTAAGTGCCTGTCCTGTGTGGATATAGGTAATTTTATGACATTTATTGAGAAAAATATTGAATTAACTTTTTTTTTGCTTTTTTTTTTTTTTTGAGGTGGAGTCTCACTTTGTCACCCAGGCTGGAGTGCAGAGGTGCAATCTTGCCTCACCGCAACCTCTGCCTCCCAGGTTCAGGTGATTCTTATGCCTCAGCCTCCCAAGTTGCTGTGACTGTCAGGCACGGGCCAGCACACCTGGTTAATTTTTGTAATCTTCTCTTCTCGGTGCTATAATTGTTTGAAAATACAGAATTTCCATTGATTTTGGTTATCCTTACATGAGTTTGTGGATTATTTACCAATATAGTATATTGTGTGGGTTTCTTTGTTTTTTTTTTAGCATTTGTACACAGTAAATATGGTTTAAATATGAAAAATATATATTTTTCTCTTCATTGATGTGACAGTGATATGTTTTTTGCAAATTGTGATACACTTTAGGGTCACAGTGGAAAAATACTCCTTACCTTAGGCTTACACGTTTGTGCCCTGTCAGTGTTTTGTGATGACATAGGAAATAGACTTTCATAGAATTGATTTGAAGGACATGTAATTGCCCCTTGTTTATTAAAGAATCTTACTCCTTTTGTGTTCCTAAACTTTGAAGATGATATTTGGGAAGTTCAAAATAAGTATTGTTTTTTGTGTCATATTTACACACTTCAGTATGATTTACCATCTGTACTTAATTGGAAACCTATTGTTGTTTATATTTTGTAGATATCTCTTCCAAACGCATGATGAAGGAGGTCTTGTCAACAGGGCAAGGCAATACAGAAGTGATCCACACAGGGACATTGCAAAGATATCAAAGTTATCACATTGGAGATTTTTGCTTCCAGGAAATTGAGAAAGAAATTCATGATATTGAGTTTCAGTGTCAAGAAGATGAAAGAAATGGCCATGAAGCACCCATGACAAAAATAAAAAAGTTGACTGGTAGCACAGACCAACATGATCACAGGCATGCTGGAAACAAGCCTATTAAAGATCAGCTTGGATCAAGCTTTTATTCACATCTGCCTGAACTCCACATAATTCAGATCAAAGGTAAAATTGGTAATCAATTTGAGAAGTCTACCAGTGATGCTCCCTCGGTTTCAACATCCCAAAGAATTTCTCCTAGGCCCCAAATCCATATTTCTAATAACTATGGGAATAATTCCCCGAATTCTTCACTACTCCCACAAAAACAGGAAGTATACATGAGAGAAAAATCTTTCCAATGTAATGAGAGTGGCAAAGCCTTTAATTGTAGCTCACTCTTAAGGAAACACCAGATACCCCATTTAGGAGACAAACAATATAAATGTGATGTATGTGGCAAGCTCTTTAATCACAAGCAATACCTTACATGCCATTGTAGATGTCACACTGGAGAGAAACCTTACAAGTGTAATGAGTGTGGAAAGTCCTTCAGTCAGGTATCATCCCTTACATGCCATCGTAGACTTCACACTGCAGTAAAATCTCACAAGTGTAATGAGTGTGGCAAGATCTTTGGTCAAAATTCAGCCCTTGTAATTCATAAGGCAATTCATACTGGAGAAAAACCTTACAAGTGTAATGAATGTGACAAAGCTTTTAATCAGCAATCAAACCTTGCACGTCATCGTAGAATTCATACTGGAGAGAAACCTTACAAATGTGAAGAATGTGACAAAGTTTTCAGTCGGAAATCAACCCTTGAGTCACATAAGAGAATTCATACTGGAGAGAAACCATACAAATGTAAGGTTTGTGACACAGCTTTCACATGGAATTCTCAGCTGGCAAGACATAAAAGAATTCACACTGGAGAGAAAACTTACAAGTGTAATGAGTGTGGCAAGACCTTCAGTCACAAGTCATCCCTTGTATGCCATCATAGACTTCATGGTGGAGAGAAATCTTACAAATGTAAGGTCTGTGACAAGGCTTTTGCGTGGAATTCACACCTGGTAAGACATACTAGAATTCATAGTGGAGGAAAACCTTACAAGTGTAATGAATGTGGGAAGACCTTTGGTCAAAATTCAGATCTTCTAATTCATAAGTCAATTCATACTGGAGAGCAACCTTACAAATATGAAGAATGTGAAAAGGTTTTCAGTTGTGGATCAACCCTTGAGACACATAAGATAATTCACACCGGAGAGAAACCATACAAATGTAAGGTTTGTGACAAGGCTTTTGCGTGTCATTCCTATCTGGCAAAACATACTAGAATTCATAGTGGAGAGAAACCTTACAAGTGTAATGAGTGCAGCAAGACCTTCCGTCTGAGGTCATACCTTGCAAGCCATCGCAGAGTTCATAGTGGTGAGAAACCTTACAAGTGTAATGAGTGCAGCAAGACCTTCAGTCAGAGGTCATACCTTCATTGCCATCGTAGACTTCATAGTGGTGAGAAACCTTACAAGTGTAATGAGTGTGGCAAGACCTTCAGTCACAAGCCATCCCTTGTTCACCATCGTAGACTTCATACTGGAGAGAAATCTTACAAATGTACGGTTTGTGACAAGGCTTTCGTGCGTAATTCATACCTGGCAAGACATACCAGAATTCACACTGCAGAGAAACCTTACAAGTGTAATGAATGTGGGAAGGCTTTTAATCAACAATCACAACTTTCACTTCATCATAGAATTCATGCTGGGGAGAAACTTTACAAATGTGAAACATGTGACAAAGTTTTCAGTCGCAAATCACACCTTAAAAGACATAGGAGAATTCATCCTGGAAAGAAACCATACAAATGTAAGGTTTGTGACAAGACTTTTGGGAGTGATTCACACCTGAAACAACATACTGGACTTCACACTGGAGAGAAACCTTACAAGTGTAATGAGTGTGGCAAAGCCTTTAGCAAGCAGTCAACACTTATTCACCATCAGGCAGTTCATGGTGTAGGGAAACTTGACTAATGTAATGATTGTCACAAAGTCTTCAGTAACGCTACAACCATTGCAAATCATTGGAGAATCTATAATGAATAAAGATCTAACAAGTGTAATAAATGTGGCAAATTTTTCAGACATCATTCATACATTGCAGTTCATTGACACACTCATACTGGAGAGAAACCTTACAAATGTCATGACTGTGGCAAGGTCTTCAGTCAAGCTTCATCCTATGCAAAACATAGGAGAATTCATACAGGAGAGAAACCTCACATGTGTGATGATTGTGGCAAAGCCTTTACTTCATGTTCACACCTCATTAGACATCAGAGAATCCCTACTGGACAGAAATCTTACAAATGTCAGAAGTGTGGCAAGGTCTTGAGTCCGAGGTCACTCCTTGCAGAACATCAGAAAATTCATTTTTGAGATAACTGTTCCCAATGCAGTGAGTATAGCAAACCATCAAGCATTAATTGACACTAGAGTCAGTCCAGCATTGACTTGAGTTTGTGTTGACTTAACATTGAGTTCAACCCTTAATTGACATTCAAGTGTTTATGTTAAGAGGATTGGGCCAGGTGTGGTTTCTCACACCTGTAATTCCAGCACGGTTGGAGGCCAAGGCACATAGGTCACTTGAGGTCAGAAGTTTGAAACCAGCATGGCCAACAGATGTCAGCCACTTTTCCCAGCCTGTTTTTTGATTCTTATTTTCTATTTTTCTTTTTTGAGATAGTACTTTTTAAAGAGATAGTACTTTTTTGATATAGTACTTTATAAAAGGGAGATCAGGCCAGGCACGGAGGCTCATGTAAGTAATCCCAGCACTTTGGGAGGCCGAGACGGGCCCATGACAAGGTCAGGAGATCGAGACCGTCCTGGCTAACACGGTGAAACCCCATCTCTACTAAAAATATAAAATATTAGCCAGGCGTGGTGGCAGGTGCCTGTAGTCCTAGCTGCTTGGGAGGCTGAGGCAGGAGAATGGTGTGAATCCTGGAGACGGAGCTTGCAGGGAGCCAACATCGTGCCACTGCACTCCGGCCTGGGCGACAGTGAGAATCTGTCTCAAAAAAAAAAAAAAAAAAAGGATATCAAAGCTGGATGGTGGCTCATCCCTGCAATCACAACACTTTGGTAGACTGATGTGAGTGGATCACCTAAGGTCAGAAGTTCAAGAGCACCCTGGCTAACATGGTGAAACCCCATCTCTACTAAAAATACAAAAGTTAGCCGGGGGGTGGTGGTGTGCACCTTTAGTTCCAGCTACTTGAGAGGCTGAGGCACAAGAGTCGCTTAAACCTGGGAGGTAGAGGTTGCCGTGAGGCAAAATCGTGCCACTGCCCTCAGCCTGGGCAGTAGAGTCAGTCTCCATCTCAAAGAAACCAGCAAACAAAAAATATTAAAAAAAAACATTAAAAATGCTTTTGTTCTCATTGTTCAATAGACTTCCTTTTTTTTCCTTTCTGATTCCTCTTCATTTCTCTCTTTTTTTTTTTTTTGCAGTTTGAGTTTGAGATAAATCTTAGTTTTAAAAATTGTATTTCTTTCATAGTATATAATCACATCTGAAAGATGCCTTTGCAGCATCGTATAGTCAGCTCACATCATTCATTTCTGTACTTGTATATTCTCCTGTTCTTTTCCAGTTGACCCCAGAATTCATTAGATTAAAAAAAATAGTTGCTGTTTGAAATTAGTTGCATCCAGTTCAGATCGAAGTCTGCATGCTTTCTGGTCTTTGTTATTTATTGGAAGCGTTTCATACCCAATACTTAAGTTTGATTGTTTCAGTGTGTACTTGGTATAGATGTCAGTGACCTTTTAACTAAACATCAAAATGTAGTTTAACCAGTTAGTCTGTTTTTCAGTTTTCTTTCCTTATGTCATTTGTTAAAATCTTGAGCTGGGAGCTATTTATTGCGTGTTTCCCTCAAGGCCCTCTGGTCCATTCTGGAAAAATGTTGAAACATGGGCTGGATTGGCATGGAACTCTCCTCCAAAAGCACCCATGTATTCTTTTTCTTTTTTTTTCCTGAAATGGAGTCTTGCTCTGTCGCCTTGGATGGAGGGCAGTGGTGTGATCTCAGCTTACTGCAACCTCTGCCTCCCGGGATCAAGTGATTCTCCTGCCTCAGTCTCCTGAGTAGCTAGAATTACAGGCACCCACCAACATGCCTGGCTAATTTTTGTATTTTTAGTAGAGACAGGGTTTCACCATGTTTGTCAGGCTGGTCTCTAACTCTTGACCTTGTGATCCGCCCGACTCGGCCTCCCAATGTGCTGTGATTACAGACATGAGCCACCCCGCCTGGCCTCTGTTTTTTTTTTCTTTTTCTTTTTCTTTTTTGAGATGGAGTTTTGCTCTTGTTGCTCAGGCTGGACTGCAATGGTGCGATCTCGTGTCACTACAGCATCTGCCTCCCGGGTTCAAGCGATTCTCCTGCCTCAGCCTACCAAGTAAGTAGTTGGGATTACAGGTGCCTTCCACCACTCCTGGCTAATTTTTTGCATTTTTAGTAGAGACAGGGTTTCACCATGTTGACCAGACTGGTCTCGAACTCCTGACTTCAGGTGATCTGCCCACCTCGACCTCCCAAAAGTGCTAGGATTACAGGCGTGAGCCACCATGCCTGACCACTCATGTATTCTTGATTGAAACAATTTGCTTATTTCTTAGTGCTACAGTTGACCTTCTTTCCCTGTTTTCAAGGTCAATAGCTGTGTGTTCACACTTCTGCATTTTATAAATATTCCTGTGATTTTCCTGTAAGGAAGAATTAACTGTCAGGAATCAATGGCATCAGAACCTTGCAAAAGAAGTTTCTTTAGCCCAGGTTTGTGAAAGAGGCTTCTCTAATTTTCCAGGATGAGGATGATAAGACCAACCCTTCCTATTAGCCCCTCCAGGCCCCCATGTAAGAATTCAGGCACACCTTCTCACTCCTCTCAGACATTCGTAGGGTAACTTGGTGAAAATGTCTTCCGATCTGAGCCCCAGTGAGCCTCCCTGCAACTTGGCGACGAGGGACTAGACCAGAAAAGCTCAACCCGAGTGACCCTGGCCCCTGAAATGATTGGCAAAATGGAGTGCGTGTCTGGGTGTGGCTTTTTTTTTTTTATTTTTTTGAGGAGAGGAGTGCCCAGTTGTGATTAGAATTTTCAATGGGATGCAGTGCCCTCAAAATAAAAAACAAAAGCAGAAGAATGGAAGAAACAGAGGTAGACTCAGACACAGAGACCATCTTCGGGGCCTTTCTCTGTATGAGGATATCACAGCGAAATCTAAAGCAGGTCACGTCAATCCCTGGCAGGGAACCCTCCACCGGCTTCCCGTGTTCCCCAGGACAAAAGCCCAACCCCTCACTGTGGCTCCACAGCCCTGTGTCCAGGGCCCCTGCCAGTGTCCAGCCTCCTCCTGGGAGCTTGCCCTCATCTCATGAATCCCTTTGCCCCAGTCACATTTGCTTTTCTCTTTTCCCAAACATCAAAACCCTGTCATTGTCCCTGCTCTTACCCTATGTACCCTGTCCATTTCTCCTCCAGATCTAGGCTCAGAGCTGTCTCCCATGCCCTCCCACCCCCGTCTGAAGTTCCCTCTGCCCATCAGTCTGCATCATGTTACTCAGGTTTTATTATCTCTGCATCAATCACATCAGAAATGCGCTTTTTTTTTTTTTTTTTTTTCCTGAGACTGAGTCACTCTATCGTCCAGGCTGTGAGCGCAGTCTCGTGATCTTGGATCACTGCAACCTCTGTCTCCTAGGTTCAAGCAATTCTTGTGCCTCAGCCTCCGAAGTAGCTGAGATTACAGGTGTCTGCCACCACACCTGGCTAATTTTTGTATTTTTACTTTTATTTTCTTTTATTTTTGAGTCTTTGTCTGTCACCAAGACTGGACTGTAGTGGCACAATCTCGGCTCACTGCAACCTCCACCTCCCGGGTTCAAGCGATTCTCCTACCTCTGTCTCCCAAGTAGTGAGGATTACAGACACTTACCAAGCCCGGCTACTTTTTGTGTATTTAGTAGAGACAGGGTTTCACCATGTTGGCCAGGCTGGTCTCGATCTCCTGACCTCAAGTAATCAGCACACCTCGGCCTTCCAGAGTGCTAGGATTACCGGATGACCCACACGCCCGGCCCATTTTTGTATTTTTAGTAGATACAGGGTTTCACCATGTTGGCCAGGCTGCTCTCAAACTCCTCAGGTCAAGTGATCCTCCCACCTCAGCCTTCTAAGTAGCTGGGACCACAGACACACAGACATGCACCACCATACCTGGCTAAGTTTTGTATTTTTGGTAGAGATGGGGTTTCACCATGTTGCCCAGGCTGGTCTCAAACTCCTGAGCTCAAGTGATCTACCCGCCTTGGCCTCCGAGAGTGCTGGGATGACAGGCATGAGCCACCGCACCCAGCCTCTGCGTGGGGTTCGGTCAGGGCTGGGTCTGTGCCCTGAAGGGGAGCTCATTCCAGCCCAGCTCCCCACTGCTGCAGCTTGTGTGTGGACTCCTCCAGAAGGGGAGCGGGAGTTTCCCTGTAGGAGTTTATCATCCATGGTTAGGAGGGCAGAAGGGGGGACTATTTCCTCAGGGTGAGGTCTTTAGTTAGGCCTCTGAGCCCAAGCTAAGCCATCATATCCCCTGTGACCTGCACGTATATATCCAGATGGCCTGAAGCAACTGAAGATCCACAAAAGAAGTGAAAATGGCCTTAACTGATGACATTCCACCATTGTGATTTGTTTCTGCCCCACCCTGACTGATCAAAGTACTTTGTAATCTCCCTCACTCTTAAAAAGGTTCTTTGTAATCTCCCCCACCCTTCAGAAGGTTCTTTGTAATTCTCCCCACCCTTGAGAATGTACTTGGTGAGATCCACCCCCTGCCCGCAAAACATTGCTCCTAACTCCACCGCCTGTCCCAAAACCTATGAGAACTAATGATAATCCCACCACACTTTGCTGACTCTCTTTCCAGACTCAGCCCGGCTGCACCCAGGTGAAATAAACAGCCTCATTATTTAAACAAATTGTGTTTGGCGGTCTCTTCACACGGACGTGCATTACACTTTGTGTGATTGTGTTACAGGGAGGGCATGTGTTGATTCTGAGCAATAAATAACATATTTTTAACATTCAGGATTGACTTCTAAAGACTTTTGGTACGTGAGGAAGAAACCCAGAAGAGGAAGAGGAAAGCAAAGGAGTCAGGGATGGCTCTTCCTCAGGTGAGATGATATTCTCGGTGGATTGTTCTGTCTCCTTCCTTTGAGTAACGCTGGGCCTTGGAGTTGGGAGTCTTCTCTGAGTCTGAAGCATCCTTCCTGACAGGTTTGCTCACACTCACCCATGCCTTCCCTCATTCCCTCTTATCTGGCTTAGATTTTATCTTTCATGATCCAGTGACATGAACATAGGAGAGGCTGCACTGGGCATGGTCCTGGGAAGGGCTCACACCCAGACATGGATGGAGACGGAGTGAGGGTCCCATGGTGTCAGTGCTGTTGGGCAGCAGGGATTGTTCAGGGGCCACATCTGGATGCTCTGTCATCTCTCTGTGGACCAGGATTAGAGCAGCTGCCAATGGAAGTCACGTATTAATGTGCACAAAGTAGGTCTAAATTCTAGAAAAGGAGACCAATAAGAAAAAATCTTTTCTCCCTGATTTTATACTACATTTTTAGGTAATTTAGTGAATTACTGTGTTTCTGACTCCAAAAATTGTACTAATTAGAATGGAAAGTTCATACACAGACATGAATGATAGAAGGTGTTTTATTCCATCATTAGTTTAAGAATAGGAAATCAACCTAAATAATAGCAGGAGATTCATTAAACCATTCTTAGCACATTAAGCTCATGGAGACTGTGGGGTTACTGTGGAGAGGCTTGTGAAACAGGTGTTTTCGGTAAAAATGGTTACAATTTATTTTTTGAGATGGAGTCAGCCTCTGTCACCCAGGCTGGAGTGCAGTGCCATGATCTCAGTTTACTGCAACCTGCGCCTCCCAGGTTCAAGTGATTCTCCTGCCTCAGCCTCCCAAGTAGCTGGGGTTACAGGTATGTGCCTCCAGGCCCGGTTAATTTTTTTGTATTTTTAGTAGAGGTGGGGTTTCATCATGTTGGCCAGGGTGGCCTCAAACTCCTCACCTCAGGTTATCTGCCCACCTCAGCCTCCCAGAGTGCTGGGATTACAGGCACAAGCCACTGTGCTCAGCCCCACCAATTATTATTAAATAGATATTTTGATATTTAAACATCACGTGATGGATATATTTGTTTTCTAGTAAAACCCCGAGCAAAGCTGCAGCTTAGACCCTTTGCCATAAAGTATCTCCTTTCCCTGTCACGTCCTCCACCCTCCTTCCAACCTCACTGGGGAGCCGCTACTGGCAATTCTGTGTTAGGTGTCAAAGCAAGTCTCATACACGTGTATTTCTGCATCATTATGAGACTTTAAAAATAATTCTGTAGTAAATTAAAAAAATAAAACGTTTTATATTTATGTTTTTACTTTAGGATTGGGGCTACATGTGATGGTTTGTTACATAGGCAAACTCATGTCATTGAGGTTTGTTGTACAGATTATTCTATTGCTCCAGTATCAAGCCCAGTACCCAATAGTTTTTTTTTTCTTTTTTCTTTTTTTGACACTAAGTTTTGCACTTGTTTATTCAGGCTCGAGTGTGATGGCATGATCTCGGCTCACTGCAACCTCAGCCTCCTGGGTTCAAGCAAGTCTCCTGCCTCAGCCTCCCGAGTAGCTGGGATTACAAACACATGCCACCACCACACCTGGCTAATTTTTGTATTTTTAGTAGAGGCAGGGTTTCACCATGTTGGCCAGGCTGATGTTGAACTCCTGATGTCAGATGATCGAAGCCTCTCAGCCTCTCAAAGTGCTGGGATTACAGGTGTAAGCCACTGTGCCCAGCCCCCAATAGCTATTTTTTCTAGTCTTCTCCTTCCTCCCACTCTCTACCCTCAAGTAGACCCCAGCGTCTGTTGTTTTCTTCTTTGTGTTTTAGTAAATATTTTACTTTGATATTTGATCCTGCTAGTTGCGAAAATTTACATGTTGTCAAGTTAGTAAACATGGCTAGCTTGCTCTTTGACATCTGCTTTGGAAATTGGCTGAATGACAACATGTGGATCCTTTGAGATTTTTCCTTGTATAAGGAGTGCCATAGTGGCTGCCTCTCCACATGCCTGCATTACTACAGATATCTGAAGCTTCCTCCAGGTCAGTCAGTTGAAAGGGTGATTGCTTCTTCTAGCATGGGGCATTTCCTGTTTTCTTAGATCTGACAAGATTCCCCCCTACCCCCAACTGCCAAAGTGTCATTTTCTAGCAAGATGAGATTCCTCTTCAGTTAAACAAATCTTGTTACTTTTTATATTTTTAAAATCTTTATATATATATATATATATATATATACATATATACACACACACACATACACATGCACATACATATACATGCATATTTACACACACATATGTATATATTTTGAAAATCTGCTGGGCATGGTGGCTCATGCCTGTAATCCTATCACTTTGGGAGGCCGAGGTGGGTGGATCACCTGAGGTCAGGAGTTCACAACAAGCCTGGCCAACATGGTGAAACCCCATCTTTACTAAAAATACAGAAGTTAGCCGGGCATGGTGGTGGGCACCGGTAATCCCAGCTACTCTGGCTGAGGCAGGAGAACCACTTGAACCCAGAAGGCAGAGGTTGCAGTGAGCCAAGATTGCATTACCGCACTGCAGCCTGGGCGACAGAACGAGACCCTGTCTAAAAAAAAAAAAGAAAGAAAAGAAAATCTGGGGAAAATGACAACTTTTTTTGTTAACATCTAGTTTCTTGTGAGTCTGTGTAGGTTTTATTATTTTGCGGACCTATATAAACAAAATGGATTTTCGTACTTTGAGTTATTCTGTTTTCATATATTTGATTTTATTTTGAGAGAAGGTCTCGCTGTGTTGCTTAGGCTGGAGCGCAGTGGCATGATCTTAGCTCACTGCAACCTCCTTCAGGCTCAAGCCATCCCCAAGCCTCAGCCTCCCAAGTAGCTGGGACCACAGGTGCGTACCACCATGGCTGGTTAATTTTTTTTTTTTTGAGATGGAGTCTTGCTCTGTAGCCAAGCTGGAGTGCAGTGGCGTGATCTCGACTCACTGCAACCTCTGCCTCCCAGGTTCAAGCGATTCTCCTACCTCAGGCTCCCGAGTAGGTGAGACTACAGTTGAGTGCCACAACGCCCGGATAATTTTTTGGTATTTTCAGTAGAGACAGAATTTCACCTTGTTAGCCAGGACTGTCTGGATTTCCTAACCTCGTGATCCGCCCGCCTTTGCCTTTCTAAGTGCTGGGATTCCAGGCTGGTCTTGAACTCCTGTCCTCAGGTGATCTGCCTGCTTCAGCCTCATAGAGTGCTGAGATTACAGGCACGAGCCACCGTGCTCAGCCCCACCAATTATTATTAAATATATATTGTGATATTTAAACATCACATGATGTATGTATTTGTTTTGTGGTAACGCTCCAAGCAAAGCTGCAGCTTAGGCCCTTGTCCATAAAGCATCTCCTTTCCCTGTCACTTCCCTGTCACGTCCTCCACCCTCCTTCCAGCCTCCCTGGGGAGCCACTACTGTCAGTTCTGTGCCAGGTGTCAGAACAAGTCTTGTACACATGTATTTCTGCATCATTATGAGACTTTGGGAAATATTCTGCAGTAAATTTCACTCCCGTCTGTGAGAAGAGACCACCAAACAGGCTTTGTGTGATCAACAAGTCTGTTTATTTCACCTGGGTGCAGGCAGGCTGAGTCCAAAAAGAGAATCAGCGAGAGTGATAGGGGTGGGGCTGTTTTATAGGATTTGGGTACATAAAGGAAAATTACAGTCAAAGGGGGTTGTTCTCTTGAGGGCAGGGCCGGGGGTCACAAAGTGCTCAGTGGGGGAGCTTTTGAGCCAGGCTGAGCCAGGAGAAGGAATTTCACAAAGTAATGTCATCAGTTAAGGCAGGAACAGGCCATTTTCACTCCTTTTGTGATTCTTCAGTTACCTCAGGCCATCTGGATGTGTACCTGCAGGTCACAGGCTATATGATGGCTTAACTTGGGCTCAGAGGCCTGACATTCCTGTCTTCTTATAATAAATAAAAAATAAAACAAAATAGTGTTGAAGTCTTGGGGCGGCGAAAATTTTTGGGGGTGGTATGGAAAGAGAATGGGCGATGTTTCTCAGGGCTGCTTTGAGCAGGATTAGGGGCGGCGTGGGAACCTAGAGTGGGAGAGATTAAGCTGAAGGAAGATTTTGTGGTAAGGGGTGATATTGTGGGGTTGGTAGAAGAAACATTTGTCATATAGAATTATTGGTGATGGCCTGGATATGGTTTTGTATGAATTGAAAAACTAAACAGAATAAGAGAAGGAGAAAAACAGGTATTAAAAGACTAAGAATTGGGAGGACCCAGGACATCCAATTAGAGAGTGCCTAAGGAGGTTCAGCATAGCCTTGCCAGCAAAGATTATTTATTTACTTTAAGAGTTAAGAGTGGTGGTTTGGGGATAGCACCAGGAGATACCAGCTGTGATGGCTTGGAGAAACAGTGTAAACTGGCAGTGTAAAGAAGAGCAGGGCATTTATGAGTAGTTGACAAGGGTGAATAGGAGTATGACTAGATAGAAGATAGGGATGACAAGTTTTTTGGGGCACAGTCCAAGTTGCTCTGGTGTCTGGAATGATACTGGGGCCTAATAAAAAGGAGCATTCACACAGGAGCTCAAATGGGCTGTACCCCGTAGCATTTCAAGGACAGGCCCTAATTCTGAGAAGCGAAAGTGGTAAAAGTATTGTCCAGTCCTTTTTAAGTTGGTGGCTGAGCTTGGTAAGGTGTGTTTTTAAAAGACCATTAGTCCATTCTGCCTTTTCTGAAGATTGAGGACGGTAAAGAGTATGAAGGTTCCTCTGAATACCAAGAGCCTGAGAAACTGCTTGGGTGATTTGCCTAATAAAGGCTGGTCCGTTATCGGACTGTATAGAGGTGGGAAGGCCAAACTTGTTGGGAGCAAGCCCCCCAAAAACAAAATCTCTGTAGCAGTGTAACAGGTTCATAATGGCCCTAACGCCCATGCTGGAAGGTTGTGGGTTTACGGGAATGAGGGCAAGGAACACCTGGCCAGCCCAGGGTGGAAAACCACTTAAAGCCATTCTTAAGCCACAAACAATAGCATGAGAGATCTGTGCCTTAAGGACATGCTCCTGCTGCAGTTAAGAAGCCCAACCTATTCGTTTAATTTGGCCCATCCCTTCGTTTCCCATAAGGAATACTTTTAGTTAATTTAATATCTATAGAAAGAATGCTAATGACTGGTTTGCTGTTAATAAATGCGTGGGTAAATCTCTGTTTGGGGCTCTCAGCTCTGAAGGCTGTGAGACCCCTGATTTCCTACTTCACACCTCTATCTTTCTGTGTGTGTGTCTTTCATTCCTGTAGCACCACTGGGTTAGGGTCTCCCTGACTGAGCTGGTCTCGGCAAGTGGCGTACCTTCATGGGGGCTCGAATCCAGGTTGAAGGGTCACCGGAGCGACAGTTGGAATGGAAAACTAGCTGGAGGACACCCAAGTACTCTTAAAGCAATCCCTGTGGTGAGTAACAAGAGGAGCTCAGAAGCCTCAGGGTAACAATGGGACAGGTGTGGGGTCTGGTTCGTTCCACCTTGGAACTTATTCACAGTTATGATGAGGAGGAAGTGACAGAAGAGGTTACAGAGCAGGTTTATTTGCCAGCTAAAGCTAAAGCGGCAAAAGAGGAAGAGGTTCATCCCTACCTTTCTGCACCCCCTCATTATTATTTTGAAGAAAATGACCTTCCAGATCTTTCTTTTCTGGAGAACACTGGGTGAAAAGGAGTTGCCCCAGTGACTGTTTGATCAGTGCCTCAAGCAATCGCTCTTAGTTCTATTCAGGCAGGAATTCAGCAAGCTAGAAGAGAGGGTGATTTAGAGACTTGGCAGTTCCCTGTTAGAATACACCCCCCAGATCAACAGGGAAATATTACAACTATATTTGAGCCTTTTCTTTTTAAGTTACTCAAAGAATTTAAACAAGTTATAAATCAGTATGGACCAGGTTCTCCTTTTGTAATGGGACTGTTAAAGAATGTTGCTATTTCCAGTCAGATGATACCTACTGACTGGGACTGTCTTACTTGAGCTTATCTAACTCCTGCTCAGTTCTTACAATTTAAAACTTGGTGGGCAGATGAAGCTTCCATTCAGGCTGCTCGCAATGCCCAGGCCCAACCTCAAATTAATGTAACTGCAGACCAACTTTTGGGGGTTGGTGGCTGGGCTGGCTTAGGTGCCCAACTGGTCATGCAGGATGATGCCATAGAACAGCTTAGAGGAGTGTGCATTAGAGCTTGGGAAAAAATCACTTCATGTGGAGAACAATACCCTTCCTTTAGTGCTATGAAACAGGGACCAAGAGAACCATACGTTGATTTTATAGCTTGGTTACAGAAGTCTCTTAAAAAGATGATTGCAGATTCAGCTGCTCAGGATATAGTGTTGCAGTTATTAAGTTTTGACAATGCTTTTTTTTTTTCTTTTTTTGAGATGGAGTCTCGCTCTGTAATCCCAATTGCCACGCTGCTCTGTGACCTATTAGAAGGAAAGCACATTTAGTTAATTATATCAAGGCTTGTGATGGTATCGGAGGTAATCTGCATAAAGCTGCCTTGTTGGCACAGGCAATGGCAGGACTGAGAGTGGACAAAGGAAATACTCCATTTCCTGGCGCTTGTTTTAACTGTGGGAAGCATGGTCATACTAAAAACAAATGTAGAAAAAATCAGCGAATCAGGCCACCAGATAGGGGAAAAAAGAAAACTGCAGATCCTGAAATATGTCCAAAATGTAAAAAAGGAAAACATTGGGCTAATCAGTGTCCCTCTAAGTTTCATAAAGATGGGAATACGATTTCGGGAAATGCCATGAGGGGCCTGTCCCGGGCCCCATTCTAAACGGGGGCATTTCCAGCTCAGACCATTCCCTCACCCCTGTACAATGTCTGTCCCCCGCCATAGCCGGTAGTGCCACAGTAGATTTATGCTGCATAAAAGCTGTGAGACTTCTACCTGGGGAACCCCCGCAAAAGGTCCCAACAGGAGTCTGTGGACCCTTGCCAGCGGGTACAATCGGATTACTTTTAGGAAAGTCTAGTTTAGGTTTAAAAGGGGTACAAATACATACAGGAGTCATTGATTCAGATTACAATAGGGAAATTCAAATTGTTATACCTACTTATGTTTCCTGGAAAGCAGAGCCAGGAGAGCCCATAGCACAGCTCCTGATTGTGCCATATGTGGAAATGGGAAAAAGTGAAATTAAACGAACAGGAGGATTTGGAAGCACAAATAAACAAGGCAAAGCAGCTTATTGGGTCAACCAAATTACTGATAAATGTCCTACCTGTGAAATAACTATTCAGGGAAAGAAATTTAAAGGTTTGGTAGATACAAGAGCGGACATTTCAATCATTTCTCTACAGCACTGGCCGTCCACGTGGCCAATTCAACCCACTCAATTTAACATAGTTGGAGTTGGTGAAGCCCCTGAAGTATATCAGAGTAGTTCTGTTTTGCCTTGTGAAGGGCCCGATGGACAACCCGAGACTATTCAACCAATTATAACTTCTGTATCTATAAATTTATGGGGAAGAGATTTATTACAACAATGCAGAGCCCAAGTTCTAATTCCAGAACAATTATATAGCCCTCAAAGTCAACATATGATGCATGAAATGGGGTATGTCCCTGGTATGGGACTACAAAAAAATTTGCAAGGTTTAAAAAGTTCCCGCCAAAGATTAGGAAATAATTTTTGATGGTGGCCATTGTTAAGCCTCCAGAACCTATACCTTTAAAATGGTTCACAGATAAGCCAATTTGGATAGAACAATGGCCACTAAGTAAAGAGAAACTGGAGGCTTTAGAGAAATTAGTTACTGAACAGATAGAAAATGGGCATATTGCTCCAACAGTTTCCCCTTGGAATTCTCCAGTTTTCATAATTAAGAAAAAATCAGGTAAATGGAGGATGTTAACTGACTTAAGAGCTATCAATTCAACTATATAACCTATGGGAGCATTACAGCAAGGATTGCTTTCTCTTACTAAAATTCCAAAAATTGGCCTTTAGTAGTCATAGATTTAAAAGACTGTTTCTTTACTATCCCCTTAGCTGAACAAGACTGTGAATGGTTTGCATTTACAATTCCTGCAGTAAACAACCTGCAGCCTGCTAAGCGTTTTCATTGTTTCACAGATGTGTCTAGTAATGGTAAAGCTTCTTAGTTTGGCTCAAAAAGTAAAGTTTTCAGACGCCCTATACTTCAGCTCAAAAAGCTGAGTAGCTGTAATTGAGTTATTGACTGCTTTTGATATACCTATTAATGTGATTTCTGATTCTTCATACGTGGTTCATTCCACACAGTTAATTGAAAATGCTCAATTACAATTTCATACAGATGAACAACTGATGACTTTATTTACCCAATTGCAAACAGCAGTTAGAAGTAGAATGCACCATTTTTGCATCACTCACATTTGGGCTCATACACCTCTTCTAGGACCTTTGACTGAAGGGAATCAAATGGCTGATCACTTAGTTGCTAATGCAATATCTAATGCTAGACATTTTGACCATTTAACCCACGTTAATGCCTCTGGTCTCAAATGCAGATACAGCATTACCTGGAAAGAAGCTAAAAATATTATCCACTGATGCCCAACTTGCCAAATGATACATTCCTCATCTTTTACAGGAGGAGTTAATCTTCAAGGATTGGAACCTAACTCGGTTTGGCAAATGGATGTCACACATGTTCCCTCGTTTGGGAGACTAGCTTATGTACATGTATGTGTGGGCACCTTTTCTCACTTTGTCTGGGCTTACATGCCAAACAGGAGAGTCTTCTGCCTGTGTTAAATGTCATCTTTTGCAGTGTTTTGTGGTGATGGGCATTCCCGCTTCTATAAAAACAGATAATGCCCCAGGCTATACTAGCCAAGTTCTAGCTACATTTTTCTCTATGAGGAATATTAAACACATTACTGGTATCCCGTACAATTCTCAAGGACAAGCCATAGTGGAAAGAATGAATCTCTCCCTAAAACAGCAGTTGCAAAAGCAGAAAGGGGGAGACAGAGAATATGGAACACCACAGGAGCAACTGAATCTGGCATTATTAACTTTAAATTTTTTGAGCCTGCCCAAAGGCCAGATGTTATCAGCAGCTGAACAGCATCTACAGAAACCAGCTGCAAAGACAGAAGCAGAAGAATGATTTGGCAGAGAGATCCAATAACAAAAATTTGGGAAATAGGTAAAATAATAACTTGGGGTAGAGGTTATGCTTGTGTTTCTCCAGGCCAAAATCATCAGTCAGTTTGGATACCATCAAGACACCTGAAATCTTGTCATGGGCCAGATGCCAAGGAAGAGATTCCGGGAGGATCCTGAGGACCCCCCCGGTTGCAGCCATGTCAAGGCTGGTGCCGAGGAGGACCCCAACTGTCACGAGCAACACCCATCGAATACAGCCACCGACCTGGAGACAGATCAAGAAGCTGTCACAGATCCAGGAAGACAACCTGAGGAAAGCAGGACAACCACTCACAGTGAATAATTTAATGGTAGCTATGATGGCAGTGATCACCATTTCTGTGAGTATTCCTTCAACAAAGGCTGACACAGAGAACAATTGTACTTATTAGGCATATTTATCAATCTTAGCTGGTAATAATGCCTGGATGTAAATCACTGTATGACACAGTTACACATGCTTTCTGATCTCAGTATTTACCATAATAAATCTGCTCCTGTAATTGAGGCATACAACCCCCAAAAACCTATTTGTAAACAGGATTGGACTCAGTTAGAAAAAATGAACGTATTTGTTTAGCAAGATTGCATTGCAGAACAGGCAGAGGTGCTGCACAATGATTCCCATGGAATCATTATTGACTGGTCCCCTAAGGGATATTTAGCTTGAATTGCACTTCTCAGTCTATGTGTCACGTTCACACTATGTTCAGCAGATCTGAACAAAATGGTCAGATGGTAGAAAAGATAAGTGAGGGGAAAAGAAAGAGAAATCAGACTGTTACTGTGTCTATGTAGAAAGAAGTAGACATAAGAGACTCCATTTTGTTCTGTACTAATAGAAATTCTTCTGTCTTGAGATGCTGTGAATCTGTAACCCTAGCTCCAACCCTGTGCTTGCAGAGACATGTGCTGTGTCAACTCAAGGTTTAATGGATTTAGGGCTGTGCAGGATGTGCTTTGTTTAAAAAGTGCTTAAAGGCAGTATGCTTGGTAAAAGTCATCCCCATTCTCTAATCTCAAATACCCAAGGACACAATACACTGCGGAAGGCCGCAGGGACCTCTGCCTCAGAAAACCAGGTATTGTCCAAGGTTTCTCCCCATGTGATAGCCTGAGATATTGTCTCATGGGAAGTGAAAGACCTGACTGTCCCCCAGCCTGACTCCCATAAAGGGTCTGTGCTGAAGAGGATTAATAAAAGAGGAAGGCCTCTGCAGTTAAGATAAGAGGAAGGCATCTGTCTCCTGCTCCTCCCTAAAAATAAAATGTCTTGGTGTAAAACCTGATCGTATGTTCTGTTTACTGAGATAAGAGAAAACCACCTTAGGGCTAGAGGTAAAACATGCTGGCAGCAATACTACCATTTAATGCACTGAAATGTTTGTGTACGTACACATCAAAACACAGCACCTTTCCTTAAACTTATTCATAACACAGAGATCTTTGTTCACATGTTTTCCTGCTGACCCTCTCCCCACTATTACCCTATTGTCCTGCCACATCCCCCTCTCTGAGACGGTAGAGATAATGATCAATAAATAGTGAGGAATCTCAGAGACCAGTGCCTGTGCAGGACCTCCATATGCTGAGCGCCGGTCCTTTCTCTATACTTTGTTCTTTCTCTATACTTTGTCTCTGTGTCTTATTTCTTTTCTCAGTCTCTCGTCCCACCTGACAAAAAAGACTCACAGGTGTAGAGGGGCTGGCCACCTTCACCTGGTGTCTAATGTGGGGCTTTTCTCTAGGGTAAACCTACGCTTGAGCGTGGTTATTGAGGACAAGTCAACGAGAGATTCCCAAGTACTTCTACGGTCAGCCTTGCGGTAAGCTCCTGAGCTCGAAAAAAGCCAGGGTAACAATGGGACAAGCTAAAAGTAAATATGCCTCTTATCTCAGCTTTATTAAAATTCTTTTAAGAAAAGGGGGAGTTAGAGTCTCTACAGAAAATCTAATCAAGCTATTTGAAACAATAGAACAATTCTGCCCATGGTTTCCAGAACAGGGAACTTTAGATCTAAAAGATTGGGAAAAAATTGGCAAAGAATTAAAACAGAGAAGTAGGGAGGGTAAAATCATCCCACTTATGGTATGGAATGATTGGGCCATTATTAAAGCAGCTTTAAAACCGTTTCAAACAGGAGAAGACAGCGTTTCAGTTTCTGATGGCCCTAAAAGCTATGTAATAGATTGTGAAGAAGAGACAGGGACAGAATCCCAGAAAGGAACGGAAAGTTCACATTGTAAATATGTAGCAGAGTCTGTAATGGGTCGGTCAAAGCAAAATGTTGACTACAATCAATTACAAGAGGTAATATATTCTGAAACATTAAAGTTAAAAGAAAAAGGTCCAGAATCATCGGGGTCATAGGGGCTAAAACCACGATGGCCACCTCCTCCTCAGCCAAGTGAGTGCTGGGGGAGGGAGCCTGAAACTAGGCTCACTGCAACTTGGCTCGCTGTGCCCATTATTGCCCAACTTACAGTTCATTATGGTGAAGGAGCAATTCAGACTTGCCTTGCAGCATCCTGTCTGAGTCAAACAGTGGCTGCTCCCTAAGGAAAATTTGGGGGCGCTACATAAAATAGTTAAAAAACTACTTAAAAAGGACACGTTTCACCCACTTTCTCTCCTTAGAATTCTCCTGTGTTTGTAATTCAGAAAAAATCCAGCAGATGGTGTATGTTAACTGACTTAAGAGCCGTAAATGCCATCATTCAACCCATGGGGCCTCTTCAACTCGGGTTGTCCTCTCTGGTCATGATCCCAAAAGACTGGCCTTTAATTATAATTGATCTAAAGGATTGCTTTTTTACCATTTTTCTGGTGGAGAAAGATTTTGAAAAATTTGCCTTTACTATACCAGCCATAAATTATAAGGAACCAGCCACCAGGTCTCAGTGGAAAGTGTTACCTCAGGGAATGCTTAATAGTCCAACTATTTGTCAGACTTTCGTAGGTCAAGCTCTTCAACCAGTTAGAGATAAGTTTTCAGACTGTTATATCATTCATTATGTTGATGATATTTTGTGTGCTGCAGAAACAAGAGACAAATTAACTGACTGTTACACATTTCTGCAAGCAGAGGTTGCCAACGCAAGACTGGCAATAGCATCTGATAAGATTCAAACCTCTACTCCTTTTCATTATTTAGAGATGCAGATAGAAAATAGAAAAATTAAGCCACAAAAAGTAGAAATAAGAAAAGACACATTAAAAACATTAAATGACTTTCAAAACTTGCTAGGAGATATTAATTACATTCAGCCAACTCTAGGCATTCCTACTTATGCCATGTCAAATTTGTTCTCTATCTTAAGAGGGGACCCAGACTTAAATAGTAAAAGAATATTAACCCCAGAGGCAACAAAAAAAATTAAGTTAGTAAAAGAAAAAAATCAGTCAGCACAAAGGTCCCTTAACCCCACTCCAACTTTTGATTTTTGCTACTGCACATTCTCCAACAGACATCATTGTTCAAAATACTGATCTTGTGGAGTGGTCATTCCTTCCTCACAGTACAATTAAGACTTTTACATTGTTCTTGGATCAAATAGCTACATTAATTGGTCAGGCAAGATTACAAATAATAAAATTGTGTGAAAATGACGCAGACAAAATAGTTGTTCCTTTAAACAAGGAACAGGTTAGACAAGCCTTTATCAATTCTGATGCATGGCAGATTGGTCTTACTAATTTTGTGGGAATTATTGATAATCATTACCCAAAAACAAAAATCTTCCAGTTTTTAAAATTGACTACTTGGATTTTACCTAAAATTACCAGACATAAACCTTTGGAAAATGCTCTGACAGTGTTTACTGATGCTTCCAGCAATAGAAAAGCAGCTTACACAGGGCCAAAACAGCGAGTCATCAAAACTCAATATCAATCGGCTCAAAGAGCAGAGTTGGTTGCAGTCATTACAGTGTTATAAGACTTTGATCAACCTATTAATATTGTATCAGATTCTGCATATGTAGCGCAGGCTACAAGGGATGTTGAGACAGCTCTAATTAAATATAGCATAGATGATCAGTTAAACGAGCTGTTCAGTTTATTACAACAAACTGAAAAAAAAATTTCCCATTTCATATTACTCATATTTTAGCACACACTAATTTACCAGGGCCTTTAGCTAAAGCAAATGAACAAGCTGACTTACTGGTACCATCTGCATTCATAAAAGCACAAGAACTTCATGCTTTGACTCATGTAAATGCAGCAGGATTAAAAAACAAATTTGATGTCACATGAAAACAGGCAAAAGATATTGTACAACATTGCACCCAGTGTCAAGTCCTACACCTGCCCACTCAAGAGGCAGGAGTTAATCCCAGAAGTCTATGTCCTAATGCATTATGGCAAATAGATGTCACACATGTACCTTCATTTAAAAGATTATGATGTGTCCGTGTAACAGTTGGTACTTATTCACATTTCATGTGGGCAACTTGCCAGACAGGAGAAAGTACTTCCCATGTGAAAAAACATTTATTATCTTGTTTTGCTGTCATGGGAGTTCCAGAAAAAAATCAAAACTGACAATGCACCTGGATACTATAGTAAAGCTTTCCAAAAATTCTGAAATCAGTAGAAAATTACACACAAAACAGGAATTCCCTATAATTCCCAAGGACAGGCCATAGTTAAAAAAACTAATAGAACACTCAAAACTCAGTTAAAGAGAAGGGGGAGACAGTAAGGAGTGTACCACTCCTCAGATGCAACTTAATCTAGCACTCTATACTTTAAATGTTTTAAACACTTATAGAAATCAGACTACTACCTCTGCAAAACAACATCTTACTGGTAAAAAGAACAGCCTACGTGAAGGAAAACTGATTTGATAAAAAGACAACAACAATAAGACATGAGAAATAGGGAAGGTGGTAACGTGGGGGAGAGGTTTTGCTTGTGTTTCACCAGGAGAAAATCAGCTTCCTGTTTAGATACCCACTAGACATTTAAAGTTCTACAATGAACCCATTAGAGATGCAAACAAACAAAAAAAAAAGCGCCTCCACAGAGACGGAAACACCGCAATCGAGCACCATTGACTCACAAGATAAACAAAATGGTGATGTCAAAAAAACAGATGAAGTTGCCATCCACCACGAAGGCGGAGCTGCCAACTTGGGCACAATTTAAAAGCTGACACAGTTAGCTTAAAAAAGCCTAGAGAACACAAAGGTGACACAAACTCCAGAGAACACGCTGCTTGCAGCTTTGATGATTGTATCAACGGTGGTAAGTCTCCCCACGCCTGCAGGAGCAGCTGCAGCTAATTATACCTACTGGGCCTATGTGCCTTTCCCGCCCTTAATTCGGGCAGTCTCATGGATGGATAATCCTATTGAAGTATACGTTAATAATAGTGTATGGGTACCTGGCCCCACAGATGATCGTTGCCCTGCCAAACCTGAGGAAGAAGGAATGATGATAAATATTTCCACTGGGTATCATTATCCTCCTATTTGCCTCGGGAGAGCACCAGGATGTTTAATGCCTGCAGTCAAAAATTGGTTGGTAGAAGTACCTACTGTCGGTACCACCAGTAGATTCACTAATCACGCGGTAAGTGGAATGTCACTCAGGCCACAGGTAAATTATTTACAAGACTTTTCTTATCAAAGATCATTAAAATTTAGGCCTAAAGGAAAGCCTTACCCCCAAAAAATCCCAAAGGATCAAAAGACACAAAAGTTTTAGTTTGGGAAGAATGTGTGGCCAATAGTGCGGTGATATTACAAAATGATAAATTCGGAACTATTATAGATTGGGCACCTCGAGGTCAATTCTACCACAATTGCACAGGACAAACTCAGTCATGTCCCAGTGCAGAAGTGAGTCCAGCTGTTAACAGTGACTTAACAAAAAGTTTAGCCAAACATAAGCACAAAAAATTGCCGTCTTTCTACCCTTGGGAATGGGGAGAAAAAAAAATCTCTACTCCAAGAACAAAGATAATAAGTTCTGTTTCTGGTCCTGAACATCCAAAATTATAGAGTCTTACTGTGGCCTCATACCGCATTAAAATTTGGTCTGGAAATCAAGCTATAGAAACAAGAGATCGTAAGCCATTTTATACTATCGACCTAAATTCCAGTCTAACAGTTCCTTTGCAAAGTTGTGTAAAGCCCCCTTATATGCTAGTTGTAGGAAATATAGTTATTAAACCAGACTCCCTTGTTGCCCATGTTGGTCTCAAACTTCTGGGCTCAAATGACCTGCCTGCCTCAACTTCCCAAAGTGCTGGGATTACCCAGCTGGGCCACGACTCCCGTCTGATCTTGCAATTTTCCAGAGGAGGAAGACCAAGGCAGCCTATTGGCCCTTCCAGGCCATCTCGTGGGAGTCAGCCACACCTATTTTCTACTCACCTCAGAGCTTCTCAGGATAACTTGGTGAAATGTCTCCCGTTGTGAGCCTCAGTGAGCCCCCCTTAACATAGAGGTGAGGAATAAGACTGGAAAAGCTCAGTCACAGTGACAGTGACCCCTGAAATGACTGGCAAAATACAGTGTGTGGCTTTTCTTCTCGAGAGGTTAGTGCTCAGTTTGTTTGTTTGTTTGTTTGTTTGTTTTTGAGACTGACTCTCGCCCTGTGGCCCAGGCTGGAGTGCAGTGGTGCGATCTCGGCTCACTGCAACCTCCACCTCCCGGGTTCAAGCGATTCTCCTGCCTCAGCCTCTCGAATAGCTGGGATCAGAGTTGGTTTTCAATATTCTTTTGGGTTGTGGGAGAAAAATGTTTGAAGACCTTGTCCCTATGGATCTGTGCCCCCAGGACCTCTCTGACCTCATCTATCTGTGCCCTCCTTTCTTCCACTGCTCCACCCACACGGGCCACTTTCCTCTTCCTGGGGCTGAGATTGCTCCTGTCTCAGGGCCTTTGCTTGAGCTGTCCCTCTGCCTAGGACTCTCTGTCCCCTCAGCTGCAAGTGACAAGCATCATTTCTTCCCTAGGTGTTTGTTCTGGTATCACCTTCTGTGTGGAAACCTTTGTGATCTCACACAGATCCGCATTTGACATTGCAGCTGTGAGCCCAGGACTTCTCAGACAGATCTCAGTTAATTTAGAAAGTTTATTTCACCAAGGTTGAGGACACACCCGTGGCACAGCCTCAGGAATTCCTGATGACATGTGCCCCAGGTGGACGGGGCACAGCTTAATTTTATACACTTTAGGGAGACACCAGTCAATATAGTAACAAGTACGTTGGTTTGGTCTGGAAAGGCAGGACAACTTTAAACAAAGCCAGGGAGACTTGAACTTGAAGCAGGGAGGGGGCTTCCAGGTCACAGATAAGTGAGGCACAAATGGTTGCGATCTTTTGAGGTTCTTTTTTTCTTTTGAGATGAAGTCTTGCTCTGTGGCCCAGGCTGGAGTGCAATGGCAGGATCTTGACTCACTCCAACCTCTGCCTCCTGCATTCAGGTGATTCTCCTGCCTCAGCTTCCCAAGTAGCTGGGACTACAGGTGCATGCCACCATGCTCAGATAACTTTTGTATTTTTAGTAGAGATGTTTCACCATGTTGGCCGGGCTAGTCTTGAACCCTTCACCCCAAGTGATCTGCCTGCCTTGGCCTCCCAAAGTGCTGGGATTACAGTCCTGAGGCACTGTGCTGGGTCCTTCTTTTGAGTTTCTGATTAGCGTTGCCAAAGGAGGCACTCAGATAAGCATGTATGTCAGGGAGCAGAGTGGTGACTTTGAATAGAAGGTGAGTCTGGTTTTCTAAGCAGTACCTAGCTTGACTTTTCCCTTTTGCTTAGTGATTTGGGGTCCCCAAATTTATTTTCCTTTCACACAGCCCAACCCTCACACCACCTCTGGTCTATCTTGCCTGTTCTGTGTGATTACTTTTGTGCCTTTGTCATCCACTCTCTGGATCCTAGTGAGCACAAGGCCCCAAGGGGAGGGCGGAGCAAGAACTTGGGGCTGTGCTGGGCTCGCCCCATCTGAGTGGAGCTCAACCCTGGCTTCACATTAGAGTGCAGAGCATTTTGCAAATAGAGCTTTTGTGTTGCTTTAGCAGGGATTCTTATTCTGATGGGTTGGAACCCACCCTCAGTAATACCTGCAGTGGCGCAGGTGCTTGTCATCTGTGTGCAGCATTGAGCATGGAAGCTCTGTGTCCTCCATTTCTGAGTGCTGAGCTCAGCCTGTGATCCACAGAGAGTGAGGGGCTGTCCTCCAGATGGGGATTGATGAGGGATGAGGGACGAGTCTGTGCCGAGGGGAGATCAATCCAGCCCAGCTCCCCCCCGCCCCCCCGTTACCTCGTATGTGGGTGTTTTCTAGGAGGGGAGTGAGATCTGAAGACCTGGGTCAAATATACACTTGTAGGTCTTCCTGTGGGACTTTCTTATCTCTGCATGATCTCTGGTGCAGTGGGAAGCAGACGACCATCTTTCTACGGGTGAAATCTCTCCTGTCTGTGGGTTTTTGCCCCAGGAAGGGAATGAGTCATTTCTAACATGAAGTCTCATATTTTTTTTTGTGGGGAGAAGAAAGAGAGATCAGATTGTTACTGTGTCTATATAGAAAAGGAAGACATAAGAAACTCCATTTTGATCTGTATGAAGCAAAACTGTTCTGCTTTGAGATACTATAAATCTGTAAATTTAGCCCCAACCCTGTGCTCACGGAAACATGTGCTGTATTGAATCAAGGTTTAATGGATTTAGGGCTGTGTGGGCTGTGCCTTGTTAACAGTATTTTTGCATGCAGTATGCTTTGTAAAAGTCATGCCATTCTCCATTCTCTATTAACCAGGGACACAATGCACTGCGGAAAGCCACAGGGACCTCTGCCCAAGTAAGCCTGGGTATTGTCCAAGGTTTCCACCCACTGAGACAGCCTGAGATATGGTCTTGTGGGAAAGGAAAGACCTTATATCCCCCAGCCCAACACCAGTGAAGGGTCTGTGCTGAGGAGGATTAGTGAAAGAGGGAGGCCTCTTTTCAATTGAGATAAGAGGAAGGCATCTGTCTCCTGCTCGTCCTGGGAATGGAATGTCTAGGTGTAAAGCTGACCATTCTTTGTATTCTGAGATAGGAGAAAACTGCCCTGTGGCTGGAGGTGAGATATGCTGGCAGCAATACTGCTCTGTGACTCTTTGCTACGCTGAGATGTTTGTGTAAAGTGAAACATAAATCTGGCCTACGTGCACATCCAGTGAAGGGCGCCAGCCCCTCCACACCTGTGAGTATTTCTCATCAGGTGGGACGAGAGACAGAGAAAAGAAATAAGACACAGAGACAAAGTATAGGGAAAGTACAGTGGGCCCAGGGGACCAGCGCTCAGCATACGGAGGACCCGCACAGTCTCTGAGTTTCCTCAGTGTTTATTGATCATTATTTTTACTATCTTAGTGAGGGGAGTGTAGCAGGGCAACAGGTGGGGAGAAGGTCAGCAGGGAAACATGTGAACAAAGGAATCTGTATCATGAATAAGTTCAAGGAAAGGAACTGTGCCCCAATGTTCACATAGGCTAGATTTATGTTTCTCTTCACCCAAACATCTCCGTGTGGGAAAGAGTAACAGAGCGGTATTGCTGCCCGCATATCTCGCCCCCGCCCACAGGGCGGTTTTCTCCTATCTCAGAATAGAACGAATGGGAATGGTCAGCTCTATACTGAGACATTCCATTCCCAGGGATGAGCAGGAGACAGAAGCCTTCCTCTTATCTCAACTGCAAAGAGGCCTCCCTCTTTCACTACTCCTCCTCAGCACAGACCCTTTATGGGTGGGCTGGCAGATGGTAAGGCCTTTCCTATCCCATGAGGCCATATCTCAGGCTGTCTCAGTGGGGGTAAACCTTGGACAAAACCCAGGGTTTCTTGGGCAGAGGTCCCTGCGGCTTTCCACAGTGCATTTTCTCCCTGGTTAATTGAGAATGGCGAATGGCGATGACTTTTACCAAGCATACTGCCTGCAAACATGGTTAACAAGGCACATCCTGGCCGGGCATGGTGGCTCACGCCTGTAATCCCAGCACTTTGGGAAGCCGAGGCGGGTCAGGAGTTCGAGACCAGCCTGACCAACATGTTGAAAACCCGTCTCTACTAAAAATACAAAAATTAGCCGGGCGTAGTGGCCGGTGCCTGTAATCCCGGCTACTCGGGAGGCTGAGGCAGGAGAATCGCTTGACCCAGGTGGCAGAGGTGGCAGTGAGCCGAGATCATGCCACTGCACTGCAGCCAGCACGACAAAATGAGACTCCACCTCCGAAAAACAAAACAAATCAAGGCACATCCTGCACAGCCCTAAATCCATTAAACCTTGATTCAATACAGCACATGTTTCTGTGAGCACAGGGTTGGGGCTAAAGTTACAGGTTAACAGCATCTCAAAGCAGAAACAATTTTTCTTAGTACAGATCAAAATCGAGTTCCCTTTTCTACATAGACACAGTATCAATCTGATCTCTCTTTCTTTTCCCTACAATCCAGGCACAGTACATTTCCTTAAGCTTATTCACGATACAGATTCCTTTGCTCACGTTTCCCTGCTGACCTTCTCCCCACCATCACCCTGTTGCCCTGCTGCACTCCCCTTGCCAAGATAGTAAAAATAGTCATCAATAAATACTGAGGGAACTCAGAGACCAGCGCTGGTGCGGGTCTTCGCATGCTGAGTGTGCCTGTCCTTTGGGCCCACTGTTCTTTCTCTATACTTTGTCTTTGTGTCTTATTTGTTTTCTCAGTCTCTCGTCTCCACCTGACGAGAAATATCCACAGGTGTGGAGTGGCAGGCCCCTTTCATTTTTCACATTCGGGATTGATTTCTAAAGACTAATGTTACATGAGGAAGCAGCTCAGAAGAGGAAAGGAAAGGAGCCAGGGCTGGCTCTTCCTCAGGTGAAGTGATATTCCTCTGTGGATTAATCTGTGTCTTTCTTTTCTGAAATGCCAGGTATTGTAGCAGCCAGTCTTTTCCGAGTCTGAAGCATTTTGCCTGACACATTCACTCACACTCACCCATGCCTGCCCTCAGTTCCTCTCAGCTGCTCTGAGATTCCATCTCCTGTGACCCAGTGACAAGAACTTCTTAAGAAGCTCCACTGGGCATGGTCCTGGGAGGGGCTCACACCCAGACATGGATGGACACGGGGTGTGGGCACCATGGTGTCAGTGCTGCTGGGCAGCCTGGATGGTTCAGGGGCCACATCTGGATGTCAGCTCTTTGTGGACCAGATCAGAGAAATAACATGTGAAATATATATGTTAATGTGCACAGATAACCGGTAAATTCTGAAAAAGAGACCAATAAGGGGAGATATTTTGTATCTGATTTACTAATGCATTTGACTCCACAATTTGGGGGCGGGGCCTGGTTAGAAGGTGGGGGCGGGGCCTGGGGTGAGTCAAGAGGGAGGAGGCTGGAGGCCAGGCTGGACAGCGGGTCGGTGCTGGGGGGCCGGAGGTTTACCCTGGTCTTGGAGGCGGGGCCTGAAATGGGGTGTTGTTCTTAAGGGCGGGGCCTGGCAGCGATGCGTCGGGGCTCTCTCCTCAGCTGGGTCCATGATGTGGCCTGCTGTCATCCTCTTGATCTCCAGCACTCGATCCCCCGGGTTCTGATTGGTGGATTGTTTCTGATGTGCCGTCATATTACCCCTAATATCACAGGGAGGCTTCCTGCCCGTTTTCAGTTAACATTTCAAACAATCGAAGGTAAAATAACATTTGGTAGTGGGCCATTTTGTACTGAATGCTGAATCGTTTTTTCTCCCAAGTTGAAAATGGTTTTAAGGCAAAGTGCCTTTTTTGAGCAGGTGGAGTCGCGCGTCCTGCAGGCGGGGCAAGCTCCCCTCAGGCTGGGACAGGTTGGGGTACAGGGGCAGGTACCTCGGTAAAGGGGTGGAGTGGGGCGCTGCTTACAACGGGGACTGATAATTTGAATGGCTTAGTAAACCAAGCAAGGTCCTGGGTTGTTTGAGCGGATAATGAAAGTAGAAAGGTGACATATAGAACTGCCTATTATACACAGAAGGTGGAAGAAAATTTCTTATTTCATGGAAATAAAGCCAGAACTCCGAGCGGTGGGTCACACCTGTCATCCCAGCACTTTGAGAGGCCAATGCCGGAGGATTGCTTGAGCCCAGGAGTGTGTGATCAGCCTGAGCAACATAGTGAGACCTCGTCTCTACTAAAAATAAAAAAACTCAGCCAGGTGTGGTGGTGCACACCTGTGTTCTCGGCTGCTTTGGGCACTGAGATTGAAACATCACTTGAGCCAGGGAGTTGGACGCTGCACTGATCCCTGATCTCACTAGCACACTCTAACCTGGATGACAGAGCTGGACCCTGTCTCAAACAAACAAGCAAATAAGTGAGAGGCATAATTCCTCCTTCGAAAATAAAGTAAGAGATTTTCTTTCCTGTAGACTCTTTTCTTAGGACATTTATTTAGAAAATGTGTAAATGAATTTTCTCTGTCTTCTGAAACAGTATTTTTTTTTTTTTGAGATGGAGTTTCGCTCTTGTAGCCCACGCTGGAGTGGAATGGCGTGATCTCCGCTCGCGGCATCCTCTGTCTCCCAGGTTCAAGAGATTCTCCTGCCTCAGCTTCCCGAGTAGCTGGGATTGCAGGCATGTGCCACCATGCCCAGTTAATTTCGTATTTTTAATAGAGAAGGGTTTTTTCCATGTTGGTCAGGCTGGCCTCAAACTACGACCTCAGGCGATCCGCCCGCCTCTGCCTCCCAAAGTGCTGGGATTACAGGCGTGAGCCACCGCGCTCGGACAGAAATGGAATTTTTTTAGAAACTAACTAAACCGCTTTTTAGCTTAATGACCCAGGAATGTATTTCCGAAGGACTTGGGAGCTCTGTCTGAAAGGCAAACAACAGAGATAGCACTTGTGTCTCAGTAGGAAATTAAGTAATTCAAATATCAAGTGATTCCAATTTAAAGCCATGGACCTTTAAATAATTCTGAGCCTTGAGAGGAATGTGGTCATGCAACCTGAGTTCAGAGGAATGCAGGCGCAACTTCTAGGAGTTTTTCTGTAAATAATTTGGAAAACTGGCCGTGAACAGTGGGTCACGCCTGTCATCCCAGCACTTTGGGAGACTGATTCTGGCAGATCACGAGGTCAAGAGATAGAGATTATACTGGCCAACATGGTGAAATCTCATCCCTAAAAAAAATACAAAAATCAGCTGGGCATGTTGGTGCTTGCCTGTAGTACCATCTATTCGGGAGGCTGAGCCACGAGAATTACTTGAACCAGGGAGTCGGAGGTTGCAGTGAGCCGAGATTGCACCACTGCACTCCAGCCTGGTGACAGAGCGAGACTCCATCTCAAAATAAATAAATAAATAACAATAACAATAAAAAAATTAGGAAGACTACAGAGCCCCAGTGATAAGACCTCCTCAGAGCATTGTCCCTTCTTATGTAATGATAAAGTAACTTTCCTTGAAGTGTATCAAATCATCACCAGTCAAGTTGCTGCAGCCTGTGCACTGGTCTTGAATGGAAAGTGTGGTGATTCTGCTAAAGCTTCTCTGTCTTTCCCTGTGTGTGAAACCTTAACGTCTCTACTTGGGAACGCTGATCCCATTCATTTGGAGTTGATGTTTCCAGGTGGCTTTCTTCAAGCTCTGTGTTCACATTAACTCTGTACTTAATCATATACTTTAAATTTTATTATTTACTGCTGACATCAGTGTCTGTCGTATGGTAGGAGCCTCACCAGAGAGGGCACCTGTCGCCATGTTGTAAAACTCACACTTGCCAAAAAGACATGGGTTAGAGTTTCTCCCCCTCCCTCAGGATGACGCTAGTTAGCTGACACAGATGGTCACCTCCATTACCAAGTAGAGCCAGGATGAACTATGTGTGACCAAGGGTGTTGTCAAGTCCTCTTCCTTGAGGACTGATTAGTATTTATCTTGAAAATATGTCCTTAATGGGTTGTATAGAACAGTGAAGTTTCTTTCTCTCTTTTCAATCTTTTAGCTGTTTGCCTCTATTTCCCATCACATTCTGGTCTAAGGTTTATTTATTAATAAAATGGTTTTTATTTCTTTCTCTGTTATCGTCGTGGAGATGATTTCTCATTTGGGAGGAGACTTTTTAGTTTTCAGTTATATTTTGTCAACATTTAAAAAGCGAAGCAAAGAATATTTCTGCGGCATGGCACGGTGGCTCACGCCTGTAATCTCAGCAGTTTGGGAGGCGGAGGCGGGTGGATCACGAGGTCTAGAGATCGAGACCATCCTGGCCAACATGGTGAAACACCGTCTCTACTAAAAAAAAATACAAAAAAAAAAAAACCCAAAAAAATTAGCCAGGCGTGGTAGCGGGAGCCTGTGGTCCCAGCTACTCCGGAGGCTGAGGCAGGAGAATGGCGTGAACCCGGGAGGCGGAGCTTGCAGTGAGTCGAGATTGCGCCACTGCACTCCAGCCTGGGCGACAGAGTGAGACTCCGTTTAAAAAAAAAAAAAAAAAAAAAAAGAATATTTCTGGCCGGGCGCGGTGGCTCACGCCTGTAATCCCAGCACTTTGGGAGGCCGACGCGGGCGGATCACAAGGTCAGGAGATAGAGACCGTCCTGGCTAACTCGATGAAATCCCATCTCTACTAAAAATACAAAAAATTAGCCAGGCATGTTGGCTCACGCCGTAACCCCAGCACTTTAGGAGGCTGAGGCAGGCAAATAACTTGGAGTGAGGAGTCCGATACCGGCCTGGTCAACATGGTCAACCCCGTCTCTACTAAAAATACAAAAATTAGCCTGGCATGGTGGCGCACGCCTGTAATGCCAGCTGTTCCCAAGGCTGGGGCAGGAGAATCGCTTGAACCCAGGAGGCAGAGGATGCATTTAGTCGAGATCTCGCCACTGCACTCCAGCCTGGGCAACAGAGAAATACTCTGTCTCAAAAATAATAATAATAATAATAATAATAATAATAATAATACAAGAAAGTAATAGATCTCTTCCATAAATGTGCTAGGACAACTATCTGGATATCCACATGGAAAAGAATAATGTTGGATCCCTATGTCACACAATCAAAAATTTTATTTGCGAAAGTTTTTTTTAAAAAAAAAGAGAGAGAGAGAGACAAGAAAGGGAGACCGCGGCAGTGGGCGTTATTTTGTCGCTCAGGCTGGCTTGGAACCCGAGGCTCAGGGATCCTCCCGCCGCTGCTTCCTGAGTAGCTGGGACCTCAGGCTCCCGCCCCCGCGCCTCTGCTGTCTTTAAGCAGCAGGTGGTGACCTCACTCCTTCTCGGCCTGAGCACTCCGTCCGGCATTCCAGGCGGTGGCTTCAGGGAAGTCTCTGAAGCTGAGCACAGGGCGGAGTCTCCTTCCGGAGTGAATGGACAATAGAAAGGGAGAGGATATCTATCTGTTCTGTGGGACCTCAGCATGACATGGTACATACCGCCCAGGCAGGGCTTTGCATTTCACATTCTAGTTTGTATCCCTGTTCCAGACAATTACAGTGTAGCAGGACGAGTCGCAGACAAAACCTCTCAGACACCGAGTTGTAGAAGGAAGGGCTTTATTCAGCTGGGAGCATTGGCAAGCTACTGCCTTAAAATCCAAGCTCCCCGAGTGCACAATTTCTGTCCCTTTTAAGGGCTCACAACACTAAAGATTTCAGATGAAAGGATAGTGACTGATTGAGCAAGCAAGGGATACGTGACAGGGGCTGCATGCACCGGTGATCAGGGAGAGAGAGAACAGGGCAGGAGTTTCACCGTGTTCTTCTATACAATGTCTGGAATCTATGCCTAACATCAGCTTCTAAATCATAAGTTGATTTTTAACTACTGGGTTTAGGCCAGGCGGATCCAGGCCTGGTTTCGGGCCTGGCGCGGGGCTGCCTGTCTTTGGTTTTACTTCCTGTTGTTTTTACTGACTATAAAACAATATAAAACAATGTCAGAGGGTCTCTCTCTTCTCTCAACAGGGCTTTTGTATCATGCCTCAGACTTTCTGGCGCTCTCGCCTCCAAAACCTGAAAACAGAGACGCTGGGAGCGAGGCTGAGAGACGCGCAGATCCCGCCCCGGCCCTGCCCTCTGCCGGTTCTAAAAGGCAAGGTCTCTCCGCCTCGCGCCCCGCCCCTACCTCGCCCAGGCCCCGCCTACCTCCCACTTCCCGCCCAGGCCTGGCTTTTGTCCTGCGCGCGCAGATTAACGCAAACCCGGAAGCGGATCGGGTGGAGTGTAGGTCATATCGCCGCGGTGAGTTTTGCTCTGTGTTGTATTAAGTCTGCGCTAACTAGGTTCCCAGGGCTTCTGTCCCTGGGACGTGGGGTCCCCACAGACCTGGAAATTCTCCGGCGTCTTCCTTTGCCCAGAGCAAATTGAGACATCCCCGTGAGAGCCCGAGGGTCGCTTCCTTTTGGGTTTAAAGTCGTCCTGAGGCTGGTCTCGTCCCCGGTCTTTCTGCTATAGGTCAATGTATACACTTTCTGTTGCGTAGTTTTCCTGCTGAAAACCTTGTTCTGACTCCTCGCGCCCCGCGCTTTTTAAAGTCTTCACCCGCGATGTGGATTCTTGCCCAGGGCGCCTCCCAGCCTCCCCCTCCTCAGCCCCGGGAGCGCCGCGCCGCAGCCCCAGTCCCGGGGAGGCCGAGTCCTCTGCCAGGTCCTGGGATCCTGCAGACCCCATCCTGGTCCTAAGGCGCCGTCGCGCCCCCCCCCCCCGCCCCGCACCTTCCTCCTCATGCCGGGGCCTGCTGCTCCCCAGGTCTCCCCTCCGCAGTCACCGCTTTCATTGAACCTGCACTGGGGAGGTCCCAGGGGCCTGTCCTGCGGCACGGGGTATTCTTGCCTGCGGAGCTCCAGGGCGTGGAAAATGCGCTCCTCCGGGATGCAGGCGTCTTACTCCAAACCGTGTTGCGATTGTGTGGGCCAAAGGAATCAGGAGACAGAGAGCAGTAGAAAACCTGAGGCAGAGAAAAGAAGAATAAGAAAGGCCCATAACAGATGGCAAAATAGAGGATTGGTGAGGGATATGCCAAGAGATGGCAGAAGTGAAAAAAAAAAAAAAAAACCTAAGAAAGCAGGAGGAGAAAAGCAACCGGAGAAATGTAGAGAAAGGCTAGATAGATGTACAGAGAGATGAAGGATCACAAGGTAGGGGGAGTGGCAGCAAAGAGGGAGACTCATCAGAGTGAGGGAGAGAGGGAAGGATTTGGAGCCAGGGCAGACAGAGCAGAGTGGTGCTTGTGTCAAGGAGAACAGAGGGAGAACCACAGCAGAGAGGACAGCTGGGATCTGGGGAGACACAGAGTGGGGACAAGGGAGTATATCGGGGAAGATGGAATTTAACAGGGAGAGCAGAGGAGGCGCAGAGATGGGAGAAGAGGCAGAAATAGATGGAGATTGAGGACGATTGAAAGATTGGGGAGAAGGAGCAATAAGAGGTTAAATAAGTTGTGAGGATGGAGGAGAAGAGGTGGAAGAGAAGGAATAAAGGGAAGAAGGGGATGAATAGCAGGAGAGGAGAGGGGTACAAAATGAAGAGCAGAATCCCAGGGAAAAAGAAAAGAAAACAAGAGCTAGAGAGAGAAGGGGAGAATGAGAGATATGTACAGAATTAGGGAGGGAAGCACAGTAATGAAGAAAGAGGGTCTGGACACAGTGGCTCACGCCTGTAGTCTGTAGTCTCCACACTTTAGGAGACTGAGGCAAGGGGATTGCTTGAGTCCAGGAGTTCGAGACCAGCTTGGGCAACATAGTGAGACCTCCCCCCCGCCAAAAAAGTAAGTAAATAACCGGGCATAATGGTGTGCACCTGTACTCCCAGCTGCTCTGGTGGCCAAGCTGGGAGGATGACTTGAGCCCAGGAGGTCCAGGCTGCAGTGAGCTGAGATCATGTGACTACACTGCAGCCTGGTCGTCAGAGCGAGACCTTGTCTCCAAACAAAAAAAAAGGGGCGAGAGACTGGGTTCAGATGAGTGGGTGAGTTCATTGGATATGATTGGTTGTGACATGTTGAGTTCTGTATATATAATCTAATAACTAAAAACTTGTTTAAATTACACAGATGAGATTGAGAATTTTAAAATTCGTATCTATAAGACATGTACATTCTATAAATCTTGGCATCAGAGGTTATGTTCCACTTGGAATCCCTATTTGCCAGAGGGCAGTCACTTATTCAGTTGTGAATCACTGTCTCCCCTTTTCCTAGGATGGGGTAGGACGTGGGTCAGTGAAGTGGGAAAATAGTCACTGTCTGTTGTTACAAAATACATTTAATTAATTAATTAATTAATATTTTGAGACAGGGTCTGACTCTATCACCCAGGCTGGTGTGCAGTGGCGTGATCTCCTCTAACTGCAGCCTCGACCTCTTAAGTTCAAGCCATCCTCCTTCCTCAGCCTTCTGAGTAGCTGAGACCAGAGGCATGAGCCACCAAGCCCGGCTAGTTTTTGTATTTTTTTTTTTTTTTGTAGAAACGGAGTTTCACTATGTTTCCTAGGCTGGTCTCAAAATCCTGGGCTCAAAGGATCCTCCTGCCTTGGCCTCCCAAATTACTGGGATTACGGGTGGGATTACAGGGAGGAGCCACCGTGTCTGGCCTACTTAGCCCTCAATACATTGAGTTATTCTGAATAACTCAATAACTCAATACTGTGAGTTATTCAGAATAACTCAATACTGTGAGTTATTCTGAATAACTCAATACTGTGAGTTATTCTGAATAACTCAATACTGTGAGTTATTCTGAATAACTCAATACTGTGAGTTATTCTGAATAACTCAATACTGTGAGTTATTCTGAATAACTCAATACTGTGAGTTATTCAGAATAACTCAATACTGTGAGTTATTCAGAATAACTCAATACTGTGAGTTATTCAGAATAACTCAATACTGTGAGTTATTCAGAATAACTCAATACTGTGAGTTATTCAGAATAACTCAATACTGTGAGTTATTCTGTTTTCTTTTTTCTTTTTTGAGATGGAGTTTTGCTCTGTCACCCAGGCTGGAGTGCAGTGGCACGATCTCAGCTCACTGCAAGCTCCGCCTCCCGGGTTCACGCCATTCTCCTGCCTCAGCCTCCGGAGTAGCTGGGAGTACAGGCTCCTGTCACCACTACCAGCTAATTTTTTGTATTATTAGTAGAGACAGGATTTCACCGTGTTAGCCAGGATGGTCTCAATCTCCTGACCTCGTGATCCGCCCGCCTCAGCCTCCCAAAGTGCTGGGATTACAGGCGTGAGCCACCCGCCCGGCCATTTTTTTTTCTTTTTTTGAGAGGGAATTTTGCTCTTGTTGCCAAGGCTGGAGTGCGATGGCATGATCTCAGCTCACCACAACCTTGGCTTCCTAGCATCAAGCGATTCTACTGCCTCAGCCTCCTGAATAGCTGGGATTACAGGCATGCACCACCACGCTCGGCTAATTTTGTGTTTTTAGTAGAGACAGGGTTTCTTCATGTTGATCCAGGCTGGTCTCTAACTCCCGACCTGAGGTGATCCACCTGCCTCGGCCTCCCAAAGTGCTGGGATTACGGGCGTAAGCCACCACGCCTAGCCCATAGTAGTTTTCAAAAGGGACATCAGGGCACGGTGGCTCAAGCCTGTAATCCCAGCACTTTGGGAAGCCAAGGTGGGTGGATCACGAGGTCAGGAGTTCGATACCAGCCTGGCCAACAGAGTGAAACCCCATCTCTACAAAAAAAAAAATACAAAAATTAGCCGGTAGTGATGGCAGACTCCTGTAATCCCACCTACTCAGGAGGCAGAGGTTTGTTTGAACCCGGGAGGCAGACGTTGCAGTGAGCCGAGATTGCGCCACTGCATGCCAGCCTGGGCAACAGAGCTAGAGTCCGTCTGAAAAAAAAATAAAGAAAAAGAAAGGAACATCAAAGCCAGGCGTGGTGGCTCATGCCTGTAATCCTAGCACTTTGGGAGCAAATCACTTAAGGTCAGGAGTTTGAGACCAGCCTGGCCTACATGATGAAACCCTGTATCTACCAAAAATACAAAAATTAGCTGAGCGTGGTGGCACACGCCTCTAATTTCAGCTACTCTGGAGGCTGAGGCAGGAGAATTATTTGGACCCAGCTGGGAGGCAGAGGTTGCAGTGAGCCACGATCGCACCACGGCACTCCAGCCTGGGTGACAGAGTGAGACTCTGTCTCCCCCACCCCCAAAAAAAAATAGCCAGGGGTGGTGGCATGCATCTGTAGTCCCATCTACTTGGGAGGCTGAGGCAGGAGAATCATGCCACTACACTCCAGCCTGAGTGATAGAGCGTGACTTGGTCTCAAAAAACAAACAAACAAAAAGAAATAACAATCAGCTCTTTAATGTCTCTCTTTATAAAAGCAGTAGTCTTGGCTGTGTGCGGGGGCTCACACTTGTAATCCCAGCACTTTGGAAGGCTGATGCGGGTGAATCACCTGAGGTAGGTGGTTCGAGACCAGCCTGACCAAAATAGAGAAACCCCGTCTCTACTAAAAATACAAAATTAGCTGGGTGTGATGGTGCATGCCTGTAATCCCAGCTACTCAGGAGGCTGAGGCAGGAGAATTGCTTGAACCCAGGAGGCAAAGTTTGCGGTGAGCCAAGATCGTGACATTGCACTCCAGCCTGGGCAACAAGAGGGAAACTCCGTCTCAAAAAGTAAACAAATAAATAAATAATAAAAATAAAAGCACTAGACCTATTCATGTGTAGTCAACACCCATGACCAAATTCTCTCACAGGCCCCATCTGCAGGAACATCCTATTGGACACAACTCTGAACATCGCTTTTGGCCAATATAATCTTTCAGACCAAGGAGCCTACATCATGTTTTTTTTTTTTTTTTTTTTTTTTTTTTTTTTTGAGACGGAGTCTGGCTCTGTCGCCCAGGCTGGAGTGCAGTGATGCAATCTCGGCTCACTGCAACCTCCACCTCCCGGGTTCATGCCATTCTCCTGCCTCAGCCTCCCGAGTAGCTGAGACTACAGGCACCCGCCACTATGCCCGGCTAATTTTTGTATTTTTAGTAGAGATGGGGTTTCACCATGTTAGCCAGGATGGTCTCGATCTCCTGACCTCGTCATCCGCCCGCCTCGGAATCCCAAAGTGCTGGGATTACAGGCTTGAGCCACCGCGCCCGGCCTACATCATGTTTTTTATGGTTTTATTGTGCAATTTGTTTTATACAATGTTTTCTGTGATCTCAGTTGATAAATTTTCCCAGTACACTTTCTATATTTTTTGCACAGTTGACTAGATAACGAAGGACAATGCATATATACAAAATTGCTGTATTGCCTGGTGATATGCAGCTGTACCTGTGACATCATAATTGCACCCTCCGACATGGTTAGTCAGTTCTTATTCCTTATAATGCTGTGTATTTACTTGAACTCATACATCAGAAGATAGTGATCTTAACACGTATTTCAATTCTTATATTGTGTGCTGGTGATAAGCAAAAGTTGTGGCTTTTTTCTTAAGAGGGAATTGTTTAGAATTCTGCAGCCTATATAAATGTACTTATTTGCTTGCTGGTTTTATCATGGGTTACAATAGTTTACTGACTAATATTTAAGATTTCACATATGGCTTTTCAGTATGTGATATGTAATATAACTGATACACTGCACTTGTTAATTTCAATAAGTGCCTGTTCTGTGTGGTTATAGGTAATTTTATGACAGGTATTCAGAAAAATATTGTATTAACATTGTTTTCTTTTTCTTTCTTTTCTTTTTTTTTTTTTTTTTTTTTTTTTTGAGATGGAGTCTCGCTCTGTCACCCAGGCTGGAATGCAGTGGCGCAATCTTGGCTCCCTGCAACCTTTCCCTCCCAGGTTCAAGCGATCCTTGTGCCTCAGTCTCCTGAGTAGCTGGGACTGCAGGCGCAAGCCACCATGCCTGGCTAATTTTGTAATCTTTTCTTATCTTCTTTGTGCTATGATTATTTGACAATACAGCATTTCCATTGATTTTGGTTACCCTTACATGAGCTTGTTGTGGATTATTTACCAGTATAGTATATTTTGTGGTCCTTTAGCATTTATTTGTATACAGAAGATATTCTGTAAATATGAAGAATATATACTTTTCATTAATGTGACAGTGATATGTTTTTTGCAAACTGTGATGCACTTTAGGGTCACAGTGGAAAAACAGTCCTTACTTTAGGCTTACACATGTTGGTGCCCTGTCAGTGTTTTGTCATGGTATTGGAAATAGGCTTCCATAGAAATGATTTGAAGGACATGTAATCTCCCTTTATTTATTAAAGAATCTTACTCCTTTTATGTTCCTAAACTTTGAAGATTATGTTTGGGAAGTTTAAAGTAAGTATTGTTTATTGTGTCATATTTACACATTTCAGTATGATTTACCGTCTGGACTTAATTGGAAACGTATTGGTGTTTATATTTTGTAGATATCTCTTCCAAATGCTTGATGAAAAAGGTGGGAGGATCACTTGAGCCAGGGAGTTGAAGGCTGCAGTGAGCCCTGTTTTTGCCACCACACTCCAGCTTGGGTGAGTGAGCTACACCCTATCTCAAACAGACAAGGAAGTAAATGAGAGGTTTAATTCCTCCTTTGAAAATAAAGAAAGAGATTTTCTTTCCTTTCATTTCTTTTCTTAGGAGATTTATTTAGAAAATTTGCAAATGCATTTTCTGTTTTCTGAGGGTAGTATTCTTTCTTTCTCTTTTCTTTTCTTTCTCGGACATGGAGTTTCACTCTTGTTGCCCAGGCTGGAGTTAAATGGTGCGATCTCGGCTCACTGCAATTTCTGTCTCTCGGGTACATGTGATTCTCCTGCCTCAGCCTCCCAAGTAGCTGGGACTACAGGCACCCGCTGTAATGCCTGGCTGATTTTTATAGTTTTGTAGAGATGGGGTTTCACCATGTTGGCCAGGCTGGTCTTGAACTTCTGATTTCAGATGATCCTCCAGCCTCGGCCTTCCAGAGTCCTGGGATTACAGGCGTGACCCACCACGCCCGGCCCAGGGATGTATTTCTGAAGAACTTGGGAGCTCACTTTGACAGGCAAACAACGGCCAGGTGCAGTGGCTCACGCCTGTAATCCCACCACTTTGGGAGGCCAAGCCTGGCCAATCCCGAGGTCAGGAGTTCAAGACCACCTGACCAACATGGTGAAAACCTGTCTCTACTAAAAATTCAAAAAAATTAGCCGGGTGTGGTGGCACATGCTTGTAGTCCCAGCTACTCAGGAGGCTGAGGCAGAATTGCTTGAACCTGGGAGGCAGAGGTTGCAGTGAGCTGAGATTGCACCACTGCACTGCAGCCTGGGCAACAAAGCGAGACTCCGTCTCAAAAAAAAAAAAAAAAAAAAGGCACACAACAAGATAGATAGTACCTGTGTCTCAGTAGGAAATTAAATAATTCAAACATCAAATGATTCAAATTTAAAGCTATGGACCTGTAAATAATTCTGAGCCTTGAGAGGAATGTGGTCATGCAAGCAGAGTCTAGCGGAATGCAGGTGCAACTTCTAAGAGTTTTTCCTGGCTGACCCTGGTGGCTCAAGCCTGTAATCCCAATACATTGATATGCCAAGGTGGGCAGATCACTTGAGGTCAGGAGTTCGAAACCAGCCTGGCCAGCTTGGTGAAACTCTGTCTCTACTAAAAATACAGAAAAATTACAGGCGCCTGCCACCACGTCCAGCTAATTTTTGTGTTAGGGTTAGTGTTAGGGTTTCTCCCCCTGCCTCGGGATGAAGCTAGTTAGCTGACAGAGATGGTCACCTCCATTACCAAGTAGAGCCAGGATGAACTATGTGTGACCAAGGGCTTTTCAAGTCCTCTTCCCTGAGGACTGATTAGTGTTTATCTTGAAAACATGTACTAAATGGGTTGTATAGTAACAGTGACGTTTCTTTCTCTCTTTTCAACCTCTTAGCTGTTTGCCTTTATTTCCCATCACATTCTGGTCTAAAGCTTATTTATTAATAAAATAGTTATTCTTTCTTTCTCTATTATCATCGTGGAGATGATTTCTCATTTGGGGCAAGACTCTTTGTTTCTCAATTATATTTTCTCACATTTAAAAAGTGAAGTAAAGAATATTTCCTGGGCCAGGCACAGTGACTCACGAGTGTAATCCCAGCACTTTGGGAGGCCAAGGCAGGCGGATCACTTGAAGTCAGGAGTTCTAGACCAGCCTGGCCAACATGGTGAAACCCCATCTCTACCAAAAATACAAAAGTTAGCTGGGCATGGTCATGTGCGCTTGTAATACCAGCTACTCCAAAGGCTGAGGCAGACGAATAGCTTCAACCCAGGAGGCAGAGGCTGCAGTGGGCCATGATCTCACAACTGCACCCCAGCACGGGCCACAGAGAAATACTCTGTCTCAAAAGTAAAAGGAAAGAAAAAAGTAAAAAAAGAGAAAGTAATTGATCTCTTTCACAAACGTGCGGGACAACTAACTGGATATCCACATTGAAAAGAATAATGTTGGATCCCTGTGTCACACCATGAAAAATTTTGTTTAAAAAGAAAAAAAAAAAAAAAAACACAAGGCCGAGCATGGTGGCTCACACCTGTAATCCCAGCACTTTGCGAGGCTGAGGCAGGTGGATCACGGGGTCAGGAGATCGAGACCATCCTGGCTAACACAGTGAAACCCCTTCTCTACTAAAAATACAAAAAAGTAGCCGGGCATCGTGGCGGGCACCTGTAGTCCCAGTTACTCAACTCTCAGGCAGGAGAATGGCGTGAACCCGGGAGGTGGAGCTTGCAGTGAGCCAAAATCATGCCACTGCACTCCAGCCTGGGTGACAGAGCAAGACTCCGTCTCAAAAAATAAAAATAAATAAAAAGGAAAGAAAAGAAAAAGAGCGCGCGAGAGAGACAATGAAGAGAGCACTGCGGGAGGGGGTGTTACTTTGTCGCCCAGGCTGGCCTGGACCCCCAGGTTCAGCGATTCTCCCGCCGCTGCTTCCTGAGTAGCTGGGACCTCAGGCTTCCGGCCTCACGCCCGCATCCCTGCTGCGTTTAGGCAGCAGGTGGTGACCTCACTCCTCCCTGGCCTGAGCACCCAGTCCCGCATCCCAAGCAAAGGCTCTAGGGAAGTCTCTGAAGCTGAGCACAGGGTGGACTCTCCCTCCTGAGTGAATGGAGAATAGAAAGGGAGAGGAGTTCTGTTCTGTTCTGTGGGCCATCAGCATGAAATCGTATGTTCCGCCCAGGCAGGGCTTTGCATTTCACATTCTAGTTTGCATTCCCGTTCCAGATAATTCCAGGGCTTTTGTATCATGCCTCAGCCTTCCTGGCCGCTCTCACCTCCAAACACCCGAAAAACAGAGGCGCTGGGTGCGAGGCGGAGAGATGCACAGGTCCGGTCCCGGCCCCGCCCTTTGCCTGTTCTAAAGGGCAAGGTCTCTCCGCCTCGCGCCCCGCCTCTGTCCCACCCAGGCCCCGCCACCATGTTCGGGGGCCCCACCCGGGACTGGCTTCTGTCCTGCGCAGCAAACCCGGAAGTGGATCACGTGGAGTAAAGGTCCTACCGAGGCGCGTGAGTTTTGCTCTGCCTTGTATTAAGTCTGCACTTCCCAGGTCCCTGGCACTTCTGTCCCTGGGACGTGGGGTCCTCACAGACCTGGAAATTCTTGCCTGTCTTCCTTCACCCAGAGCAAATTGAGACGCCCATAAGAGTCTGGAAGTTGCTTCCTTTTGGGTTTGAAGTCGCTTGGAGGCTGGTCCCGTCCCCGGTCTTTCTGCTATAGGGCAATGTATACACTTCCTATCGCATAGTTTTCCTGCTCAAAACCTTGTTGACTCATCCTGCCCCTTGCTTTTTAAAGTCCTCACCCGTGCGCTGGATTCCCGCCCTGGGCGCCTCCCAGCCCCCGTCGGCCTCCCCTGGAGCGCAGCGCCGGGGCCCCAGTCCTGGGGAGGCTGGGTCCTCTGCCTGGTCCTGGGAGCCTGCAGGTGCCACCCATGTCTTAAGGCGCCGTCTCCCACTATGTCCCTCCTCGTGCCGGGCCCTGCTGCTCCCCAAGTCTTCCCTCCGCAGTCACCGCTTCCCCTGAGCCAGCGTTGGGGAGGTCCCAGGGCCTTGTCCTATGACACCGGGTGTTCTTGCCTGCCCAGCTCCACCTCCTGGAAAATGCGCTTCTCCAGGATGTAGGCCTCTTACTCCAAACCCGCGTGTGATTGTTTGGGTCAAAGAGATGAGGAGATAGAGAGAGGGACTGAGAGAGCAGTAGAAAACCAGAGACAGAGAAAAGAAGAATGAGAAAGGCCCGTAACAGATGGCAAAGTAGAGGATGGGTGAGAAATTTGCCAAGAGACAGCAAAAGTGAAAGAAAAAATAAGAAAGCAGGAGGAGAAAAGCAACTGGAGAAATGTAGAGAAGAGCTAGATGTACAGAGATGAAGGACAAGATAGGGAGAGGGGCAGCAAAGAGGGAGGCTCACCAGAGTGAGGGAGAGGAGGAGGGATTTGGAGCCAGGGCAGACAGAGCAGAGTGGTGCTGGTGGCACGGAGACCAGAGGGAGAACCACAGCAGGGAGGACACCTGGGGATCTGGGGTGCTAGAGAGTGGGGACTGGGGGCTGTAACAGGGAAGAGAGAATTTAACAGGGAGAGCAGAGGAGATGGAGAGATAAGAGAAGAGGCGGTAATATATAGAGATTGAGGACGATTGAAAGATTGGGGAGAAGGAGCAACAAGAGGTTAAATAAGGTTTGGGGAAAAAAAAGAGAGATCAGACTGTTACTGTGTCTATGTAGAAAGAAGTAGACATAAGAAACCCCATTTTGGTCTGTACTAAGAGAAATTAGTCTGCTTTGAGATGCTGTTAATCTGTAACCCTAGCCGCAACCCTGTGCTCACAGAAACATGTGCTGTGTTGACCCAAGGTTTAATGGATTTAGGGCTGTGCAGGCTGTGCTTTGTTAAAATGTGTTTGCAGGCAGTATGCTTGGTAAAAGTCATCGCCATTCTCCAGTCTCGAGTACCCTGGGACAGAATACACTGTGGAAGGCCGCAGGGACCTCTGCCCAAGAAAGCCTGGGTATTGTCCAAGGTTTCTCTCCACTGAGACAGCCTGAGATATGGCCTCGTGGGAAGGGAAAGACCTGACCATCCCCCAGCCAGACACCCGTAAAGGGTCTGTGCTGAGGACGGTTAGTGAAAGAGATAGCCCTCTTTGCAGTTGAGATAAGAGGAAGGCCTCTGTCTCCTGCTCCTCCCTGGGAATGGAATATCTTGGTGTAAAACCCAATCGTATGTTCTGTTTACAGAGATAGGAGAAAACTGCCTTATGGCTGTAGGTGAGACATGCTGGTGGCAATACTGCTGTTTACTGCACTGAGATGTTTGTGTAAAGTCAAACATAAATCTACCCTACATGCACATCGAGGTACAGCATCTTTCCTTAAACTTATTTATGACACAGAGAGCTTTGCTTACATGATTTCCTGCTGACCTTCTCCCCACCATTACCCTACAGTCCTTCCACATCCCCCTCTCTGAGATGGTAGAGATAGTGATCAATAAATATTGAGGGAACTCAGAGACCTCGGCTGGTGCGGATCCTCCGTATGCTGAGTGCTGGTCCTCTGAGCCCACTGTTCTTTCTCTATACGTTGTCTCTGTCTTATTTCTTTTCTCAGTCTCTCATCTCACCTGATGAGAAATACTCACAGGTGTGGAGGGGCTGGCCCCCTTCAATAAGGACCAGACGCTGTGGCTCATGCCTATAATCCCAGCACTTTGGGAGGCTGAGGTGGGCGGATCACCTGAGGTCCAGAGTTTGAGAGCAGCCTGACCAACATGGAGAAACCCCGTCTCTACTAAAAATACAAAATAAGGCAGGCACGGTTGCACATGCCTGTAATGCCAGCTACTAGGAAGTCTGAGGAAGGAGAATTGCTTGAACCTGGGAGGCGGAGGTTGCAGTGAGCCAAGATCGCACCATTGCACTCCAGCCTGGGCAACAAGATGGAAACTCCGTCTCAAAAAAAAAAAAAAAAAAAAGGTTAAATAAGTTGTGAGGATGGAGCAGAAGAGGTGGAAGAGAAGCAATAGAGGGAAGAAGGGGATAAATTGCAGGAGAGGAGAGAGGTACAAAATAAGGAGCACAATCCCAGGGAAAAAGAAAAGAAAACAAGAGCTAGAAAGAGAAGGGGAGAATGAGAGATATGCACAGAATTAGGGAGGGAAGCACAGTAATGAAGAAAGAGGGGCCAGGCGCAGTGGCTCATGCCTGTAATCCCAGCACTTTAGGAGACTGGGACAGAGAGATTGCTTGAATCCAGGAGTTCAAGACCAGCCTGGGCAAAATAGTCATTGCCCCCATCTCTATCAAAAAAAAAAAAAAAAAAACGAAAACAAAAACCAGGCATGATAATGTGCACCTGTAATTTCAGCTACTCTGTAGGCAGAGGCTGGAGGATCACTTGAGCCCAGGAGGTCCAGGCTGCTGTGAGCAGAGATCATGCCACTGTACTCCAGCCTGGTGAAAAGAGCAAGACCCTGTTTTAAAAGAAAAAAAGGGTGGGGGACTTTGGATACAGATGAGTGTGTGAGTTCATTGGATATGATTAGTTGTGACATGTTGACTTCTGTGTATATAATCTAATAACTTGTTTAAATTATACAGATGAGTTTGAGAATTTTAAAATTCCTATGTGAGTCATGTACATTCTATAAATCTTGGTGTCAGAGGTTAGCTTCCACTTGGAATCCCTATTCAGCCCGAGGGCAGTGACTTACTCAGTTGTGAGTCAGTTTCTTCCCTTTTCCCAGGGTGGGGTAGAAAGTGGGGCAGTGATGTGGGGAAAAAGAAAAAAACAACTTTCTGTTATTACATAATACTTTTAATTAATTAATTAATTAATTAATATTTTGAGACAGGGTCTGGCCCTATTGCCCAGGCTGGAGTACAATGGCGTTATCTACTCTAACTGCAGCCTCGACCTCTTAGGCTCAAGTGATCCTCCTCCCTCAGTCTCCTGAGTAGCTGAGACCACAGGTGTGAGACACCAAGCCCGGCTAGTTATTTATTTATTTTTTATTTTATTTTATTTTTTTTGTAGAAACGGTTTCAGTATGTTTCCCAGGCTGGACTGAAAATCCTGGGCTCAAAGGTTCCTCCTGTCTTGGCCTTGCAATGTACTGGGATTATAGGGATGAGCCACCGCACCTGGCCTACATACTAATTATTATTATTATTATTTTGCAGTGGAGTTTTGCTCTTGTTGCCCAGGCTGGAGTGCAATGGCACAATCTTGGCTAATGAGTATCTCTGCCTTTAGGGTTGAAGCGATTCTCCTGCGATACTACCCCCTGAGTAGCTGGGATTACAGGCATGGGCCACCGTGCCCTGATAATTTTGGATTAGGAGGCTGAGGCAGGAGAGTCACTTGAACCCAGGAGGCAGAGGTTGTGGTGAGCTGAGATCGCATCATTGCACTTCAGTGTGGGCAACAAGAGCGAAACTCCATCTCAAAAAACAAAAAAAAGCTCTCCCTCTCCCTCTCTCTCTCCCTCTCCCTTTCCCTCTCCCTCTCCCTCTGCCTCTGCCTCTCCCTCTCCCTCCCTCTCTCCCTTTCCCCTCTCACTTTCCACGGTCTCCCTCTGTTGCCGAGGCTGGACAGTACTGCCGTGATCTGGGCTCGCTGCAACCTCCCTGCCTGATTCTCCTGCCTCAGCCTGCTGAGTGCCTGGGATTGCAGTCACAAGCCACCAAGCCTGACTGGTTTTTGTATTTTTGGTGGAGACGGGGTTTCGCCATGTTGGCCGGGCTGGTCTCCAACCCCTGACCTCCAGTGATTTGCCCGCCTTGGCCTCCCGAGGTGCCGGGATTGCAGACGGAGTCTTGCTCACTCAGTGCTCAATGTTGCCCAGGCTAGAGTGCAGTGGCGTGATCTTGGCTTGCTACAACCTCCACCTCCCAGCCGCCTGCCTTGGCCTCCCAAAGTGCTGAGATTATAGCCTCTGCCCGGCCACCACCCCATCTAGGAAGTGAGGAGCGTCTCTGCCTGGCCACCCATTGTCTGAGATGTGAGGAGCCTCTCTGCCCGGCTGCCCAGTCTGGGAAATGAGGAGCACCTCTGCACGGCCGCCATCCCATCTAGGAAGTGAGGAGCGCCTCTGCCCAGCCACCACCCCGTTTGGGAAGTGAGGAGCGTCTCTTCCTGGCCGCCCCGTCTAGGAAGTGAGGAGCCCCTCTGCTCGGCTGCCCTGTCTGGGAAGTGAGGAGCGCCTCTGCCTGGCCGCCCCGTCTGGGAAGTGAGGAGCACCGCTGCCTGGCCTCCCCGTCTGGGAAGTGAGGAGTGCCTCTGCCCGGCCGCCCCGTCTGGGATGTGAGGAGCGCCTCTGCCTGACTGCGACCCTGTCTGGGAGGTGAGGAACGCCTCTGCCCAGCCACCCCATCTGAGAAGTGAGGAGCATCTCTGCCCGGCCGCCCCATCTGGGAAGTGAGGAGCACCTCTGCCCAGCCGCCACCCCATCGGGGAAGTGGGGAGCACCTCTGCCTGGCCACCCCGTCTGGGATGTGAGGAGTGCCTCTGCCCGGCCACGCCATCTGGGAGGTGGGGAGCGCCTCTGCCCAGCAGCCGCCCCGTCTGAGATGTGAGGAGCACCTCTGCCCGGCTGCCCCGTCTGGGAGGTGAGGAGCGCCTCTGCCCAGCAGCTGCCCCGTCTGGGAAGTGAGGAGCGCCTCTGCCCGGCTGCCCCATCTGGGAGGTGAGGAGCGCCTCTGCCCGGCCGCCCCATCTGGGAGGTGAGGAGCGCCTCTGCCCGGCCGCCCCATCTGGGAGGTGAGGAGCGCCTCTGTCCAGCAACCGCCCCTTCTGGGAAGTGAGGAGTGCCTCTGCCCGGCCGCCCCATCTGGGAAGTGGGGAGCGCCTCTGCCCGGCCGCCCCGTCGGGGAGGTGGGGGGCGCCTCTGCCTGGCCGCTGTGCAATCTTCCAAGTGTGAAGTGACAGCCTTTCTGCAGGTGTACCCAACAGCTTATTGAGAACTGGCCATGATGACGATGGCGGTTTTGTCGAAAAGAAAAGGGGGAAATGTGGAGAAAAGCAAGAGAGATCAGATTGTTACTGTGTCTGTGTAGAAAGAAGTAGACATAGGAGACTCTATTTTGTTCTGTACTAAGAAAAATTCTTCTGCCTTGAGATGCTGTTAATGTGTAACCCTACCCCCAACCCCGTGCTCTCTGAAACGTGCTGTGTCAACTCAGGGTTAAATAAATGGATTAAGGGCGGTGCAAGATGTGCTTTGTTAAACAGATGCTTAAAGGCAGCATGCTCCTTAAAAGTCATCACCACTCCCTAATCTCAAGTACCCAGGGAGACAAACACTGCGGAAGGCCGCAGGGACCTCTGCCTAGGAAAACCAGAGACCTTCATTCACGTGTTTATCTGCTGACCTTCTCTCCACTATTGTCGTATGACCCTGCCACATCCCCCTCTCTGAGAAACACCCAAGAATGATCAATAAATACTAAAAAACAAAACAAAACAAAAAAGAATGAAGCAAAACAGGAGAGGGGCATAAAATGAGCAGAAGTCCAGGGGGAAATGCAGAAAAGAAACAGATGGAGAGAGAAGGTGAGAAAGAGCTATGTATAGAATGATGGAACAGTAATGAAGATGAAGGGGGACCCTGGGTGCAGATGAGCGGTGAGTTGATTGGATGTGATGATGAAGTGATGACATGTTGCTTTCTCTGTTTATAAGGTAACAAATTTAAAATTAGTTTAAATTATACAGATGAGAATGAGAGTTGCCAAACTCCTGTGTCTAAGTGTGGTGCATTTTATAATGATGGCATCAGAGGCAGCTTCCCTCTGCAACCCCTCTTCAGCCAGAGGACAGTGACTTGACTCGTTAGTTGTGGATCACCCTCTTCCCTTTTCATGGCTGGGGTGGGGAGTGGGGGAGAGAAGTAGGGTAAGAAGTGACTGAGTCTCTGTTACTATATGGAACGTGATGAAAGGAGTATTAAAAGTGCTTTTGTTCTCTTTTTGTAATTGGTTTCCTTTTTTCTAGTTCCTCTTCATTTCATTCATGTGGTTGGTTTTTTTGTGTGTTTTTATTCATTTATTTTTTCTTTTTGAGATGGAGTCTTTCTCTGTCAGGCAAGCTGGAGTGCAGTGGAGTGATCTTGACTCACTGCAACCTCCACCTCCCGGGTTCAAGCAATGCTCTGCCTCAGCCTCCCAAGCAGCTGGGATTATAGGCAGCTGCCACCACACCTGTCTGACTTTTTATTTTTAGCAGAGACAGAGGTTCACCATCTTGGCCAGACTGCTCTTGAACTCATGACCCCGTGATCCACCCGCCTTGGCCTCCCAAAGTGCTGGGATTACAGGTGTGAGCCACCATGCTTTGCCTCATTAGTTGCTTTTCATTTTTTAAGTTTACTTTTAATTTACTTATTTTTGTTGTTGTCGGGTTTTTTGTTTTTTGTTTGTTTGTTTGTTTTTTGACTGAGTTTTGCTCTTGTTGCCCAGGCTGTAGTGCAATGGCATGATCTTGGTTCACTGCAAAGTTCGCCTCTGGAGTTCAAGTGATTCTCCTGCCTCAGCCTCCTGAGTAGTTATGATTAGAGGCACGCACCACCATGGCCGGCTAATTTTGTATTTTTAGTAGAGATGGGGTTTCTCCATCTTGGTCAGGCTGGTCTTGAATTCCTGACCTCAGGTGATCCTCCCACCTCAGCCTCCCAAGGTGCTGGGATTACAGGCATGAGCAGCTGCCGGGCCTTTAATTTCTGTTTTTTTGAGACACTCTTACTGCTGTCCAGGCTGGAGTGCAGTGGCAGGATCACAGCTCAGTGCAGCGGCAACCTCCTGGGCTCAAGTGATTTTCCCACCTCAGCCTCTGGATTCCCTGGGACCACAGGCACGCCCCACCAGGCCTGGCTAATGTTTAGATATATATTTTTATTTATTGAGACTCTGTCACCCAGGCTGGTGTGCAGTGGCATGATCTCGTCTCACTGCAACCTTCATCTCCTGGGGTTAAGGGATTCTCCTGCCTCAGCCTCCAGAGTAGCTGGGGCGACAGGTGTGCACAACCATTTCCTGCTAATTTTTGTATTTTTAGTAGAGACATGGTTTCTCCATGTTGGCCAGGCTGGTCTCGAACTCCTAACCTTGTGATCATGCCCTGGCCTCCCAAAGTGCTGGGATTATAGGCGTGTCACCATGCCTGGCCTCATTGTTTTCAAAGTATGGTATATTTTCAAATATTTCTCCTTTGACCCAAGATTTCATTAGATCTATATTTTTTAACCATTTTAAAATTGTTTCTCTATGAGATTGTGTTCAGTTTACATTGAGGTCTGTGTGCTTTCTAGTCTTTATCATATATCGAAAACGTTTTCTACTACGTGATATATAATTTTAGGTTGTTTCAGTGTGTACTTGATAAAGATATCAAGGACCTTTTTTCCTTACCCTAACATGAAAATTTAGTTCAAGTAGCCTATTCCATTTTCTTTCCTCATATCATCTGAAAAAATGGTGATCTGTGAGCTTCTAAGTAAGTGTCTCCCTCAATTCCCTCTGGTCCATAATATTCTCTACAGATGTTGAAGGATGGGCTGGATTGACTTGGAACCTTGGTTTAGCAGAGCCCATGTGTTCATGAGAAAAGCATTTGCTCAGATCCCATTTCTACAGCTGCCTCTTTTTCAGTGTTTTAAACACCTATTGCTGTGTGTGCACAGTTGTGTATATTTTGAACATTTTTCTCCTCATCTCCTACTTGTGCCCTCCTCTCTTCCACTGTTCCAGCCACACAGGCTGCTTTCCTATTCCTGGGGCTGAGGTTGCTCCTGTCTCAGGGCCTTCACTTGAGCTGTCCCTCTGCCTAGGACTCTCTTCCCCTCAGCTGCAAGTGACAAGCAGCCTTTCTTTTCTAGGTCCTTGTTCTGGTATCATCTTCTCCGGGTTTCCTTTGTGATCTCCCATTTGACATTGCCACTGTAAAACCAGAAAATCTTACACAGATCTGAGTTAATTTAGAAAGTTTATTTTGCCCAAGATAGTCGGGGCAGAGCTTAATTTTATACATTTTATGGAGACATGAGACATCAACATATGTAAGAAGTACGTTGGTTTGGTCTGGGAAAGTGGGACAACTTTAAATAAAGGCAGGAAGACTTGAAGCAGGGAAGGGGCTTTTAGTTCACAGAGAACTGAGGCACAAATGGTTGCAGTCTTTTGAGTTTCCTTTTTTTTTTTTGAGATGAAGTCTCGTTTTGTCCCCCAGGCTGGAGTGCAGTGGCACAATCTCGGCTCACTGCAACCTCTGCCTCCTGGGTTCAAGTGATTCTCCTGCCTCAGCTTCCCAAGTAGATGCCCGGATCAGTTTTGTATTTTTAGTAGAGATGTGGTTTCACCATGTTGGCTGGGCTAGTCCCTACCTCTTCACCCCAAGTGGTCTGACTGCCTTGGCCTCCCACAGTGCTGGGATTACAGTCCTGAGCCACTGTGCTGGGTCCTTCTTTTGAGTTTCTAATTAGTCTTTTGAAGGAGGCACTCAGATATGCATCTGTGTCAGGGAGCAGAGGGATGACTTTGAATAGAAGGGGAGTCTGGTTCCCTTGCAGTTCCCAGCTTGACTTTTCCCTTTTGCTTAGTGATTTGGGGCCCCAAGATTTATTTTCCTTACACACAGCCCAACCCTCACCCTACCCCTTCTCCACATTGCCTGTTCTGTGTGATTATTTTTGTGCCTTTGTCATCCACTGTCTGGATCCTGGTGAGAACAAGGCCCCAAGGGGAGGGCAGAGCCAGAACATGGGGCTGTGCTGGGCTCGCCCCCTCTGAGTGGAGCTCAACCCTGGCTTCACGTTAGAGTCGAGGCATTTTGCAAATAGAGCTTTTGTGCCACTTTAGCAGGGATTCTTATTCTGACGGGATGGAACCCACCCTCAGTAATACCTGCAGTGGCCCAGGTGCTTGTCATCTGTGTGCAGCATTGAGCATGGAAGCTCTGAGTCCTGCATTTCTGAGGGCTGACCTCAGCCTGTGATCCACAGAGAGGTGAGGGGCTGTCCTCTGGATGGCAATTGATGAAGGATGAGTCTGTGCCCTGAAGGGGAGATCAGTCCAGCCCAGCTCCCCACTGCTGCCTCGTGTGTGGTGGCTTCTCCAGGAGAGAGGTGAGATCTGAAGACTGGGGTCAAATATACACTCATAGGTCTTCCTGTGGGACTTCCTTATCTCTGCATGATCTCTGGTGCAGTGGGCAGTGGGGGACTTCTTTCTACAGGGTGACGTCTCCCCCGTTCGTGTGTTTTTGTCACAGGAAGGGAGTGAGTCATTTCTAACATGAAGTCTCATTTTTTTTCACATACAGGATTGATTCCTAAAGACTCATGTTACGTGAGGAAGCAGCTCAGAAGAGGAAAGGAAAGGAGCCAGGCATGGCTCTTCCTCAGGTGAAGTGATATTCCTCTGTGGATTAATCTGTGTCTTTCGTTTCTGAAATGCCAGGTATTGTAGCAGCCAGTCTTTTCTGAGTCTGAAGCATCTTGTCTGACACGTTCACTCGCACTCACCCATGCCTGCCCTCAGTTCCTCTCAGCTGCTCTGAGATTCCATCTCCTGTGACCCAGTGACATGAACTTGGGAAGAGGCTCCACTGGGCATGGTCCTGGGAAGGGCTCACACCCTGACATGGATAAACATGGGGTGTGAGCCCGTTGATGTCAGTGCTGCTGGGCAGCCTGGGTTGTTCACGGGCCACATCTGGATGTCAGCTCAGAGAAACTACATATGAAATACATATGTTAATGTGCACAGATGTGTGGTTAATTCTGGAAAAGGAGAATAATAAGGAGAGAGATTTTGTATCCGGCATGGTATCAGCTCACTGCAACCTCTGCCTCCTGGTTTCAAGCAATTCTCCAGCCTCAGCCTCCCCAGTATTGGGGATTACAGGCACCTACCACCACGCCCAGCTAATTTTTGTACTTTTAGTAGAGAAGGGGTTTCAGCATGTTCCCAGGCTGGTCTCGAACTCCTGACCTTGTGATCCGCCCACCTCAGCCTCCCAAAGTGCTGGGATTACAGGCATGAGCCACTGTGCCAGTTTTTAGATTTGGACTTTTCTTTGAAAGCCATTGGACTTTGTCCTCTCTGAAGCACCACATGTATCTTAGCTCATCTAGAGACTTAATATCACCCGGTATGTTGAACATAATATCTGGCATGTCTATAGAGAAAACCCTGTATTTGTTTTTTTGTTTTGTTTTGTTTTGTTTTTGTGTGTGTGAGATGGAGTCTTGCTCTGTTGCCAGGCTAAAGTGCAGTGGTGCGATCTTGGCTCACTGCAACCTCCGCCTCCCGGATTCAAGCGATCCTCCTGCCTCAGCCTCTTGAGTATCTGGGAGTACAGGCCTGCACCACAACACCCAGCTAATATTTGTATTTTTAGTAGAGACATGGTTTTGCCATGTTGACCAGGATGGTCTCAATCTCTTGACCACATTATCTGCCCGTCTTGGTCTCCCAAAGTGCTGGGATTACAGGTGACAGTCACTGCCCGGCATTGTTTTTTTGTTTTGTTTTGTTTTGTTTTTTGAGATGGAGTGTCAGTCTGTTGCCCAGGATGGAGGGCAGTGGTGCGAACTTGGCTCACTGCAGCCTCCATCTCCCGGGTTCAAGTGATTCTCCTGCCTCAGCCTCCTGTGTAGCTGGGATTACAGGTGCCTTCTACCATGCCCGGCTAATTTTTATATTTTTAGGAGAGACAGTTTTTCACCACATTGGCCAGGCTGGTCTCGAACTCTTGACCGCAAATAATCTGCCCGCCTTGGCCTCCTGAAGTGTTGGGATTACAAGCGTGAACTGCCATGCCTGGCCCTGTTTTTCCTTTTTATTTTTATAGTTTTTATATTGTCCATAAAATCGAGATTTCCGTAGTGACTTATGGGATCTTAAAATCTTTCAAGGAAAACTACAATAAAACGCAACTATAGGGAAAAAATATTCAAAAATACCTTAACATCCTTTTGTCAGAACATAATCTTTGATCAAATAAATACTTATTTTCTCATTTCTCATTTTCTGTGAAGGTGATAACTCATTACTCCATAATGTTTTGTTGAAATGTGTGTTTCATTTTAGGGACGCTTGACTTTCCGGGATGTGGCTATAGAATTCTCATTGGCAGAGTGGAAATGCCTGAACCCTTCACAGAGGGCTTTGTACAGGGAAGTGATGTTGGAGAACTACAGGAACCTGGAGGCTGTGGGTGAGGAAAATGTCCCTGCAGACATGAGGAGTCTGCTCTTGTCTATCTTGGCTCATCCTGGCTTTGTATCCTCTTTTGTGATTTTGCCCCATACATGGGTTTTGTTTTTTGTTTTTTGTTTTTGAGATGGTGTTTCGCTCCTATTGCCGAGGCTGGAGTGCAATGGTATGATCTTGGCTCACCATAACCTCCGCCCCTCAGGATCAAGTGATTCTCCTGCCTCAGCCTCCTGAGTAGCTGTTATTATAGGCATGCGAGACCACACCCAGCTAATTTTGTATTTTTAGTAGAGATGGGGTTTCTCCATGTTGGTCAGGCTCGTCTCTAACTCCCGACCTCAGGTGATCCACCCACCTCGGCCTCCCAAAGTGCTGGGATTACAGGCGTGAGCCACCATGCCCAGCTCATTCTGGTTTTTGAGGAGCATCACAGAAGCGTCTCTCACTGGCACTGTGACAATGTTCATCCCATAAACTAATGATCATCTTCTCTAAGCAGCAGTCAGTGGTGTTGCAATTCCTCCCAGCGAGGACATCATTCGGGCTCACAGCCTCATATGTATGAGGCTCTTGACTGAACTCTTGTTCATGTCACATTTTTCACACCAATATGTGTCACTGTTCATTTTTAACAAGAAAACCTATGTTCAGTTTGTTGTAGGATCAACCCTGTAAGAGATATGGTTTTCATCAATCTTATTGAGGAAGCTTTTGAGGTTGAATGAGGTTTCCATTGTTTAGTTCTACTGTCATTTCCTTAAGACACAGTGGCTTTCAACTTGTTCATTTCTATGTTGTTGTTTTTTTGTTTGTTTGTTTTGAGTCAGAGTCTCACTCTGTTGCCCAGGCTTGAGTGCAGTGGCATGATCTTGGCTCACTGCAACCTCCTCCTTTTGGGTTCAAGCGACTCTCCTGCCTCAGCCTCTTGAGTGGCTGGGATTACAGGCATGTGTCACCACACCCGACTAATTTTTGGTAGTTCTATTACAGATGGCAGTTTTGCCATGTTGGCCAGGCTGATTTTGATAGCCTGGCCTGACGTGATTCAGTTGCCTTGGATTCCCAAAGTGCTGGGATTACAGGCATGAGCCACAGCCCCTGGCCCCTTCCGAGTTTGTTTTTAAGGCTGAATAATATTCCACTGTATGTGTGTACCACATTTTGTTCGTATATTTATCTGTCAATGGACATCTGGGTTGGTTTCTTCTCTTTACTATAATAAATAATGTCAGCTGGGTGAAGTCGCACATGCCAGTAATCCCAGCACTTTGGAAGTGCGTGGGTGAATCACCTGAGGTCAGGAATTCGAGACCAGCCTAGACAATGTGGCAAAACCATATGTCTATTAAAGGTACAGTTTCTTTCTTTTTTTTTTTTTCAGACGGAGTATTGCTCTGTCACCCATGCTGGAGTGCAGTGGTGCAATCTCAGCTTACTGCAACCTCTGCCTCCTGGGTTCAAGCAATCTGCTACCTCAGCCTCCTAAGTAGCTGGGGTCATAGATGTGCATCACCATGCCCGGCCAATGTTTTTTTTTTTTTTTTTTTTTTTTTTTTTTTAGTAGAGACAGTGTTTCACCATGCATGCTGGCCAGGCTAGTCTTGAACTCCTGACAACATGATCCACCCACCCGTCTTCCTAATGAGCTGGGATTACAGAAGTAAGCCACTGCACTCAGCCTGGCTCTGTTTTCACAAACACATCTCTACCTACTCAGCCAGGGGATCCTTGTTCACCCCCATGGTCTCCTACATTGCTCTACTGTACTCTTCATGGAGTTTAGTTGTTTTTTTGTGTGTGTGTTTGTATGCATTTCTGGAATCTACACAGAGGATTTTGTTGAGTACATGCCTGAAACTAGAAGTCAGAGGCATTCAATTTAAGAGATGTAAAACTGCTTTCACCTCAGGCCACCGTACTGCTGCATTGTTGGATCTCTTTCATTCTTGTCCCTTGCCCATATTGTAATTTGCATATTTAACCTTGGGTCAATATGTTACCATTTGCTAAATTAGTTCCACTTTCCTCTAAGCTCAAGATTTGGTCTATCTTGGTGGAATTATATTCCCACAGAGGTGCATGCACAAAGTTCACTCCTACATGCCCATTACTTCCTGCCGTCCACCCTTGCCCTTCCTTTCCTGGCCTTGACTCACATGATACATTGATCTGGATGCAAATACCAGCCTATTGACTTTGTAAAAGTGAACACCCCAATTTCCCCGTGAGCCCCTCCCCTCCAACACTACTCTCCCTGAGTAAGTGAAGACCTTGTTCATCCACTGGACAAAATTATAGGAGGCCGCTTAAATCAGTGTGTGCAGGACATCATGACTCAGCACATGATCCATGAGGGATGGCTTCAGAACCACTGTCAGCAGCGCAGCTCAGCGCTTGTGTCCCAGCTCAGTCCTTGTATCCCCCTTGATGTACTTCTTTCTGTTCTCCTCATATTTTCTGTGTCTGGTCATTTCCTGTCCTGCCTGCGCTGACTATTGTGCCTAAGAACATGTCGTGGGATCCTTCATGCCCAGGATCAAGTCTTGTCCCTCACTTACCGTACGTGCAAACTGGGGTCATGTACATGAACACTGTGGGCCTGCTGTCATTATTTGAGAAATAATGTTAATTTGCCTCCAGGGTTGGTTTTTTTTTTTGTTTTTTGTTTAGTTTTGTTTTGTTTGAGAAAGAGTTTTGCTCCTGTTTCCCAGGCTGAAGTGCAATGGCACAATCTGAGTTCACCGCAACCTCCACCTCCCGGATTCAAATGGTTCTCCTGCCTCAGCCTCCCGAGAAGCTGGGATTACAGGCAAGTGCCACCACGCCTGGCAAGTTTTGTATTTTTAGTAGAGATGGGGGTTTCACCATGTTGGCCAGGCTGGTCTCGAACTCCTGACCTCAAGTGATCTACCTGCCTCAGCCTCCGAAAGTACTGGGATTACAGGCATGAGCCACTGTGCCTGGCCTTTTTTTTTTTTTTTTTAAATGGAGTTTCCCTCTTGTTGCCCAGGCTGGACTGCAGTGGTGCAGTCTCGGCTCACTGCAACCTCCACTTCTTGGGTTCAAGTGATTGTCCTGCCTCAGGACATAATCCCCCAAGTAGCTGGGATTATGCCTGGTGCGAGCCTGGCTAATTTCTGTATTTTTAGCAGAGATGGAGTTTCTACTAGTGATTCATCCACCTGCTTTTTAAAACAAATGAGTACTATTAGATGGCTTCATATAAGTTTTATAGTACACACTCAACTTCCTTTGTTTAATAATATTTGTCAGCCCTCAGTAATGTTGATGATGAGATGCCCCCTTTCCTGTCTCACTCTTTTCACTGTCCTGTTAGAAATAGCTTAGACTGGCCAGCCGCAGTGGCTTTGGCCTCTAATTCCAGCACTTTGAAAGGCTGAGGTGGGTAGATGGCTTGAGGTCAGGAGTTTGAGACCAGTCGGGCAAACATAATGAAAACTTGAACCTACTAAATTAAAAAACATTGGACGGGCATGATGTCTCACACCTATTATCCCAATATTTTGGGAGGCCGAGACGGGTGGATCACTTGAGGTCAGAAGTTCTAGACCAGCCTGGCCAACATGGTGAAACCCCATCTCTAGTAAAAATACAAAAGTTAGCTGGGTGTGTTGGTATGAACCTGTAATCCCAGCTTCTCGTGAGGCTGAGACATGAGAATCACTTGAACCTTGGAGTTGGATGTTGCAGTGAGCCATGATTGCACCACTTACTCCATCCCGGGTGACAGAGTTAGATTCTGTTTCCCAAAAAAAAAAAAAAAAAAAATTAGCCAGGCATGGTGGCATGTGTCTGTACTCCCTGCTACTCAAGAGGCTGAGGCATGAGAATCTCTTTAGGTAGGAGAATCGTGCCACTGCACTCCAGCCTGGGTGATGAAGCATTACTCAGTCTCAAAAACAGACAAAAAAAGAAATAGCTGAAACTGGAAAGCTTAAGACATAGAAATTTGTTGCTCATGAATCTGGAAAGTGGGAAATCCAAGAACAAGATGTCAGCTAGATTGGCTCCTGGTGAGAGCCTTCTTCATGGTTTAGCCCAGCCGTCTTCCTGCCGTGTCCTGATGTGGTGTAAAGAGGAGCAGGCAATGAGCTCTTTACTGTCTCTTTTTATAAAAGCACTAGTCTTTGCCGGGCATGGTGGCTCACGCCTGCAATCCCAGCACTTTGGGAGGCTGAGACAGCCAAATCACATGAGGCCGGGAGTTTGAGACCAGCCTGACCAACATGGAGAAACCACATCTCTACTAAAACTACAAAATTAGCCGGGAGTGGTGGCACATGCCTGTAATCCCAGCTACTCGGGTGGCTGAGGCAGGAGAATCGCTTGAACCTGCGAGGCGGTGGTTGTGGTGATCCTAGATCACGCTATTGCACTCCAGCCTGGGCAACAAGAGCGAAATTCTGTCTCAAAAATAAATAAAGAGTCCGGGCATGGTGGCTCACGCCTGTAATCCCAGCACTTTGGGAGGCGAGGAGGGCGGATCATGAGGTCAAAAGATTGAGACCATCCTGGCCAACATGGTGAAACCCCTTCTCTACTAAAAATATAAAAATTATCTGGGCATGGTGGTGCATGCCTGTAGTCCTAGCTACTCTGAAGGCTGAGGCAGGAGAATCGCTTGAACCCGGGAGGCAGAGGTTGCAGTGAGCCAAGATTGCACCACCGCACTCCAGGCTGGGCTACACAGTGATACTCCCTCTCAAAAAATAAATAAATAAAAATAAATAGTAAAGAGAGAAAGAAAAAAAGAAAGAAAAAATACAATTAAAAGCCCTAGTGCTATTCATAATTAGTCAACACCCATTACAAAACTCTCTAAAAGACCCCAACTGCAGGAACATCCTATTGGGGAATAAGAAATCTGATAGTGGCTTTTAGCCAATGCGAACATTCGGGCCAGGGAACATACATCATATTTTTTGTTCTTATTGTGCAATTTGTTTTATACAATGTTTTCTCTGATCTCAGTTAATAAATTTTCCTAGTACACATTCTATGTTTTATATTTTATGCATAGTGAACTAGATAACTATGGGGAATGCATATATATAAAATTGCTGTATTGCCTGGCTGTTACATAAGTGTAGTTGTGACATCATAATTACACTTTTCTATACTATTAGTCAATTCTTTCTTCCTTTGTTTATTTTTTTTTGAGACGGAGTCTTGCCCTGTCACCCAGGCTGGAGTGCAATGGTGCGATCTCAGCTCACTGCACCCTCCACCTCCTGAGTTCAAATGATTCTTTTGCCTCAGCCTCCAAAGTAGCTGAGATTATAGGCGCCCTCCACCAGGCCCAGCTGATTTTTTTGTATTCTTCGTAGGATGGGGTTTCCCCATGTTGGTCAGGCTGTTCTTGAACTCCTGACCTCATGATCCACATGCCTTGGCCTGCCAAAGTACTGGGATTACACGTGTGAGCCACCGTGCCCAGCCATTAGCCAATTCTTATTTCTTAAGATGCTGTGTATTTTCTTTATTTTATTTCATTTTTGAGACAGAGTCTCGCTCTGTCACCCAGGCTAGAGTGCAGTGGCGCGATCTGGGCTCACTGCAGTCTCCATCTTCCAGGTTCATGCCATTCTCCTGCCTCAGCTTCCAGAGTAGCTTGGACTACAGGCACCAGCCATCATGCCCAGCTAATGTTTTTGTATTTTTTTAGTAGAGACGGGGTTTCACTGTGTTAGCCAGGATGGTCTCAATCTCCTGACCTCGTGATCCGTCTGACTCGGCCTCCCAAAGTGGTGGGATTACAGGCTTGAGCCAAGGCGCCTGGCCTAATGCTGTGTATTTTCTTGGCCTCATACATCAGAAGGTAGTGATCTTAACATGTATTTCAGTTCTTATATTGTGTGCTGGTGGTTGAGTAGAAGTTGTGGCTTTTTTCTTAAGAGGGAGTTGTTTAGAATTCTGCAGGCTGTATAAATGTACTTATTTGCTTGCTGGTTTTATCTTGGGTTACAATATTTTATTAATTAATTTTTATAATTTTGCATATGGCTTTTCGGTATGTGGTATGCAATATAACTGACATGCACTATTCGTTAATGTCACAAAGTGCCACCAGGTGCAGTGGCTCACACCTGTAATCCCAGAACTTTGGGAGGCCGAGGTGGGTGGATTACTTGAGGTCAGGAGTTTGAGACCAGCCTGGCCAATATGGTCCCCATCTTTACTAAAAACACAAAAATTAGCCAGGCATAGTGGTGCATGCCTGTAGTCCAAGCTACTCTGGAAGCTGAGGCAGGAGAATCACTTCAACCCAGGAGGCAGAGGCTGCAGTGAGCTGAGATGGCACCATGGCACTCCAAGCTGGAGTGCAAGACTCCATCTCAAAAAAATAAAAATACAAAAAATTTTTGAAAAGTCACAAAGTGCCTGTTCTTATAGGTAATTTTATGACATTTATTCAGAAAAATATTCTATTAACTTTTTTTTTTTTTTTTTAGGTAGAGTCTCACTTTGTCACCCAGGCTGGAGTGCAGTGGTGTGATCCTGGCTCACTGCAACCTCTACCTCCCAGGTTTAAGTGATTCTTGTGCTTCAGCCTCCTGAATAGCTGTGACTACAGGCATGGGCCACCATACCTGGCTAATTTTTGTAATCTTTTCTTATCTTCTCAGTGCTATAATTGTTTGACAATACGGAATTTCCATTGCTTTTGGTTATCCTTACATGAGCTTGTTGTGGATTATTTACCAATATAGTATGTTGTGTGGGGAGTTTTTTTTTTTTTTTTAGCATTTATTTGTATAGAGTAAATATGCTTTAAATATGAAGAGTATATATTTTTCTCTTCACCGATGTGATGGTGATATGCTTTTTGCAAATTGTGATACAGTTCAGGGTCACAGTGGAAAAATACTCCTTACTTTAGGCTTACACATGTTTGTGCCCTGTCAGTGTTTTGTCATGACATAGGAAATAGGCTTTCATAGAATTGTCTTGAAGGACATGTAATCACCCTTTATTTACTAAAGAATATTGCTCCTTTCGTTTTCCTAAACTTTGAAGATGATGTTTGGGAAGTTCAAAATAAGTATCGTTTTTTGTGTCATATTTATGCACTTCAGTGTGATTTACCATCTGTACTTAATTGGAAATGTATTGGTGTTTATATTTTGTAGATATCTCTTCCAAATGCATGATGAAGGAGGTCTTGTCAACAGGGCAAGGCAATACAGAAGTGATCCACACAGGGACATTGCAAAGACATGAAAGTCATCACATTGGAGATTTTTGCTTCCAGGAAATTGAGAAAGAAATTCATGACATTGAGTTTCAGTGTCAAGAAGATGAAAGAAATGGCCTTGAAGCACCCATGACAAAAATAAAAAAGTTGACTGGTAGCACAGACCAACATGATCACAGGCATGCTGGAAACAAGCCTATTAAAGATCAGCTTGGATCAAGCTTTTATTCACATCTGCCTGAACTCCACATATTTCAGATCAAAGGTGAAATTGGTAATCAACTTGAGAAGTCTACTAATGATGCTCCCTCAGTTTCAACATTCCAAAGAATTTCCTGTAGGCCCCAAACCCAGATTTCTAATAACTATGGGAATAATCCCCTGAATTCTTCATTACTCCCACAAAAACAGGAAGTACACATGAGAGAAAAATCTTTCCAATGTAATAAGAGTGGCAAAGCCTTTAATTGTAGCTCACTCTTAAGGAAACACCAGATACCCCATTTAGGAGACAAACAATATAAATGTGATGTATGTGGCAAGCTCTTTAATCACGAGCAATACCTTGCATGCCATGATAGATGTCACACTGTTGAGAAACCTTACAAGTGTAAAGAGTGTGGCAAGACCTTCAGTCAGGAGTCATCCCTTACCTGCCATCGTAGACTTCATACTGGAGTAAAACGTTACAATTGTAATGAGTGTGGCAAGATCTTTGGTCAAAATTCAGCCCTTCTAATTGATAAGGCAATTGATACTGGAGAAAATCCTTACAAGTGTAATGAATGTGACAAGGCTTTTAATCAACAATCACAACTTTCACATCATAGAATTCATACTGGAGAGAAACCTTACAAATGTGAAGAATGTGACAAAGTTTTCAGTCGGAAATCAACCATTGAGACACATAAGAGAATTCATACTGGAGAGAAACCATACAGATGTAAGGTTTGTGACACAGCTTTCACGTGGCATTCACAGCTGGCTCGACATAGAAGAATTCATACTGCAAAGAAAACTTATAAATGTAATGAGTGTGGCAAGACCTTCAGTCACAAGTCATCCCTTGTATGCCATCATAGACTTCATGGTGGAGAGAAATCTTACAAATGTAAGGTTTGTGACAAGGCTTTTGTGTGGAGTTCACAACTGGCAAAACATACTAGAATTGACTGTGGAGAAAAACCTTACAAGTGTAATGAATGTGGGAAGACCTTTGGTCAAAATTCAGATCTTTTAATTCATAAGTCAATTCATACTGGGGAGCAACCTTACAAATGTGATGAATGTGAAAAGGTTTTCAGTCGTAAATCAAGCCTTGAGACACATAAGATAGGTCATACTGGAGAGAAACCATACAAATGTAAGGTTTGTGACAAGGCTTTTGCGTGTCATTCCTATCTGGCAAAACATACTAGAATTCATAGTGGAGAGAAACCTTACAAGTGTAATGAGTGCAGCAAGACCTTCAGTCACAGGTCATACCTTGTATGCCATCATAGAGTTCATAGTGGTGAGAAACCTTACAAGTGTAATGAGTGCAGCAAGACCTTCAGTCGCAGGTCATCCCTTCATTGCCATCGTAGACTTCATAGTGGTGAGAAACCTTACAAGTGTAATGAGTGTGGCAATACCTTCCGTCACTGCTCATCCCTTATATACCATCGTAGACTTCATACTGGAGAGAAATCTTACAAATGTACAATTTGTGACAAGGCTTTCGTGCGTAATTCACTCCTGTCAAGACATACCAGAATTCACACTGCAGAGAAACCTTACAAGTGTAATGAATGTGGGAAGGCTTTTAATCAACAATCACACCTTTCACGTCATCATAGAATTCATACTGGAGAGAAACCTTAGAAATGTGAAGCATGTGACAAAGTTTCCATTTGGAAATCACACCTTAAAGACATAGGAGAATTTATACTGGAGAGAAAGCTTACAAATGTAAGGTTTCTGACAAGACTTGGGAGTGATTCACACCTGGAACAACATACTGGACTTCACACTGGAGAGAAACCTTACAAGTGTAATGAGTGTGGCAAAGCCTTTGGCAAGCAGTCAACACTTATTCACCATCAGGCAATTCATGGTGTAGGGAAACTTGACTAATGTAATGATTGTCACAAAGTCTTCAGTAATGCTACAACGATTACAAATCATTGGAGAATCCATAATGAAGAGAGATCTTACAAGTGTAATAAATGTGGCAAATTTTTCAGAGATCGTTCACATATTGCAGGTCATCGGTGAACTCATACTGGAGAGAAACCTTACAAATGTCATGACTGTGCCAAGGTCTTCAGTCAAGCTTCATCCTATGCAAAACATAGGAGAATTTATACAGGAGAGAAACCTCACAAGTGTGATGATTGTGGCAAAGCCTTTGCTTCACGTTCACACGTCATTAGACATCAGAGAATCTATACTGGACAGAAATCTTACAAATGTCATCAGTGTGGCAAGGTCTTCAGTCCAAGATCACTCCATGCAGAACATCAGAAAATTCATTTTTGAGATAACCGTTCCCAATGAAATGAGTATAGCAAACCATCAAGCATTAATTGACATTGGAGTCAATTCAGCATTGACTTGAGTTTGTGTTGACTTAACATTGAGTTCAAGCCTTTATTGACATTCAAGTGTTTATGTTAAGAGGATGGGGCCAGGTGTGGTGGCTCCGACCTGTAATCCCAGCACGTCGGGAGGCCAAGGCACATAGGTCACTTGAGGTCAGGAGTTTGAAACCAGCATGGCCAACAGATGTGAGCCACTTTTCTCAGCCTGTTTTTTGTTTCTTATTTTCTATTATTTTTTTGAGCCAGTACTTTTTAAAGAGATAGTACTTTTTTCAGTTAGTACTTTTTGAAAGGGATATATCATAGTAATTTTTAAAAGGGATATGAGGCCAGGCACGGAGGCTCATGCCTATAATCCCAGCACTTTGGGAGGCCGAGGCAGGCAGATCACGGGGTCAGGAGATCGAGACTTTCCTGGCTAACAGGGTGAATCCCTGTCTCTACTAAAAATACAAAAAATTAGCTGGGCATGGTGGCTGGCGCCTGTAGTCCCAGCTACTCCAGATGCTGAGGCAGGAGAATGGCATGAACCTGTGAGGCGGAGCTTGCAGGGAGTCGAGATCGCACCACTGGGCTCCAGCCTGGGCGACAGAGTGAGAGTCTATCTCAAAAAAAAAAAAAAAAAAAAGGATATCAAAGCCTCGGTACGTGGTGGCTCATCCCTGCAATCAGAGTACTTTGGTCGACCCATGTGAACTGGTCACCTAAGGTCACAATTTCAAAAGCACCCTAACATGGTGAAACCCCATCTCTACTAAAAATACAAAAGTTAGCCGGGGGTGTTGGTGTGCACCTTTAGTTCCAGCTACTTGGGAGGCTGGGGCATGAGAATTGCTTAAACCTAGGAGGTAGAAGTTGCAGTGAACCAAAATTGTGCCACTATACTGCAGCCTGGGTGGCAGAGTGAGTCTCCATCTCAAACAAACAAAAAATAACAAAAAAAGACCTCAAAAATGCTTTTCTTCTCGTATAATGGACTTCCTTCTTTTTCTTTCTGGTTCCTCTTCATTTCTCTCTTTATTTTTTATTTATTTATTTATTTATTTTGCAGTTTGAGTTTGAGATAAATCTAAGTTATAAAAGTTGTATTTCTTAATACATAATGACTTCTGAAAGATGCCTTTGCAGCATCCTATAATCAGCTCACATCATTCGTTTCTGTACTTGTATATTTTCCAGTTATTTTCCGGTTGACCCCAGAATTCGTTAGATTTTTTTAAAAAACAATTTCAAAATAGTTGCTGTTTTAAATTAGTTGCATCCAGTTCATATCAATGTCTGCATGCTTTCTAGTCTTTGTTATTTATTGAAAACCTTTGGTACCTAAACTTAAGTTTGATTGTTTCAGTGTGTACTTGGTAAATATGTCAGTGGCCTTTTAACTAAACATCAAAATGTACTTTAACCAGTTAGTCTGTTTTTCAGTTTTCTTTCCTTATGTCCTTTGTTAAAATCTTGATCTGGGAGCTATTTATTGCGTGTTTCCCTCAAGGCCCTCTGGTCCATTCTGGAAAAATGTTGAAACATGGGCTGGATTGGCATAGAACGCTCCTCCAAAAGCACCCGTGTATTCTTTTCTTTTCTTTTTTGAAATGGAATCTTGCTCTGTCGCCTTGGATGGAGGGCAGTGGTGCAATCTCAGCTCACTGCAACCTCTGCCTCCTGGGATCAAGTGATGCTCCTGCCTCAGTCTCCTGAGTAGCTGGAATTACAGGCACCCACCAGCATGCCTGGCTAATTTTTGTATTTTTAGTAGAGACGGGGTTTCATCACGTTTGTCAGGCTGGTCTCAAATCCTGACCTTGTGATCCACCCGACTTGGCCTCCCAATGTGATGAGATTACAGGTGTGAGCCACTGCTCCCAGCCTCGGTTTTTTTTTTGTTTTTCTTTTTGTTTTTTTGGGGGTTTTTTTTTGAGATGGAGTTTTGCTCTTGTTGCCCAGGCTGGACTGCAATGGTGCGATCTGGTGTCACTACAACGTCTGCCTCCTGGGTTCAAGTGATTCTCCTGCCTCAGCCTACCAAGTAGTTGGGATTACAGGTGCCCTCCACCACTCCTGGCTAGGTTTTTGCATTGTCAGTAGAGACAGGCTCTCACTGTGTTGGCCAGGCTGGTCTCAAACTACTGACTTCTGGTGATCTGCCCACCTCGACCTCCCAAAGTGCTGGGATTACAGGCGTGAGCCACCGTGCCTGACCACTCATGTATTCTTGATTGAAACAATTTGCTTATGTCTTAGTTGTACACCTGACCTTCTTTCCCTGTTTCCAAGGTCAATAGCTATGTGTTCACAACTCTGCATTTTATAAATGTTACTGTGATTTTCTTGTAAGGAAGAACAAACTGTCAGGAGTCAATGGCCTCAGAACCTTGCAAAAGAAGTTTGTTTCTTTTTTTTCTTTTCTTTTTTTTTTTTGGAGACGGAGTTTCGCTCTTGTCCCCCAGGCTTGAGTGCAGTGGCACGATCTCGGCTCACTGCAACCTCCGTCTCCCGGGTTCAAGTGATTCTCCTTCCTTAGCCTCCCAAGTACCTGGGATTAGAGGCATGCACTACCACTCCTAGCTAATTTTGTATTTTTATAGAGACGGGGTTTCTCCGTGTTGGTCAGGCTGGCCTCAAACTCCTGACCTCAGGTGATCCACCCGCCTCAGCCTCCCAAAGTGCTGGGATTACAGGCTTGAGCCACCGTGCCCGGCAAAAGAAATTTCTTTAGCCCAGGTTTGTGAAAGAGCCTTCTCTAATTTTCCAGGATGGGGGTGATAAGATCAACCCTTCCCATTAGTCCCTGCAGGCCCCCATGTAAGAATTCAGGCACACCTCACTCATCTCAGACCTTCTCAGGGCAACTTGGTGAAAATGTCTTCCAATCTGAGCCCCAGTGAGCCTCCTTGGAACTTGGCGATGAGGGGCTACACCAGAAAAGCTCAACCCTAGTGACTTTGACCCCTGAAATGATTGACAAAATGGAGTGCGTGTGTGGGTGTGGCTTTTTTTTTAAATTTTTTTGAGGAGAGGAGTGCCCAGTTGTGATTAGAATTTTCAATGGGATGCAGTGCCCTAAAAATGAAAAACAAAAGCAGAAGAATGGAAGAAACAGAGGTAGACTCAGACACAGAGACCATCTTCGGGGCCTTTCTCTGTATGAGGACATCACAACAAAATCTAAAGCAGGTCATGTCAGTCCCTGACAGGGAACCCTCCACCAGCTTCCCGTGTTCCCCAGGACAAAAGCCCAACCCCTCACTGTGGCTCCACAGCCCTGTGTCCAGGGCCCCTTCCACTGTCCAGCCTCCTCCTGGGAGCTTGCCCTCATCTCATGACTCTCTCCGCCCCAGTCATATTTGCTTTTCTCTTTTCCCAAACATCAAAACCCTTCCTGTCTCAGGTCGTTGTCCCTGGTTTTACCCTACGTACCCTGTCACTTTCTCCTCCTTCAGGTCTAGGCTCAGAGCTGTCGCCCATGCCCTCCCACCCCCGGCTGTAGTTCCCTTGTCCATCAGTCTGTATCACGTTACTCAGGATTCATTGTCTGCATCAATCACATCAGAAATGCATTTTTTTTTTTTTTTTTTTTTTGAGACAGAGTCACTCTATCTTTCAGCCTATGAGTGCAGCCTCTTGATCTTGGCTCACTGCAACCTCTGTCTGCTGGGTTCAAGCAATTCTGGTGCCTCAGCCTCCCAAGTAGCTGGTGTGTCTGCCACCACACCCGGCTAATTTTTGTATTTTAACTTCCATTTTATATTATTTTTGAGTCTGTCTGTCACCAAGACTGGAGTGTAGTGGCGCCATCTCGGCTCACTGCGACCTCCACCTCCCGGGTTCAAGCAATTCTCCTACCTCAGTCTCCTGAATAGCAGAGATTACAGACACTTACCAAGCCCGGCTACTTTTTGTGTATTTAGTAGAGACAGCGTTTCACCATGTTGGCCAGGCTGGTCTCGATCTCCTGACCTCAAGTAATCAGCACACCTCGGCCTTCCAGAGTGCTAGGATTACCGGATGACCCACACGCCCGGCCCATTTTTGTATTTTTAGTAGATACAGGGTTTCACCATGTTGGCCAGGCTGCTCTCAAACTCCTCAGGTCAAGTGATCCTCCCACCTATGCCTCCTAAGTAGCTGGGACCACAGACACACAGACGTGCACCACCATACCTGGCGAAGTTTTGTATTTTTGGTAGAGATGGGGTTTCACCATGTTGCTCAGGCTGTTCTCAAACTCCTGAGTTCAAGCGATCTACCTGCCACAGCCTCCTAGAGTGCTGGGATGACAGGCATGAGCCACCGCACCCAGCCTCTGCGTGGGGTTTCGTCAGGGCTGGGTCTGTGCCCTGAAGGGGAGCTCATTCCAGCCCAGCTCCCCACTGCTGCAGCTTGTGTGTGGACTCCTCCAGAAGGGGAGCGGGAGTTTCCCTGTAGGAGTTTATCATCCATGGTGAGGAGGGCAGCAGGGGGCACTATTTCCTCAGGGTGAGGTCTTTAGTTAGGCCTCTGAGCCCAAGCTAAGCCATCATATCCCCTGTGACCTGCACGTATACATCCAGATAGCCTGAAGCAACTGTAAAAATATCCTTAACTGATGACATTCCAATATTGTGATTTGTTTCTGCCCTACCCTGACTGATCAATGTGCTTTGTAATCTCCCCCACCCTTCAGAAGGCTCTTTGTAATCCTCCCCACCCTTGAGAATGGACTTGGTGAGATCCACCCCCTGCCTGCAAAGCATTGCCCCTAACTCCACCGCCTGTCCCAAAACCTATGAGAACTAATGATAATCCCACCACACTTTGCTGACTCTCTTTCCAGACTCAGCCCGGCTGCACCCAGGTGAAATAAACAGCCTCGTTGCTCACACAAAGCGTGTTTGGTGGCCTCTTCCCACAGACGTGCGTGACACTTCGCATGTGTGGTTGTGTTCCAGGGAGGGGGTGTGTTGATTCTGAGCAACAAACAACATATTTTTAACATTCAGGATTGACTCCTAAAGACTCTTGGTACATGAGGAAGAAACCCGGAAGAGGAAGAGGAAAGCAAAGGAGTCAGGGATGGCTCTTCCTCAGGTGAGATGATATTCTCGGTGGATTGTTCTGTCTCCTTCCTTTCAGAAACCCTGGGCCTTGGAGTTGGGAATCTTCTCTGAGTCTGAAGCTTCCTGCCTGATACGTTTACTCACACTCACCCATGCCTTCCCTCAGTCCCTCTCATCTCGCTTAGATTCCATCTCTGGTGACCTAGTGACATGAAGTTGGAAAGAGGCTGCACTGGGCATGGGCCTGGGAAGGGCTCACACCCAGACATGGATGGAGACGGGGTGAGGGTCCCGTGGTGTCAGTGCTGTTGGGCAGAAGGGATTGTTCAGGGGCCACATATGGATGCACTGTCAGCTCTCTGTGGAGCAGGATTAGAGCAGCTGCCAATGGAAGTCACGTATTAATGTGCACAAAGTACGTGGTAAATTCTAGAAAAGGAAACCAATAAGTGAAAATCTTTTCTGCCTGCTTTCATGTGGGGAAAAGAAAGAGAGATCAGATTGTTACTGTGTCTGTGTAGAAAGAAGTAGACATAGGAGACTCCATTTTGTTCTGTACTAAGACAAATTCTTCTGCCTTGAGATGCTGTTAATCTATGACCTTACCCCCAACCCCATGCTCTCTGAAACATGTGCTGTGTCCACTCAGGGTTAAATGGATTAAGGGCGGTGCAAGATGTGCTTTGTTAAACAGACGCTTGAAGGCAGCATGCTCCTTAAGAGTCATCACCACTCCCTAATCTTAAGTACCCAGAGACACAAACACTGCGGAAGGCCGCAGGGACCTCTGCCTAGGAAAGCCAGGTATTGTCCAAGGTTTCTCCCCATGTGATAGTCTGAAATATGGCCTCATGGGAAGGGAAAGACCTGACCGTCTCCCAGCCCGACACCCGTAAAGGGTCTGTGCTGAGGAGGATTAGTATAAGAGGAAGGCACGCCTCTTGCAATTGAGACAAGAGGAAGGCATCCGTCTCCTGCCCGTCCCTGGGCAATGGAATGTCTCGGTATAAAACCCGATTGTATGTTCCATCTACTGAGATAGGGGAAAACCACCTTAGGGCTGGAGGTGGGACATGCGGGCAGCAATACTGCTCTGTAAGGCATTGAGATGTTTATGTGTATGCATATCTAAAGCACAGCACTTGATTTTTTACCTTGTCTATGATGCAGAGACCTTTGTTCACGTGTTTATCTGCTGACCTTCTCTCCACTATTATCCTATGACCCTGCCACATCCCCCTCTCTGAGAAACACCCCAAAATGATCAATAAATATGAAGGGAACTCAGAGGCTGGCGGGATCCTCCATATGCTGAACCCTGGTCCCCTGGGCCCCCTTATTTCTTTCTCTACACTTTGTCTCTGTGTCTTTTTCTTTTCCAAGTCTCTCATTCCACCTAACGAGAAACACCCACAGGTGTGGAGGGGCAACCCACCGCTTCACTTTCATACTACATTTTTAGGTAATTGAGTGAGTTATTGTGTTTCTGGCTCCAAAAATCGAACTAATTAGAGTGGAAAGTTCATACACAGACATGAATGATAGAAGGTGTTTTATTCCATCATTAGTTTAAGAATAGGAAATCAACCTAAATAATAGCAGGAGATTCATTAAACCATTCTTAACACATTAAGCTCATGGAGACTGTGGGGTTACTGTGGAGAGGCTTGTGAAACAGGTGTTTTTGGTAAAAATGGTTACAATTTATTTTTTGAGATGGAGTCAGCCTCTGCCACCCAAGCTGGAGTGCAGTGACATGATCTCAGTTTACTGCAACCTCTGTCTTCTGGGTTCAAGTGATTCTCCTGCCTCAGCCTCCCAAGTAGCTGGGGTTATAGGCGTGTGCCACCACGCCCGGCTAATTTTTTTGTATTTTTAGTAGAGATGGGGTTTCACCATGTTGGCCAGGGTGGCCTCAAAGTTCTGACCTCAGGTTATCCACCCACCTCAGCCTCCCAGAGTGCTGGGATTACAGGCACGAGCCACCGTGCTCAGCTCTACCAATGTTTATTAAATATATATTTTGATATTTAAACATCACAGGATGGATATATTTGTTTTCTAGTAAAACTCTTAGCAAAGCTGCAGACCCTTTGCCACAAAGCATCTCCTTTCCCTGTCACGTCCTCCACCCTCTTTCCAAACTCACTGGGGAGCCGCTACTGTCAGTTCTGTGCCAAGTGTCAGAGCAAGTCTTGTACACCTGTATTTCTGCATCATTATGAGACTTTAAAAATAATTCCGTAGTAAATTAAAAAAATAAAATGTTTTATAGTTATGTTTTTACTTTAGGATTGGGGCTACATGTGATGGTTTGTTACATAGGCAAACTCATGTCATTGGAGTTTGTTGTACACCGGTATCAAGCCCAGTACCCAGTAGCTTTTTTTCTTTTCTTTTTTTTTTGACACTGAGTTTTGCTCGTTTTTTGAGTCTGGAGTATGATGGCATGATCTCGGCTCACTGCAACCTCTGCCTCCTGGGTTCAAGCAACTCTCCTGCCTCAGCCTCCTGAGTAGCTGGGATTACAAGCACATGCCTCCATGCCTGGCTAATGTTTGTACTTTTAGTAGAGACAGGGTTTCACCATGTTGGCCAGGCTGATCTTGAACTCCTGACCTCAGGTGATCCAACCCCCTTGCCCTAGCAAAGTGCTGGGATTACAGGCGTGAGCCACTGTGCCCAGCCCCATTAGCTATTTTTTCTGCTCCTCTCTCCTCCCCATCTCCACCCTCACCTAGACCCCAGCGTCTATTGTTTTCTTTGTGTTTTAGTAAATATTTTACTTTGATATTTCATCCTGCTAGTTGTGAAAATTTACATGTTGTTATGTTAGTAAACATGGCTAGCTTGCTCTTTGACATCTGCATTGGAAATTGGCTGAATGACAGTATGTGGGTCCTTTGCAATTTTTCTCTGTATAAAGAGTGCCATAGTGGCTGCATCTGAGCATGCCTGCATTCCTACAGATATCTAAAGATTCCTCCATGTCAGGCAGTTGAAAGGGTGATTGCTTCCTCTAGGAGGGGACATTTCCTGTTTTCTTAGATCTGACAAGATTCCTCCCTGTCCCCAACTATCAAAGTATCCGTTTCCAGCAAGATGAGATTCCTCTTCAGTTAAACAAAACTTGCTACTTTTTATATTTTAAAAATCTTTATATATATATATACACACACACACACACATACATATACGTACACATTGGCACACATATATGTATATATTTTGAAAATTTGCTGGATGTGGTGACTCATGTCTGTAATCCTAGCACTTTGGGAAGCTGAGGTTGGTGGGTCACCTGAGCTCAGGAGTTCAAGACAAGCCTGGCCAACATGGTGAAACCCCATCTTTACTAAAAATACAGAAGTTAGCCGGGCATGGTGGTGGGCACCGGTAATCCCAGCTACTCTGTGGCTGAGGCAGGAGAACCACTTGAACCCAGAAGGCAGAGGTTGCAGTGAACCAAGATTGCATTACTGCACTGCAGCCTGGGCGACAGAACGAGACCCTGTCTAAAAAAAAAAAAAAAAAAAAAAAAAGGAAGAAAGAAAAGATCTGGGGAAAATGACAACTTTTTTTTATTAGCATGTAGTTTCTTGCGAGTCTCTGTTTTATTATTTTGTGGACCTATATCAACAAAATGGATTTTTGTACTTTGAGTTATTCTGTTTTCATATATTTGATTTTATTTTGAGAGAAGGTCTTGCTGTGTCGCTTAGGCTGGAGAGCAATGGCGTGATCTTAGCTCACTGCAACCTCCTTCAGGCTCAAGCCATTTCCCAACCTCAGCCTCCCAAGTAGCTGGGACCACAGGTGAGTTCCACCATGGCCGGTTAATTTTTTTTTTTTTTTTTTTTTGAGATGGAGTCTCACCCGGTAGCCAGGCTGGAGTGCTGTGGCGTGATCTCGGCTCACTGCAAACTCTGCCTCCTGGGTTCAAGTGATTCTCCTACCTCAGGCTCCCAAGTATGTGGGACTACACGTGAGTGCCACCACGCCCGGATAATTTTTTGGTATTTTCAGTAGAGATGGTATTTCACCTTGTTAGTCATGACAGTCTGGATTTCATAACCTCGTGATCCGTCCGCCTCAGCGTTTTAAAGTGCTGGGATTACAGGCGTGAGCCACCTCTTCTGGCCTTTTTTTTTTTTTTTTGAGACAAAGTCTCTGTTATCCAGGCTGGAGTTCAGTGGCATGATCTCAGATCACTGCAAACTCTGCCTCCCAGGCAATTCTCCTGTTTTAGCCTCCCAAAAAGTTGGGGATTATAGTCCAGTGCCACCACCCCCAACTAATTTTTTTTGTATTTTTAGTAGAGATGGGGTTTCACCATTTTGGCCCAGCTAGTCTTGAACTCCTGCCCTCAGGTTGTAGCAGGATGAGCCACAGACAAAACTTCTCAGACACCGAGTTGTAGAAGGAAGGGCTTTATTCAGCTGGGAGCATTGGCAAGCTACTGTCTTAAAATCCGAGCTCTCTGAGTGAACAATTTCTGTCCCTTTTAAGGGCTCACAACACTAAAGATTTCACATTAAAGGGTAGTGATTGATTTGAGCAAGCAGGGGGTATGTGACAGGGGGTGCATGCGCTGGTGGTCAGAGTGAAACAGAACAGAACAGGAGGTTTCACAATGTCCTTCCATACAATGTCTGGGATCTATAGATAACATCAGTTGCTAGGTCAGGGGTGGAATTTTAATTACTAGGTTTAGGCCAGGCAGGCCGAGGCCTGGTTTCAGGTCTGGTTTTAGGTCTGATGCCTGGCATCGGGATGCCTGCCTTTGGTTTCACTTCCTTGTTTTTTTCTTAAAACAGGTACTGAGTATAAAACAATATAAAACAATATGAGAGGGTCTCTCTCTCTTCCCTCATTTCCCCCCTTTGAGAGTCTCACTTTTTATTAGTGGGAATTCTCACTCTTATTTTTGCTGCTTATGTCTTTTTGTGCAACAGATTGATAGTGATTCATATAGTACACTTGTGCTGAAGCATTTTGGTGAACTAAAATAGCGATGAAGCTTTTTATCGTTTGAAGAAGTACAGGTAGCAAACAAGGCAGCAGTAAGCAGGTTTCTATTACTATAATAACTCCTATTATAAGAGTTTTAAATCCTCCTAGTGCTGGGAACTACTTTCTAAACATGGCATCAGGGTTGAATCCATGCTACACTTGTATGGGCACATGTGTCAGTTTTGTCTTTTTTTTTTTTTTTTTTTTTTGAGACGAAGTCTTGCTCTGTCGCCCAGGCTGGAGTACAGTGGGTTGATCTCGGCTCACTGCAAGCTCCGCCTCCCGGGTTCACGCCATTCTTCTGCCTCAGCCTCCGGAGTAGCTGGGACTACAGGCGCCCGCCACCACACCCTGCTAATTTGTTGTATTTTTAGTAGAGACGGGGATTCACCGTGTTAGCCAGGATGGTCTCGATCTCCTGACCTTGTGATCCACCCACCTCGGTCTCCCAAAGTGCTGGGATTACAGGCTTGAGCCACCATGCCCGGCCAGTTTTGTCATATTTTTAACTATGTCTTTAACTACTTGCCTTTGATTATCTATGTGTAGACAGTAAGTAGTAAGGATAAATTTCTTTTTTTTTTTTTTTTTGAGATGGAGTCTTGCTCTGTCGCCCAGGCTGGAGTGCAGTGGCATGATCTCAGCTCACCGCAAGCTCCACCTCCCAGGTTCATGCCATTCTTCTGCCTCAGCCTCCCGAGTAGCTGAGACTGCAGGTGCCCACCACCACGCCTGGCTAATTTTCTGTATTTTTTTTTTATAGTGGGATTACAAGCATAAGCCACCAGGCCTGGCCTATTTTATTATTATTATTATTATTATTTTTTGAGACAGTCCTGCTTTGTCGCCCAGGCTGGAGGGCAGTGGGGTGATCTCGGCTCACTGCAACCTCTGCCTCCCATGTTCAAGTGCTTCTCCTGTATCAGCCCCTAGAGTAGCTGGGACTACAGGAGCTCACCACCACACCCTGTTAATCTTTGTATTTTTAGTAGAGACAAGGTTTCACCACATTGGCCAGGTTGGTCTCCAAACTCCTGAGCTCAAGTGATCCACCCACCTTGTCCTCCCAAAGTCCTGGTGTGAGCCACCTCACCCATCCCCTCTTCACTAATTTTTAATTTACCTAATGAATTCTGATTTTGAACCCATGTATTGCGTTTTTTCATTTAGTTACTCTATTTTTAGCCCAAGAGTTTCTGTGTAGTTCTTCATAGTTTCTGTATGTTGGTTGACCTTTGAATTTTCTGCATGCATTGCTTTTATAGTTTCTTGAAGCTGTCTCTTATTTCAATGCATTTCCAACTTTTTGGTGGATGTGGGTAACGGGGTCTCACTATGTCCCCCAGGCTGGAGGGCAGTGGTGCGATCTTGAGTCACTTCAACCTCTGCTCTCCAGGGTCAAGCAATCCTCCCACCTCAGCCTGGTGAGTAACTGTGGATGTGTCCTCTCTAGGTTTTTGCTTCTCATCTCTGAACTGAAGTTGATTTAAGTGTGTGTGGATGTGGTCTGAAGTGTGCAGGAGAGATTAATGGAGAAGCCCAACATGGTGAAACCCAGTATCTACTAAAAACAGAAAACAATTAGCCAGGCGTGGTCGCACTGGCCTGTAATCGCAGCTACCTGGCTGACTGGGGCAGGAGAACTGCTTGAACCCGGGAGGTGGAGGTTGCAGTGAGCCGAGATAGTGCCAGTACACTCCAGCCTGGGTGACAGAGCTAGACGCTGTCTGAAAAAATGACAGCAACAACAAACAAACAACTAAAAAAAAAAAGGTTATTCTGTAAATAATTAGGAAGACTAAGCAGCCCCAGAGTTAAGACCTTTTGGCATCATTGTCCCTTCTTATGGAGTGATAAAGTAACCTTCCTTGAAGTGTATCAATCCATCACCAGTCAAGTTGCTGCACCCTAGGCACTGGTCTTGAATGGAAAATGTGATTCTGGTAAAGCTTCTCTGTCTTTTCCTATGTGTGTAAAATCTTAACGTCTCCACCTGAGAACGCTGATCCTATTCATTTGAAGTTGATGTTTCCAGGTGGCTATTTCCAAGCTTTGTGTTCAAACAAACTCTGCACTTAATCATATATTCTAAATTTTATTATTTACCTCTGACATCAGTGTCTGTCGTATTGTAGGAGTCTCACCAGAGAGGGCACCTGTCCCCATGTTGTGAAACTCACACTTGTCAAAAAGACATGGGTTAGGGTTTTTCCCCCTCCCTCGGGATGAAGCTAATTAGCTGACACAGATGGTCACCTCCATTACCAAGTAAAGCCAGGATGAAGTATGTGTGACCCAAGGGGTTGTCAAATCCCCTTCCCTGAGGACTGATTAGTGTTTATCTTGAAAACATGTGCTTAATGGGTTGTATAGAACAGTGACATTTCTTTCTCTCTTTTCAACCTCATAGCTGTTTGCCTCTATTTCCCATCACATTTGAGTCTAAGGTTCTTTATTAAAATGGTTTTTATTTATTTCTCTGTTGTCGTGGAGATAATTACCCATTTGGGGGAAGATTTTCTTTGTTTTCAATTATATTTTCTCAACGTTTAAACAGTAAAGAGCATTCCTTAGGCTATGCAAGGTAGCCCACGCCTGTAGTCCCAGCACTTTAGGAGGCCGAGGCAGGTAGATTACTTGAAGTTCGGAGTTTGAGACCAGCCTGGCCAACATGGTGAAAGCCCGCCTCTATCAAAAATACAAAAATTAGCCGGGCATGGTCGCTCGTGCCTCTAATACCAGTAATACTGTAATACTCCGGAGGCTGAGGCAGGAGAATCGCTTCAACCCAGGAGGCAGAGGTCGCAGTGAGCAGAGATCACGCCCCTTCACGCCAGCCTGGGCGACAGAGGGAGACTCCCTCAAAGAAAAAGAAAAGAAAAACGTGAAAAAAAAGTAATAGATTTCTTCCACAAATGTGCTGGAACAACTAACTGGATATCCACACGGAACAGAATAATGTTGGATCCCTATGTCACACCATCAAAAATTTTATTTAAAAAGGTTTAAAAAGCGAGAGAGAGAGAGAGAGAGAGAGACGGAGAGAGAGGGAGACAAGGAAGGTGGCCTTGCGGGAGGGGGTGTTACTTTGTCGCCCAGGCTGGCCTGGACCCCAGGGCTCAGCGATCTTCCTGCTCCTACTTCCTGAGTAGCTGGGACCTCAGGCTCCCGCCTTCGCGCCTGCACCCCTGCTGTGTTTAAGCAGCAGGTGGTGACCTCACTCCTCCCTGGCCTGAGCACTCCGTCCCGCACCCCAGGCAGTGGCTTTAGGGAAGTCTCTGAAGCTGAGCACAGGGCGGACCCTCCCTCCCTTGTGAATGGAGAATAGAAAGGGAGAGGAGTTCTGTTCTGTTCTGTGGGCCGTCAGCATGAAATCCTATGTTCCGCCCTGGCAGGGCTTTGCATTTCACATTCTAGTTTGCATCCCCGTTCCAGAAAATTCCAGGGCTTTTGAATCATGCCTCATACTTCCTGGCCGCTGTCGCCTCCCAAACCCGAAAAACAGAGGCGCTGGGAGCCAGGATGTGAGACACACAGGTCCCGCCCCGGCCCCGCCCTCTGCCGGTTCTAAACCGCAAAGTCTCTCTGCTTCGCGCCCCGCCGCCACCCGGCCCAGGCCCCGCCCACCACCTCGCGGGGCCCGCCGAGGCCTGGCTTCTGTCCTGCGCGCGCAGATTCTCGCAAATCTGGAAGCGGATCGCGTGGAGTGACGGTCACACCGCGGCGGTGAGTTTCGCTGTTTTGTATTAAGTCTGCATTTCCCAGGTCCTCAGCGTTTCTGTCCCTCGGACCTAGGGTCCCCACAGATCTGGAACTTCTCTCCCGTCTTCACCCAGAGCAAATAGAGACATCCCCGTGAGAGTCTGGAAGTCGCTTCCTTTTGGGTCTAAAGTCGCCCTGAGGTTGGTCCCATCCCCTGTCTTTCTGCTCTAGGGCAATGTATACACTTCCTATCGCGTAGTTGTTGTTGTTTTTTTTTTTTTTTTCTCAAAATCATTTTCAGACTCCTCCCGCCCCGCGCTTTTTAACGTCCTCACCCGCGAAGTGGATTCCCGCCGTGGGCACCTCCCAGCCTTGCCCTTGTCGGCCTCTGAAGCGCAGCGCCGCGGCCCCTGTCCCGGGGAGGCCGTGTCCTCTGCCTAGTCCTGGGATCCTGCAGACCCCACCCTTGTCCTCAGGCGCCGTCGCCCCCCACCTCCCTCCTCGTGCCGGGCCCTGCTGCTCCCCAGGTCTCTCCTCCGCAGTCACCGCTTCTCCTGAGCCCGCGTTGGGGAGGTGCCCGGGGCCTGTCCTGTGACACGGGGTGTTCTTGCCTGCCCAGTTCCAGCCCCTGGAAAATAAGCTCCTCCGGGATGCAGGCGTCTTACTCCAAACCCTCCTGTGATTGTGTGGGCCAAAGGGATCAGGAGACGGACAGAGAGCAGTGGAAAACCTGAGACAGAGAAAAGAAGAATGAGAAAGAGCCATAAGAGATGGCAAAGTAGAGGATGGGTGAGGGATTTGCCAAGAGACAGCAAAAGTGAAAAGAAAACGATAAGAAAGCAGGAGGAGAAAAGCAAGTGCAGAAATGTAGAGAAAAGCTGGATGTACAGAGACATGAAGGACAGCAAGGTAGGGAGAGGGGCAGCAAAGAGGGAGGCTCATCAGGGTGAGGGAGAGGAGGAGGGATTTGGAGCCAGGGCAGACAGAGCAGAGTGGTGCTGGTGGCAAGGAGAACAGAGGGAGAAGCACAGCAGGGAGGACACCTGGGGATCTGGAGTGCTAGAGAGTGGGGATGAGGGTATAACAGGGAAGAGAGAATGTAACAGGGAGAGCAGAGGAGGCGCTGAGATGGGAGAAGAGGCGGAAATATTTGTGTTAGGGGAAACTGAAGAATGGAGAGACCAATATGAGAGAAACAGAATTGTTTATTTTAGGTACGCACTGGCTCAGTGGATTCATATCCAAAAAGCTGAGCACTGAACAAAGACAGAGCAGGGTTTTTATAAGTGGCCTTACAAAAGCAAAACAAAAGCAGTTAATTATACAGTGACAGGTTGTGTAATCTATAGCATAACATATCTTGTGACCTTGGGTTGCCGGTGGCCTTGTAGCTGCATCAAAGGAAAAACAAGAACTGACTAAATACAGACATTTGTAAAACATAATAATGCTTAAGAAGCCTGGAAAAAGAGTAACAGTAAAATAATCTCTCTCTTTTTTTTTTTTTTTTTTTTTTCCTTCAACCTTGCTCTGGAAGGTGGGGGTGTCTGGAGCCCATTCATTTAGACTTGGCTATTCGGACAGCGTTATCCTGTAACCGTTCTTGATGTGAGCTTGACAGGCAGAGGAAAACTTGTTCTTTTCTTTTTATTTTTAAACCTTGCCTTGCCACATTGTGGGCCTTAGCTTTTACTTTTCTTGGAGTGAATAAATGCAGTACTTATTATTTTTAAATTTCTGTCCATATAGAGATAGAGGATGATCAAAAGATTGGGGAGAAGAGCAGCAAGATGTTAGATAAGTTACAAGGATGGAGCAGAAGAGGTGGAAGAGAAGGAATAGAGTGAAGAAGGGGATAAACAGCAGGAGAGGAGAGAGGTACAAAATGAGGAGCAGAACCCCGGGGGAAAATAAAACAAGAGCTAGAGAGAGAAGGGGAGAATGAGAGATACGTACAGAATCAGGGAAGGAAGCAAAGTAATGAAGAAAGAGAGGCTGGGTACAGTGGTTCATGCCTGTAATCCCAGAACTTTAGAAGACTGAGGCAGGGGGATTGCTTGAGTCCAGGAGTTCTAGACCAGCCTGCACAACATAGTGAGATCCTTATCTCTGCCAAAAAAAAAAAAAAATTAATCGGGTATGATGGTGCGCACCTGTAATCCCAGCTACTCTGGAGGCCAAGGGAGGAGGATCACTTGAGCTCGGGAGGTCCAGGCTGCAGTGAGCCAAGATCATGCCACTGCACTGCAGCCTGGTCAACAGAGTGAGACCCTGTTACCAAAGAAAAGAAGGGGCAGGGGGACTTTGGGATCAGATGAGTAGGTGAGTTTATTGGCTATGATTAGTTGTGACATGTTGACTTCTGTGTATATAATCTAATAATTTAAAACTTGATTAAATTATAAAGATGAGATTGAGAATTTTAAAATTCCTGTCTATGAGACATGTACATTCTGTAAATCTTGGCATCAGAGGTTAGCTTCCAGTTGGAATCCCTATTCAGCCAGAGAGCAGTGACTTATTGAGTTGGAAGTTACTCTCTTCCCTTTTCCCAGGGTGGGGTAGGACGTGGGGCAGTGAAGTGCAACAAAAATCACTTTCTGTTATTACACAATACTTTTAATTTAATTAATTAATATTTTGAGACAGGGTCTGGCTGTATCACTCGGGCTGGAGTGCAGTGGCGTGATCTCCTCTAACTGCAGCCTTGGCCCCCTGGGGTCAAGTGATCCTCCTACCTCAGCCTCCTGAGTAGTTGGGACCTCAGACATGAGCCACCAAGCCCGGCTAGTTATATATATATATACATTATATATATATATATATATATATACATTATATATATATATACACATTATATATATATACATTATATATATATATATATAAAATTTATATATATATAAAATTTACACATATAATTTATATATATAATTTATATATAAAATTTATATATAATTTATATATCTATATAAATTATAATTTATATAGATATATAAATTATAATTTATATTATAATTTATATAGCTATATAAATTATAATTTATATTATAATTTATATAGCTATATAAATTATATATATATAAATTATAATTTATATTATAATTTATATAGCTATATAAATTATATATCTATATATATAATTGTAAAACGGGGTTTTAAATTCCCAAGCTGGTCTCAAAATCCTGGGCTCAAAGGATCCTCCTGCTTTGACCTCCCAAAGTACTGGGATTACAGGGTTGAGGCACTGCGCCTGGCCTACATAGTACTTTTTTTTTTTTTTTTGAGATGGAGTTTTACTCTTGTTGCTCAGGCTGGAGGGCAATGTTGCAATCTCAGCTTAGTGCAACCTCTGCTTTCTGGGTTCAAGCAATTCTCCTGCCTTAGCCTCCTGAGTAGTTGGGATTACAGGCATGCGCCACCACTCTGGGCCAATTTTGTATTTTTAGTAGAGACAGGGTTTCTCCATGTTAGAGAGGCTGGTCTCAAACTCCTGACCTCAGGTGATCTGCTCACCTCGATCTCCCAAAGTGCTGGGATTACAGATGTGAGCCACTGCACCCAGCCCATAGTACTTTCTAAAATGGACATCAAAGCCAGGTGTGGTATCTCATGCCTGTAATCCCAGCACTTTGGGAGACCGAGGTGAGAGAATCACGTAAGGTCAGGAGTTCAAGAGCAGCCTGGCCAACATGGTGAAACGCCGTCTCTATGAAAAATACAAAACTTAGCCAGGCATGGTGGCGTGCACCTGTAGTTCCAGCTGCCCAGGAAGATGAGGTACACAATCACTTGAACCTGGGAGGTAGAGGTTGCAGTGAGCTGAAATCATGTTGCTGCACTGCAGCCTGGGTGGCATAGCGAGTCTCCATCTCAGAAAAACAAACAAACAAAAAATAAAAAATAAAAGGGGTATCAAAAGTGCTTTTGTTCTTGTTGTGTAATAGATTTCTTTTTTTTTTTCTTTCTGGTTTCTCATTTATTTATATATATATATATATATATATGTAATTTTTTTGCAGTTGGAGTTTGAGAAAAATCTTAGTTTTAAGAGTATCTTTTTTAATACTTAATCACTTCTGAAAGATGGCTTTGTGGCATCCTATAACCAGCTCACATCATTCCTTTCTGTACATGTATATGTTCCAGTTAAGTTCCCGTTGACCTCAGAGTTTGTTAGATTTTTTTTTAAAACAATTTAAAAATAGTTTCGGTTTGAAATTAGTTGCATCCAGTTCAGATCGAGGTCTGCATGCTTTCTAGTTTTTATTATTTATTGGAAAACTTTGGTACCTCATACAGAAGTTTGATTGTTTCAGTGTGTACCTGGTAAAGATGTCAGTGACCTTTTACCTTAACATCAAAATGCAGTTTAACCAGTTAGTCTATTTTTCAGTTTTCTTTCCTTATGTCATTTGTTAAAATCTTGAGCTGGGAGCTATTAAGTTCATGTTTCCCTCAAGGCCCTCTGGTGCGTTTGGACAAATGTTGAAAGATGGGTTGGATTGGCATGGAATGCTGTTCCAGAAGCACTCCTGTATTTTTTTTTTTTTTTTTTTTTTTTTTTTTGTGACAGTTACACTCTTGTTCCCCAGGCTGGAAGTGCAATGGTGCCATCTCAGCTTGCAGAAACATTTGCCTCCAGGATTTAAGTGATTCTCCTGCTTCAGCCTCCTGAGTAGCTGGGATTACAGTTGCCTGCCACCATGCCTGGCTCATTTTTTGTATTTTTAGTAGAGACAAGGTTTCACCATGTTTGCCAGGCTGGTCTCGAGCTCCTGACCTCAGGTGATCTGCCCACCTCGACCTCCCAATGTGCTGGGATTACAGGCAAGAGCTACCGTGCCTGACCACCCATATATTCTTGATTGAAACAGTTCGCTTACGTCTTAGTTCTACAGCTGACTTTCTTTCCCTGTTTTCAAGGTCAATTACTGTGTGTTCACACTTCTGCATTTTATGAATGTGACTGTGATTTTTTTTTAAGGAAGAATTAAATGTCAGGAATCAGTGGCATCAGAACTTTGTAAAGGAAGTTTCTTTAGCCCAGGTATTTGAAAGATGCTTCTGTAATTTTCAAGGATAGGGGTGATAAAGACCAACCCTTCCCGTTAGCCCTTCCAGGCCCCCATGTAAGAATTCAGACACACCTTCTCACTCATCTCAGATCTTCTCAGGGTAACTCGGTGAAAATGTCCCCGCTCTGAGCCCAGTGAGCGTCCCTGCAACTTGGAGATGAGGGGCTAGACCAGAAAAGCTCACCCTGAGTGACCCTGGCCCCTGAAATGATTGGCAAAATAGAGTGGGTGTCTGGGTGTGGCTTTTCTTCTGGGAGAGGGGAGTGCCCAGTTGTAACTAGAATTTTAAATGGGATGCAGTACCCCAAAAATGAAGAAAAGCAGAAGAATGGAAGAAACAGAGCGGTAGACTCAGACACAGAGACCATCTTCGGGGCCTTTCTCTGTATGAGGACATCACAGCCAAATCTAAAGCAGGTCATGTCAGTGCCTGGCAGGGAACCCTCCACCGGCTTCCCGTGTTCCCCAGGACAAAAGCCCAACTCCTCACTGTGGCTCCACAGCCCTGTGTCCAGGGCCCCTGCCAGTGTCCAGCCTCCTGGGAGCTTGCCCTCATCTCATGACTCCCTCTGCCCCAGTCACATTTTTTTTTTCCCAAACACCAAAACCTTTTCTGTCTCAGGTCATTGTCCCTGCTCTTACCCTATGTCCCTAAATGATCACTGCATTGTCCCTTTCTCCTCCTTCAGTTCTAGGCTCAGAGCTGTCTCCCATGCCCTCCCACCCACATCTGAAGTTCCCTCTGCCCACCAGTCTCTATCACGTTACTCAGGTTTTATTATCTCTGCATCAATCATATCAGAAGCACTTTTTCTTTCTTTCCTTTTTTTTTCTTTTTTTAGACAGAGTCTCACTCTATTGTCCAAACTATGAGTGCACTCTTGTGATCTTGGCTCACTGCAATCTCTGTCTCCTAGCTTCAAGTGATTCTTGTGCCTCAGCCTCCCAAGTAGCTGGGATTATAGGGGTGTGCCACCACACCTGGTTAATTTTTGTATTTTTATTTTTATTTTATTATATTTTATTTTTGAGTCTCACTCTGTCACCCAGGCTGGAGTGTAGTGGTGTGATCTCGGCTCACTACAACCTCCACCACCAGAGTTCAAGCAATTCTCCTGCCTCAGCCTCCCGAGTAGCTGGGATTACAGATGCCCACCAAGCCAGGCTACTTTTTATGTTTTTAGTAGAGATGCAGTTTCACGATGTTGGCCAGGCTGGTCTCAAACTCCTGACCTCAAGTGATCCACCAGCCTCGGCCTCCCAGAGTGCTAGGATTACAGGCATGAGCCCTGCACCCAGCTCAATTTTTGTATTTTTAGTAGAGACAGGGTTTCACCATGTTGGCATGGCTAATCTCAAACTCGTGACCTCAGGTGATCCACCTGCCTTGGTCTCCCGGTGTACTGGAATTGCAGACGGGAGTCACTGTGCCCGCCCAGAAACACCCTTCTGCATGGATTACTTTGTGTGTTGTGTCTCCCTTACTTGAAGGATGCACAATTACCATCTTGGCCACAGGACAACAGCAGCACCTACTCTGGGGTTGCAGTTTAGATGCTGAGGTGTCCTCGGAAGACTGAGGGGCTGGGGCAAATGTGAGGATGTTCCCACATTTCTTCTGGAAATTTCAACTCTAATTGATCTAAACTTCCTGTGGCAATTTGTTTTAGTCAAAATAAGAGGAGAAGGCCTCTCTAAGGTCAGAAAAGCCCTACAGACCAGACCCTGCATCTTCAGCCAGTCCTGAGGCATCTCCATTTTTGTCATCTGTGTGAACTGCCTCACTCCAGCTCCCAGGTCTTCCATGCTCTGCACATCACCAGGACCCAGTTTGGCCATTATGGGCAGGGACTTTGCCCTTCCCTTTGGATTCCCTTCAGGAAGGGTGGGGAGAAGGTCAGGGACCTGAGGGGCATGAAGGACACACTCCTACACAACTAGTTCTGTTCCGGAGGAGCTGGAGGCTCCGTGACTTCAGGAAAGATTCTTCCAAGAATCAGAGTGCAAACAGCACAGTGAACTGCAGCCCGAGGGCCACCTCCTCCTGCCAGGCCAGTGGCGATGATGCTCTACTGGCTTTTCCTTGCCTGTCACAACACGTGAGCATACACACACACACACACACACACACACACACACACACACACACACACACACACAGAGTCACAGGGCAGCTGAGGAGCTGAGGATCAAGTCAAGATGCCATAATGTAAATGTGGGGCTGGCTGTGGTGGCTCACCCCTGTAATGCCAGCACTTTGGGAGGCCAAGGCGGGTGGATCACTTGAAGTCAGGAGTTTGAGAGCAGCTGGCCAACATGGTGAAACCTCATCTCTACTAAAAATACAAAAATTAGCTGGGTGTGGTGGCACATGCCTATAATCTCAGCTACTCAAAAGGCTGAGACAGGAGAATCACTTGAACCCGGAAGGTGGAGGTTGCAGTAATCCGAGATGGTGCCACTGTACTCCAGCCTGGGCAACAGAGAGAGACTCCATCTAGAAAAAAAAAGAGAGACAGAGAGAGAAGGTGTCGCTCTGTGGCCCAGGTCTGGAGTACAATGGCAAAATTCTAGTTTACAGCAGCCTTGAACTCCTGGGCTCAAGTGATCCCCATTTTAGCCTCCCAAAGAGCTAGAAGGATAGGCATGTGTCACCACACATAGCTACATCTTTTCTTTTTCTTTTTCTTTTTCTTTTTCTTTTTCTTTTTCTTGTTTTTTGAGATGGAGTCTCGCTTTGTTGCCTAGGCTGGAGAGCAGTGGTGCAATCTCAGCTCAGTGCAACCTCTGACTCCTGGGTTCAAGCAATTCTGCCTCAGCCTCCTGAGTAGCTGGGACTACAGGTATGCACTGCCATGCCTGGGTAATTTTTGTGTTTTTAGTAGAGATGGAGTTTCACCATGTTGGCCAGGCTGGTCTTGAACTCCTGACCTTGTGATCTGCCCACCTCAGCCTCCCAAAGTGTTGGGATTTCAGGCATGAGCCACCACTTCCAGAATTATTTTTTATATTGTATTTTTATTCTGTCCAGGGTGAAGTGCAGTGGTGCAATCATAGCTCACTATAGCCTTGATCTACTGACCTCTAGGGATCCTCCCATCTTGGGAGAATACATGGATGGATAAGTCCATGGTTACGTAGAAAACACATCATTTGCAATAAGTTTTTTTTTTATAATTTTAATAATTTTAAGTATTTTTCATTGTTGTCAACTATCACAATAATGAGTTAATAGTAAAAACAGGCCAGGCACGGTGGCTCATGCCCGTAATCCCAGCACTTTGGGAGGCTGAAGAGGGTGAATCATGAGGTCGGGAATTCAATACCAGCCTGGCCAAGATGGTGAAACCTCGTCTCTACTAAAAATACAAAAATTAGCTGGGTGTGGTGGCAGGTGCCTGTAATCCCAGCTACTTGGGAGGCTGAGGCAGGAGAATTGCTTAGACCTGGGCAAACGAGGTTGCAGTGAGCTGAGATTGTGCCACTGCACTTCAGGCTGGTTGACAGAGTGAGACTCTGTCTTAAAAGGAAAAATAGTAAGAAGGATTGTACAGTATTATATTCATGCCCTGTGTGTCCATTCAATGACCTTGTAGGATGCTCCATGTTCTTACCCTTGAACCTATTTCATGTTCTCTCCATTAGATAAACCTGTGTCAGTTTAGTTTTGAAGCTGTATCTTTTACTTAGGTGGTTATATTCAAATCTGAATCCCAGACATCTGGATTCAGTGCTTGTGTTGACATTTTTAGCTATTTGATTTGTGGTAATTTTCCTAGTATGTGTGATGCACTTGTCTCCAAGTACAGATCTTTCTTCATGGGACAGTATGTTATTTTATGGCTTAAGACATGGGAAGCACTTAGAACAGTGTATAGCACATGGGAAGCATTCAAAAATGTTATTCATGGCTATTGCTGTCATCACAACAGTTTTCAGTTTTGGACTTTACTCTCTTTTCTTTTCTATCAAATTCATTGGACTTTGTCCTCTCTAGACACCACTTGTATTTCAGCTCATCTAGGTAATGAATATCACCTGTTATGTTGAACATACTATCTGTAGAGAAAACTCTATGTTCGTTTGCTTTTTTTTTTTTTTTTTTTTTGAGAAAGTCTCACTCTGTCACCCAGGCTGGAGTGCAGTGGTGTGATCTCAACTCACTGCAGCCTCCGTCTCCTGGGCTCGAGATTCTCCTACCTCAGCTTCCTGTGTAGCTGGGATTACAGGTGCCTGCCACCATGCCTGGCTACTTTTTATATTTTTAGTAGAGAAGAGGTTTTACCATGTTGGCCAGGCTGGTTTCCAACTCTTGACCTCAAATGATCTGCCCGGCTTGGCCTCCCAAAGTGTTTTGATTACAGGCATGAGCCACCACACCAAGCCCTGTGTTTCCTTTTTATTTGTATATTTTTTACATTGTCCATAAAACCGAGACATCCACAGTGACTTAAGGGATCTTAAAATATTTTGTGGAGGCCGGGCGCGGTGGCTCACGCCTGTAATCCCAGCACTTTGGGAGGCCGAGGCGGGCGGATCACGAGGTCAGGAGATCGAGACCATCCTGGCTAACACGGTGAAACCCCGTCTCTACTAAAAATACAAAAAATTAGCCGGGCGTAGTGGCGGGCGCCTGTAGTCCCAGTTACTCGGGAGGCTGAGGCAGGAGAATGGCGTGAACCCGGGAGGCGGAGCTTGCAGTGAGCCGAGATCGCGCCACTGCACTCCAGCCTGGGCGACAGAGCGAGACTCCGTCTCAAAAAAAAAAAAAAAAAAAAAAAATATTTTGTGGAAAAGTACAATAAAACACAACTGTGGAGAAAAAATGTGCCAAAATACCTTAACGTGGGTTTGTCAGAACACAGTCTTTGATCAAATTAGTACTTATTTTCTCTTTTCTCATTTTGTGGGAAGGTGATAACTGACTCCTCCATGATGTTTTGTGGAAATGTGTGTTTCATTTTAGGGACATTTTACTTTCAGGGATGTGGCTATAGAATTCTCTTTGGAGGAGTGGAAATGCCTGAACCCTGCGCAGAGGGCTTTATACAGGGAAGTGATGTGGGAGAGCTACAGGTACCTAGAGTCTGTGGGTGATGAAAATGTCCCTGCAAACATGAGAAATCTGCTCTTGTCTATCTTGGCTCTGCCTGGTTATGTGTTCTGTTTTGTGATTTTGCCCCATGCCTGCTTTCTTGTTTGTTTGTTTTTGAGACAGTTTCCCTCTTGTTGTCCAGGGTGGAGTGCAGTGGTGTGATCTCTTCTTACCACAACCTCTGTCTCCAAGGTTCAAGCAATTCTCCTCCTTCAGCCTCTCAAGTAGCTGGGATTACCAGCATGTGCCACTACGCCTGGCTAATTTTGTATTTTTAGTAGCGACAGGACTTCTCCATGTTGGTCAGTCTGGTCTCGAACCCCAACCTCAGGTGATCCACCCGCCTCAGCCTCTCAAAGTGCTGGGCTTACAGGTGTGAGCCACTGTGCCCAGCCCCCATACATGCTTTTGATGTACGTGTCATTGTTTTCTGCAGTGATGACCCTCCTATCAGTCATGGATAGCTTGTTAGGCACTCCCCTATGGAGTGAGTTTGCATAAAAACAGAAAATTCATGAAGAACACTTTGACTGTTATGATTGAACATCATCCTGCTCTAGGCAGAGGCGCCCTGGAAACCCTGAGCAGAATTGTCAGCGTGGACCAGGTTATGAGATAGAAAGCATCACACTGACTGATAAGTGTTTCCAGCTGTCATGCTTTCTTTTATTTATTTATTTTTTGAGATACAGTCTCCCTCTGTCACCCATGCTGGAGTGCAGTGGTGCAATCTGTGCTCATTGCAACCTCCACCTTCTGGGTTCAAGCAATTCTCCTGCCTGAGCCTCCCTTGTAGCAGGGCTTATAAGCATGCTCCACCATACCTGGCCAGTTTTTGTATTTTTAGTAGAGTCGGAGTTTCATCTTGGTGCCCAAGCTTGTCTTGAACTCCTGACCACAGGTGACCCACCCACCTTGGCTTCCCAAAGTGCTGGGATTACAGGCATGAGCCACCATGCCTGAGCCATTCTGGTTTTTGAGGAGCATCATAGAAGCTTCTCTCAGTGGCACTGTGGCAATGTTCATCCCATAAACTAATGATCGTCTTCTCTAAGCAGCAGTCAGTGGTGTTAAAATTCCTCCTACTGAGGATGTCATTTGGGCTCACAGCCTCCTATGAGGCTCTTGACTGAACTGTTGTTCATTTCACATTTTTCACACCAATATGTGTCACTGTTCATTTTTAACAAGAAAACCTTTGTTCAATTTGTTGTAGAATCAACCCTGTAACAGATATGGTTTTCATCAATCTTATTAAGGGAGCTTGTGAGGTTGAATGAAATCCCTATATTTTAGTGTTCATTTCTTTTTTTTTTTTTTGAGATGGAGTCTTGCTCTGTCACCCAGGGTGGAGGCAGTTGTGTGATCTCAGCTCACTGCAACCTTGGCCTCCTGGGTTCAAGTGATTCTCCTGCCTCAGCCTCCTGAGTAGCTGGGATTACAGGCATGTACCACCACACTTGGCTTAATTTTTGTATTTTTAGTAGAGACAGGTTTTCACTATGTTGGCCAGGCTGGTCTTGAACTCTTTACCTCAGGTGATACACCCACCTTGGTCTCCCAAAGTACTGGGATTACAGGCATGAGCCATGCCTGGCCTACAAAGATATTTTTGATGAAACATTTTTGTTGAGTTGGTGTCTCCATGAGGATATGAGGGCCTGGCATTTGCTAGTCTGTCACCTTCACTTTTCATGTCTCATTTATTCCAGAGATTGTGTTTAAAAGTCCAGGGATATGACTTCAAATAATATAGGAACCAGGAAAAGAGACACCCTTGTTTTTACATAAGAAACAAGATTTACCCTCCAGTTTTTTTTTCTTTTTTCTTTTTTTTTTTTTTTGAGATGAAGTCTCGCTCTGTCACCCAGGCTGGAGTGCAATGGTGCAATCTCAGCTCACTGCAACCTCTGTCCCCCAGGTTCAAGTGATTCTCCTGCCTCAGCCTCCCAAGTAACTGGGATTATAGGCGCCTGCCACCATGCCTGGCTAATTTTTATATTTTTAGTAAGACGGGGTTTCACCATCTTGGCCAGTCTGGTCTTGAACTACTGATCTTGTGATCTACCTGCCTCGACCTCCCAAAGTGCTAGGATTACAGGCTTGAGCCACCGAGCCTGGCCTTATCCTCTAATTTTCATATGCAACCATTTTAGTTAGCGCATTATTGTTTTTCTTCACTAATTTGACCAATCACACATGTAGGCAACAATCTCCATCTGGGTCTGTTTTGTTTTGTTTTTTGTTTTGTTTTGTTTTTTGAGACAGTCTCACTCTGTCACCCAGGTTGTAGTGCAGTGGTGCAATCTTGGCTCACTGCAACCTCCGACTCCCAGGTTCAAGCAATTCTCCTGCCTCAGCCTCCCGAGCAGCTGGGATGATGGGCACGTGCCACCATGCCCAGCTAATGTTTTGTATTTTTTTAGTAGAGATGGGGTTTCAGCATGCTAGTCAGGCTGGTCTTGAACTCCTGACCTCATGATCCACCCACCTCCACTTCCCAAAGTGTTGGGACTACAGGCATGAGCCATCCCCTCTGGCCTGGCTCTTTTTTCACAAACCGATCTCTACCTACTCAGCTAGGGATCATTCTTCACGCCTGTGGTCTCCCCCATTGCTGTACTCTTCATAGAGTTTACTCATTTTTTCATGTGTATACACAATTCTGCAATCTACAAGGGGGATTTTGTTGAGTATTCATTTGACACTGGAAATCAGAGGCCATTTAATTTAAGAGACGTAAAACTGCTTTTACCTCAGACCGCCATACTGCTGATTTTTTGGATCTCTTTTTCTTTTTTTCTTTTTGAGACAGAGTCTCACTCTGTCACCCATGCTGGTGTGAAGTGGCCACATCTCAGCTCACTGCAACCTCCACTGCCAGGGTTCAAGCAATTCTCCTGCCTCAGCCTCCTGAGTAGCTGGGATTACAGGCATGCACCACCACACCCGGCTAATTTTTGTTTTTTTTTTTTTTTTTTTTTTTTACTTCTCAATTTGTCTGTCTTTAATATTCAAAAGCAAAATGCCCCTCACCAACTTCCAGCCCAGTCTCACTCATGCTTTGTGGTGTGAACTGCAGGCTGATTTTGATTGTTTTGTTTTTGTTTTTGTTTTTTTGATTGTATCTTCTTCCTTTATTTTTTTTTCTTTTTTTCTTTTTTTTTTTAATTGATCATTCTTGGGTGTTTCTCACAGAGGGGGATTTGGCAGGGTCATAGGACAACAGTGGAGGGAAGGTCAGCAGATAAACAAGTGAACAAAGGTCTCTGGTTTTCCTAGGCAGAGGACCCTGCGGCCTTCCGCAGTGTTTGTGTCCCTGATTACTTGAGATTAGGGAGTGGTGATGACTCTTAAGGAGCATGCTGCCTTCAAGCATCTGTTTAACAAAGCACATCTTGCACCACCCTTAATCCATTTAACCCTGAGTGGACACAGCACATGTTTCAGAGAGCACCGGGTTGGGGGTAAGGTCACAGATCAACAGGATCCCAAGGCAGAGGAATTTTTCTTAGTGCAGAACAAAATGAAAAGTCTCCCATGTCTACTTCTTTCTACACAGACACGGCAACCATCCGATTTCTCAATCTTTTCCCCACCTTTCCCCGCTTTCTATTCCACAAAGCCGCCATTGTCATCCTGGCCCGTTCTCAATGAGCTGTTGGGCACACCTCCCAGACGGGGTGGTGGCCAGGCAGAGGGGCTCCTCACTTCCCAGTAGGGGCGGCCGGGCAGAGGCGCCCCCCACCTCCCTCCCAGACGGGGCGGCTGGCCGGGCGGGGGCTGCCCCCCACCTCCCTCCCGGACGGGGAGGCTAGCCGGGCCGGGGCAGGCTCCTCACATCCCAGACATGGGCGGCCAGGCAGAGACGCTCCTCACTTCCCAGACGGGGTGGCGGCCGGGCAGAGGCTGCAATCTCGGCACTTTGGGAGGCCAAGGCAGGCGGCTGGGAGGTGGAGGTTGTAGTGAGCCGAGATCAGGCCACTGCACTCCAGCCTGGGCACCATTGAGCACTGAGTGAACGAGACTCCGTCTGCAATCCCGGCACCTCGGGAGGCCGAGGCTGGCAGATCACTCACGGTTAGGAGCTGGAGACCAGCCCAACCAACACAGCGAAACCCCGTCTCCACCAAAAAAATACGAAAACCAGTCAGGCGTGGCGGCGCGCGCCTGCAATTGCAGGCACTCAGCAGGCTGAGGCAGGAGAATCAGGCAGGGAGGTTGCAGTGAGCGGGAGAGGGAGAGGGAGAGCGAGAGCTGTATTGTTAGTAGAGACAGGGTTTCACCATGTTGGTCAGGCTGTCCTGAACTCCTGACCTCATGATCTGCCTGCATCGGCCTCCCAAAGTGGTGGGATTACAAGCATGAGCCACTGCACCTGGCCTGAATGTCGTTCATTCTTGTCCTTTGCCCATATTGTAATTTGTATAGTTAACCTCTGGTCAATATTTTACCATTTGCTAAATTAGTTCCACTTTCGTCCAAGCTCAAGATTTGGTCTATCCTAGTGGAATTATATTCCCACAGACATGCATGCACAAAATTCACTCCTACATGCCCATTACTTCTGCCCTCCACCCTTGCCCTTCCTTTCCTGGCCTTGCATCACATGGTACATTGATCTGGATGCAAATACTGTTTCTTTTCAGCCTATCGATTTTGTAATGCTGAACACCCCAATTTCCCCGTGAGCCCATCCCCTCCAACACCACTCTCACTGAGTAAGTCAAGACCTTGTTCATCCACTGGACAAAATTATAGGAGGCCGCTTAAATCAGTGTGTGCAGGGTATGATGACTCAGCACATGATCCATGAGGGATGGCTTCAGAACCACTGTCAGCAGCGCAGCTCAGCGCTTGTGTCCCAGCTCAGCCCTTGTATCCCCCTTGATATATTTCTTTCTGTTCTTGTATTTTCTGTGACTGGTCATTTCCTGTACTGCCTGGGCATACTATTGTGCTTAAGTACATGTCGTGGGATCCTTCAGGCCTAGGATCAAGTCTTGTCCCTCACTTACCGTACATGCAAATTGGGGTGAAGTACATGAACACTGTGGGCCTGGTGTCCTTATTTGAGAAGTAATGTTAATTTGCCCCCAGGTTTTTAAAACAAGTTAATGCTATTAGATGGCTTCAAGTAACGCAAGCTTTATAGTACAGATTCTGAACTTCCTTTGTTTAATAAGATTTGTCAGCCTTCAGTGACATTGGTGATTAGATGCCCCTTTTCCTGTGTCACTCATTTCACTGTCTTGTCAGAAATAGCTTAGAGTAGCTGGCCGTGGTGGCTCATGCCTGTAATCCCAGCACTTTGGGAGCCCAAGGTGGGTAGATCACTTGATGTCAGAAGTTTTAGACCAGCCTGGCCAACAGAGGTTAGCCACTTTTCCCAGCCGGTTTTTTGTTTCTTTGACAAAAACTGATAGGGATTTGTATGGGCGTTGTGTTAAATCTAAATCATCTTGGGTTGTATAATCATTTAACGAGATTAAGTTTTCCAATCTATCAATATTGGTTGTATCTCTATGTTTTTAATCATTTTGATCAATGTTCATAGATTTCAAGGTAGAAACTTCTCGCATTTTTACGTTTATTCCTAAGTATATCTTAGTTTAAATTCTCTAGAAAATGGAAGTGTTTTCTTAATTTCCTTTTAAAATTTTTTACTGTTATTGCATGGAAATTCAACTAATTTTGGTGCTAATATTGTACTCTGCAAATCCACTGAATGTTTATTAGTTCCACTTGTATTTTGGTTGAGTCTTTGTGACTTTCTACACAGAGGATCGTGTCATCTACAAACAAATAAAATTTTATTTATTTCTTTCTGATTTGGATGAGTTTGATTTCTTTTGCTATTTCATTGCTCTGGCTAGGACAGTCAGTATTGATTGAATAGAAAGGGTGAGAACGTTCTAGCATCATGTGAGATCCTACAGGAAAAGCATTCAATTTTTCCTGATTGGTTATTTCAGCTGTGGTCATTTCATGGATGGTCTTTTATATTGTTGAGGTAAATTTCCTTCTTTATTTTGTTTAGGGTTTCTATGATGACAGGATGGTCCTAAGTCTTCACACATCAGGGCCACAGCCCCAACCTCACAGGAAACAGGTGATCTTTTGAAAGGCTTAAGGCCCAAGAGTTCATTTGAGGGCTTTTTAACCTGTGGATTTGGTCTAGAGCCATATCAGAGGGTTGTGTCTGTGTGAGTGTGCAAATGTGTGGTGCTTTCCAAGTTCAGTTGACATTGGTAATTTTTTTTTTTTTTTTTTTTTTTGAGATGGAGTCTCACTCTGTTACCCAGGCTGCAGGGCAGTGGCATGATCTCGACTCACTGCGGCCTCCACCTCTCAGCTTCAACCAATTCTCCTGCCTCAGCCTCCCTAGTAGCTGGGATTACAGGCACACACCACCAGGCCCGGTTAATTTTTTGTATTTTTAGTAGAGATAGGGTTGCACCATGTTGACCAGGCTGGTCTCGAACTTTTGACCTGAGGTGATTGGCCCACCTCAGCCTCCCAAAGAGCCACTGCTCCTGGCCTAATAATTTTTTATTTATTTATTTTTTTGAGTTGGAGTCTCACTCTGTCACCCAGGCTAGAGTGCAGTTGCATGATCTCTGTCTCCAGAAAAAACAAAAAACAAAAAGATAATATTTGCATCGTTATTGGCTCATTTTTGATTACTTGGGAAAACAGCTTTCAAAAGCTTAAGGTTTTTAAATACATGTGACTTTCTATATTTTTTTTCTGATGTTCTGTTTATAGCATTTTGTGTGTGTGTGTGTGTGTGATGGAGTTACACTCTTCTTGTGTACCCTGGAGTGTAGTGGTGCGATCTCAGCTCACTGCAACCTCTGCCTTCTTGGCTCAAATGATTCTCCTGCCACAGCCTCCTGAATATCTGAGATTACAGGCATGCGCCATCACCCTCGGCTAATTTTGTATTTTTTTAGAGACAGGGTTATACCATGTTGGTCAGGCTGGTCTCGAACTCTTGACCTCAGGGGATCCACCCATCTTGGCTCCCAAAGTGCTGGGATTCAAGCATGAGCCACTGTGCCCAGCCATTTGTTTAGTTTTTTGAGATGGAGTCCAGCTCTTTCGCACAGTCTGGAATGCAGTGGTGCAATCTCCACTCACTGCAACCTCTGCTCCCTGGGTTTAAGTGATTCTCATGCCTCAGTCTCCTGAGTAGCTGGGATTACAGGCTCACATCCAGTTTTTTTTGTATTTTTGGTAGAGACAGGGCTTATAGGTTTGAGCCACCACACCTGGCCATCCCCATTTTTATATGTACAATTTAATCATTGACTACAGTCATTCTGTTGTGTTATGAAATAATAGGTCTTATTCTATTTTTTGTACCCATTATCATGTTCTATTTATTAATTATTTCTGATTAAAATAAACTTTTTTGCCATGCACGGTGGCTCATGTCTGTAATCCCAGCACTTTGGAAGGTCAGGATTTGGAGACCAGCCTGGCCAACACGGTGAAACCCCGTCTCTACTAAAAATACAAAAATTAACCCAGCATGATGGCGAGCACCAATAATCCCAGCTACCTGGGAGGCTGAGGCAAGAGAATCATTTGAACCCAGGAGGCAGATGTTGCAGTGAGCCGAGACCGTGCCATTGCACCCCAGCCTAGGCAACAAGAACCAAACTCAATCTCAAAAATAAATAAGTAACTTAATTAATTTTTAAAACATAAAGATGAGGTGCTATGTTGCCTAGGCTGGACTCCAACTGTTGGGCACTAGCCATCCTCCTGCCTCAGCCTCCCATCATGCTCGGATTACAGGCACAAGCCACCATGCCTGACGACATTATGCTTTTTTAAACTTGCTAATATTCTAGATATGCTAATTTCCCTTCTAAATGTAATCATATTTTAGCTAATTACTAGTGTTTGATAGATGAATTCTTCCATAGCTAGGGATGTGGGAGAAAAACATAGTTCATAGTACATGTTAACTTACAGATATAGTCATAAAAGTATTACATGCAGAAATGAGGTGATTTATAATTTCATTTTATTTTTATTTTTATTTTTTTGAGACAGAATCTCACTCTTTTGCTCAGGCTGGAGAGCTGTGGTGAGATCTTTGCTCACTGCAACCTCTGCCTCCTGGATTCAAGAGATTCTCCTGCCTCAATCTCCTGAGTAGCTGAGATTACAGTTTTGTGCCACCTTACCCAGCTAATTGTTGTATTTTTAGTACAGATGGGGTTTCACCATGTTAGCCAGGCTAGTCTCAATCTCCTGACCTCTGGGTCATCCACCTGCCTCGACCTCCCAAAGTGCTGGGATTACAGGTGTGAGTCAATGTGCCCAGCCAATTTTATAACTTAGTTATATTTTTTCAGGGCCCAAGTAAAACGGAATAACTTGACTGCAATGTATTCTTAGTAATATTTCATGATCTTTCTCTATATGAAAATAAATCCTAACATTTAAAGACTGCATATTTTATAGCCTTTGTTATTCCCACCTGATAGAACACTCAGGAGAGAATAACAAAGAAAACACCTAAAATAGATTGCAATTGGATGGGTGTGGTGGCTTGCCTGTAACCCCAACACTTTGGGAAGCAAAGGTGGGTTGATCGCTTGAGTCCAGGAGTTGAAGGCTAGCCTGAGCATCATAGTGGGACCACCCCTCTACAAAGTACTAACAAATTAGCCAGGCTTGGTGGTGAGGGCCTGCAGCTCCAGCTAGTTGGGAGGTGTGGCGGGAGGATTGCTTGAGCACCAGAGGTTGAGGGTGCAAGGAGCAGTGTTCCTGCCACTGCATTCCAGCCGGGGTGACAGAACTAGGTCCTGTCTGAAGGAAAAAAAAAAAGTACAACTTGAAGATAAAAGGTACATTTTCTAATTTTTTCAGAAGGCACATAGAGTGAATTTAATATTACAATACATTTATAAATTATTGATGTTAGCATATTATGTTGTCAACAACATTTATCGTAAAAGTAGTTATATTGCAGGGAAGAACTGTAAAAAAAAGTATTTGAGAATGAGGTGTAAGCTCTGATTTTTTTATCTTGTCCAAATTCCTATGTAAAGAGTCTAGGGGGTCATGCCTTACAAACCACAAAACATATGGCAAAGAAGAAAGTCAAAATATTTGACCTCAAAACATGTTTCTGTGCCATATTTTGAAATGGTCCTTCAAAGGTATCGTTTGTGAGGGGTTCATGTGCGTCTGCAAAGAATCTCTGTTAACATAGCTAGATCTTTTTCTTCTAGGCCCTACCAATCCTGAAGAGAATAACTAAAAATCTAACACCTTTTAAAGGTCTGAATAAAAAACATTCATCATCTATTTTCTCTGAAGGCAGCCAGCAGAGGACTTCAAAAGAACCTTGGTCTCCAACATCTTTTATCTTAACCTGAACATTTCCTCTCTATTGATCCCAGGTATTTAGACAAACTCAACCAATTCTAATCAGAAAATGTTTAAATTTACCTGTAGCCTGGAAGCTCCCACTTTGAGTTGTCCCACCTTTCTGAACAAAATTAATGCATCTTTTAAATGTATTTGATTGATGTCTAATGCCTCCCTAAAATGTCTAAGAAGAAGCTGTTCCCCATCACCTTGGACATATGTTCTCAGGACCTCCTGAGAGTTGTGTCATGGGCCATGATTATTCATATTTAGTGCAGAATAAATATTTTAAAATATTTTACAGAGTTTGACTCTTTTCCATGACAAATATAACTCATTTTAAGTGTGTTGTAAATAAAGTTTCGGTGCTGCAAAAGAAATAGCACCAAATATAAAATTTTCTTTTTTTCTTCTCAGAAAGGCAATTTACTTATATAGAAGGTTGTGCCCTCACAGAGGGAGCAATGGTGAGTGCGTACCTGAACAAGGGAGGGGAAGGGGTTATTTCTGATGCACATGGCCCTTGCTGCTGTGTCATTCCCCTATTGGCGAGGGTTAGACCACACAGGCTAATCTAATTCCAATTGGCTAATTTAAAGAGAGTGACAAGGTGAGTGGTTTGGCAGGAAAAATGTTATGGAATGAGGGTGGAGAATGAGTCAGGGTGGAGCAGGTAATCGGAGTGAGTCAGGGTGGGGCAGGTGATCAGAATGAGTCAAGGTGGAGCAGGTGATTGGAATGAGGCAGGGTGGAGCAGGTGATCAGAATGAGTCAAGGTGGAGCAGGTGATTGGAATGAGTCAGGGTGGAGCAGGTGATCGAAAAAGGTTGCTTTATGAGGAAGTTAAGTTTAAAAGTAGAAGGCAAAGAATTGAACATACTGACTTATTGATTCTTTGAAAAGAAATTTAGAACTCATATCTAACATTCCCTTCTCTTGCATTTTCCTTACAGCTCTTTCTCTTCAAACTTCTTTAACATGTCTTGGCTTAGTCATTCGGTTTGATTTTCCAAAATAAGAAGAAGCTTCTTTGGATAAGGTGGAGGATAGTTAAGGGAGATTTTAGTAACTGCCATTTTTATGAGCCTCTGCACCAACCCACGGATGCATGGTGTGACAGAGCACCTGACAAGAATAAGTACACCCATTACGGCTGTGAGGGAAGTAAGAATTGAGGCTACTATTCTTTTCCATCTACCGAACCACTTTTCTAGCCATCCTGAAAAGGGGTCATTTACCCCTGAGTTGTTCACTAACTTATTGGACAGAGCAGTCAGACCTTGCAATGTCTTTGTTTTACTTTCAATGGGCGCAGTGTTGTTTGGGATGAAGGTACAACACTGAGTTTTAATTATGATGCAAACTCTTCCTTTTTATGCTAATATCATGTCAAAGGCTATCCCATTTTCCCAAGACATCTGGCTGGTAGCCCCTAATTGCTCAGCTATTCCTTTAACAGCATCTCTAGTGTAATTAATAGATAGCTGTTGGTTGTCATAGATTAGTTTATCCAGTTTACATTTTATTAATTGTCACCCACCAAAACATTGACTCAAATCCTGCAGCTATTTGATTTTGGGCTTTAAATTGATCTAGTCTTCCCCATGGGACTCTAATTGTGTCTAAATAGACGTGAGAGTCAAAAGACCCATAAGGGACTTCTTTTGCTTTATGGTGTCTTATTTTTCCTTTCTCTGGTTGATGAAATGCCAGGGTGAAAGGGATAGCCAATTGGACTAAAGCATAAGTGCCACTTCAGTTACTCAGTAAAGTGTCCAGTAAAGGTCCACCATAATACCACTATGCATCTGCTCAGGGATGAATAAAGAGTGGCTGATTGGTAAACTTTTGAAAAATTTTAAGCTCTCTGCATCCCTTCAGGTCTCCAAGGAATGTTAAGTTTCCTCCCTGTCATGAGGGACATAAAGTGAACTTAGTGTTGGGAGTTGGAAGCTGGATGGCCCTGGAGGGCTGACCCACAGGGTGTCGAACTTTGGGATATAGCAGACAGAGAGAGCTTGGCATAACTTGTTACCCCAGGATGTAGAATCCTGGAAAAGAGCTAGCATCCAGCCCACACCTGGTCTACTGGAGGACAGCCCTCGTGGAAAGGGGACAATCTGGGCCTCTGGCCTGCCATGTGCACAAGCATAACAATTGCCTTTGTTCAACATGCAGAGGGAATATTTGATCCATTTTAGCCAGGCATTTACATCTTTATACCCTGTTTCAATAGCTATGGTTTGCCTTAGGTCTCCTATTTCTACTACTGAGAACTTGCTTTTGTCATTTGGCACGAGGCATGTCATAGTTTGATTTCATAGATTTGGGAAAGGGGCAGCTGTAGGAGGTGGAGGAGGGAGAAAAAAGCACACCCTAAAGAAGCCTATAGGATCCTTTCCAGTGACCTCTGCTCCTAAACCATAGAAATGCTCTAAAGTTGGGTTAGAGTTGCTAGTGGTAGGAATAGTAATGGATATAAGCACTGGGAAAGGAAAGGAAAGGAAAAGATAGATAGACTAAGCTTTCCTTAGCTTTAATTTGGTAGGGCTTGATCCAGGAACAGTGGCCCATGATTCTGATGATAATGGCACCTGCTTGACTCAGGTGTGATGTGTCCCTCCCTTTCTGCTGTATGAACAGCAGTCTCAGTGGTTAGCAGCACAAGATAGGGTCCTTCCTAGGCTGGCTCGAGTTTCCATTCTTTCCATCCTTTGATGAGAACGTCATCCCCAGGCCGATGCTGATGTACTGGAAACTCCGAAGCTGGCGCCTGTGCTGAGAGACTCTTGTTTTAAAGGAAGAGAAGGTGGAGGATAAACCAAGTATATAATTTCTAAGAAATTTATCATTTGTTTTAAACGTGGGGACATCAGCAGTGGACTTTATAATCCTTGGTGCCTTCTTGCTGAGAAATTTTCTTTAGCACCTATTTTTATTAGTTTTTAGACCAAAGAAAGCCAAATACCATTTTATATTTAACACTTCATGTATGATTTTTATACCAGATAAGCTACATTTCACCTTTATATTAGTGTTTTATTAATGTTAAACTTAATTTTAATAAAACCTTGTAGACATATTTATCCAATGTTAATGTCTGACCATAAGGTAAGATTTTTATAGACTCTTTAACCTTTTATAATTTTTGTTGAAGAGCATGTTAGTGCTTTAAGAAAAACTGGTTGTGCTTTTATTTTAATATCCAGTTCACAGAAAAACTGGATATTACCCCTTTAACTTTTGCCAGTATGTTTACACACAGAATTTCCTTTACAATTAACATTTTGAAACTTGCTTAAACCTTTAAAACAAATTTTTTTAATCTTTCAATGTAGGTAAAAATCCACATTCTTCTGCCTCCCTATAATCCTTTTACCAAAAGTATATTTTACTTTCCTTACACAACTTGCACATAAACTGTTTCTTCAACAGTTTTACAATCAGGAGGACTAATTACTTTCAAATTATATGACATTTCTTGCATAAATTCCCTCTTATAACTTTTCTTTTTTCACAACTTTGACAGACAATTCTTCAACATGCCTCAACTTTCTGAATTGTTGCAAACATCCCTTTCTTTAAACCACCATTTGATTTATTTTAGGACAAGAATTTACCATATAACATTCTTTTTACATAAATTCTCCTTCCTCCTTTTTTTTTTTTTTTTTTTCAAAGATGATAACCATTCTTTCCCAAAGTGAACTTCCTTCATGTCTGTGAACTAGACTGCCTAAGGTCACAAGATTAGAAGTTAGGATAATACATGTTACAATGTTAACTTTTAGCAAACTTGACTTTCGTTGAAAACGTTGTAAGTTTGGGATTTCAATTCTTTGCTATTAATAAGACCTTGTTCAGTCCATATTAACTTAGAAGTGGTATAGGTGGCCTCCTTCCTGATTCTGTAACTACTTTAAAGTTTGGCTGAGTGCAAACAGCTTGCACATTTCAGCAGTCCAATTATTAGGCAATTTTCCTAACTCTGCTTCTGCAAGAGTTTCTTTATCACTTATTGAATACCCATTATGTCTTTTTCCCTCAGTCACCTGGGAGAAACCCTGTATAGTCCTGTCTGGAAGGGAGTTCCTCCTAGGCCTGGTCAGACCTTTGCATGGTAAATAATTAAGATTTAGACCCCCTGTTAGAAAACCTGCTGGGTTAATGGAATTTTCAGTGGTTAATGTTAAATCATCTTTTTCTACCAGAATAGCCTCATACTTGAAGATTCTTGAGTCAGTAAGCTACCATTTTGCCTTTTTTTTTTTTTTTTTTTTTTGACTTAGGATAGTTCTTCCTTGATGAGGTGTGCTCACAATGAGGTTTCCTCTAAAAGTTATTTTTCTGTTTCTTCTGTTAGCTGAGCAGTTGCCACTACAGATTGAATGCATTTGGGCCATCCGCGGTTTACTGGGTTAAGGATTTTTGATAGGTAAGCTATGGGTTGTCAGTGGCCTCAGTGCTTTCAGGATATGCCATTGTTTACACTGACAACAGGGTGGTATTGGAGTGTTATAGGGTCATGGAGAAGACCTTCAATTATCAATTATAGGTTTTAAATTTACCCTGGCTTTTAAAGGAATAGGGTATACTGTTTTCTCTCTACTACTACTCTCTCTCTCTCTTTTCTGACTCTCTGTCTCTTTCTCCCTCTCTCTTTGACTCCCTTTTTGTCTCTCTGTCTCTTTCTCTCTCTCTCTTTGACTCTCTGTCTCTTTCTTTTTTTTTTTTTTTGAGATGGAGTCTTGCTCTGTTGCCCAGGCTGGAGTGCAGTGGTGCGATCTTGGCTCACTGCAAGCTCCGCCTCCCGGGTTCACACCATTCTCCCACCTCACCCTTCCAAGTAGCTGGGACTACAGGCACCCATCACCATGCCCGGCTAATTTTTTTTTTTTGTATTTTTAGTAGAGACGGGGTTTCACTGTTAGCCAGGATGGTCTCAATCTCCTGACCTCGTGATTTGCCCACCTCAGCCTCCCAAAGTGGGGGGATTACAGGTGTGAGCCACCGCACATGGCCAAGGCAATTTACTTCTATAGAAGGGTGCGTCCTCATAGATGGAGCAATGGTGAGTGCACACTTGGGCAAGGGACAGGAAGGGGTTCTTACTCCAGACGCATGAGGCCCCTGCTGCTGTGTCATTCCCCTATCGGCTAGGATTAGACCGCACAGGCTAAGCTAATTCCGATTGGCTAATTTAAAAAGAGTGATGGGGTGAGTGGTTTGGTGGGAAAAATGATTATGGAATGAGTCAGGTTGGAGAATTACTCAGGGTGGAGCAGGTGATTAAAAAAGGTTGCTTTATGAGGAAGTTAAGTTTAAAAGTAGAAGGCAAATAATTGCACATACTGACACATTGATTCTTTGAAGAGAAATTTAGAACTCATATCTAACAAGTGCAGCATAAAATAACAAATGTAAGGAACAACTGGGCAATTTATATGCACTGTTACAAGGTCAGTGCTTTTTTTTTTAATCACTTTTTTTCTTATTGAGACGGAGGAGGGAACTCTGGGGTAGAGGGTCTTACTTTGTCGCCCAGGCTGGCCTGGACTTCCCAGCTCAGCTATCCTCCTACCCCTGCTTCCTGAGTAGCTGGGACTCCTGGCTCCCACCACCCCACCCACATCCCTGCTGTGTTTAAGCAGCAGGTGGTGACCTCACTCCTCCCTGGCCTGAGCCCTCTGCTCCCCACCCCAGGCAGTGGCTCTAGGAAAGTCTCTGGAGCTGAGCACAGGGTGGACTCTCCCACCCCAGTGAATGAAGAATAGAAAGGGAGAGGATTTCTAATTGGTTCTGTGGGCCGTCAGCATAAAATTGTACATTTGGCTCAGGCAGGACTTTGCATTTCGCATTCTAGTTTGCATTCCTGCCCTAGACAACTTTGAGGTTTTGGAATTAAATTGCTAAAATTAATTTCAATAGTAAGGAACTTTCCTGGATCTAATTACCACCCCATGTTCACTTCTCAGGGAGGTACTATTTCCCTGACTCCTGAGCTGTTCCAGCCTCACTGGTGGGTTTCGCCTTCAAAACCTGGAAAACAGAAACACGGAGAGTGAGATAGAGGGAAGCTCAGGCCCTGACCCCTTCATTCCCCTGCGAACCCCTCACAGCCCAGGCCTCTTCCCCCCTCACCCCCCCACACCAGGCCCCTTGTCCTTCATGCCCCACCCTGGCCTCACTCAGGCCCCACCCACTTAATCTGCATCCCTTCCTGGCCTTGCTCAGGCCCGGCTCACCTCCTGGGGTTCCACCCCCCAGTCCTGGCTTTTGTCCTGCCCTAATTGGCACAGACCCAGAAGCAGATGGCGTGGACTTAAAAGTTCGTGTTAATTGGCCTTAGATTCCCTGCCCCTAGACCCAGGACCCAGTGGTTCCTTCTTCTTCTTTTTTTAATTGGAGATGGGGTCTCACTTTGACACCCAGGTTGGAGAGCTGTTACAGGATCAGAGCTCACCGCAGCATAAACCTCCTGGGTTCAACGGATCCTCCCACTTCAGCCTCCAGAGTAGCTGGGACCACAGCTACATGCCACCGCATAGGGCAAATTTTTGTGTTCCTCATAGAGACGGGCTTTCTCCATGTTGCCCAGGCTGGTCTCGAACTCTAGGGCTTAAGGGATCCAGCCGCATCGGCCTCCCAAAGTCTTGGGATTACAGGCATGAGCCACCACACCCAGCTTGTTCTTAATTAAAAAAAAAAAAAAAAAATAGGCCTGGTGCAGTGGCTCACACCTGTAATCCCAGCAGTTTGGAGGCCAAGGCTGGTGGATCACCTAATTTCAGGAGTTCGAGACCAGCCTGGCCAACATGGTGAATCCTCATCTCAACTGAAATACTGAAATTAGCTGAGCATGGTGATGCTTGCCTGTAATTCCAGCTACTGGGGAGACAGGCAGGAGAATAGCTTGAATCCGGGAGGTGGAGGTTGCAGTGAGCCGAGATCGCATAACTGCATTCCAGCCGGGCAACAGAGCGAGACTCCGTCTCAATAAAATAAAATAAAGTAAAATAAATAACTGCTTCTCAAATAAGCTTTGGTAGAATCTTACGACATCACATTATCATTTTCAAACTATTATATGTGTTTTGAATTTTCTTCTTTGACCTCACATTTCATTAGATGTATATTTTTTAACCATTTTAAAATTGTTTTTCTCTGAAATTTATTGTGTTCAGTTTAGATTGAGCACTGCCTGCATTCTAGTCTTTATTATGTATTGGAAACATTTTCTGGTACCTGATAAATGATTTTAGGTTGTTTCAATGTGTACTCAATAAAGATATCAAGGAAATTTTTTCTTTACACTAACATCAAAATTTAGTTCAAGTAGCCTATTACTCCATTTTCTTTCCTCATGTCATCTGATTAAATGGTGAGCTGTGAGCCTCTAAGTAAACATTTTCCTCAAGTTCCTCTGGTCCATAATATTCTTTGCAGATGTTGAAGGATGGGCTGGATTGACTTAGAACCTTGTTCCAGCAGAGTCCATGTGTTCATGAAGAAAACATTTGCTCAGATCTCATTTCTACCACTGCCTCTCTTTCAGTGTTTTAAATACCTATAGCTAGGGGTTCACAATTGTGTGTATTTTGAACGTATTACTGTCATTTTTCTGGGAAAATAATTGCATGTTTAGGATTCATGCCATCAGGACCTTAGACATTGAAAGAGACATTTCTTTTGCTCAGGTATATAACAGATGGTCCTGGAATTTTTTTTTTCCTTTTTTGAGATGGAGTGTCACTCTGTCAGCCATGCTTGAGTGCAGTGATACGATCTTGGCTCACTGCAACCTCTGCTTCCCAGGTCCAAGTGATCCTCCCTGGTCAGCCTCCCAAATAGCTGGGACCACAGATGCACATCACCATGCCTGGCTATTTTTTGTACTTTTCATAGAGACGGGATTTCACCGTGTTGCCCAGGTTGGTCTCAAACTCCTGGGCTCATGTGATCTACCCCTGTCAGCCTCCCAAAGTGCTGGGATTACAGGCATGAGTCACCACACCTGGCCCATCCTGCAATTTTCTAGAGAAAAAACCAACACATTCTGTTGGCCCTTCCAGTCCATCACATAGGAATGAGCCGCACCTCCTTCTGACTCAACTCAGAGCTTCTCTGGATAACTTGGTGAAATGTCTCCTACTCTGAACCTCAGTGACCCCCATCTGTAATATACAGGTGAGGAATAAGACAAGAAAAGCTCAGTCAGAGTGACACTGACCCCTGAAATGATTGGCCAAATAGTTTGTGGCTTTTTCTATACGAGATGGTAATGCTCAGGTGTAATATGAATTTTAAATAAGTTACTGTTCTCCAAAAATATAAAAAACACAAGTACCAGAATGGAAAAAACAGGTAATTAGACTCAGATCATCTTGAACCTCTCCTTGTCTCTGTCCACACCCACTGCCCTTCCATATCGTGTCATTTCACAACTTTAACCCACCTACACGACTCCATGTTCCCTACAGGCCTCTCCCCTGAGCTCTGCAATCCTGTGTTCAGTTGGCTCCTCAGCTCTCTGCTGGGATATTAAACAGGCGTCTCCAAATGCACATTTCCATAGGTGACTTCCTAAACCCCTGAACACATTCCCTTGCAGTCCTACATGTCTCAGATGAGGGTGACAGGGTACTTCTGGGGACTTAGCCAAACTTGACAGCATGTATTTTTAAAATGAGAAATGAATTCCATTATTTGTAAATGTTGTAATTTATAACGTAAAGAAAAGTTGTGTGTATACATGAAAGGCGTGAGAAAATACATCATTTCCAAAATTCTTTTGAAGTGTGGGAGAAAAATATTTCAAGACCTCATCCCTATGGATCTGTGCTCCCAGGACCTCCCTGATCTCATCTCCTGCCTGTGTCCTCCTCACTCCCTCTGCTCCAGCCACGCAGGTTTCTTTCCTTTTTCTGGGGCTGAGGTTGCTCCTGTCTCAGGGCCTTCACCTGGGCTGTCCCTCGGCCTAGGACTCTCTGTCCCATCAGCTGCAAGTGACAAGCAGCCTTTCTTCCCTAAGTCTTTGTTGTGACATCACTTTATCTACAGTAACCTTTGTGATCTCCCACAGGCCCCATTTGACATTGCAGCCCCACCTTCACCCCCACCTCTGGTCCATGTTACCTGTTCTGTGTGATTCTTTTAGCTCCTTCGCTGTTCACTGGATCCTGGTGGGAACAAGTCCCCAAGGGGAGAGCAGAGCCAGAAGGTGGGGCTGTGCTCAGCTGGTACCCTCTGAGTGGAGCTCAACCCTGACTTCACATTAGGTTTCTCAGGCATTTTGCAAATACATCTTTTATGCTATTCTATCAAAGATTGCTATTATCATAGGATGGGACACACCCTCAATAATACGATGGCGCTGGTGATTCTCATCTGTGTCCAGCATTGAACATCAAGGCAGTTTCCCCCATATTGAGAACTGAGGTCAGTCTGTGATCCACAGGGAGGTGAGGGGGCTGTGCTCTGCATGGGGTTTGGTTAGGGCCAGATCTGTGTCCTGAAGGTCTGTGCCCTGCTTCAGCGTGTGTGTGGACATTTTCAGGAGGGAGCAAGATCTGAAAATGGGTCAAAATTACCCTTGTAGGTCTTCCTGTGGGGCTTTCTTATCTCTGCATGATCTCTGGTGCAGTGGGCAGTAGAGGACAGTCTTTATACCGGGTAAGGTCTCCCCTGTGTATGTTTTGTCACAGGAAAGGAATGTGTGGTTTCTAAACATTAAATCTCAGCTGGGTCTGGTGGTTTACCCCTGTAATCATAGCTCTTTGGGAGGCTGAGGTGGGCAGATCTCAAGGTCAGGAGATTGAGACTCTCCTGGCCAACATGATGAAACCCCATGTCTACTAAAAATACAAAAATTAGCTGTGCATCGTGGAGTATGGCTTGAATCCCAGCTACTTGGTACACTGAGGCAAGAGAATTCCTTGAACTGGGGAGGCAGAGGTTGCAGTGAGACGAGATCATGTCACTGAACCCCATCATGGTGACAGAGCTGGACTCCATCTCAAAAAAAATTAATTAAATATCATATTTTTTTCTCACACAGAATTAATTTCCAAAGACTCATGTTACATGAGAAAGCCACCAAGAAGACCAAAGAAAAGGAGACAAGGATGGCTCTTCCTCAGGTAAAGTGATATTCCTCAGTGGATTCTTCTCTCTCTTTTCTGATATACCAGGTATTGTAGTAGGCAGACTTCCGTGAGTCTGAAGCGTCCTGCGTCACAAGTTTGCTCGCACTCACCCAAGGCTTTTCTCAGTCCCCGTCATCTTAAATTCTATCTCCCTTTATTGCCCAGGCTGGAGTTCACTGGAGCAATCTGGGATCACTGTAACCTCCACCTCCCAGGGTCAAGAGATTCTCATGCCTCAGCATCCCAAGCAGCTGTGATTATAGGTGTCCACCACCACTCTGGGCTAATTTTGTATTTTTAATAGAGACAGGATTTCACCATGTTGGCCAGGCTGGTCTCAAATCCCTGACTTCACTTAATCTCCTTGACAGTTTTTCACTGTTGCTAAGAATAACACACTGGCTGCCTGTGAGCATGGTGACTTCACTGCAGATATCTGGAAGTTTCCTGCAAGTTGGGGCATTGAAAACTGATTGCTTCTTCTTGGATTTGCCATTTCCTCTTTTAGATGTGGGAAGATTCCATCCCTACCCCCAGCTGCAGAGGTGCCCTCTCTGACTAAGACTATGCAAAATTTCCCACTCACTTAAGCAAAGCTTACTACTGTGGTCTTACCACCATGATTCTTACCACCATGGTCTTACCACCGCAATTCTCCTGCCTCAGCCTCCTGAGTAGCTGGGATTACAGTCGCACACCACCACACCCCGCTAATTTTTTGTATTTTTAGTAGAGATGGGTTTCACTATGTTGGCCAGACTGGTCTCGAACTCCTGACCTCATGATCTGCCCGCCTCAGCCTCCCAAGGTCGTGGGATTACAGGCGTGAGTTACCGCCCACCCAGCCGAGAAATATCTTGATAATATTACAGGAGCTCCCTCTTGGGTGAGAGTTAGCTCTTCTTTTGGCTGTTGTTAGGATTCTTTCTCTATCTCTGAATTTTGACAGTTTTATTATGATGTTGTTTGTTATAGGTCTCTTACTTAGATTTATCCATGTTGGATATTCTTAAGGTGTTGAATTTGTTTCTTTTGCATCCTGAAATTAGAAATTTTTGCCATTATGCCTTCCAACAAGCTTTTCTGTTCCTTTCTTCTTCTCACTCACTTCTGTGACTTCTGGTACTCTTTTTTTTTTTTTTGAGTTGGAGTCTTGCTCTGTTGAGGTATTGCTCCTCACAAGAGAGCATTAGCTGTGGGATCTGCATGTCAACCCTGACCTAAACCACATATGAATAAAACATACACTGACACACAGATAATTCCGTTTTGCTAGTTCTGCTGTGTTTCCGACCAGTAGCCTTAAGCAACTGTCTGAACATTTTTATATACCGTTTCTGTTGAGCTGACAACTATTGTCCCGTGATGAAACCTTAGCTTGACTCAACTTCCCCCAGAAGGTGGTAACCTCGAGTGGGCACCAATGACTTACTGATTACTCACTGGCTTGACCACGAAATCCTTCTTTGCCTTTGTTTTCGGGGGTCGCGTTCCTCATGCTTCCATCGCAGCTTTCCTCAAGAGGGCGGTCCTCACGCTTCCTTCACAGGTTGCCTCAAGAGAGGCTTGAACTGTGGGGGGTCTGTTTCTGCAGATCCCTGACTTTCCTCACACAGGACATCAACTGAGGTATTGCTCCTCACAAGAGGGCATTAGCTGCGGGGGTCTGCCCACGGACCCTGGCCCAGACGGATGAATGAAACGTACACCGACACATAGATATTCTGCTTTGCCAGTCCTGCTGGGTGCCCAATCGCCTGCACACCAAGAGCCGGCCCTGAGCAGCTCGCACTCCAGGCATTTATTTAGAATAGAATTAACAACAGAAGTTTGAGTAAACACACTTGAGGATAATTAGCATGGTTAAGAGAGTAGTTTCATGAATGATTAAAGCTCAGGTACTGTGATCTGAAGTAAATACCATTAAGGGGCAATTTCCCTGGTCAGCCTCCCGCTAGAGGGCCATCTGGCTCAAAGGTTAGTTAATGGAGGTAGGGTAAACAGGCTTAACTGGGGAAGCCTCTATTGTCCCTAGTATTTACCCTATGACCTAATGCTCTAAGGTAAGAACCGGGTGCCTTCAGCCTGTTCAATTATTACAAGCTATATAACCTTTCGGCCTTCCAAAAGGTTTGTGACTATTCCCTATAACTTTCCCTAATATTTCTCTTTAATATTTCTGCCCCTATCTTGAGTAAATCCCAACACTGTCACCCAGGCTGGAGTGCAGTGGTGCAATCTCGGCTTACTCCAGCCTCTGCCTCTGGATTCAAGCGATTCTCTCACCTCAGCTTCCCAAGTAACTGAGGTTACAGGTGCGCACCACCACACCTGGCTAATTGTTGTATTTTTGGTAGAGATGAAATTTCACCATGTTGGCCAGGCCGGTCATGAACTTCTGACCTCAGGTGATCCCCACACCCTGGCTTCCCAAAGTGCTGGAATTACAGGCGTGAGTGCTGAAATTACAGGCATGAGCCAGAACCTGGCCTGGGACTTTCATAATGTGTAGGATGGTGTCCTTGATGGTGTCCTGTTAGTCTGTTTAGACTCCCTTCATTTTTCTTTATTCTTTGTTGTTGTTTCTTTTCCTATTCACTACTTTTTTTTTTTTTTTTTGAGATGAAGTTTCACTCTGGTTGCCGAGGGTGGAGTGCAATGGCATGAACTTGGCTCATTGCAACCTCCGCTTTCATGGTTAAAGCAATTCTCCTGCCTTAGCCTTTTGAATAGCCGGGATTACAGGCATGCATCACCATACCCGGCTAATTTTGTATTTTTAGTAGAGACAGAGTTTCTCTATGTTGATCAGGCTGGTCTTGAGCTACCAACCTCAGGTGATCCCCCCGCCTTGGCCTCCCAAAGTGCTAGGATTACAGTCATGAGCCACCATGCCTGTTTTTTTTTTTAGACAGAGTTTTTCTCTTGTTGCCCAGGCTGGAGTGCAATGATGCAATCTCGGCTCACTGCAACCTCCACCTCCCAGGTTCAAGCGATTCTCCTGCCTCAGCCTCCTAAGTAACTGAGATTACAAGCATGCACCACCACATCTGGCTAATTTTGTATTTTTAGTAGAGACGGGGTTTCTCTATGTTGGTCAGGCTGGTCGCGAATTCCTGACCTCAGGTGATCCGCCTGCCTTGGCATCCCAAAGTGCTGGGATTACAGGCATGAGCTACTGTGCCTGGCCCATGCCTGGCCTTTTTTAAAAAATTATTTTATTATTTTTTGAGACAGTCTCACTCTGTCACCCAGGCTGGAGTGCAGTGGGGAGCCCACCACTACACCCAGCTAATCTTTGTATTTTTAGTAGAGACAAAGTTTCACCATATTGATGAGGCTGGTCTCCGAACTGCTGACCTCAAGTGATCTACCCACCTCAGCCTCCCAAATTCCTGATATGAGCTACCTCACCTGTCCCCTTTTCACTAATTTTTAATTTACATAATGTATTCTGATTTTGAACCCATGTATTGAGTTTTTCCATTTAGTTACTGTATTTTTAGCCCGAGAGTTTCTGTGTAGTTCTTCGTAATTTCTGTATGTTGGCTGACCTTCTCATTTTCTTCATGCATTGCATTTATGATTTCTTGAAGTTGTCTCTTAATTCAATGAGCTTCCAACTTTTGGGAGGGTGGGGGTGATAGGGTCTCGCTGTGTCCCCCAGGCTGGAGTGCAGTGGTGCAATCTTGGATCACTTCAAACTCTGCTCTCCAGGCTCAAGCAATCCTCCCACCTCAGCCTCGTGAGTAGCTGTGGATGTGTCCTCTCTAGGTCTTTGCTTATAATGTCCCGACTGAAGTTAATTGAAGTGTGTGTAGGTGTGATTTGCAATGTGTCCAGGAGAGCATTAATGGAGAAGCCCATGATTTTTTTTTTTTTTTTTTTTTTGAGACGGAGTCTCGCTCTGTCGATAGGCTGGAATGAAATGGCACTATCTCAGCTCACTGCAACCTCAGCCTCCCGAGTTCAAGTGATTCTTCTGCCTCAGCCTCCTGAGTAGCTGGGGCTACAGGCGCACACCACCATACCAAGCTAATTTTTGTGTTTTTAATAGTGTCAGTGTTTCAGCATGTTGGCCCAGCTTGTCTTAATCTCTTGACTTTGTGATCCACATGCCTCAGCCTCCATAAGTGTTCGGATTATAGGTGTGAGCCACCATGCCAAGCCAAGCCCATGGTTTTAGTAGAAAACACATTATTTGCAATATATACATACATATATTTTTATTTTGAGAAAGACTTGCTCTGTTGCCCTGGCTGGAGTGCAGTGCTGTCATCTCAGCTTACCACAACCTCTGCCTCCAGAGTTGAAGCAATTCCCCTGCCTCGGCTTCCCAAATAGCTGGGATTACAGGCACATTCCCCCACCATGCCCAGCTAATTTTTCTATTTTTAGTAGATATGGGGTTTCACAATGTAGCCCAGGTTGGTCTCAAACTCCTGACCTTAAGTGATCCACCTACCTTGGTATCCCAAAGTGACAGGATTATAGGTGTGAGCCCCCATGCCTGGCTATATATATATATAGAGAGAGAGAGAGAGAGACGGAGTCTCACTCTGCAGCCCAAGCTGAATTGCAGTGGCACAATCTCAGCTCACCGCAACCTTTGCCTCTGGAGCTCAAGCTATACTCCTACCTCAGCCTCCCAAATAGCTGGGACTAGAGGCATGCACAACCACACCCAGTTAATGTTTTTGTGTTTTCAGTAGAGACTTGGTTTCACCATGTTGCCCTGGGTGGTCTCGAACTCCTGAGCTCAGTTGATACACCCACCTCAGCCTCCCAAACTGCTGGGATTTCAGGTGTGAGCCACCGTGCCCAGACATATATTTTTTGTATTTTCCATAAAACTGAGACTTCCACAGTGACTAGGAGATTTCAAAATCTATCATGGGAAAGTACAATAAAATGCAACTGCACAAAAAGAAATGTTCAAAAATACCTTAATGTGGGTTTGTCAGAACACCGTCTTGGATCAAATCAATACTTATTTTCTCTTTTCTCATTTTGTGTGAAGGTAATGACTCCTCCCTAATGTTTTGTTGAAATGTGTGTTTAATTTTAGGGATGCTTGACTTTCAGGGATGTGGCTATAGAATTCTCTTTGGAGGAGTGGAAATGCCTGAACCCTGCACAGAGGGCTTTATACAGGGCCGTGATGTTGGAGAACTACAGGAACCTGGAGTCTGTGGGTGAGGAAAATGTCCCTCCTGATGTGAGGAATCTGCCCTTGTCTATCTTGGCTCTTCCTGGTTTTGTATTCTCTTTTGTGATTTTGCCGCATACATGCTTTTGATGTACATGTCATTGTTTTCTGCAGTGATGATCCTCCTGTCTGTCATAGACAGCTTCTTAGAGACTATCCTATGGAGTGGTTTTACATAAAAACAGAACATTCATGAACACTTTGACTAATAGAATTGAACGTCATCCTGCTCTAAGCAGAGATGCCCCTGGTAGCCCTGAGCAGAATTGTCAGGGTGGCCCAGGAGATGAGCTAGAAAGCATGACAGTGACTGACAAGTGTTTCCAGCTGTGATTCTGCTTTTGTTTTGTTTTGTTTTTTGAGACAGAGTCTCCCTCTCTTGCTCAGGCTGGAGTGCACTGTTGTGATCTCAGCTCATTGCAACCTCCGCCTCCTGCATTCAAGCAATTCTCATACCTCAGCCTCCCAACCTAACTGGAATTACAGATGCAAGTCACCATGCCTTGCTAATTTTTGTATTTTTATTAGAGATGGGGAATCACCATGTTGGCCAGGCTGGTCTCAAACTCCTTGTCTCAAGCAATCTGCCCACCTCAGCCTCTAGCCAAGTGTTGGGATTACAAACCTGAGCCACCACCCTTGGCCTTTTGTTCTGGTTTTTAAGGAGCATCACAGAAGCATCTCTCACTGGTACTGTGACAGTGATCATCACATAAACTAATGATCATGTTCTCTAAACAGCAGTCACTGCTGTAGAAATTCCTCTTAGGGAGGACATCATTCAGGCTTACTGCATCATATATATGAGGCTCTTGACTGAACTCTGTTTGACATGGAATTTTGCTCTTGTTGCCCAGGCTGGAGTGCAATGATGTGATCTCTGTTCACTGCAATCTCTGCCTCCTAGGTTCAAGAAATTCTCCTGCCTCAGCGTCCTGAGTAGCTGGGATTACAGGCATCCACCACCATGCCTGGCTAATTTTTGTATTTTTAATAGAGACAGGGTGTTCTTAAACTTTGAAGATCATATTTGGGAATTTTAAAATAAGTATTGCTTTTTGTGTAATATTAACACATTTCAGTATTAAATATTATTTACCATCTGTACTTAATTGGAAACCTATTGGTCTTTATATTTTTTAGATAGCTCTTTAAAATCCATGACGGAGTTCTCATCAACAGGGCACGGTAATACAGGAGAAGTGATCCACACAGGGACATTGCAAAGACATAAAAGTCATCACATTGGAGATTTTTGCTTCCCAGAAATCAAGAAAGATATTCATGACTTTGAGTTTCAGTGGCAAGAAATTAAAAGAAATGGCCATGAAGCACCCATGACAAAAATCAAAAAGTTGACTGGTAGTACAGACCGACGTGATCAAAGGCATGCTGGAAACAAGCCTATTAAAGATCAGCTTGGATCAAGCTTTTATTCACATCTGCCTGAACTGCACGAATTTCAGACTGAAGGGAAAATTGATAATCAAGTGGAGAAGTCTATCAACAATGCTTCCTTGGTTTCAACATCCCAAAGAATTTCTTGTAGGCTCAAAACCCATATTTCTAATAGGTATGGGAAGAACTTTCTCCATTCTTCATTATTGACACAAATCCAGGAAGAACACATGAGAGAAAAACCTTTCCAATGTAATGAGTGTGGCAAAGCCTTTAATTATAGCTCACATTTAAGAAGACATCATGTAACCCATTCAGGAGAGAAACAATATAAATGTGATGTATGTGGCAAAGTGTTTCATCAAAAGCAATACCTTGCATGGCACCATAGAGTTCATACTGGAGAAAAACCTTACAAGTGTAATGAGTGTTCCAAGACCTTCGGTCACAAGTCATCTCTTACACGCCATCATAGACTTCATACTGGAGAAAAACCTTACAAGTGTAATGAGTGTGGTAAGACCTTCAGTCAGACGTCATCCCTTGTAGGGCATCGTAGACGTCATACTGGAGAGAAACCTTACAAATGTGAAGGATGTGACAAAGTTTACAGTTGCAGATCACAACTTGAAACACATAGGCGAATTCATACTGGAGAGAAACCATACAAATGTAAGGTTTGTGACAAAGCTTTTAGGCATAATTCATGCCTTTCACGCCATAACAGAGTTCATACTGAAGAGAAACCTTACACATGTAATGAATGTGGCAAGGTTTTCCAGCGTGATTCATACCTTGCACAACATCAGAGAGTTCATACTGGAGAGAAACCTTACACATGTAATGAATGTGGTAAGGTTTTTAATCAAAAAGCACACCTTGCATGTCATTATAGGCTTCATACTGGAGAGAAACCTTACAAGTGTAATGAGTGTGGCAAGACCTTCAGTCAGAAGTCATCCCTTGTGGGCCATCGTAGACTTCATACCGGAGAAAAACCTTACAACTGTCATGAGTGTGGCAAGACCTTTGCTCGAAATTCATCCCTTCTAATTCATAAGGCAATTCATACTGGAGAGAAACCTTACAAGTGTAATGAATGTGGCAAGGTTTTTAATCAACAGTCAAACCTTGCACAACATCAGAGAGTTCATACTGGAGAGAAACCTTACAGGTGTAATGAGTGTGGCAAGACCTTCAGTCATATGTCATCCTTTGTATACCATTATAGACTTCATAGTGGAGAGAAACCTTACAAGTGCAATGAGTGTGGCAAGACCTTCAGTCATATGTCATCCTTTGTATGCCATCATAGACTTCATACTGGAGAAAATCCTTATAAGTGCAATGAGTGTGGCAAAGCCTTTAGTGGGCAGTCATCACTTATTCATCATCAAGCAATCCATGGTATAGGGAAACTTTACAAATGTAATGATTCTCACAAAGTCCTCAGTAATGCTACAAGCATTGCAAATCATTAGAGAATCCATAATGAAGAGAGATCTTACAAGTGTAGTAAATGTGGCAGATATTTCAGACATTGTTCATAGCTTGCAGTTCATCAGTGAACTCATACTGGAAAGAAACGTTACAAATGTCATGATTGCAGCAAGGTCTTCAGTCAAGCTTCATCTTATGCAAAACACAGGAGAATTCATATGGGAGAGAACCTCACAACTGTGATAATTGTGGCAGTCATTTTTTTTTCTTTTTTCAGATGAAGTCTTACTCTTTTGTCCAGGCTGGGGTGCAGTGGCGTGATCTCGGCTCACGGCAACCTCCACCTCCCAGGTTCATACGATTCTCCTTCCTAGCCTCCTGAGTAGCTGGGACTACAAGCATGCTCCACCAAGCCTGGCTAATTTTTATGTTTTTAGTAGAGACAGGGTTTCACCATGTTGGCCTGGTTGCTCTCAACTCTTGATCTTGTGATCCGCCTGCCTCGGCCTCCCAAAGTGCTGGTATTACAGGCATGAGCCACCACGCCCAGTGTGGCAATGTCTTTACTTTACATTCACACCGCATTAGACATCAGGGAATCTATACTGGACAGAAATCTTACAAATGGAATAGGTGTGGCAATGTCTTTAGTCTGAGGTCACTCCTTGCAGAACAGTAGAAAATTCATTTTTGAGATAATTGTCCCAAATACAATGACTATAGAAAATGACAAACTTTAATTGACATTAGAGTCAATTCTGCATTGACTAGAGTTTGAGTTGACTTAACATTGAGTTCAAGCATTAATTGACATAAAAAGTGTTTACGTCAAGAAGAATGGGCAGGGTGCAGTTGCTCACACCTATAATCCCAGCACTTTGGGAGGCCAAGGCAGGCAGATCACTTGAGGTCAGCAGTTTGAGACCAGCTGGGCCAACAGACCTGAACCAGTTTGCCCAGCCTGTTTTTTCTTTCCTTCTTTCTTTCTTTTCTTTTCTTTCTTTCTTTTTTTTTTTTTTTTTTTTGAGACAGAGTCTTTCTCTTGTCGCCCAAGCTGGCGTGCAATGGCACAATCTTGGTTCACTGCAACCTCCACCTCCTGCATTCAAGCAATTCTCTTTTCTAAGCCTCCCAAGTAGCTGGGATTTCAGATGTGTGCCACCACACCACATAGTCCCTCTCCACAGAGATGGTTGAGAAGGCTGATGGAAAAGCCAGATACTTGTTCTACAGCTTTCCCTGACACTAGTATATCATCCACATACTGGAGCATAGATATACACTTTGGGATGCTCATCTTTTCTAACACCTCCTCAAGAATTTGGCCAAACAAGTTAGGAGAATCTGTAAATCCTTGGGGTAAGACTGTCCAGCAGTATTGTTGTTTTCACCCAGAGTGAGAATCTTCCCATTCAAAAGTGAATATATCCTGACTATCTTCAGCTAAAGGACATGCCCAGAAGGCATCTTTCAGGTCTATTTCTGTAAACCACTGATGGTCATATGGAATTTTGCTGAGAATAGTATATGGATTGGGAACAACAGGATGAGTGGTTTGAACAGTTTGATTAATGGCTTGAAGATCTTCTACAAGTCAGTATCACCAATCTGACTACTTTACAAGTAATATTGGAGTAGTATAGGGAGACATGCACAGTTCAAGTAGCCCATCTCAGATAAGGCTCTCAATTAGAGGTTTTAAACCTAATCTACCTTCTAAGGGAATTGGATATTGGTTTCTTTTCACTGTTTCCCTGGGAGTTTTTAACTTTATGTGAATTGGAGGAACTTGTAGCTTCCTTCAATTTCCCTCCCTTGACCACTCATTAGCATTGATGTAGCTTTCTTCTGCTGTAGTAAACAGGTTTAATGAAGTGAAGAATCCTTCTGGGCTTACACGCAAGCCTATACCTAACTTTGCCATTAGGCCACTTCCTAACAAGTTTGTCCCAGCCTTAGGAAGTAGCAAAAATTTAACATTGGTTGATCGGGTTTCAAATCTGACTTCTGTTTTTTCTGAGACTTTGGCTTTAAATCCTTCCCCTTTGACTCCTAAAACTTGAAGTTCTTCTAATAAACAATTTATATTAGAGGGCACAAAACAAACAGAGGAGTGGGAAGCTCCTGAGTCTATTAGAAAAGTAATAAGTTCGGCTGGGTGCCATGGCTCACACCTGTAGTCCCAGCACTTTGGGAGGCCAAGGTGGGCGGATCACCTGAGGTCGAGAGTTCGAGACCAGCCTGACCCACATGGAGAAACCCCATCTTTACTAAAAATACAAAATTAGCCAGACTTTGTGGCACATGCCTATAATACTAGCTACTTGGGAAGGCTGAGGCAGGAGAATCACGTGAACCTGGGAGGTAGAGGTTGCAGTGAGCCAAGATCACGCCATTGCACTCCATCCTGGGCAACAAGAACAAAACTCTGTCTCAAAAAAAAAAAAGAAAGAAAAGTAACAAGCTCATGTTTTGGTCCCACCTTTAAATTTACCACGGGCTCTCAGTGGGACTGGAGATAGAAAAGACAGAGCCCTTGACTTCCTTATTCTTTAAATTCCTTAAGTGGGATTTTTTTTTCTCCTTTCTCCACTCAGGACATTCTCTTTTGAAATGACCTAATTTTCCACACTTGTAACATTTGTCTTGTCCCTCTCCCTTTTCAGTTTTTGGAGTCTTAGGGTACTGGGTTTGCTTTCCCTTTTTACCTGTCTTTGAGTTCTGTGGCCCCCCTGTCTCATATCTTTTGTGAGGCCTGGCAAATGGAGGCTTAAGCTTGGCCTCTGGTGCATTCTGTCAGAAAATTTTTCTTTTTGCTTTGGTTTTTCTTCATCCCTCCTTACATATACTTTTTGAGCTTATTCTAAGAATTCCCGTATAGACTGTTTTTTCCAGTTTTCTAGTTTCTGTAACTTTTTTTGCAATGGCTTGCTAAATGGCTACCAATGGCTAGCTATTGGTAACAAAATGTAGCTTTAACATTTCTTGCCTGCTAGGGTCTTCTGGATCCAAATGTGCATATTTTCTCATTTGTTCTCATAGTCTTTTTAGAAAGTTTTTAGGGCTTTCATCTTTTTTCTGTTTTATCTAAAATGCTCGGGGAAGATTCTGAGCACAGGGCACTGACTCCTGAATTCCTTTAATTATCATTTCCCTTATATCTTTCATGAATTTTTAGTGGACTGTGTCGTTATCCCATTGAGGATCTTGGGTCGGGAATTTCTGGTCTACAATGGGAACGTTTTGGCTGGATAGGTATTTACGTTCCCAAACTCTCATAGCAGTCCTGCAAATCAACTGCCTTATATATAATACTCCAATATTACCTGTAAAGTTGTCAGATGTGTCATACCGGCTCATACAAGATCTTTTGTATCATTTTATAAAACGATACAAAAGCTGCAAAGCCACCAGCCTGCCTGCTTCCCTTGGAGAAGTTGGGACTTCCTGACAACTGCACAAACTCACGTGGGGGATTTCAATATCCCAAAGCATGCAGATTCCTGGTGTGGCTGGAATTGGTGCTGGGGTGCTGCGAAAGCCAGGTTTGAAGCAGGAAGACAAAAAAACCACTCACCTGTGTCAGCCTCGAGTGCTGAAGAACAACCGTGTGTGGGCCTTCAACCCTGTCTGGGTGGGTTCTGGACAGTGGGTGGGGACCCGGCGGGAGAAGGGAAAGGTCGTTGAGGGGGCAGGGCATGAAAACTGTCGCTGGAGCTGGGCAAGAGGGTGGAGGCTGCTTTGGAAGCTGGGCCTGGTTAGAGGGTGGAGGTGGAGGTAGGGCCTGGAGTTTCAAGCTTCAGCCATGCATAGACTAGTCAGCTTCTGGTGTGTGACTAGAACAGGGCTTGTTCCCTCAAGCTTCAGCTGTGCATAGACTGGTCAGACTCCGTAGTGACTAGAGCAGGCAGTCTTCTTTAGCAGCAGGTTGATCTCATCTCAGGATGAGTTGGATGATCTGGGTCCTGCTGGCTTGTCTACTTGTCTTGAGCTGCCAGTTTCAGCTGACTGTGGTGGATCTAAGGCACAACACCTGCAACTTTAACAGCAGCGGGACTGAACAAGATTACAGTATAGGGCTTATATTGTATGAGTCTTAGAGAAGTTGGATTCTACATAGCTGGTGGCCTTGTAGCTGTGTCAAAAAAAAGAACTGGCTAAATACAGACATTTGTAAAACATAGTCATGCTTAAGAGACTAGGGAAATGAGTAACAGTAGAAGAATTTGTCTTTCTCTCTCTCTCTCTTTTTTTTTTCCTTCACTTTGTTCTGGAATTTAAAAAGTGTCTAGAGCCCATTACTTTAGCCTTAGCTTTTTGGACAGCGTTATCTTATAACTTTCCTTGAAGTGAGCTGCTAAGCAGAAGAAAACTTGTTTCTTTTTCTTTTTAACCTTTACCACAATTCTGTGGGCCAAAGGGATCAGGAGACAGACATAGAGCAGTAGAAAACCTGAGACAGAGAAAAGAAGAATGAGAGAGACTCATAACAGATGGTAAAGTAGAGGAGGGGTGAGGGATTTGCCAAGAGGTGACAAAAGTGAAAAAAAAAAAAGATAAGAAAGCAGGAGGAGAAAAGCAACTGGAGAAATGTAGAGAAAAGCTAGATGTACAGAGAGATGAAGAACAGCAAGGCAGGAAGAGGGGCAGCAAAAAGGGAGGCTCATCAGAGTGAGGGAGAGGAGGAGGGATTTGCAGCCAGGACAGACAGAGCAGAGTGGTGCTGGTGGCAAGGAGAACAGAGGAAGAACAACAGCAGGGAACACAGCTGGGAATCTAGGGTGCCAGAGAGTGGGTACAGAGGGGTATAACAGGGAAGAGATAATTTAACAGGGAGAAAAGAGGAGGTGCAGAGATGGGAGAAGAGGTGGAAATATATGGAGATTGAGGATGATTGAAAGACTGGGGAGAAGGAGGAACAAGAGGTTATATAAGTTCCAAGGATGAAGCAGAAGAGGTGGAAGAGAAGGAATAGAGGTAAGAAGGGAATAAACAGCAGCAGAAGAGAGGGGTACAGAATGAGGTGCAGAATCCCAGGGAAATAGAAAAAAAAGAGCTAGAGAGAGAAGGGGAGAATGAGAGATATTTACAGAATTAGGGAGGGAAGCACAGTAATGAAGACAGAGGGGCCAGGCACAGTGACTAATGCCTGTAATCCCAGCACTTTAGGAGACTGAGGCAAGGGGATTGCCTGAGTCCAGGAGTTTGAGACCAGTGTGGGTAACATAGTGAGACCCCCCATCTCTTCCAAAAAACAAAAATTAACAGGGCATGATGGTGCACACCTGTACTCACAGCTACTCTAGAGGCCAAGGCAGATGAGTGAGTGAGTTCATTGGATATGATTACTTGTGACATCTTCACTTCTGTGTATATAATAAATAAATTATTTAAATTATACAGATGAAACTGAGAATTTTAAAATGCCTATCTATAAGACATGTACATTCTATAAATCTTGGCATCAGAGGTTAGTTTTCACTTGGAATCCCTATTCAGCCACAGGATAGTGATTTATTCACTTGAGAGTCTCACTCTCTTCCCTTTTTGCAGGGTGGTGTAGGAAGTGGGGCGGTGAGGTGGGAAAAAAACCACTTTCTGTTATTACATAATGTGGGAAATGAGAGGACTGGAGAGATCAATGGGTGAAACATAGGAGTTTTATTAAGGTGCACACCAGCTCAGTGGACTCACATCCAGAAAGCTAAGCCCAGAACAAAGACAGAGCTGGGCTTATATAGGCAAGCTTACAGAAGCAGGACAAAGACAGTAAATCATACAGTGACAGGTTATGTAATCTATACCATAACTGCTGCCTTGGTATAACTTGTGGCCTTGCTTAGCTGTGACCTTGCAGATGCATCAAAAGAAAAACAGGAACTTACAGAGTTTGCTAAATACAGACATGCAGACATTTGCAAAAATAGTCAAAATTAATGATTCTGGGAAAGGAGAGACAGTAAAGGAATTTGTTTTCTTAACCATGTGTAGTTGGGGGGGATGTATCCAGTTTCTTAGACTGGGTCACCACAAACCTTTCTATGGCCTTTCATGTTACTATCCTTGGAGTGAGTGAGCTCAGCAGAGGAAAATTTGCTTTCTTCTTTAATTTCTGCCTCAATAATACTTTTAATTTAATTAACTAATTAATTAATATTTTCAGATAGCATCTGGCTCTATCACCCAGGATGGAGTGCCATGGAGTGATCTCCTCTAACTGTAGCCTTGACCTCCGGGGGTCAAGTGATCCTCGTACCTTGGCCTCCCGAGTAGCTAGGACCACAGGCATGAGCCACCAATCCCAGCTAGTTTTGTTGTTGTTGTTGTTTGGAGAAATGGGATTTCACTGTTTCCCAGGCTGGTCTCAAATTCCTTGATGCAAAGGATCTTCCTGCCTTGGACCCTCAAAGTACCAGCATTACAGGGATTAGCCATCACACCTGGCCTACATATAATTTTTTAAAGGAATATCAAACCATGGTGGCTCATGCCTGTAATCCCAGCACTTTGGGAACCTGAGATGAGCAGGTCACCTAAGGTCAGGAGTTTAAGACCAGCCTGGCCAACATGGTGCAACCTGGTCTCTACTAAAAATACAAAAATTAGCTGGGCGTGGTGGCATGCACCTGTAGTCACAGCTACTCAAGATGCTGAGGCACGAGAATCACTTGAACCTGGGAAGTAGAGGTTGCAGTGAGCCGAAATCATGCCACTGCCCTGCAGCCTGGGTGGCAGAGCAAGTCTCCATCTCACAAAAACAAGCAAACAAACAAAAAATAAACAAAATCAAAAACAGGAACATGAAAACTGCTTTTGTTCTCTTGTGTAATAGATTTACTTTATTTTTTTTTCTGTTTCCTCTTCATTTTTCTATTTTTCTTTCTTTATCCTTTTTTTGGGGGGGGGCAGAATCTCACTCAGTCACCCACACTGGAGTGCAGTGGCATGATCTTGGCTCACTGCAACCTCTGTCTCCCGGGTTCAAGTGATTCTTTTGCCTCAACCTCCTGAGTAGGTGGCACTACAGGTATATGTCAGCACGCCCAGCTAATTTTTGTATTTTCAGTAGAGATGGAGTTTCACCATGTTGGCCAGGCTGACCTTAAACTCCTGACCTCAGGTGATCTGCACATCTTTGCCTCCCAGAGTGCTGGGATTACAGGCGTGAGCATCTGTGCCTGGCCAAGATAAATCTTAGTTTTCAAAATTTCTTTTTTAATACATAATCACTTCTGAAAGATGCCTTTGTTGCATCCTATAATCAGCTCACATCATTTTTTTCTGTACATGTATGTTTTTCAGTTATTTTCCTGTTGACCCCAGAATTTGTTATATTTTTTAAAACAATTTCAAAATAGTTTCTGTTTGTGTCTGGTTCAAATCGAGATGTGCATGCTTTCTAGTCTTTATTATTTATTGGAAACCTTTGGTACCTAATGCAGAGGTTTGATTGTTTCAGTGTGTACCCGGTAAAGATGTCAGTGACCTTTTACCGTAACATCAAAGTGTAGTTTAACCAGTTAGTCTATTTTTCAGTTTTCTTTCCTTATGTCATTTGTTAAAATCTTGAGCTGTAAGCTATTAAGTGCATGTTTCCCTCAGGCCCTCTGGTCCATTCTGGACAAATGTTGAAAGATGGGTTGGATTGGCACGGAACGCTGTGCCAAAAGCACCCCCTTTTTTTTTTTTTTTTTTTTTAAGATGGAGTTTTGCTCTTGTTGCCCAGACTGGAGTGCAATGGTGAGATCTCAGCTCACCACAACCTCCTCCTCCCGGGTTCAAGCTATTCTCCTGCCTCTGCCTCCCAAGTTGCTGGGACTACAGGTGCCTGTCACCATGCCCAGGTAATTTTTTGTATTTTTAGTAGAAATGGAGTTTCACCATGTTGGCCAGGCTGGTCTCAAACTCCTGAGACCTCCACCTGCCTCGACCTCCCAAAAAGCTGCAATATCAGGCATGATCCATCGCACCCGGCCACCCATGTATTCTTGATTGAAAACATTTGCTCATGTCTTAGTTCTACAGCTGACCTTCTTTCACTGTTTTCAAGGTCAATAACTGTGTGTTCACACTTCTGCATTTTATAAATGTTACTGTGATTTTCTTGTAATGAAGAATTAAATGTTGGGAGTCAATGGCATCAGAACCTTGCAAAAGAGGTTTTTTTAGCCCAGGTATGTGGAAGACACTTCTTTAATTTTCAATAATGGGTGTGATAAAGACCAACCCTTCCCATTAGCCCTTCCAGGCCCACATGTAAGAATTCAGACACATCTTTTCACTCATCTCAGACCTTCTCAGGGTAACTCGGTGAAAATGTCTTCACTCTGAGCCTCAGTGAGCCTCCCTGCAACTTGCAGATGAGGGGCTAGACCGGAAAAGCTCAACCTGAGTGACCCTGGCCCCTGAAATGATTGGCAAAATAGAGTGGGTGTCTGGATGTGGCTTTTTTTCTGTGAGAGGGGACTGTCCAGTTGTAATTAGAATTTTAAATGGGATGCAGTACCCTAAAAATGAAAAAAAAAAAAAGAAGAATGGAAGAAACAGAGTTGTAGACTCAGACACAGAGACCATCTTCGGGGCCTTTCTCTGTGTGAGGACATCACAGCGAAATCTAAAGCAGGTCATGTCAGTCCCTGGCAGGGAACCCTCCACCAGCTTCCCGTGTTCCCCAGGACAAAAGCCCCACTCCTCACTGTGGCTCCACAGCCCTGTGTCCAGGGCCCCTGCCAGTGTCCAGCTTCCTCCTGGGAACTTGCCCTCATCTCATGACTACCTCTGCCCCAGTCACAGTTGCTTTTCTCTTTTCCCAAACATCAAAACCCTTCCTGTCTCAGGTTATTGTCCCTGCTCTTACACTATGTACCTAAATGATGACAGCACTGTCCCTTTCTCCTCCTTCAGGTCTAGGCTCAGAGATGTCTCCCATGCCCTCCCACCCCCATCTGAAGATTCCTCTGCCTGTCAGTCTCTCACGTTACTCAGGAATTTTTTTTTTTTCTTTTTTAAGACAGAGTTTTGCTCTTGTCACCCAGGCTGGAGTGCAATGGCACAATCTCAGTTCACCACAACCTCCACCTCCCAGGTTCAAGCAATTCTCCTGCCTCAGCCTCCCGAGTAGCTGGGACTACAGGTGCATGCCACAACACCCAGCTAATTTTTTGTATTTTTAGTAAAGATGGGGTTTCACTGTGTTGACCAGGATGGCCTCAATCTCCTGACCTCTTGATCCACCCACCTCAGCCTCCCAACGTGCTAGGATTACAGGAGTGAGCCACCATGCCCGACAGTTGCTCAGGATTTTTATCTCTGCATCACTCACATCGTTAATGCCTTTTTTTTTTTTTTCTATTTGAGACAGAGTCTGACTCTGTGGTCCAGCCTGTGAGTGCAGTCTCTGTTTCTTGACTCACTGCAACCTCTGTCTCCTGGGTTCAAGCGATTTTTGTGCCCCAGCCTCCCAAGTAGCTAGGATTACAGGTTTGTGCTACAAAGCTGGCTAATTTTTGTATTTTTATTTTTAGTTTATTGTATTTTTGAGTCTCACTCTGTCGCCCAGCTGGAGTGCAGTGGCATGATTTCGGCTCACTACAACCTCCACCACCCAAGTTCACTGGAACCTCCACTCCTAGGTTAAAGCGATTCTCCTACCTCAGTCTCCCCAGTAGCTGGGATTACAGATACCCACCAAGCCTGGCTACTTTTTGTATTTTTAGTAGAGACAGGGTTTCACCATGTTGGCCAGGCTGGTCTTGCACTCCTGACCTCAAGTAATCTGCCCATCTCAGCCTTCCAGAGTGCTAGTATTATAGGCATGAGCCATGGTGCCCGGCCCAATTTTTGTATTTTTAGTAGAGACAGGGTTTCACCATGTTGACCAGGTTGGTCTTGAACCCCTGAGCTCAAGTAATCCTCCCACCTCATCTTCCTAAGTAGCTGGGACCACAGACACACAGACATGCACCACTAACCCAGTTCATGATAGACCCTTGGACTTTACTGTTATGGAAAATGTATATAAAGAAATATCAGTGTGTCAAAGCCTTATGTCTGTCACAAGCTGGTGAAAGAAAAATAAAAATTACTAAGCCAAAGAGAAAAGTCAAGCTGGGAACTGTGTCAGACAAACTTGCCTCCCGTTTTATTCCTAAACAAGATAGCTACAAGGATTTTTAAAAAGTTAGAGGCTGGGTGCAGTTGATCACCTGAGGTCGGGAGTTCGAGACCAGCCTGACCGACATGGAGATACCCGGTCTTTACTAAAAATACAAAATTAGCCAGGCGTGGTGGTGCCTGCCTATAATCCCAGCTACTCAAGAGGCTGAGGCAGGAGAATCGCTTGAACCCAAGAGGCGAAGGTTGCAGTGAGCCGAGATTGGGCCACTGCACTCCAGCTTGGGCAAGAGCAAAACTGTCTCAAAAAAAAAAAAAAAAAAAAAAAAAAAAAGCTACAATACTCCCCTCACAAACTGGAAGCCTCAAGCTCTTCACCCTAAAATAGTTCTGTTGAATTTTACCCTGGCAATGTAAACTGATAGCTTATCTGCACAGGTGTGGGACAGAACCCGTCCCTCTGTACACCTGAGTCAAATGCCTATCTGACTGCTTCCCCTGCCCTATTTATGTAAAAATTCAGAGTCAATGAGCCAGATTAAGGCATAAGTGACTATTCCTCTACTCCCTCTCATATATAAATTGTGTATTCAGTGAAAGGCTGATGAGTCACTCAAAGAATGTGATAATTTATTATCTACCTGTGACCCGGAAGCCCCCCAATTCCAGTTTTTCCACCTTTCCAGACCGAATTAATGTACATCTTATATGTATTGATTGATGTCTCATGTCTCTGTAAAATATGTAAAACCAAACTGCAGCCTGAAAACCTTGGGCACCTGTGGTCGGGACCGCCTGAGGCTGTGTCACAGGTGCATTTTTAACCTTGGCAAAGGAGATTTCTAAATTGATTGAGACCTGTTAGATACTTTTGGTTCACAAGCTCATGAACACAGAAAAAAAAGAATAGGAAAAAAACTAGCACAAAATCAGTTCCAAAATGATCGAGATGCCGCCATTGCACTCCAGCCTGGGCAACAAGAGAGAAACTCCATCTCAAAAAACAGTAAAAGAAAAGAAAAGAACTAAGTGTAATGGAAAGCACTAAATCAGTTCCAAAATCTGAACTCCTTCATATTTATTCAACATAGGGAAATGCTCTTCAACTTTGTGTGCTTAGATTCCATTTATGAATGATATATTTCTAATATTTGATTAAAATAAAAACCCATGCTATGTAATTTTAGCCAATTTAAAGCTGCAAATAATAAATGATCAATTATATACATACGTGAAACTTCCTAATATTTCACTTAGTATTGCTATTGCTATGTTCTTGAGGCAGACGCTCAGTCTGTCAGATAGATACATTACCAGAGCTTGGTGTCTTCCATATTTCTGCTTAGGACTCTGTGGACCATGAGTGTATAAACTTAAGCAGGAACCTAGGAGAGCTAGAGCGTGGGGGCGGTGCCTGGAACAAGACTGGGGCGGGGCAAGAGGGAGGAGGCCGCCTGGGGGCCAGGCCATACAATGGGAAAGGGCAGAACCAGAGGGTTATCGTCATCTTGGGGGCGGGGTCTGGAGGGGGTGTTGTTCTGAAGGGTGGGGGCCGGCAAGGGTCGGGTTCGGGCTCTCTCCTCAGCTGGGCCCCAGATGTCGCCTGCTGTCATCCTCTTGCCCGCCTGGACTAAATCCTCCGAGTTCTGATTGGTGGATTGGTTCTGATGTGCCGTGATATTACCCCTAATATCACAGGGATGTTTCCTGCCCATTTCAAGTTAGTGTTTCAGACAATCGAAGATAAAACAACATGTTGTAGTAGGACACCTGTACTGAACACTGAATCGTTTTTCCTCTTAAGTTGAAAATGGTTTTAATGCAAAGCGCCTTGTTTGAGCAGGCAGAGTCCTGCAGTCGGGGCGAACTCCCCCCTCAGTCTGGGGCAGCGCAGTGGGGAGGGCAGGGACCTCAGTAAAGGGGTGGACTGGGGCGCTGGTTGCAGAGAGGACTGACAATTAGAGTCAGTAGAACTGCTTGAACCCAGGAGGTGGAGGTTGCAGTGAGCTGAGATTGCACCACTGGGCGACAGAGCAATACTGCCTCTCAAAGAAAAACAAAAAAGAGTTTTCCTGTTAATAATTAGGAAGACTAAGCAGCCCCAGAGATAAGACCTCATGGGATCATTGTTACTTCTTATGGAGTGATAAAGTGACCTTCCTCGAATTGTATCAATCCATAACCAATCAAGTTGCTGCAACCTATGCACTGGGCTTGAATGAAAGCTGTCATGATTCTGCTAAAGATTCTCTGTCTTTCCCTGTGTGTGAAACCTTAACGTCTCTACTTTGGAACGCCGATCTCATTTATTTGGAGTTGGTGTTTCCAGGTGGCTTTCTTCAAGCTTTGTGTTCACATAAACTCAGTACTTAATCTTACATTCTAAATTTTATTATTTACTGCTGACGTCAGTTTCTGTCGGATTGTAGGCGCCTGACCAGAGAGGGCACGCGTCGCTATGTTGTAAAACTCACACTCGTCAAAAAGACATGGGTTAGGGTTTTCCCCCTCCCTCTGGATGAAGCTAATTAGCTGACACAGATGGTCACCTCCATTACCAAATAGAGCCAGGATGAACTATGTGTGACCAAGAGTGTTGTCAAGTCCTCTTCCCTGAGGACTGATTAGTGTTTATCTTGAAAACATGTACTCAATGGGTTGTATAGAACAGTGAAGTTTCCTTGTCTCTTTTCAACCTCTTAGCTGTTTGCCTCAATTTCCCATCACATTCTGGTTTAAGGCTTACTTATTAATAATGTGGTTTTTATTTCTTTCACTATTATCATCGTGAAGATGATTTCTCATTGGGGGGAAGATTTTTTTTGTTTTCCATTATATTTTCTCAAAATTTAAAGAGTAAAGAAATGAATATTTTTTGGGCCAGGAAGTGTGGCTTATGACTATAATCCCAGCACTTTCAGAGGCTGAGGCAGTCAGATCACTTGAAGTCAGAAGTTCGAGACCAGCCTAGCCAATATAGTGAAACCTCGTTTGTATCGAAAATACAAAAATTAGCCGGGCATGGTTGTGCGCGTCTGTAATGTCAACTACTCCGGAGGCTGAGACAGGAAAATCGGTTCAACCCAGGAGGCAGAGGCTGCAGTGAGCCCAGATCTCGCCACCGCATTCCAGCCTGGCCAAAAAAGAAAACTCTGCCTCAAAAAAAAAAAAAAAAAAAAATAGAAAAAACTAAATATATAAAAGAAAATAAGCCGGGCGCGGTGGCTCACACCTGTAATCCCAGCACTTTGGGAGGCCGAGGCGGGCGGATTACTTGAGGTCGGAAATTTGAGACCAACCTGACCAACATGGAGAAATCCCATCTCTACTAAAAATACAAAATTAGCAGGGCATGGTGGCACATCCCTGTGATCCCAGCTACTTGGGAGATAGAGGCATGAGAATCGATTGAACCTGGGAGACAGAGATCGCGCCATTGCACTCCAGCCTGGTCAACTAGAGCAAAACTCCATCTCAAGAAACAAAAAAAGAAACTGATAGATCTCTTACACAAATACGCTGGGACAACTAACTGGATATCCACGTGGAAAAGAATAATGTTGGATCCCTATGTAACATCATCAAAAATTTTATTATAAAAAAGAAAAGAGAGAGAGAGACGAGGAAGGGAGCCCTGCGGGAGGGGGTGTTACTTTGTCGCCCAGGCTGGCCTGAACTCCCAGGCTCGGCGATCCTCCCGCCGCTGCTTCCTGAATAGCTGGGACCTCAGGCTCCCACTCCCGCGCCCATATCCCAGCTGTGTTTAAGCCGCAGGTGGTGACCTCACCCATCCTTGGCCTGAGCACTCCATCCTGCATCTCAGGCAGTGGCCTGAGTCTCTAAAGCTGAGCACAGCGTGGACTCTCTCCCAAGTGAATGGAGAATAGAAAGGGAGAGGATTTCTATTCGGTTCTGTGGGCTATCAGCATGAAATTGTACCTTCCGCCCAGGCAGGGCTTTGCATTTCACATTCTAGTTTGCATCCCCGTTCCAGATAATTCCAGGGCTTTTGAATCATGCCTCAGCCTTCCTGGCCGGTCTCGCCTCCAAAACCCGAAAAATGCCTCTGCGCTGGGAACGATGCTGAGAGACTCACAGGTCCCGCCCTGGCCCCGCCCACTGCTGGTTCTAAAGGGGAAAGTCTCTCGGCTTCCCACCCCGCCCCTACCTCATCCAGGCCCCGCCCACCTCGCGGGCCCCGCCCAGACCTGGCTTCTGTACTGCGCGCGCACATGCGCGCAAACCCGGAAGCGGATTATGTGGAGTGAAAGTTACACCGTGGCGGTGAGTTTCGCTCTTCTATTAAGTCTGCGCTTACCAGGTCCCCGGCGCTGCTGTACCTGAGACGTGGGGTCCCCACAGACCTGGAAATTCTCTCCCTTCTTCCTTCACCCAGGACAAATTGAGACGTCCCCATGAGAGTCCGGATATCGCTTCCTTTTGGGTTTAAAGTCGCCCTGAGGCTGGGCTGTCCCCGGTCTTTCTGCTGTAGGGCGATGTATACACTTCCTGTCGCGTAGTTTTCCTGCTCAAAACTGTTTTCTGACTCCTCCCGCCCCTCGCTTTTTAAAGTCCTCACCCGAGAGCTGGATTCCCGCCCTGGGCGCCTCCCACCCTCGCCTTCGTAGGCCACTGGAGCGCAGCGCCAGGGCCCCAGTCCCAGGGAGGCCGCGTACTTTGCCTGGTCCTGGAATCCTGCAGACCCCAACCTTGTCTTAAGGCGCCGTCTCCCCCCCACCTCCCTCCTCGTGGCGGGCCCTGCTGCTCCACAGGTCTCTCCTCCACAGTCACCTCTTCCCCTGAACCCGCGTTGGGGAGGTACCCGGGGCCTGTCCTGTGACACGGGGTGTTCTTGCCTGCCCAGCTCCAGCCCCCGGAAAACGAGCTCCTCCGGGATGCAGGCGTCTTATCCAAACCCTCCTGTGATTGTGTCGGCCAAAGGCATTGGGAGACAGAGCAGTAGAAAAGCTGAGACAGAGAAAAGAATGAGAAAGACCCATAACAGAGGGCAAAGTAGAGGGTGGGTGATGGATTTGTCAAGAGACAGCAAAAGTGAAAAGAAAAAAAAAGAAAGCAGGAGGAGAAAAGTAACTGGAGAAACGTAGAGAAACCTAGATGTACAGAGAGATGAAGGACAGCAAGGTAGGGAGAGGGGCAGCAAAGAGGGAATCTCATCAGAGTGAGGGAGAGGAGGAGGGATTTGGAGCCAGGGCAGACAGAGCAGAGTGGTGCTGGTGGCAAGGAGAACAGAGGGAGAACCACAGCAGGGAGGACACCTGGGGATCTGTGGTTCCACATATTGGGGACAGGGGGTATAACAGGGAAGACGGAATTTAACAGGGAGAGCAGAGGATGCACAGAGATGGGAGAAGAGGCGGAAATATATCAAGATTGAGGACGATAGAACGATTGGGGAGAAGGAACAGCAAGAAGTTAGGTAAGTTGCGAGGATGGAGCAGAAGAGGTGGAAGAGAAGGAATAGAGGGAAGAAGGGGATAAACAGCAGGAGAGGAGAGGGGTACAAAATGAGGAGCAGAATGCCAGGTAAAAAGAAAAGAAAACAAGAGCTAGAGAGAGAAGGGGAGAATGAGAGATATGTACACAATTAGGGAGGGAAGCACAGTAATGAAGAAAGATGGGCTGGGCGCAGTGGCTTACGCCTGTAATCCCAGCACTTTAGGAGACTGAGGCAAGAAGATTGCTTGAGTACAGGAGTTCGAGTCTAGCTTGGGCAACATAGTGAGACCCCCATCTCTACCAAAAAAAAAAAAAAACAACCGGGCATGATAGTGTGCACCTGTAATCCCAGCTACTCTGAAGGCCGAGGCAGAAGGATCACTTGAACCCAGGAGGTCCAGGCTGCAGTGAGCCGAGATCATGTCACTGCACTCCAGCCTGGTCAACAGAGCAAGACCCTGTCTCAAAAGAAAAAAAGGGGCGGAGGACTTTGGGTTTAGATGAGTGGGTGAGTTCATTGGATACGATTAGTTGTGACATTTGACTTCTTTGTATATAATCTAGTAACTTAAAACTGCTTAAATTATACAGATGAGATTGAGAATTTTAAGAATCCTATCTATAAGACATGTACATTCTATGAATGTTGGCCTCAGAGGTTAGCTTCCACTTGGAATCCCTATTCAGCTACAGTGGAGTGACTTATTCACTTGTGAGTCACTCTGTTCCCTTTTCCCAGAGTGGGGTAGGGAGTGGGGCAGTGAAGTGAGAAAAAAATCCCTTTCTGTTAACACATAATTTTTAACTTAATTAATTAACTAACATTAAGAGACAGGGTCTGGCCAATTGCCTAGGCTGGAATGCAGTGGCATGATCTTTAACTGCAGCCTGGTCCTCCTGGGCTCAAGTAATCCTCCTACGTCAGCTTCCTAAGTAGCTGGGACCACAGTGATGAGCCACCAAGAAGCCCGGCTAGTTTTCTTTTTCTTTCTTTTTTTTTTTTTTGTAGAAACGAGGTTTCACTGTGTTTCCCAGGCTAGTCTCAAAATCCTGGGCTCAAAGTATCCTCCTGCCTTGGCCGCCCAGAGTACTGAGATTACAGGAAAGAGCCACCGCACGTGGTCTACATAGTTTTTTTTTTTTTTTGAGTTGGAATTTCCCTGTTGTTTCCCAGGCTGGAGTGCAGTGGCGTGATTTCGGCTCACCACAATCTCAGCTTCCCAGATTCATGCGATTCTCTTGCTTCAGCCTCCCAACTAGCTGGGATTACAGACGCCCACCAAGCCCAGCTACTTTTTGTATTTTTAGTAGAGATGGAGTTTCACCATGTAGCCCAGGCTACTCTCGAACTCCTGACGTCAAACAATCTGCCCACCTTGGCCTTTCAGAGTGCTAGTATTACAGGCATGAGCCACTGTGGCCAGCCCAATTTTTGTATTTCTAGTAGAGGGTTTCAACATGTTGGCAGGCTGGTCTCTAATTCCTGAGCTTAAGCGATTCTGTCTCCTCAGCTTCCTAAGTAGCTGGGAACATAGACACACAGACGTGTACCTTCATGCCTGGCTATGTTTTTGTATTTTTGGCAAAGATGGGGTTTCACCATGTTGCCCAGGCTGATCTCAAACCCCTGAGATTAAGCGATCCACCTGCCTCAGCCTCCCAGAGTGCTGGGATGACAGGCATGAGCCACTGCACCCAGTTTCTGCATGGGGTTTGGTCAGGGCTGGGTCTGCGCCCTGAAGAGGAGCTCATTCCAGCCCAGCTCCCCACTGCTGCAGCGTGTGTGGACTCCTCCAGAAGGGTGTGGTGTGGGCTTCTCCAGAAGGGTGCGGGAGTTTTCCTGTAGGAGTTTATCGTCTCTGGTGCAGTGGGCAGCAGAGGGGACCATATTTCCTCAGGGTGAGGTCTCCTTTGTATGTGTTGTTATGTTACAGGAATGGGGTGTATTGATTCTGAGCAATAAACAACATATTTTTAACATTCAGGATTGACTTCTAAGGACTCTTGGTACATGAGGAAGAAACCCGGAAGGGGAAGAGGAAAGCAAAGGCGTCAGGAATGGTTCTTCCTCAGGTGAGATGATATTCTCGGTGGATTGTTCTGTCTCTTTCCTTTCAGAAACCCTGGGCCTTGGAGTTGGGAATCTTCTCTGGGTCTCAAGAAGTGTCCTGCCTGACAGGTTTGCTCACACTCACCCATGCCTTCCCTCAGTCCCTCTCATCTCACTTAGATTCCATCTCTTGTGACCCAATCACATGAACTTGGGAAGAGGCTGCACTGGGCATGGTCCTGGTAAGGGCCCACACCCAGACATGGATGGAGACGGGGTGAGGGTCCCGTGGTGTCAGTGCTGTTGGGCAGCAGGGATTGTTCAGGGGCCACATCTGGATGCTCTGTCAACTCTCTGTGGACCAGGATTAGAGCAGCTGCCAATGGAAGTCACGTATTAATGTCCACGAAGTATGTGGTAAATTCTAGAAAAGGAGACAAATAAGGGGAAATCTTTTCTCCCTGATTTTATACTATATTTTTAGGTAATTTAGTGAGTTACTTTGTTTCTGACTCCAAAAATCTTACTAATTAGAATGGAAAGTTCATACACAGACATGCATGATACAAGGTGTTTTATTCCATCATTATTTTAAGAATAGGAAATCAACCTGAATAATAGCAGGAGATTCTTTAAACCATTCTTAGCACATTAAGCTCGTGGAGATTGTGGTGTTAAGAGGCTTCTGAAACAGGTGTTTTTGGTAAAAATAGTTACTATTTTTCTCAACTATGGGAGAAGCACTTTTGTATCCTAGAGGATGGAGCCATATTCTCATTCCACCTATTATTATTATTATTATTATTGTTGTTGCTTTGAGATGGAGTCTTGCTCTGTCACCCAGGCTGGAGTGCAACGGCCTGATCTTGGCTTACTGCAACCTCTGCCTTCTGAGTTCAAGTGATTCTCCTACCTCAGCCTCCTGAGTAGCTGAGATTACAGGTACATGCCACCACACCCGGCTAATCTTTTTGTATTTTTAGTAGACACAGGGTTTCATCACGTTGGCCAGGCTGGTCTCGAAGTCCTGACCTCAGGTGATCCTTCTGCCTCAGCCTCCTATAGTGCTGTGATTACAGGCGCGAGCCACGGTGCCCAGCCCCACCAATTAATAATGAATATATATTTTTATATTTGAACATCACATGATGTATATATTTGTTATTTATTTATTTATTTTGAGAGAGTTTCACTCTTGTTGCCCAGTCTGGAGTGCAATGGCGTGATCTTTGCTCACCGCAACCTCCACCTTTTGGGTTCAAGTGATTCGCCTTCCTCAGCCTCCTGAGTAGCTGGTACTCCAGGCATGCGTCACCATGCCCGGCTAATTTTGTATTTTTAGAAGAAATGAGGTTTCTCCATGTTGGCCAGGCTGGTCTCAAACTCCCGACCTCAGGTGATCCGCCTGCCTTGGGCCTCCCGAAGTGCTGGAATTACAGGCATGAGCCACCACACCTGACCAATGAATATATTTGTTTTGTGGTAAAACTCTAAGCAAAGCTGCATCTTAGGCCCTTGGCCATAAAGCGTCTCCTTTCCCTGTCACATCCTCCACCCTCCTTCCAGCCTCACTGGGGAGCCGCTACTGTCAGTTCTGTGCCAGGTTATCAGAGCAAGTCTCGTACACGTGTATTTTTGCATCATTATGAGACTTTAGGAAAAAACGGCAGTAAATTAAAAGAAATTATATTTTTCATGCACGTCCGTGTGAAGAGACTACCAAACAGGCTTTGTGTGAGCAATAAAGCTGTTTATTTCACCTGGGTGCAGGTGGGCTGAGTCTGAAAAGAGAGTCAGCGAAGGGAGATGGGGTGGGGCCGTTTTATAGGATTTGGGTAGGTAAAGGAAAAAGGGGGGTTGTTCTCTGGTGGGCAGGGGTGGGGGCCACAAGGTGCCCAGTAGGGGAGCTTTTGAGCCAGGATGAGCCAGGAGAAGGAATTTCACAAGACGATGTCATCAGTTAAGGCAGGAACAGGCCATCTGGATGTGTATGTGCAGGTCACAGGGGATATGATGGCTTAGCTTGGGCTCAGAGGCCTGATATTCCTGTCTTCTTATATTAATAAGAAAAATAAAACGAAATAGTGGTAAAGTGTTGGGACGGTGAAAATTTTTGGGGGTGGTATGGAGAGAGAATGGACGATGTTTCTCTGGGCTGCTTCGAGCGGGATTAGGGGTGGCGTGGGAACCTAGAGTGGGAGAGACTAAGCTGAAGGAAGATTTTGTGGTAAGGGGTGATATTGTGGGGCTGTTGGAAGAAACATTTATCATTTAGAATTATTGGTGATGGCCTGGATACAGTTTTGTATGAATAGAAAAACTAAACGGAATAAGAGAAGGAGAAAAACAGGTATTAAAGGACTAAGAATTGGGAGGAACTACGACATCTAATACTAGAGAGTGCCTAAGGAGGTTCAGCATAGCCTTGCCAGTAAAGATTATTTATTTACTTTAAGAGTTAAGAGTGGCGGTTTGTGGACAGCACTAGGAGATATCAGCTGTGCTGGCTTGGAGAAACAGTGTAAACTGGCAGTGTAAAGAAGAGCAGGGCATTTATGAGTAGTTGACAAGGGTGAATAGGAGCATGACTAGACAGAAGATAGTAGGGATGACAAGTTTTTTGGGGCACAGTCCAAGTTGGTCTGGTGTCTGGAATGAGACTGGGGCCTAATAAAAAGGAGCTCAAATGGGCTGTACCTTGTAGCATTCTGAGGACAGGCCTGAATTCTGAGAAGCGAAAGTGGTAAAAGTATTGTCCAGTCCTTTTTAAGTTGGTGGCTGAGCTTGGTGAGGTGTGTTTTTAAAAGACTTTTAGTCCGTTCTACTTTTCTTGAAGATGGAGGACCATAAGGGTTCACTGAATACTAAGCCTGAAAAACTGCTTGGCTGATTTGACTAATAAAGTCTGGTCTGCTGTCAGACTGTATAGAGGTGGGAAGGCCAAACTGAGGAATTATGTCTGACAGAAGGGAAGAAATGACTGCAGTGGCCTTCTCAGACCCTGTAGGAAAGGCCTCTACCTATCCAGTGAAAGTATCTACCTAGACTAAGAGATATTTTAGTTCCTGACTCAGGGCACGTTGAGTAAAGCTAATTTGCCAGTCCTGGGTGGGGGCAAATCCTCGAGCTTGATGTGTAGGGAAGGGAGGGGGGCCTGAATAATCCCTGAGGAGTAGTAGAATAGCAGATGGAACACTGAGAAGTTATTTCCTTGAGGATAGATTTCCACGATGGAAAGGAAATGAGAGGTTCTAAGAGGCGGGCTAGTGGCTTGTACTATAGCATAGCCTGCCTTTGCTGGTGTGTGGCGATTAGGCCTGGTGGAACCGCCATCAATAAATCAAGCGTGATCAGGTGAAGAACAGGAAAGAAGGAAATATGGGGAAATGGTGTGAATGTCAGATGGATCAGAGAGATACAGTCATGAGGGTCAGGTGTGGTATCCAGAATAATGTGGGAGGCCGGATTGAAGTCCGGGCCAGGAACAATGGTAATTGTGGGACTTAACAAAGAGTGAGTGCAGCTGAAGGAGCCAGGGAGCAGAAAGTATATGCATCAGGTATGAGGAAGAAAATAGATTTTGGAAGTTATGAGAAATGTAGAGAGTAAGTTGAGCATAGTTTGTGATTTTGAGGGCCTCTAAAAGTATTAGGGCGGCAGCAGCTGCTGCACGCAGACATCATGGCCAGCCTAAAACAGTAAGGTCAAGTTGTTTGGACAGAAAGGCTACAGGGTGCCGTTCTGGCTCTTGTGTAAGAATTCTGACCACACTAACTATGCCTAGGAAGGAAAGGAGTTGTTGTTTTGTAAGGGATTGAGGTTTGGGAGATTAATTGGACACGATCAGCAGGGAGAGCACATGTGTTTTTATGAGAATTATGCTGAGATAGGTAACAGATGAGGAAGAAATTTGGGCTTGACTGAAGTAATGGGGGCTGTCTGTGAAGCCTTGCGGCAGTACAGCCCCAGGTAATTTGCTGAGCCTAATGGGTGTCAGGGTCAGTCCAAGTGAAAGCGAAGAGAGGCTGGGATGAAGGGTGCAAAGGAATAGTAAAGAAAGCATGTGTGAGATCCAGAACAGAATAATGGGTAGTAGAGGCAGGTACTGAGGATAGGAGAGTATATGGGTTTGGCACCATGGGGTGGATAGGCAAAACAATTTGGTTGATAAGGTGCAGATCCTGAACTAACCTATTAAGTCTTATCTGGTTTTAGGACAGGTAAAATGGGGGAGTTGTAAGGAGAGTTTATAGGCTTTAAAAGGCCATGCTGTAACAGGCGAGTGATAACAGGCTTTAATATTTTTAAAGCGTGCTGTGGGATGGGATACTGGCGTTGAGTGGGGTAAGGGTGATTAGGTTTTAATGGGATGGTAACGGGCATGTGAGCAGTTGCCAGGGAAGGAGTGGAGATGTCCCATACTTGTGGGTTAAGGTGGGGGGATACGAGAGGAGGATGCGAAGGAAGCTTTGGGTTGGGGAGAAGGGCAGCAGTGAGATGCGGCTGTAGTCCAGGAATAGTCAGGGAAGCAGATAATTTGGTTAAAATATCTCAGCCTAACAAGGGAACTGGGCAGGTGGGGATAACTAAAAAAGAGTGCATAAAAGAGTGTTGTCCAAGTTGGCACCAGAGTGGGGGAGTTTTAAGAGGCTTAGAAGCCTGGCTGTCAATACCCACAACAGTTATGGAGGCAAGAGAAACAGGCCCTTGAAAAGAAGGTAATGTGGAGTGGGTAGCCTCCGTATTGATTAAGAAGGGGACAGACTGACTTTCCACTGTGAGAGTTACTTAGAGCATCTGTGATGGTCCTGTAGGCTTCCGAGGCGATCGGGCAGTGTCAGTCTTCAGCCACTAAGCCAAGAAGATCTGGGAAGGAGTCAGTCAGAGAGCCATGGGCCAGCGTTCCAGGGGCTCTGGGAGTGGTTGCCAAGTGAGTTGAACGGTCCGATTTTCAGTGGGGTCCCACACAGATGGGACACGGCTTAGGAGGAATCCTGGGCTGCGGGCATTCCTTGGCCCAGTGGCCAGATTTCTGGCACTTGTAGCAAGCTCCTGGGGGAGGAGGTTCTGGAGGAATGCCTGGCCACTGTGGTTCAGGCGTTTGGAAGTTCTTGTGTGCTGGAGATGTGGCTGGGGTTTGTCTCACAGTGGAGGCAAGGAATTGCAACTTTTTTCTATTATTGTACACCTTGAAGGTGAGGTTAATTAAATCCTGTTGTGGGGTTTGAGGGCCGGAATTTAATTTTTGGAGTTTTATTTAATGTCGGGAGCAGATTGGGTAATAAAATGTATTTTGAGAATAAGACGGCCTTTTGACCTTTTAGGGTCTAGGGCTGTAAAGTGTCTCAGGGTTGCTGCCAAACGAGTCATGAACTGGGCTGGATTTTTATATTTGATGAAAAAGAGCCTAAACGTTATCTGATTTGGAATAAAGAAAAAGGAGCATTAACCTTGACTATGCCTTTAGCTCCAGCCACCTTTTTAAGAGTAAATTGCTGGGCAGGTGGGGGAGGGCTAGTCACGGAACAAAACTGTAAGCCGGACCGGGTGTGAGCAGGTGAGGTGATAAAAAGATTACAGGGTGGAGGAGCGGAGGCTGAGGAAGAATTGGGACCTAGCTCGGCCTGGCAAGGAGCAGCCTGGGGAGGAGGGGAAGAGTTCAGATGGGCCTGTAGAAAAGGAAGATTAGAAAGACTCAGCGATGCTTGGGGTTGGGACTGAGGGAACAGGCAGGAGGGAAAGAAGGAAGATTTGGGATGAGTTGCACTGGGCACAGAGACTGGGCACAGGGACCGATGTGTAAAAGAATGCCTGGATGTCAGGCACCTCAGACCGTTTGCTTATTTTATGACAAGAATTATTTAGATCTTGCAGGGTGGAAAAATTGAAAGTGCTGTTTTCTGGCTATTTGGAACTACTGTCGAGTTTGTATTGGGGTCCAGCGGCATTGCAGAAGAAAATAAGATGCTTAGATTTTAGGTCAGGTGAGAGTTGAAGAGGTTTTAAGTTCTTAAGAACACAGGAAAGGGAGAAGGAGGAATGGAGGGTGGAATATTGCCTATAGTGAAGGAGGCAAGCCCAGAGAAAAGAGAGTAGAGACACGGAGGGAAGGGGTTTGGGGGTTCTTACCTCCAGAAAAGTGGGAAAGCGGTTGGGGCACAGAGATATGAGGTCAGGGCATGGAAATAAGGGATTGGGGCACAGAGATATAAGAGGTTGGGGCACAGAGATATATGAGGTTGGGGCATGGAAATAAGGGATTGGGGTGCAGAGATATAAGGGGTTGGGGTACTTGCTCCTCCCCTAGAAAAGTGGGACTTGCTGCTAAGGGTGAAGGAGAAGGGGTTGGGGTTTCTTGCCCCCCAGAAAGGCGAAGAAGGGGTAGAGACACAGAGAGAAGGTGTTGGGGTACTTACACCTTCCCTAGAAAAGCGGAACTTGCTGCTAAGGGTGAAGGACCAAGGCAGGCGTCCCTGTGTGGTCTGACACCTCTGAAACCTGGGTGAATAATCAGAGAGGCGTCCCTGCAATGATTAAACACCAAGGGAAGGCTGCCTTCCCTACTCCGTGACCGGCGCCCGAGTTTTGGGTCCACGGATAAAACGTGTCTCCTTTGTCTCTACCAGAAAATGAAAGGAATTGAAATTAAGAGAAAGGAGAGATTGAAGTGTGGTGCCAAGATTGAAAGGAGACAGAGGTTGAGGGATAGTGAGGGAGGTTGGAGAAGAGAGTAAAAAGAGGCCACTTACCGGATTTGAAATTGGTGAGATGTTTCTTGGGCTGGTCAGTCTGAGGACCTGAGGTCGTAGGTGGATCTTCCTCATGGAGCAAAGAGCAGGAGGACAGCGATTGATCTCCCAAGGGAGGTCCCCCAATCTGAGTCATGGCACCAAATTTCATGCGTGTCCGTGTGAAGAGACCACCAAACAGGCTTTGTGTGAGCAATAAAACTTTATTTCACCTGGGTGCAGGTGGGCTGAGTCCAAAAAGAGAGTAAAGGGAGATAGATAGGGGTTGGGCCATTTTATAGGATTTGGGTAGGTAAAGGAAAAAGGGGGGTTGTTCTCTGGTGGGCAGGAGTGGGTGTCACAACGTACTCAGTGGGGGAGCTTTTGAGCCAGGATGAGCCAGGAGAAGGAATTTCAAAAGACAGTGTCATCAGTTAAGGCAGGAACAGGCCATTTTCACTTCTTTTGTGGTGGAATGTCATCAGTTAAGGAAGGAACTGGCCATCTGGATGTGTACGTGCAGGTCACGGGATATGATGGCTTAGCTTGGGCTCAGAGGCCTGACAATATTCATTTTTTTACTTTAGGTTTGGGGCTACATGTGAAGGTTTGTTACACAGGTAAACTCGTGTCATCGGGGTTTGTTGTACAGAGTAGTTCATCACCTTGACATTAAGCCCAGTACCCAATATTTATTTATTTATTTAGTTGAGACTGAGTTTTGCTCTTTTGCTCAGGCCAGAGTACTGGTATGATCTCAGCTCATTGCAATTTCTGCCTCCCAGGTTCAAGGGATTCTCCTGCCTCAGTAGCTGGGATTACAGGTGCCTGCCATCATGCCTGGCTAATTTTTGTATTTTTAGTAGAGAGAGGGTTTCACCACATTGGCCAGGCTGGTCTTGAATTCCTGACCTCAGGTGATCCACCCACCTCGGCCTCCCAAAGTGCTGGAATTACAGGCATGAACCACAACACCTGGCCCCCAATAGTTTTTCTTTTTTATGCCTCTCCTTCCTCCCACCCTCCACCCTCAACTAGACTGCAGTGTCATGCTCGTCTGTGTGAAGAGACCACCAAATAGGCTTTGTGTGAGCAACAAGGCTGTTTATTTCACCTGGGTGCAGGCAGACTGGGTCTGAAAAAGAAGTCAGCAAAAGGAGATGGGGTGGGGCAGTTTTATAGGCCTGGGGTAAGCAGTGGATAGTTACAGTTAAAGGTGGTTATCTATTGTCAGCAGAGGAGAGCGTCACAAGGTGCATTGTGGGGAGATCATAAGACTCATTGTCCAGAAGAATTTCTCAAGGTCGATCGATCAGTTGGGGCAGGGCAGGAACAAGTCATAATGGAAAGTCATAAGGTTGGTCAATCAGTTAAGACAGGGGCTGGCTGTTTCACTTCTTTTGTACTTTTCGGTTGCCTCAGGCCATCTGGATGTATACCTGCAGTCTTGGGCTCAGAGGCCTGACATTCCTGTCTTCTTATATTAATAAGAAAAATAAAACAAAATAGTGAAGTGTTGGGGTGGCAAAAATTTTTGGGGGTGGTATGGAGAGATAATGGATGATGTTTCTCAGGGTTGCTTCGAGTGAGATTAGGAGCTGCGTGGACACCTTAAGGAAAATTTTATAATGAGTTACAAGGAATAGGGATTTAGGCTGTGGGGAGATCTTGGTGCGGGGGATGGTACTGTGGGGTTGTTAAAAGTAGCATTTGTCATATAGAATGATTGGTGATGGTCTGAATGTGGTTTTGTATGAATTGAGAAACTAAATGGAAGACACAGGGCCTGAATAAGAGAAGGAGAAAAACAGGTACCAGGGGACTAAGAATAGGGAGTAGCCAAGACACTCAGTTAGAAAGTGTCCAGATGGGTCCTGTGTAATGATTTGCCTGGTTGGCAAATTTCTGGGCTCTATCCTTGAGTTTATGTTGTCATATACCAGGCCAGACTGATTTACGTAAAAACAATACTCTTCATTTAAAAATATACAGAGTCCTCCTTTTTCAGCAGTGAGTAAGTCCAGGCCTCAGCAATTTTGGAGGACAACTGGGGCTAAGAGTTGACTTGGCCTGAAGGACTGATAAAGTTTGTGATATATCTGTAATGCTAGTAGAAATGTCATTTGAAAGGCTATGGAAGGTCGTGACAGAAGTTGAAATGCCTGCTATTCCAGCTCCAAGGGCAATAGTGGAAGCAGAAAGTCCTAACCCTATAAGTAGAGGGATTAGAGGAATAACTCTTTTTTGTCTGTTTGGTATCATGAGTGGGATAGGAAGTTGTTCAGTCCCATTTGCAAATTGAATTTTGGGAATGAGAAAAATGAGTGTACATGTCCCTGTCCGATTAGCAGGCAGACACATGTAAGCGGAGGAGCCACAGAAGAAGAGGCCTTTTGCAAGGCAAAATTGGAAATGCAAAGTGAAAAGATGAGAAGAAGTGCTAAAAGAGGTGTCTTTTACCCAGACTCAGGGATCCAGCTAGGGCGGCAGCCATCAGAGGTTGTAATGGGGACTGATGGGGTAACTGTGTAGAGGGGGAGGTTCAATATTCATGGTGTATGAGAAAGCATTGAGTGTCTACAAGCAAACTTTCACTGTTATTTATGGGGCTGGATATAAGTAAATAAGAAGAGGGCCTGGGAGGAGAGTCTGAAGAGCAAGGGGAAGGTAGCCAAGGATGGAGTGAAATACAGGGTAAATGTTTTCCTAAGCAATAATGTTTTTAAGTTTGCCAGTATTGATAGATGTCTTGTCTGTAATACGGAGCTGGAAGGCCCCAATTGTTTCTGTGATATATGTAGTTGGGCTTTGGAGATGAAGAGTGAAGGAGCATTGAGAAGGTGAAAAGTTCCCCAGGGGAATTCCAGTGGGTCTTTGCTGAGAGATACATAATGGAGTGACCACAGAAATAGTAGCTTGTGTTGTGGGGAGTCCAAATATGGGGGGAGTAGACTTGACATAAGGAGAATGCGGCCTTGAGAAGAGTTTTTATTAAGGAGGCATTAATGATGGAGGACACTTGCATAGGGGGGAAACCTCTTTCAGCCCATATAACAGCATGGTGGTGCAAGATATGGAAGGTATATTTTGAGTCAGTATAAATATTGATGTGTAGTCCCTTTGCAAGAGTGAGGGCCTGAGTTTAGGCAATGAGTTCTGCTTGCTGAGAGGCTGTGGGAGTGGGGCAGAGTGGTAGCCTCAATGATAGATGTGGAAGATACTATAGCATAGCCTGCCTTTGCTGGTGAGTGGCGATTAGGCCTGGTGGAACTGCCATCAATAAACCAAATGTGATCAGGATGAGGAACACGAAAGGAGGGGGAAATGGAGTGAATGTCAGGGGGATCAGAGAGATACAGTCATGGGGGTCAGGTGTGGTATCTGGAATAATGTGGCAGGCTGGATTGATGTCTGGGCCAGGAACAATGGTAATTGTGGGAGACTCAACAAAGAGTGAGTATAGCTGAAGGAGCCAGGGAGCAAAAAGTATATGCATCAGGTGTGAGGAAGAAAATAGATTTGGGAAGTTATGAGAAATGTGGAGAGTGAGTTGAGCATAGTTTGTGACTTTGAGGGCCTCTAAAAGTATTAGGGTGGTGGTAGCTGCACGGAGACATCATGGCCAGCGTATAATAGGAAGGTCAAGTTGTTTGGACAAAAAGGCTACAGGGTGCAGTCCTGGTCCTTGTGTAAGAATTCCGACTGCACAACCCTGCACTTCGGCTGTGTGTAGTGAAAAGGGTTGGGATGAGTCAGGGAGAGCTAGTGTGGGAGCAGTCTCCAGAGCTGTCTTCAAGGAACGGAAAGACGAGTGGGGAAAGGATTTAGGATCTGTGCGGTCAGCTAGGTTTCCCTTTGTGAGTTGATACAATGGTTTTGTTAGGACAGCAAAGCCAGGTGTCCAAAGGTGAAAGTATCCAACCATGCCCAGGAAGGAAAGGAGTTGTTGTTTTATAGAAGGGGTTGGGGTTTGAGAGATCAGCTGGACACAGTTGGCAGGGATAGCATGCATGTTTTCATGAAGAATTATGCCAAGGTAGGTAATGGATGGGGAAGAAATTTGAGCTTTGGTGGGGGATACCTGATATCCTTTGGAGAATAAATGTTGAAGGAGTAGGAGGATATCCTTTTGCAAAGACTCAAAGTAGGGACTACAGAGTAGAAGGTCATCAATGTATTGAATAAGGTAGGAAGCAGAGGAGTGAAAAGAAAGTAAATCATGAGAAAGAGCTTGGCTGAAGTAATGAGGGCTATCCCGGAAGCCTTGCGGCAGTACAGCCCAGGTAAGCTGCTGGGACTGATGAGTGTCAGTGTCAGTCCAGGTAAAAGCAAAGAGGGGCTGGGATGAGGGGTGCAGGGGAATAGTGAAAAAAGCATGTTTAAGATCAAGAATGGAATAGTGAGTTGTGGAGGGCAGTATTGAGAACAAAAGAGTGTACAGGTTGGGCACCACAGGGTGGATAGGCAAAACAATTTGGTTTAAAAGGCACAGATCCTGAACCAACCTGTAAGACTCGTCCAGCTTTTGGACACTTAAAATGGGGGAATCATAAGGAGTTTTTAGACTTTAGAAGCTCATGCTGTAGCAGGCGAGTGATAACAGGCTTTAATCCCCTTAAAGCCTGTTGTGGGATGGGATACTGGTGTTGAGCAGGGTAAGGGTGATTAGGTATGGGTGTGTGATCAGTTGCCAGGGAGGGAGCAGAGGTGTCCCATACCTGTGGGTTAAGGTGGGGGGATACAAGAGGAAGACGTGAAGGAGGCTTTGGGTTGGGAAGAAGGGCGGCAATGAGATGTGGCTGTAGTCCAGGAATAGTCAGGGAAGCAGGTAATTTGGTTAAAATGTCTCAGCCTAATAAGGGAACTGGGCAGGTGGGGATAACTAAAAAGGAGTGCATAAAAGAATATTGTTCAAGTTGGCACCAAATTGGGAAGTTTTAAGGGGTCCAGGAGCCTGGCCATCAATACCCACAACAGTTATGGAGGCAAGGGAAACAGGCCCTTGAAAAGAAGGTAATGTGGAGTGGTTAGCCCCTGTATCAATTAAACAGGGGATGGACTTACGCCCCACTGTAAGAGTTACCCAAAGCTCAGCATCCCTGATGGTCCAGAGGGCTTCCGAGGCAATTGGGCAGTGACAGTCTTCAGCTGCTAAGCCGAGCAGATCTGGGAAGGAGTCAAAGAGCCATGGGCCAGAGCTTTAGGGGCTCTAGGAGTGGCTTCTGGGTGAGCTGGACAGTCTGATTTCCATGGGTCCCTGCACAGATGGGACGTGGCTTGGGAGGAATCCCTGGCTGCAGGCATTCCTTGGCCCAGTGGCCAGATTTCTGGCACTTGAAGCAAGATCCTGAGAGAGGAGGTCCTGTAGGAATGCCTGACCACTGCAGCTTAGGCGTTTTGAAGTTCTTGTGTGCTGGAGCTGCAGCTGAGTTTTGTCTCACAGCAGAGGCAAGTAATTGTAACTCAGAAATGCATTGCCATTTGGCTGCCTCCTCTCTATTATTGCACACTTTGAAGGTGAGGTTGATTAATTCCTGTTGTGGGGTTTGAGGACTGGATTCCAATTTTTGAAGCTTTTTTCTAATGTCAGGAGCTGACTGGTTGATAAAATGCATATTGAGAATGAGACAGCCTTCTGACCCTTCAGGGTCTAGGGCTGTAAAGTGTCTCAGAATTGCTGCCAGATGAACCATGAACTGGGCTGGGTTTTCATCTTTACCTTGGGTCGTTTAAGTTTGTCATAATTAACAGCTTTGTAAGCTGCCTTTTTAAGCACTTCAACTAGGCAGGAAATCATAATCTTGCCTAGCTATACCTGGGGAGCCTGTCTGGTATTCCCATTAGGGATCTTCTTGGGGAACTACCCAGATGCCTTGTTGAAGGTTTGGCTCATGAGGCCTGCAGGTGTCAGTGTGGGACTGGGCTAGGGTATAAACTCTATCCCACTCATCTGGGGAAAGGGTAGAAGGTAGGATGACATTTAAGTCACTCCAGGTTAAGTTGTAGTATTGGATTAAATACTGGAATTCCTGTATATATTTAGTGGTGTCTCACGAGAAGGGGCCTAAGTGTTGATTAATTTGGGAAAGGTCTGATAGAGAAAATGGTACATGCACTCTGCCGATGCCCTCAGCTCCAGGCACTTCTCAAAGAGGAAATTGTTGGGCAGGTTGGGGAGTATTTGCTGCAGAACGAAATTGTAAGCCGAACTGGGTGTGGGGAGGGGAGGTGACAGCAGGGTTACAGGGTGGGGGAGTGGAGGCTGAGGAAGAATTGGGACTTGATTCAGCCTTCTGAGGAGTGGCCTGGGGAGGGGGAGAGAGGTAAGAGGGGTCTTCAGAAAAGGAGGATTCAGAAGACTCAGCAGCAGTTGGTGTTGGGACTGAAGGGACAGGCAGGAGGGAAAGAAGCATTTGGGACTAGTCACATTGGGACCAGAAGCTAGGGAGGAAGTGAAGTGAAAAAATGCCTGGACATAAGGCACCTCAGACCATTTACCCATCTTATGACAAAAATTATTTAGGTCTTGTAGGATGGAGAAATCAAAAGTGCCATTATCTGGCCATTTAGAGCCATTATCAAGTTTGTATTGGGGCCAAACAGTGTTGCAGGAGAAAATAAGATGCTTAGGTTTTAGATCAGGTGAGAGTTGAAGAGGTTTCAAGTTTTTAAGAACACAGGCTAAGGGGGAAGTAGGAGGAATGGAGGGTGGATGGTTGCCCATAGTAAAAACGTAAGTTTAGAGAAAAGAGGGGTAGAGACACAGAGAGAGTGGGGTGGTACTTGCCACAAAGAGGAAATGGTACTTGCCACCAAGGTGGAGGATCAAGGCAGGTGTCCCTGTGGTGATTGAACAAGTCTGAAATGTGGGTGAATAATCAGACAGGCATCCCTGCAGTGATTAAACACCAAGGGAAGACTGTCTTCCCAAGTCCGTGACCAGCGCTGGAGTTTTGGGTTCATGGATAAAACATGTCTCCTCTGTCTCTACCAGAAAAGGAAAGGAACTGAAATTAAGGGAAGGGAGAGATTGAAAGGTGGTGCTGAAATTGAAAGGAGAAAGATGATGAGGGATAGTGACAAAGTTGGAGAAGACAGTAAAAAGACCACTTACCCAATTTGAAATTGGTGAGACGTTCCTTGGGCTGGTTGGTCTGAGGACCTGAGGTCGTAGCTGGAGCTCCTCATGGAGATCAGGACAGGGGATCAGTCTCCTGAAGGAGTCCTCCTGTCCCACATCTCACCAAATGTCACGTATGTCCCTGTGAAGAGACCACCAAACAGGTTTTGTGTGAGCAACAAGGCTGTTTATTTTACCTGGGTGCAGGCAGGCTGAGTCCAAAAAAGGAGTCAGCAAAGGGAGATAGGGGAGTGGCAGTTTTATAGGACTGGGATAAGCAGTGGAAAGTTACAATTAAAGGTGGTTATCTATTGTCAGCAGAGGAGGGGGTCACAAAGTGCATGGTGGGGAGGTCATAGGACTCATTGTCCAGAAGAAGAATGTCATGAGGTTGATCCATTGGTCAGTTGGGGCAGGGCAGAAACAAGTCATAATGGAAAGTCATAAGGTTGGTCAATCAGTTAAGACAGAAGCTGGCTGTTTCACTTCTTTTGTGCTTTTCGCTTGCCTCAGACCATCTGGATGTATACGTGCAGACTTGGGCTCAGAGGCCTGACGCCTAGTGTCTGTTGTTTTCTTCTTTGTGTTTAGTAAATATTTTACTCTGATATTTCATCCTGCTGGTTGTGAAAATTAACATGTTCTCATATTAGTAAATATGGCTACCTTCCTCTTTGATGCCTGCATTGGAAATTGGCTGAATAACATATGGGTCCTTTGTGACTTTTCTCTGTATAAGGAGTGCCATAGTCACTGCCTCTGTGCTCACCTGCATTACTACAGATATCTGAGGATTCCTCCAGGGAAGGCTGTTGAAGGAGTGATTGCTTCTAGGATGGGTAATCTCCTGTTTTCTTAGAACTGAACAGATTCTCCCCTGCCCTCAACTGCCAAAGTTCCTTTTCCACCAAGATGAGATTCCTCTTCAGTTAAAGGAAACTATATATACACACACACACACACACACACAGAGATATACACACACAGATATACACACACATATATACATATACACATACACACATACGTATATATTTTGAAAATCTTTTGTATTTTGAAAATCTGGGGAAAATGACAACCCTTTGCATTCAACTCTAGTTTTTTGTGAGTCTGCGTAAATTTTATTATTTTGTGGACATATATATAAAAAATGTATTTTTGTACTTTGAGTAATTTTGTTTTCTTGTATTTTGAGATGGGGCCTCGCTTTGTTGCCCAGGCTGAAGCTCAGTGGTGCAATCATAGCTCACTGCAACCTGTACCCTCATGGTAAAGACATCCTCCCACCTCGGCCTCCCAAGTAGTTGGAACCACAGATGCCTGCCACCATGCCCAGCTAAATTTTTTTTTCTTTCTTTGAGATGGAGTTTCTGTTGAACAGGCTGGAGTGCAGTGGTGTGATCTTGGATTACTGCAACCTCTGCCTCCCAGGATCAAGCAAGTCTCCGGCCTCAGCCTCCCATGTAGCTGGGATTACAGGCATGTGCCATTGAGCCCGGCTATTTCACTGTGGACGTTGTCATCTTTGAAGGCATCACTCATGCTCTATCTCATCTAGATACTGAGTGTCACTTGGTGTGTCAATAAAAGTTTCTAACATTTTTTTTTTTTTTTGGAGATGGAGTCTCACTCTGTTGCCCAGGTTGGAGTGCAGTGGCATGATCTTGGCTCACTGCAACCTCTACCTCCCGGCTTCAAGCAATTCTCCTGCCTCAGCCTCCTGAGTAGCTGAGACTACAGGCATCTACCACCACATCCAGCTAATTTTTGTATTTTTAGTACAGACAGAGTTTCACCATATTGTCCAGGCTAGTCTCGAATTCCTGACCTTGTGATCCACCTGCCTCAGCCTCCCAAAGTGTTGGGATTACAGGCGTGAGCCACAGCACCTGGCCAAAAGTTTCTAACATTTCTATAATGGGAACCAGGCATCTATTTATTTGAGTGTTTCTTGTATTCTTCACAAACATAATAAATTTATAACAAGAGGGTATTATGACCTCTTCAAAAAGTATAATCAAACACCACTGGGAAGACATCATGTGGTGAAAAATCCCTTACTCAGATTTGTCAGAACATTCACTACAATTAAATCCTTGTTGTCACCGCTCTCCTCATTTTCTGTAAAGATAAGAACTCCTCCCATAACCATTTGGTTAAAATGTGTTTTCATTTCAGGGTCTATTGACATTCAGGGATGTGGCCATAGAATTCTCTCAGGAGGAGTGGAAATGCCTGGACCCTGCTCAGAGGACTCTATACAGAGATGTGATGTTGGAGAATTATAGGAACCTGGTCTCCCTGGGTGAGGATAACTTCCCTCCAGAAGTGGGGATGTTCCCTTGTGTATCTTTGCATTTTCTCTTGTTTCTCTTGGGAGTTGCATCCTTGCTTGACTAAAATGGAAGCCGTATTGATTTTGAAATGAAAAGCTTCATGATGTAGCATCTGGACTTTCACTGTCCCCTTTTTTAGATGTTCTGCGTTCTTCATGATAGCTCAGTGGGGGTTCCAGAAGTAAAGAAGGCTTAAAACCTTATGGCTGGCAAGGCGTGGTGACTCATGCCTGTAATCCCAGCACTTTGGGAGGCCAAAGCTTGTGGATCACTTCAGGTCAGGAGTTCGATACTAGCCTCACCAACATGGCGAAACGTCATCTCTACTAAAAATACAAAAATTGGCCAGGCGCGGTGGCTCACGCCTGTAATCCCAGCACTCTGGGAGGCTGATGAGGGCGGATCACAAGGTCAGGAGATCGAGACCATCCTGGTGAACACAGTGAAACCCTGTCTCTACTAAAAATACAAAAAAAAATTAGCCGGGTGTGGTGGTGGGCACCTGTAGTCCCAGCTACTTGGGAGGCTGAGGCAGGAGAATGGCATGAACCCAGGGGACGGAGCTTGCAGTGAGCTGAGATCGTGCCACTGCACTCTAGCCTGGGAGACAGCCAGGCTCCATCTCAAAAAAAAAAAAACACAAAAATTATCCAGGCGTGATGGCACATGTCTGTAATCCCAGGTACTAGAAAGGCTAAGGTAAGATTATCACCTGAACCTGGGAGGCAATGGTTGCAGTGAGCCGAGAATGCATGACTGCACTCCAGCCCGGGTAACAGAGCAAGATTCTGTCTCAAAAAACAAAAACAAAACAAAACCTCATGGCAGACTTTAAAGATATCCAGTTCCCTATTTGCTACTCCTGTGCTTTTGATTCAGTAGTTCTGGGAAGAGAGCTCAGTGTCCACATATTACAGTGCTCTTTAAAGATTCAGAAGGAGGCAGTCAGTGGAGGAATTTGTGAGATATTTTCCTAAGTCCATCTGTAATGTCTTCTTTCCTACAGAAACATAGGGCTGGGGATCTAGAAAACTTCCAACATGTCATGTTTCCTACTTTTTATAAGCAGGAGTCTCTTTCTAACCTGTTGGAGCAAGGCAAAGAGCCCTGGACTGTGTAGCATGAAGTGAAAATAAGATGGGTGGGAATTTTTTTTTTTTTTTTTTTTTTTTTTTTGAGACAATCTCACTCTGTTGCCCAGGCTGGAGTGCAGTGACACGATCTCGGTTCACTGTAACCTCCACCTCTGGGGTTCAAGCAATTCTCCTGCCTCAGCCTCCCAAGTAGCTGGGACTGCAGTCACATGCCACCATGCCCAGCTAATTTTTGTATTTTTAGTAGAGACAGGGTTTCACCATGTTGGCCAGGCTGTGTTTGAACTCCTGACTTCAGGTGATCCACCTGCCTGGGCCTCCCAAAGTGTTGGGATTACAGGCATGAGCCACTGCTCCCGGCCTACTGTCACTTCTTAACATATTAATCTTTGTATTTCTGACCACCTCAATATCCACAGTACTCAGTCCCCATGCTACTCTCACCATGTAAGGAAAGACACTTGCTTATCTGTAGGACGGCTTTCTCAGAACACAGCCTAAACCGATGTCTGCTCTGTACGATGGTGGACATACCGCTGTCTAGGAAGGATTACCAAGTGACATGGTCAGCAACACAACCCCGTTCTTGTAGCTCCCTTGAAATGATTCCTTTCTATGCATCTATTTGCCATGTCGTGTCGTGTTGTGCAGGTTTGTCGTGTGGGTATATGTGTGCCGTGGTGGTTTGCTGCACCCATCAACCCATCATCTAGGTTTTAAGCCCTGCATGCATTAGGTATCTTTCCCAATGTTCTCCCTCCCCTTGCCCCCTACCCCCTGATAGGCCCTGCTCTATGTTGCTTCCCTCCCTGTGACCATGTGTTCTAATCGTTCAACTCCCACTTATGAGTGAGAACATGCGGTGTTTGGTTTTCTGTTCCTGTGTTAGTTTGCTGAGAACGATGGCTTCCAGCTCCATCCATGTCCCTACAAAGGACATGATCTCATTCTTTTTTTTCTTTTTCCGAGATGGAGTTTTTGCTCTTGTTGCCCAGGCTGGAGTGCAGTGGCACAATCTCGGCTCACCACCACCTCCGCCTCCCGGGTTCAAGCGATTCTCCCGCCTCAGCCTCAGAAGTTGCTGGAATTACAGGTATGCGCCACCATGCCCGGCTAATTTTGTATTTTTAGTAGAGACGGGGTTTCACCATGTTGATCAGGCTGGTCTCCAACTCCCGACCTCAGGTGATCCGCCCACCTCAGCCTCCCAAAGTGCTGGGATTACAGGTGTGAGCCACTGTGTCCTGCCAACCTCGTTCTTTTTTATGGCTGCATAGTATTCCATGCAGTATATGTGCCACATTTTCTTTATCCAGTATATCCTTGATGGGCATTTGGGTTGGTTCTAAGTCTTTGCTATTGTAAATATTGCTGCAAGAAACATACATGTGCATGTGCCTTTATAGTAAAATGATTTATAATCCTTTGGGTATATACCCAGTAATGGGATTGCTGGGTCAATACTGCATCCACTTTTAAGAAATGTCTGGATCTGCAGCCCAAGATCAAATCCCATTGACCTCACTTACTTGCAGTGTAAATTGGTGGACCTACTCTATTTGAAAAGCAATAATTTACTCCAAGTTTCTTTTGGCAAGTTGGTGTTGGTAGACGGCTAGGAATATTGAAGTTTTTGTAAAGATGGAAAAGTTACTTTATTTAAGAAAAGATTTGGCTGGGCGCAGTGGCTCACACCTGAAATCCCAGCACTTTGGGAGCCCAAGGTGGGTGGATCACCTAAGGTCAGGAGTTCGAGACCAGCCTGGCCAACTTGGTGAAGCCCCGTCTCTATTAAAATACAAAAGTTAGCTGGGCATGGTGGCAGTCGCCTGTAATCCCAGCTACTCAGGAGGCTGAGGCAGGAGAATCGCTTGAACTCGTGTGGCGGAGGTTGCAGCGAGCCGAGGTCGTGCCATTGCACTCCAGCCTGGGGCACAAGAGTGAGACTTCGTCTCAAAAAGAAAAAAAAGATTTATCAGTCTCTGTCATGTTCATTAGATGGACCTTTTCATCCATCTAACTTTTCATGTCTTAACCACATCAGCCTGCCATAAGAAATACTGTAGACTGAGATGCTTACATCCTAAACTTCAGGAAATAATTTCTCATAAACCTGTAAGCAGTGAAGTCCAAGATCAAAATGCATAAAAACACTTCCTGGGTGGTGCCTTCTTTCTATTTTACCCCAGTCTGCTTTTTTTTTGAGATGGAGTTTTGCTAATTTTTGTATTTTTAGTAGAGACAGGGTTTAATCATGTTGGTCAGGCTGGTCTGGAACTCCTGACCTCAGATGATTCACTCACCGTGGCCTCCCCAGTTGCTGAGATTAAAGGCATGAGCCACCGCACCTGGCCCCAACCTGCTTCTTGCTGTGTCTATCATATGTCAGAGTGAGAGGAAGCAAGTACTCTAGTGGTTTTTCTTATACAGGCACTAATCCTGTTCATGAGAGCTTCCTCCCTTCCTCCTCATGGCCTAATTGTTGCCCAATGTCCCCACTTGCAATAACATAATATTGGGGAATAGGATCTTTTGGTCAGTGCAAACATTTAGGCCATGGGTGCCTTCGTTGTGTTGTATACCTTTTTATTTTTCAGTTTGCTCCAAAGAATGTTTTCTCTGACCTTAGTCAATAAATTTCTTAAGTACAAAATTCTTTCAACTATTAGACAGCCATATGTTTTCCTTCTATTGCAGTATGCTCAGGCTTCATGTTGGAAAAAATCTCAATTTTGGGGAGCTAACCTAAATTTTTGCAATGTAAGTGGTTTGGCCATAGGTTTCTTTATACTAGGCTTTTCTGCAATTAGTTTGAATTATGTGCAGTCACCCTTTCTCTATTAGAAAATATCTGTTCCTTTTGTTTTCCAAAAAGTTAAAAATCATGAATGGGAGTTTTATAACTTTCTTTAACATAAGTATTACTCTTAGTGTACTATTACACATTTCAATAGGAGATATTTATTGACTATCTGTAATTAATTGGAAACTGTGGGATCCTTATATCTTGTAGGTATTTTTTCTAAATGTGAGATCAAGGAATTACCACCAAAAAAGGAGAGTAATACAGGAGAAATATTCCAGACAGTAATGTTGGAAAGACATGAAAGCCACGACATACAAGATTTTTGCTTCAGAGAAACCCAGAAAAATGTACATGACTCTCAGTGTCTGTGGAAACATGATTGAAGACATTATAAGCGAGTGCGTGTGACCTATAAGGAAAGTCTCATTGGTAGAAGAGACATGCATGGGAGAAAGGATGATGCACAAAAGCAGCCTGTTAAAAATCAGCTTGGATTAAACCCGCAGTCACATCTACCAGAACTGCAGCTATTTCAAGCTGAAGGGAAAATATATAAATATGATCACATGGAAAAATCTGTCAACAGTAGTTCCTTAGTTTCCCCACCCCAACGTATTTCTTCTACTGTCAAAACCCACATTTCTCATACATATGAATGTAATTTTGTGGATTCATTATTCACACAAAAAGAGAAAGCAAATATTGGGACAGAACACTACAAATGTAGTGAGCGTGGCAAGGCCTTTCATCAAGGCTTACATTTTACTATACATCAAATAATCCATACTAAAGAGACGCAATTTAAATGTGATATATGTGGCAAGATCTTCAATAAAAAATCAAACCTTGCAAGTCATCAAAGAATTCATACTGGAGAGAAGCCATATAAATGTAATGAATGTGGCAAGGTCTTCCATAATATGTCACACCTTGCACAGCATCGCAGGATTCATACTGGAGAGAAACCATATAAATGTAATGAATGTGGCAAGGTCTTTAATCAAATTTCACACCTTGCACAACATCAAAGAATTCATACCGGAGAGAAACCTTATAAATGTAATGAATGTGGAAAGGTCTTCCATCAAATTTCACACCTTGCACAACATCGGACAATTCATACTGGAGAAAAACCTTACGAATGTAACAAATGTGGCAAGGTGTTCAGTCGCAATTCCTACCTTGTACAACATCTGATCATTCATACTGGAGAGAAACCTTACAGATGTAATGTATGTGGAAAGGTCTTCCATCATATTTCACACCTTGCACAACATCAGAGAATCCACACTGGAGAGAAACCTTACAAATGTAATGAGTGTGGCAAGGTCTTCAGTCACAAGTCATCCCTAGTAAATCACTGGAGAATTCATACTGGAGAGAAACCTTACAAATGTAATGAGTGTGGCAAGGTCTTCAGTCACAAGTCATCCCTAGTAAATCACTGGAGAATCCACACTGGAGAGAAACCTTACAAATGTAATGAATGTGGCAAGGTCTTCAGTCGCAATTCATACCTTGCCCAACATCTGATAATTCATGCCGGTGAGAAACCTTATAAGTGTGATGAATGTGACAAAGCATTCAGTCAAAATTCACATCTTGTACAACATCACAGAATCCATACTGGAGAGAAACCTTACAAATGTGATGAATGTGGCAAAGTCTTCAGTCAAAATTCATACCTTGCATATCATTGGAGAATTCATACTGGAGAAAAAGCTTATAAATGTAATGAATGTGGGAAGGTCTTCGGTCTAAACTCATCCCTAGCACATCATCGGAAAATTCACACTGGAGAGAAACCTTTCAAATGTAATGAATGTGGCAAAGCTTTTAGTATGCGTTCAAGCCTCACTAATCATCATGCGATCCACACTGGAGAGAAACATTTCAAATGTAATGAATGTGGCAAACTCTTCCGCGACAATTCATATCTTGTACGTCATCAGAGATTTCATGCCGGAAAGAAATCTAACACATGTAATTAATGTGGCAGAGTGTTCAGTTAGCATTAAAGCCTTGTAAGACATACAATAATTTATACTGGAGAAAAACTTTGCAAGTATAATGAATGTAGCAGAGCCTTTAGTTTTTGTTCAAGGCTTAATAACCGTTAGCTAGACCATAGAGGACAGAAACTTTACTAATGTACTGAATGTGGCAAGGTCTTAAGGTAAAATCTGAGACCAGGATTCTTCAAAGAATTCTTGCTGGTGAGAAACCTAACAAATGTAATGAATGTGGCAAGGTCTTCTGGCACAATTCTCACATTGTACAATATTGCAAAAATTCATGCTTGAGAGAAACAAAAACACTGAGAGTGGGAAACCATTATGACTTCAAACATTCATCAACATCAGAGAATCCATACTAAAGAGCATTTATAATAATTATATGTGATAGAGATTTTCCGCAGGCCAAAGTCTCACTAGGCATCAAAAACTTTTTTGATGAAACCATACAAATGTAACGTGCATGCTTAAGCTTTTACCCAGGCATCAAAACCGGAACATCACAGGGTTTATACTGGAGAGTAACTACACAAAGATAATGTAATAAGCCTTTCAGTGTAATATTCATGATTTTGTCGTGAGAGATCCACTCAATAAAAACCAGGCAAATGTAGTGAATCTGGAAAGGTTACTAATCTAAGATGCATCCTCAGGGTTCATTAAAAATTCATAGTGGAGGGCCGGACCCAGTGACTCATGCCTGTAATCCCAGAACTTTGGGAGACCGAGGCAGGTGGATCATGAAGTCAAGAGATTGAGACCATCCTAGCCAACCAACATGGTGAAATCCCGTCTCTACTAAAAATTCAAAAATTAGCTGGGGGTGGTGGCACACGCCTGTAGTCCACACTGCTTGGGAGACCGAGGCAGGAGAGTCACTTGAACCCGGCAGGCAGAGGTTGCAGTGAGCCGAGATCACACCACTGCACTCCAGCCTGGTCGACAGAGCGAGATTCTGTCTCAAAAAAAAAAAAAAAAATCATAGTGGAGCCCGGGCATGGTGGCTCACGCCTGTAATCCCAGCACATTGGGAGGCTGAGGCAGGCAGACCATGAGGTCAGGAGTTTGAGACTGGCCTGGCCAACATGATGAAACCCCCTCTCTACTAAAAATACAAAAATTACCCAGGTGTGGTAGTGCGTGCCTGTAATCCCAGCTACTTGGGAGGCTGAGGCAGGAGAATCACTTGAACCTGGGAGGCGGAGGTTGCAGTGAGCCAAGGTCCTGCCACTGCACTTCAGCCTGGGCAACAGAGTGAGACTCCATCTCAAAAAATAAAAATAAAAATTATAGTGGAACAATCCATTACAAATGTAATGATATGGTAAATTATTCACAAACTATAATCCATCTGAGAGCTCACAGGAAGTCTAATTCTCTTTTTTTGGTTATTGTTTTTGAGATGGAGTCTCACTCTGTTGCCCAGACTGGGGTGCAGTGGCGAGATCTCGGCTCACTGCAAGCTCTACCTCCCGGGTTCATGCCATTCTCCTGCCTCAGCCTCCCGAGTAGCTGCGATTACAGGTGCCCGCCACCATGTCCGGCTAATTTTATGTATTTTTAGTAGAGACGGGGTTTCACCGTGTTAGCCAGGATGGTCTTGATCTCCTGACCTCGTGATCCGCCCGCCTCAGCCTCCCAGAGTGCTGGGATTACTGGCGTGAGCCACCGTGCCCAGCCAATAGGAAGTCTAATTCTCTACCATAAATCTTTTATATTACATTCTGCAGAATAATTACAATTCAAAATATGTTAAAAGTCATGACATATATATCAAAGACTCAAGGACATTTGGAAATGGCCAGTTACTTTCAGGTCATGAAATAATGTATTATATTATTGAAGGAGAAAGACTTCTTTACCAATGTTGACTTTCAAGCTGACATTTGAAATGTTTTTATGATGTCTTTCTTAGTCATTTCATGATCTATAGGCAGGAATAGGAAACAATGGCCTACTTCATTAGGTGAAATCATTTCTCTCCATGTTCCTGTGAAACAGGGACACTATCTTTTGAAATTAATTACTGGCTGAATATTGGCTAATCCCAGCACTTTGGGAGGCGGAGATGGGTGGATCACTTGAGGTCAGGAGTTCGAGACCAGCCTGGCCAGCATGGTGAAACCCCATCTTTACTAAAAATATAAAAATTGGCCAGATATTGTGGCTGGCACCTGTAATCCCAGCTACTCGGGAGACTGAGGCAGGAGAATTGCTTGAATCTGGGAGGCAGAGCTTGCAGTGAGCTGAGATCATGCCACTGCACTCCAGCCTGGGTGACAGGCGAGACTCCATCTCAAAAAAAAAAAAAAAAAAAGAAAGAAAAACACAAAGAAAAGGAAACAGAACCAGACGGAGATTGTTGCCTATGTATGTGCTTCTGTGATGCTCCTCAAAAACCAGAATGGGCCAGGCATGGTGGCTCACGCCTGTAATTCCAACACTTTGGGAGGCTGAGGCAGGTATATTACCTTAGATCAGGAGTTCGAGACCAGCTTGGGCAACAAAGTGAAACCGCATCTCTACTATAACAATACAAAAATGCGCCGGGCATGGTGATGCATGCTTGTAATCCCAGCTACAAGAGAGGCTGAGGCAGGAGAATCACTTGAACCCGTGAGGCAGAGGTTGCAGTGAGCCTAGATTGTGCCACTTCACTCCAGCCTGGACAAGAGTGAGACTCTGTCTCAAAAAAAAAAAAAAAGGAAAAAAAATGGCTGAATTAAGATTTGTAGGGGGCTGAGAATAATGTAAAGCTGTGATATCAGTCAGATTATTGCATACAGGGCATTCTTCACAGAGAGGGCCAGTGTGGATTATAGGAAAGAAATGCTCTACTAACCAATCATGAAATAGAGCAGTCCAAGACCTTAAGAGGCTGCAGTTTTTATTGGAGGAGATTAATACGTTAATAGGAAGTGATTACATATACAGTAGAGGTAATGCAGGGGACATGTTAGCCACATCTCCATTGAATGGCAGTAGCTGTCATTTAGCAAGATTGAGGAAAAATTTCTCTTAATCTTGAACTTGAAAAGAGCAGTTACCACAGAGAAGAGGGATTTTTAGCTTTTTTTTTTCTATTTGTAGAGACGGGGTTTCACTATGTGTCCCAGGCTGGTTTTGAACTCCTGAGCTCAAGTGATCCTTCTGCTTGGCCTCCCAAAAGTGCTGGGATTACAGGTGTGAGCCACTGTGCCTGGTCCAAAAAGGAGAGTTTATTTTAAAAAAAAAAACCCACAATAGCATGTCCTTGATTAGGAATCCTTTTAAACTGTCAGCATTACATTCTCTATTGTTTGTTTTTTGAGACAGTGTCTCACTCTGTCACCCAGGCTGGAGTGCAATGGAGCGATCATGGCTCACTGCAACCTCCGCTTCCTGGGTTCAACCAGTTCTCCTGCTTCAGCCTCCCTAGTATATGGGACTACAGGTGTACCACCACTATGCCCAGCTAATTTTTGTATTTTTTGGTAGAGATGGGGTTTTACTGTGATGGCTAGGCTACAGTTTCTATTGTTTTATTTAGAATGTATCACAGATGTCATGTGTTAACAACATTTAATTTTTTTATAACTGAGTTAATTATGTTCCATCTACCTGCATAGCTTTATCTCACCTCTATAGGATCCTTCATGTCTAAACACAAACAATGTGCCATCAGGTTGCTAAGGCTGAAGGAGCTACAATTTTTTTTTTTCTTAGAAGGAGTCTCGCTTTGTTGCCCAGGCTGGAGTGCAGTGGCAGGATCTCAGCTCACTGCAAGCTCTGGCTCACTGCAAGCTCCGCCTCCCGGGTTCACACCATTCTCCTGCCTCAGCCTCCCAAGTAGCTGGGACTACAGGTGCCCGCCACACCATGCCCGGCTAATTTTTTTGTATTTTTATAGAGACGGGGTTTCACTGTGTTAGCCAGGTTGGTCTCGATCTCCTGAGCTCGTGATCCGCCTGCCTCAGCCTCCCAAAGTGCTGGGATTACAGGCATGAGCCACCACGCCCAGCCTACAATTTTTTTTATGATGGAATTAAACATCATACAATTTGAGAACATACAATCACACCTTCCACTTCAGTTATCCTCTCTGCAGTCGGCCTTAGGATACTTATATGAACATGATGAAAATCCCATAGCAGTGCAGTTTCACACTCTGACAAACCTGCATCCCTATTGATAAGTGGGACTTGTATTCTTCTAAATGCCTTTCTCTTACGCCCCAAATGAACACATGGCATGCATTTTACTTTACATAGAGCAAAAATACATACAGAGTAAGGATATAAAAAGTACTGTGAAATAAAAGTAAATATGGGGAATACGAATAAAAATAACACAAAATTTAGCTGGGCGTGGTTGTGCACCATTGTAGTCTCAGCTACTTGGGAGGCTGAGGCAGGAGAATCGCTTGAACCCAGGAGGCGGAGGTTGCAGTGAGCAGAGATCGCACTGCTGCACTCTAGCCTGGGTGACACAGCGAGAATCTGTCTCAGCAAAAAAAAAATATATATATATAATCTATATTATATATAGATTATATATATTACATATATAATATATATTTTATGTATTATATATTTTATATATAATATATATTACATATATATTTTATGTATTATATATTTTATATATAATATATATTACATATATATTTTATATAATATATATTATATATATTTTTTATATATAATATATATTTATATATATTATATATTTTTTATATATTATATATATTTATATATATATATATCTCTCTCCAGTTGCATCCATGTTGTTGGAAATGACAGGATGCCATACTTTTTGACGGCTGAACATTACTTCATTGTCTATAAGTATACACACAATATACTGATTTCTTTTATTTCTTGTATTTAGCCTAGTGCTGGGTATATATACCCAGCACTGGGCTTGCTGGATGATATGGTAGCTCAATGTTTAGTTTTTTAAATAGCTTATTTGCCTTATCTCTTTGCTTTCCCCCTGTTCCCACTAGCCAGACTCCTTTTCCCTAATTAGGACTCCACAGTAAATCCAAATATATTCTGAAGGCTATCTATGTTACAGGTTTTCTTACCACACCTGACAGAAAGAAAAACAAAGAAAAGGTATAAAATAACTTACAGGGCCGGGTGCGGTGGCTCAAGCCTATAATCCTAGCATTTTGGGAGGCCAAGGCACGCAGATCACCAGGTCAGGAGTTAAAGACTAGACTGGCCAATATGGTGAAATCCCATCTCTACTAAAAAGACAAAAAAAACTTAGCTGGGAGTAATGGCTTATGGCTGTAATCCCAGCTACTCGGGAGGCAGAGGCAGGAGAATTGCTGGAACCCAGGAGAAGGAGGATGCAGTGAGGCAAGATCGTGCTACTGCACTGCAGCCTGGGTGACAGACTGAGACTCCGTCTCAAAAAATAATAATAAAAATAATAAAAAATAAAATACCTTATAATTGGCCAGGTGTGGTGGCTCATGCCTGTAATCCCAGCACGTTGGGAGGCCGAGGCAGGCAGATCACTTGAGGACAGGAGTTCAAGACCAGCCTGGCCAACATAGCGAAATGCCGTTTCTACTAAAAATACAAAAATTAGCCGGGCATGGTGGCCCACACCTGTAATCCCAGCTACTCAGGAGGTTGAAGCAGGAAAATTGCTTGAACCTGGGAGGCGGGAGTTGCAGTGAGTCGAGATCGCACCACTGCACTCCAGCCTGGGTGACACAGTGAGATTGTCTCAAATAACAACAAACAAACAAACAAAACACCTTATAATTTGCAAATAAAAAGTATCTTTTCTAGTTACTTGCAGAATGCACGTAAAGTGAATTTAAAATTCTGCCGTGATAAAAGTTCATCTTATCAATTGGGTCACTCTTGCCACATCCAACTTATACAGGAGGTAAAAATAAACTATTTAGGCAGACAGTAAGGGCAAAAACTCCTCTGCAGAGCTTCCCTTCTAACAAAAAGCTGCCCAAAATATCGTTTTGTTCTAACAAAGAGCAGCCCGAAAAATCGATCTGCAAACATACGTAAGCAAGCTGGAAGCTTGCATGGGGGAAGTCAGCAGCTGTGCCAATAGAAAAGGGGCTACCTTGGGGCTAGGCATGTCCACCATGGAAGCTCCGTCTTTCCTTTTTTGTTAGCACGTGTACAGTAAGAAAGAAATGGGTAACATGGCACAGCTCAGGCAAAGAACCTGCATAATAAAAGATTGGGGAGGGGGCTGCCAGAAATTCATGCCGTATGCAAATGTTACATCTGGTCCTATGTAGATAAGACACTACCTCCCCACCAGCTCATCTATAAAACCCCTACGTTTTGCCACGAATCTGCAAACCATTTTTCCAGGACCTCTCTCTGTAGCAGAGAGCTATTGACTTTCTTTCGCCTATTGAACTTCCACTCTTAACGCCACTCTTGGGTGTCCGTGTCCTCGATTTCCGTGGCCATGAGACAACGAACATCAGGTATTACCCCAGAAAATGAGGCTGCCTCACAACTAAACCAAAGTCAAGAGGACAGATGAAAAATGAACTCAGGATACAAACATTGCTTCAAGAACGTGATTCTCTGAAGTATGGCTGCTGAAACTTCCTGTTGTAACCAGAAACCCCTGAAACCAGCTTTTTTTTTTTTTTTTTTTTTTTTTTTTTTTTTTTTTGGACAGTCTTCTCTGTCACCAGGCTAGAGTGAAGTGGCACAATCTCGGCTCACTGCAACCCATGACTCCCTGGATCAAGCGATTCTCCAGCCTCAGCCTCTGAGGTAGCGGGGATTACAGGCACATGCCAAGATGCCCACTAATTTTTGTATTTGTAGTAGAGACAAGGTTTCACCATGTTGGCCAGGATGATCTTGAACTCCTGACCTTGTGATCCAACCGCCTTGGCCTCCCAAGGTGCTGGGATTACAGGCATGAGCCAACGTGCCAGCCAAGATTTTTCTTTTAGCTGCTAAAATAAATTACCTGGGACTTTAAAAATAGTTTGTGAACGAAGTATCTGAGACAAATCTCAATCAGTTTAGAAAGTTTATCTTGCCAAGGTTAACTGCATGCCCACGACACAGGCTCAAGAGGTCCTAATGTCATGTGCCCAATATGGTCTAGGTAGAGCTTACATTTTAGGGAGTCATGACGTATCAGTAAGTGTCAGATGTACGTTGGTTAAGTCGGGAAAGGTGGAACAACCCAAAGCGGGGTGGGGGGTGGATTCCAGGACATAGGTAAATAAGAGACAAATGGTTGTTTTCTTTGAGTCTCTGATTAGCCTTTTGTACTTTGAGTAATTTTGTTCTCACATATTTTATTTTATTTTGAGATGAGGTCTTGCTCTTTTGCCAGATACTCAGGAGGCTGAGGCAGGAGAATCATCTCAACCCAGGAAACAGAGTTTGTGGTGAGCCAAGATCACACCATTGCACTCCAAGATGTGGTTGGGGAGAAATCCACAAATTTTGGTGATCAGAACTGAGGCATTCTGTGCTCAGTGGCATGAGAGAGTAGGAAAAACACTTTTTTTTTTTTTGTATTTCTTTTTTTTGGCGGGGGGTGGAGTCTTTCTTTGTTGCCCAGGCTAAAGTGCAGTGTCGGAATCTCAGCTCACTGCAGAGTCCACCTCCCGGGTTCGAGAGATTCTTCTGCCTCAGTCTCCCGAGTAGCTGGGATTACAGGCACCCACCACCACACCCGGCTACTTTTGGTATTTTTAGTAGAGACGGAGTTTCACCATGTTGGCCAGGCTGGTCTCAAACTCCCGACCTGAAGTGATCCGCCCTCCTCAGCCTCTCAAAATGATGGGATTACAGGCATGAGCCACCGCGCATGGCCTTTTTTTCCTACTTCAAATAGGCAAGCCAACTATTTGAACAAGCAGAGAGGGCTCTGTGCAGTATCCCGGGCCCCGGTTGCAAAGGAGGAGCAGCCCAGGTTTTCCGATCTCTTGATTAGGTGTTCCAAGTACAGGAAATGGGATGGAACCTGGTAGGTCAAGGGGTAGGTGTATGGAGGCCTCAGATCTTATCTATAGGGACAGAGAATGGAGCGTCAGAAGGAGTCAAGTACAGAATGAGAGACCACAGGGGAAGGAGACCCCTTTGACACAGCCCTCCCTGTTCCAGAGTCAAGAAACCAATGAGGTCACAGAAGCCAGATGACACGGTGTTGCCCATCAGGATAAAGATTCTGCCTTTGTCTCTGAGCTGCAGCATCACTAGAGGACAAAAAAATCAAACTACTACACATCTAAAGAGCAGAGGGGCCTGGCGTGGTGACTCACACTTGTAATTTCAGCACTTTGGGAGGCCGAGGCAGGAAAAACACCTGAGGTCAGGAGTTCGAGACCAGCCTGGCCAACATGGCACAACCCCGTCTCTACCAAAAATGCAGAAATTAGCCTAGTATGGTGGTGATGCATGCCTGTAGTTCCAGCTACTTGGGAGGCTGAGGCAGGAGAATCACTTGAACCCAGGTGGTGGAGGTCGTAGTGAGCTATTGTGCCACTGCACTCCAGTCTATGCAACAGAGTGAGACGCTGTCTCAAAATAAATAAATAAATAAATAAAATAAAATAAAATAAATAACAGAGACATAAGAGGGGGCAAAGAAAGATGTCCACTCAGAGATCTCAGGATTTAAACTTTTCTTTTCCCGCCGAATTCTCCCACTTGCAGAGAGATTTGAGGGTGGAGCTTCCACTCTGCCCATCTGAGCTCCTATTTGTGTTTACACCCATAATACATTCCTACCCATCTGTATTTTTTTTGTTATTTTCACTTCATTCTCCACAGTCCAGGGCTCCTTCCCTCACTCCAACATGGAGATAACAGGTCAGAAAGACTCCTGCTTATTAAAAAAAAAAAAAAAAAAAAAAAAAAAAAAAAAGGAAGATGACGTGCTGGAGCTTTTCTAGAGCCGCAGCCCTATGTTTTAGTAAGAAAGAAAACATTACAGATGGATCTAGCAAAATATTTCACAATTTCCTCCACTGACTGCCTCCTTCTGAATGCTTAGGGAGAATAGTCATATGTAATATGTGGACAACGAGCTCTCGTCCAAGAACTACTGAATCAAAAACACAGGAGTAGCAAACAGGGAAATGGATATCTTTTTGTTTTTTTTAGACGGAATTTCACTCTTGTTGCCCAAGGTGGAGTGCAATGGCGCGATCTCAACTCACCACAACCTCCGCCTCCCGGGTTCAAGTGACTTCTCTCACCTCAGCCTCTCGAGTAGTTGGGACTACAGTCATGCCCCACCACCCCTGGCTAATTTTGTGTTTTTAGTAGAAACAAGGTTTCTCCATGTTGGTAAGGCTGTTCTGGAACTCCCGACCTCTGGTGATCCGCCTGCCTCAGCCTCCCAAAGTGCTGGGATGACAGGCGTGAGCCATCGTGCCTGGCCAGAACTGGATTATCTTTAAAGTCACCCAGATGGTTTTGTTTTGCTTTTTGAAACAGAGTCTCGCACTGTCACCTGGGCTGGAGTGCAGTGGCAGGCTCTTGGCTCACTGCAACCTTCTGCTCCTGGGCTCAAGCGATTCTTTTTCCTCAGCCTTTCTAGTATCTGGGATTTCAGGTGAGTACCACCATGCTCGGCTAATTTTTGTATTTTTAGTAGAGACGGAGTTTCATCATGTTGGCCAGGCTGGTCTCAAACTCCTGACCTGAAGTGATCCACTAGCCTCACCCAAAGTGCTGGGATTACAGTCGTGAGCCTGGGCTACAGAGCCAGAGCCCATCCCAAATATTAATTAATTAAATTAAAAGTATTATGTAATAACACCAATTTTTTTTTTCCCACTTCACTGCTCCACTTCCTACCCAACTCTGGGAAAAGGCAAGAGAGTGACTCACAACTGAATAAGTCACTGCTGTTTGGCTGAATAGGGATTTCAGGTGGAAGCTAACCTCTGATGCTAAGATTTACAGGTACATGTCTCATAGACAGGAGTTTAAAAATTCTCAACCTCATCTGTATAATTTAAACAAGTTTTAAGTTATCAGATTATATACAAAGAAGTCAACGACTAATGATATCCAGTGAACTAACCTACTCATCTTTACCCAAAGTCCCCCGCTCCTTTTTTTCTTTTGAGACAGTGTCTCACTCTGTTGACCAGGCTGGAGTGCAGTGGCATGATCTCGGCTCACTGCAGCCTGGGCCTCCTGGGCTCAAGTTATCCTCCTACGTCAGCCTCCAGAGTAGCTAGGATTACAGCTGTGCACCATCACGCCCGGTTAATTTTTTTTTTTTTTTTTTTTTTTGGTCAGAGATGGGGAGGTCTCATTATGTTGCTCGAACTCCTGTACTCAAGCAATCCCCTTGTCTCAGTCTCCTATAGTGCTGGGATTAGAGACGTGAGCTACTGCGCCCAGCCCCTCTGTCTTCATTACTGTGCTTCCCTCGCTAAATCTGTACATATCTCTCATTCTCCCCTTCTCTCTCTAGCTCTTGTTTTCTTGTCTTTTTCCCTGGGCTTCCGTGCCTCATTTTTGCCCCTCTCCTCTTCTGCTGTTTATCCCCTTCTTCCCTCTATTACTTCTCTTCCACCTTTTCTGCTCCATCCTCGCTACTTATTTAACCTCTTATTGCTCCTTCTCCCACAATCTTTGGATTGTCCTCAACCTCCATAGATTCCGCCTCTTCTCCCATCTCTGCGCCTCCTCTGCTCTCCCTGTTACATTCTCTCTTCCCTGTTATACATCCCTGTCCACACTTTATGGCACTCTAGACCCACAGTAGTCCTCCCTGCTGTGCTTCTCCCTCTGTCCTTGCCACCAGCACCACTCTGCTCTGTCTGCCCTGGCTCCAAACCCCTCCTCCTCTCCCTCACTCTGATGAGCCTTCCTCTTTGCTGCCCCCTCTCTTCCTTGCTGTCCTTCATCTCTCTGTACATCTAGCTTTTCTCTACATTTCTCCAGTTGCTTTTCTCCTCCTGCTCTTTTCTTATCTCAGGTTTTCTACTGCTCTCTCTCACCTGATTCCTTTGGCCCATACAATTACAGGAGGGTTTGGAGTAAGACGTCTGCATCCCGGGGGAGCTCATTTTCCAGGGGCTGGAGCTGGGCAGGCAAGGACACCCCGTGTCACAGGACAGGCCCCGGACACCTTCCCAACGCGGGCTCAGGGGAAGCGGTGACGGCGGAGAGGAGACCTGGGGAGCAGCAGGGCCCGGCACGAGAAGGGAGGTGGGGGACGACGGCGCCTTAAGACAATGGTGGGGTCTGAAGGATCTCAGGACCAGGCAGAGGACGCAGCCTCCGCGGGACTGGGGGCACGGCGCTGCACTCGAGGGGCCGTCGAAGGCGAGGGTGGGAGGCGCCCAGGGCGGGAATCCACCTCACCTGTAAGGACTTTAAAAAGCGCGGGGCGGGAGGAGTTAGAAAAAGGTTTTGAGCAGGAAAACTACCCAATACAAAGTGTATACATTGCCCTATAGCAGCAAGACCAGAGACCGCACCAGCTTCAAGGCGATTTTAAACCCAAAAGGAAGTGAACCCCGGACTCTCAAAGGGAAGTCTCAATTTGCTCTGGGTGAAGACGGGCGAGAATTTCCAGGTCTGTGGGGACCCCACGTCCCAGGTACAGACGCGCCGGGGACCTGGGACGCACAGACTTAATATAAAACAGAGAGAAACTCACGCGCTGCCGTGGGACCTTCACTCCACGCTCTCCGCTTCCAGGTTCGCGCTGATCTGCTCGCGCAGGACAGAAGCCAGGCCTGGGCGGGGTCCAGGAGGAGGTGGGCGGGGCCTGGGCAGGCGGAAGCGGGGCGCGAGGCGGAGAGACTTTGCCCTTTAGAACCGGCAGAGGGCGGGGCCGGGGCGGGACAGAGTCAGTCTTGAGCCCAGCGCCTCCGTTTTTCGGGTTTTGGAAGGGAGACTGGCCGGGAAGGCTGAGGCATGAGTCAAAAGCCCTGGAATTGTCTGGAACGGGGATGCAAACTAGAATGTGAAATGCAAAGTCCTGCCTGGGCAGAACTACGATTTCATACTGAGGGCCCACAGGACAGAACAGAAATCCTCTCCCTTTCTATTCTCCATTCACTCGGGGTCGGGGAGGGCGGGTCGGCGGTGGGGGCAGAGTCCACCCTGTGCTCAGCTTCAGAGACTTCCCTAGGGCCACCGCCTGGGATGCGGGACGGAGTGCTCAGGCCAGGGAGGAGCGAAGTCACCACCTGCTGCTTAAACACAGCAGAGATGCGGGCACTGGGGAGGGAGCCTGAGGTCCCAGCTACTCAGGAAGCAGCAGCGGGAGGGTTGCTGAGCCTGGGGTTCCAGACCAGCCTGGGCGACAAAGTAACACCCCCTCCCGCAGGGCTCCCTTCCTCGTTCTCTAACTTTTTAAAATAAAATTTTGATTGTGTGATGTAGGGATCCAACATTATTCTTTTCCATGTGAATATCAAGTTAGTTGTCCCAGCACATTTGTGGAGGAGATCTATTACTTTCTTAATTTCCTTTTTTTTTTTTTAAGACAGAGTATTTCTCTGTCGTCCAGGCTGGAGTGCAGTGGCAAGGTCTCGGCTCAGTGCAGCCTGTACACCCTGTGTTGAAGTGATTCTCCTGCCTCACCCTCCGGAATAGCTGGCATTACAAGCGCGCCACCATGTCCGGCTAATTTTTGTATAATTGGTAGAGATGGGGTTTCACCATGTTGGCCAGGCTGGTCTCAAACTCCTGACTTGAAGTGATCTGCCTGCCTTGGCCTCCCAGAGTGCTGTGATTACAGGCGTGAGCCACCATGCCTGGCACAAGAAATACTCTTTACTTCACTATTTAAATGTTGAGACAATATATTTGAAAACAAAATGATCTTCCCCCAAATGAAAAATCATCTCCACGATAATAAAGAAATAAAAATCATTTTATTAATAAATAAGCCTTAGACCAGAATGTGATGGGAAATAGAGGAAAAGAGCTAAGAGTTTGAAATCAGATGCTTCAGTGTTCTATACAACCCATTAAGGACATGTTTTCAAGATAAACACTAATCAGTCCTCAGGGAAGAGGACACATAGTTGAACAGTCACACATAGTTCATCCTGACTCTACTTGGTAATGGAGGTGACCATCTGTGTCAGCTAACTAGCGTCATCCTGAGGGAGGGGGAGAAACCCTAACCCACAACTTTTGGCAAGTGTGAGTTTTACAACATGGCGACAGGGGCCCTCTCTGGTGAGGCTCCTACAATCCGACAGAAACTGATGTCAGCAGTAAATAATAAAATTTAGAATATATGATTAAGTACAGAATTTATTTGAAGGCAAAGCTTGGAAATAGCCACGTGGAAACATCAACTCTAAATGAATGGGATCAGCGTTCCCAAGTAGAGACGTTAAGATTTCACACACAGGGAAAGACAGAGAAGCTTTAGCAGAATCACCACGTTTTTTATTCTGGGCCAGTGCATAGGCTGCAGCAACTTGATTGATTACGGATAGATACACTTCAAGGAAGGTTACTTTATCACTACATAAGAAGGGACAATGATCCGAGGAGGTCTTATCTCTGGGGCTACTTAGTCTTCTTAATTACTTACAGGAAAACTCTTAGAAGTTGCACCTGCATTCCACTGGACTCAGGTTGCCTGACCACATTCCTCTCAAGGCTCAGAATTATCTCAAAGTCCATAGCCTTAAATTGAAGTTATTTGATGTTTGAATTATTTAATTTCCTACTGAGATAAAGGTACTGTTTCCCTTGTTGTTTGCCTTTCAAAGAGAGCTCCCAAGTCCTTCAAAAATACACCCCTGGGTCATTAAGCTGAAAAAAGGTTTAATTTCTAAAAAAAAAAAACAAAGTTAGCCGGGCATAGTGGTTCATACCTGTAATCCCAGCTACTCGGGAAGCTGAGGCAGGAGAATCGCTTGAACTCGGGAGACGGAGGTTGTGGTGAGGCGAGATCGTGGCTTGCACTCAAGCCTGGGTAACAAGAGAAAAACTCTGTCTAAAAAAAAAAACCTCAGAAGACAGAGAAAATGAATTTACAAATTTTCTAATTGAATGTTCTAAGAGACAAAAGGAAAGAAAAATCTCTTCCTTTACTTTTAAAGGAGGACTTATACCTCTCATTTATTTGCTTGTTTGAGACAGGGTCTAGCTTTTTCACCCAGGCTGGAGTGTGGTGGCAAGATCAGAGCTCACTGCAGCCTCCAACTTTCTGGCTCAAGTGATCCTCCCACCTCAGCACCCCAAGCAGCTGGGACCACAGGTGTGGACTAACACACCTGGCTGTTTTTTTTTATTTTTAGTAGAGATGAGGTCTTACTATGTTGCCTAGGCTGATTTCGAATTCCTGGGCTTAAGCGATCCTCCCTCCTTGGCCTCTCAAAGTGCTGGGATTACAGGTGTGAGCCACCGCTCCGGGCCCTGAGTTTATTTCCATGAAATATGAAATTATCCTCCACTCCTGGGAGTAATAGGCAGTTTTGCACGTCACCTTTCAGTTTCCATTATCCACTCAAACAACCCAGGACCTTGCTTAGTTTAATAATCCCTTCTAATTGCCAGTGCCCGCGGCAACCAGCGCGCCACTCCACCCCTTTACCGAGGTCCCTGCCCCTCTCCCCCACCCTGCCCCAGACAGAGGGGAGCTCGCCCCGCCTGCCGGATGCGTGACTCTACCTGCTCAAAAAAGGCGCTTTGCATTAAAACCATTTTCAACTTAAGAGGAAAAACGATTCAGCGTTCAGTACAGGTGGCCCAACACAATATGTTGTTTTACCTTCGATTGTTTGAAATATTAACTTAGGGGCCGGGCGCGGTGGCTCGCGCCTGTAATCCCAGCACTTTGGGAGGCCGAGGCGGGCGGATCACGAGGTCAGGAGATCGAGACCATCCTGGCTAACACAGTGAAACCCCGTCTCTACTGAAAATACAAAAAATTAGCCAGGCATGGTGGCGGGCGCCTGTAGTCCCAGCTACTCGGGAGGCTGAGGCAGGAGAATGGCATGAACCCGGGAGGCGGAGCTTGCAATGAGCCGAGATCGCGCCACTGCCCTCCAGCCTGGGCGACAGAGCAAGTCTCTAAAATGGACAGGAGGCATCCCTGTGATATTAGGGGTAATATCACGGCACATCAGAAACTATCCACCAATTAGTACCCGGAGAATCTAGTCCTGCAGGGCAAGAGGATGACAGCAGACGACACCTGGGGTCCAGCTGAGGAGAAAGCCAGGACCCGCCCCCTCGAGACCCTGCCCTTCAAAACACCACTTCCAGACCTTGCCCTCAAGATGACGATCACCCTCTGGCCCGGCCTCCAGGCAGCCTCCTCATTCTTGCCCCGCCCAGATTCTGTTCAAGGCCCTGCCCCTTCTAATCAGGTCCCACCCCAACGGCCACCTACACACTCTCATAGCCAGGTGTGGCTGTGATCTATCAGCCTTGGGCTCCCAAAGTGCTGGGATTACAGGCATGAGCCACCCCACCTGGCCCAATCTTCTTAACATAAACACTTTAATGTAAATTAATTCTTAAACTCAAGGTTAAGTCAACTCAATCTCAAGTCAATGCCTATTTGGCTCTAATGTCAATTAAAGCTTTATGATCTTCTATAGTCACTGTATTTGGAACAGTTATCTCAAAAATGAATTTTCTGATGTTCTGCATGGAGTGCCCACAGACTGAAGACCTTGCCACACTTAAGACATTTGTAAGATTTCTGTCCAGTATGGATTCTCTGATGTCTAATGAGGTGTGAACGTGAAGTCAAGACTTTGCCACAATCATCACACTTGTGAGGTTTCTCTCCTGTATGAATTCTCCTATGTTTTGCATAGGATGAAGCTTGACTGAAGACCTTGCCACAGTCATGATATTTGTAAGGTTTCTCTCCAGTATGAGTTCGCTGATAAACTGCAAGATATGATCGATGTCTGAAAATTTTACCACATTTATTACACTTGTAAGATCTGTCTTCATTATGGATTCTCCAGTGATTTGCAATGGTTGTAGCATTACTGAAGACTTTGTGACAATCATTACATTTGCAAAGTTTCCCTACACCATGGATTGCTTGATGATAAAAAAGTGACGACTTCCCACTTAAGGCTTTGCCCCACTCATTACACTTGTAAGGTTTCTCTCCAGTATAAACTCTCTGATGTTGTGCAAGGTTTGATTGTTGATTAGAAACCTTAGACAGTATGAAGTCTATGATGACATGCAAGGTGTGCTTTTCTACTAAAAACCTTGCCACATTCATTACATGTGTAAGGTTTCTTTCCAGTATGAATTGCCTTATGCATTACAAGGGCTGAATTTTGAGCAAAGGTCTTTCCATACTCGTGAAATGTGTAAGGTTCTCTCCAGTATGAACTCTCTGATGTTGTGCAAGGCATAAATCATGGTGGAAAACCTTGTCACAACCCTTACATTTGTAAGATTTCCCTCCAGTATGAAGTCCATGATGTGCAAGGTTTGCTTTTCTACTAAAAGCCTTGCCACATTCGTTACATGTGTAACATTTCTCTCCAGTATGAACTCTTACGGCATGAAAGGCATGAATTATCCCAGAAAGCCTTGTCACAAACCTTACGTTTGTATGGTTTTTCTCCAGTATGAATTCTCCTGTGTGTTTCAAGTTGTGATCCTCAACTCTAAACTTTGTTGCATTCTTCACATTTGTAATGTTTCTGTACAGTATGAAGTCTATGATGACACTGAAGGGATGACTTCTGATTGAAGGTCTTGGAACACTCATTACACTTGTAAGGTTTTTCTCCAGTATGAACACTATGGTGCCATGCAAGGTATTGCTTCTGATGAAAGACTTTGCCACATACATCACATTTATACTGTTTCTCTCCTGAATGGGTTACGTGATGTCTCCTTAAACATGAGCTATGATTAAAGGCTTTGCCACACTCATTACATTGGAAAGGTTTTTCCCTCATGTGTACTTCTTGTATTTGTGTGAATAATGAAGAATAGAGGAAATTCTTCCCATACTTAATAGAAATATGGGTTTTGAGCCTACAAATTATTTGGGATGTTGAAGCTGAGGAAGCATCATTGATAGACTTCTCCACTTGATTACCAATTTTCCCTTGGGTCTGAAACATGTGGAGTTCAGGCAGATGCGAATGAAAGCTTGATCCAAGCTGATCTTTAATAGGCTTGTTTCCAGCATGTCTTTGATCACGTCAGTCTGTACTACCTGTCAACTCTTTGGTTTCTGTCATGGGTGCTTCATGGCCATTTCTTTAAATTTCTTGCCACTGAAACTCAAAGTGATGAATATCTTTCTTGATTTCTGGGAAGCAAAAATCTCCAGTGTGATGACTTTCATGTATTTGCAACGTCCCTGTGTGAATCACTTCTCCTGTATTACCGTGCCCAGTTGATGAGAACTCCATCATGGATTTTAAAGAGCTATCTAAAAAATATAAAGACCAATAGGTTTCCAATTAAGTACAGATGGTAGGCCAGGTGCAGTGGCTCACACCTGTAGTCCCAGCACTTTGGGAGGACGAGGCAGGTGGATCACAAGGTCAGGAGCTCGAGACCATCCTCGCTAACATGGTGAAACCCTATCTGTACTAAAAATACAAAAAAATTAGCCAGGTGTAGTGATAGGTGCCTATAGTCCTAGCTACTTGGGAGGCTGAGGCAGGAGAATGGCGTGAACCCTGGAGGCAGAGCTTGCAGTGAGGCGAGATCATGCCACTGCACTCCAGCCTGGGTGACAGAGCAATAATCCATCTCAAAAAAAAAAGTACAGATGGTAAATAATAGTTAATATTGAAATGTGTAAATATTACACAAAAAGCAACAGTTATTTTAAACGTCCCAAAAGTGATCTTCAAAGTTTAAGAACACCTTATCTCTACTAAAAATACAAAAATTTGCCAGGCATGGTGGTGGGCGGCTGTAATTCCAGCTACTTGGGAAACCAAGGCAGGAGAATCACTTGAACCCAGGAGGCGGAGGTTGCAGTGAGTGGAGATCATGCCATTGCACTCCAGCCTGGGCAACAAGAGCAAAATTCCATGTCCAGAAAAAAAGAGTTCAGTCAAGAGCCTCCTATATATGAGGCAGTGAGCCTGAATGATGTCCTCCGTAGGAGGAATTTCTACAGCAGTGACTGCTGCTTAGAGAAGATGATCATTAGTTTATGTGATGAACACTGTCACAGTGCCAGTGAAAGATGCTTCTGTGATGCTCCTCAAAAACCAGAACGGGCCAGGTGCGGTGGCTCATGCCTGTAATCCCAGCACTTTGGGAGGCCAAGGTGGGCAGATCACCTGAGGTCGGGAGTTCGAGACCAGCCTGACCAACATGGAGAAACCCTGTCTCTATTAAAAATACAGAAATAGCCGGGCTTGGTGGCACATGCCTGTAATCCCAGCTGCTAGGCAGGTTGAAGCAGGAGAATCGCTTGAACCTGGGAGGTGGGGGTTGCAGTGAGCCGAGATCGCACCATTGCACTCCAGCCTGGGCAACAAGAGTGAAACTCTGTCTCAAAACAAAAAACAAAAAACAAAAAAAACAGAACAAAAGGCCAGGTGCGGTGGCTCATGCCTATAATCCCAACACCTGGATGGAGGCTGAGGCAGGCGGATTGCTTGAGACCAGGAGTTCAAGACCAGCCTGGCCAACATGGTCATATCCCATCTCTAATAAAAATACAAAATTAGTCCCCTCTCCCTCTCCCTCTCCCCATGGTCTCCCTCTCCCTCTCTTTCCAGGGTCTCCCTCTGATGCCGAGCCGAAGCTGGACGGTACTGCTGCCATCTTGGCTCACTGCAACCTCCCTGCCTGATTCTCCTGCCTCAGCCTGCTGAGTGCCTGTGATTGCAGGCGCGCGCCGCCACGCCTGACTGGTTTTCGTATTTTTTTGGTGGAGACGGGGATTCGCTGTGTTGGCCGGGCTGGTCTCCAGCTCCTAACCGGGAGTGATCCGCCAGCCTCGGCCTCCCAAGGTGCCGGGATTGCAGACGGAGTCTCGTTCACTCAGTGCTCAATGGTGCCCAGGCTGGAGTGCAGTGGCGTGATCTCGGCTCGCTACAACCTCCACCTCCCAGCCGCCTGCCTTGGCCTCCCAAAGTGCCGAGATTGCAGCCTCTGCCCGGCCACCACCCCATCTGGGAAGTGAGGAGCGTCTCTGCCTGGCCGCCCATCGTCTGGGATGTGAGGAGCCCCTCTGCCTGGCTGTCCAGTCTGGAAAGTGAGGAGCGTCTCTGCCCGGCCGCCCATCGTCTGAGATGTGGGGAGCACCTCTGCCCTGCCACCCCGTCTGGGATGTGAGGAGCGTCTCTGCCCGGCCGCCCCGTCTGAGAAGTGAGGAGACCCTCTGCCTGGCAGCCACCCCGTCTGATAAGTGAGAAGCCCCTCCGCCCGGCAGCCGCCCCGTCTGAGAAGTGAGAAGCCCCTCCGCCCAGCAGCCACCCCGTCTGGGAAGTGAGGAGCGTCTCCTCCCGGCAGCCACCTCGTCCCGGAGGGAGGTGGGGGGGTCAGCCCCCCGCCCGGCCAGCCACCCCATCTGGCAGGTGAGGGGCGCCTCTACCCAGCCGCCCCTACTGGGAAGTGAGGAGCCCCTCTGCCCGGCCAGCCGCTCCCTCCGGGAGGGAGGTGGGGGGGTCAGCCCCCCGCCAGGCCAGCCGCCCCATCCGGGAGGTGAGGGGCGCCTCTGCCCGGCCGCGCCTACTGGGAAGTGAGGAGCCCCTCTGCCCAGCCACCACCCTGTCTGGGAGGTGTACCCAACAGCTCATTGAGAACGGGCCATGATGACAATGGCGGTTTTGTAGAATAGAAAGGGGGGAAAGGTGGGGAAAAGATTGAGAAATCGGATGGTTGTGGTGTCTGTGTAGAAAGAGGTAGACATGGGAGACTTTTCATTTTGTTCTGTACTAAGAAAAATTCTTCTGCCTTGGGATCCTGTTTATCGGTGACCTTACCCCCAACCCTGTGCTCTCTGAAACATGTGCTGTATCCACTCAGGGTTGAATGGATTAAGGGTGGTGCAAGATGTGCTTTGTTAAACAGATGCTTGAAGGCAGCATGCTCCTTAAGAGTCATCACCACTCCCTAATCTCAGGTACCCAGGGACACAAACACTGCGGAAGGCCGCAGGGTCCTCTGCCTAGGAAAACCAGAGACCTTTGTTCACTTGTTTATCTGCTGACCTTCCCTCCACTATTGTCCTGTGACCCTGCCAAATCCCCCTCTGTGAGAAACACCCAAGAATGATCAATAAAAAAAATAAAAATAAAATAAAAATAAAAAAAATACAAAATTAGCCAGGTATGGTGACATGCATCTGTAATTTCAGTTAGGTTGGGAGGCTCAGGTATGTGAATTGCTTGAGCCCAGAAGGTGGAGGTTGCAATGAGCTGAGATCACGACACTGCACTCCAACCTGTTCAACACTCTGTCTCATAAAAACAAAATGAAACAAAAAACACAAAACCACAAGCGCAGCTGGAAACACTTGTCAGTCAGTGTGATGCTTTCTATCTCATATCCTGGGCCATGGTGACAATTCCGCTCAGGGCCTCCAGGGGCATCTCTGCCTAGAGCAGGATGATGTTCAATCTTATTAGTCAAAGTGTTCTTCATGAATTTTCTGGTTTTATGTAAAACCACTCCATAAGGGAGTCTCTAAGAAGCTGTCCATGACAAATATGAGGGTCATCACTGTAGAAAACAATGACATGTACATGAAAAGCATGTATGGGGCAACATCACAAAAGAGAATACAAAACCAGGAAGAGCCAAGATAGACAAGGGCAGATTCCTCATGTCTGGAGGGATATTTTCCTCACCCACAAACTCCAGGTTCCTGTAGTTCTCCAACATCACTTCCCTGTATAAAGCCCTCTGTGCAGGGTTCAGGCATTTCCACTCCTCCAAAGAGAAATCTATAGCCACATCCCTGAAAGTCTAGTGTCCCTAAAATGAAAGACAGATTTCAACAAAACATTAGGGAGGAGTGAGTCATCACCTTCACATGAAATGAGAAAAGAGAAAATAAGTATCGATTTGATCCAAGACGGTGTTCTGACAAAGCCGCATTAAGGTATTTTTGAACAGTTTTTTCTGTATAGTTGCATTTTATTGCACTTTTCCTTGATAGATTTTAAAATCCCCTAAGTCACTGTGGAAGTCTCAGTTTTATGGACAATATAAAAAATATATGGCCAGGTGCAGTGCCTCAGGCCTGGAATCCCAGTACTTTGGGAGGCCAAGGCAGGTGGATCACCTGACTTGAGGAGTTTGAGACCATCCAGGGTAACATGGTGAAACCCCATCTCTACTAAAAGTACAAAACTTAGCTGGGCGTGGTGGCACCTGCCTGTAATCCCAGCTACTTGAAGGCTGAGGCAGGAGAATTGCTTGAACACAGGTGTGGTGGTGCCCACCTCTAATCCCAGGTACTTGGGAGGCTGAGGCAGGAGAATTGCTTGAGCCCCAGAGGCGAAGGTTGCAGTGAGCTGAGATTGTGCCACTGCAACTCAGCTTGGGCTGCAGAGTTAGACTCTGTCAAAAAACAAACAAACTATATATATATATGGCCGGGCATTGGGGCTCACACCTGTAATCCCATCACTTTGGGAAACCAAGGTGGGTGGATTACTTAAGGTCAGGAGTTCAAGAACAACCTGGCCAACATGGTGAAAACCTGTATCTACTAAAAATATAAAAATTTGCTAGGCACGGTGGGGGAAAGCGCCTGTAATCCCAGCTATTTGGGAAGCTGAGGCAGAAAAATCGATAGAACTCTGGAGGCAGAAGTTGCTGTAAGCCGAGATCGCACCACTGCACTCCAGCCTGGGCAACAGAGTGAGACTCTCAAAATAAAATATATGTATATATATACTGAAAATAATGTATTTTCTACATAAAACATGGGCTTGGCCAGGCGTGGTGGCTCACACCTATAATCCCAGCACTTATGGAGGCCGAGATGGGTGGATCAGGAGGTCAAGAAATCAAGAGCATCCTGGCCAACATGGTAAAACCCCGTCTCTATTAAAAATACAAAAATTAGCTGGGCATGGTGGTGCGTGCCTGTAGTCCCAGCTACTCAGCAGGGCGAGGCAGGAGAATCTTTTGAAATCAGGAGGTGGAGGTTGAAGTGAGCCTAGATGGCGCCACTGCACTTTAGCCTGATGACAGAATGAGACTGTCTCAAAAAACAAACAAACAAAAAATCATAGGCTTCTCCATTAATGCTCTCCTGTACACACTACAAATCACACCCACACACACTTAAATTAACTTCAGTTAGGAGATTATAAGCAAAAACCTAGAGAGGACACATCCACAGATACATGCCAGGCTGAGGTGGGAGGATCGCTTGAGCCTGGAGAGCAGAGGATAAAGTGACCCAAGATTGTACCACTGTCCTCCAGCCTGAGGGACACAGTGAGACCCCATCACCTCCAACCCAAACAATGTTGGAAACTCATTGAGTTAAGAGACAGCTTCAAGAAATCATAAAAGCAATGCATGAAGAAAATGAGAAGGTCAACCAACGTATGGAAATTATGAAGAACTACACAGAAACCCTAGGGCTAAACATACAGTAACTAAGTAGAAAAACTCAATACATGGGTTCAAAATCAGAATTCATTATGTAAATTAAAAATTAGTGAAGAGGGGACTGGCAAGGTGGCTCACACCAGGACTTGAAAGCCGAGGTGGGTGGATCACCTGAGGTCAGGAGTTTGCAGAACAGCCTGGTCATTATGGCAAAACCCTGTCTCTACTGAAAATACAAAGATTAGCTGGTTGTGGTGGTGAGCTCCTGTAGTCCCAGCTACTCTAGAGGCTGAGGCAGGAGAAGCACTTGAGCATGGGAGGCAGAGGTTGCAGTGAGCTGAGATCGCCCCACTGTACTCCAGCCTGGGCAACAGAGCAAGACTGTCTCAAAAAAAAAAAAACAATAAAAAAAACAGGCCAGGCACGGTGGCTCATGCCTGAAATCCCTGCACTTTGGGAGGCCAAGGTGGGTGGATCACCTGAGGTCGGGAGATCGAGACCAGCCTGACCAACATAGAGAAACCCTGTCTGTATGAAAAATATAACAATTAGGCAGGTGTAGTGGTGCGCACTTGTAATCTCAGCTACTTGTGAAGCTGAGGTAAGAGAATCACTTAAACCCAGGTGACAAAGGCTGGAGGTGAGCTGAGTTTGCACCACTGCACTCCAGCCTGGCAACAGAGCAAGACTTCATCTCAAAAAAATTTTTTTAAAGTACCAGAAGTCCCAGAAGACAGTGAGAGGAAGAAAGGAATAGAAAAGCCTGTTGGAAGATATTAATGGCCAAAAATTTCTAATTTCAGAAGCCAAAAGAAATTATGGCCATCATGGTGAAACACCATCTCTCTTAAAAATACAAAACTTAGCTGGGAGTGGTGGCACCTGCCTGTCATCCCAGCTACTCGGGAGGCTGAGGCAGAAAAACTGCTTGAACCCGGGAGGTGGAGGCTGCAGTCAGCCAAGATCGTGCCATTACACTCCAGCCTGGGTGACAAGAGCAAAACTCCGTCTTAAAAGAAAAAAAAAAAAAGCAGGCATGTGAAAGAACGTTTCTGTTTTATCCTAAAAAAATGCATAATGTGAACAAAACACCAGGGCAAAAATAAAGAACTAAAGAATACAAAATAGCTCTCAAAACACATGAAAAGTATGCTCAGCAAAGTATTAAAATCTATTTTAAATATACAAGTCCATGATTAATGACATCTACTCAGACTCTCAAGGAATAGAAAATATAAATAAAAAGGGCTTTCATTTTCACCGAATGCAAAAAAGAACATGGTGGTAAGACCACAGGAGTAAGATTTGCTTAAAAGAGTGAGAAATTTCTCATGTTCTCAGTCAGAGAGGGCACCTCTGCAGCTGGGGGTCTGGATGGAATCTTCCCAGATGTAAAAGAGGAAATAGCAAATCCAAAAAGAAGTAATCAGTTTTGCAGGAATTCTCCAGATATCTGCAGTGAAGTCACCATGCTCACAGGCAGCCAGTGTGTTATTCTTGGTAACAGTGAAAAACCGTCAAGGAGATTACATGAAGTCAGGGGTTTGAGACCAGCCTGGCCAACAGGGTGAAAACCTGTCTCTACAAAAAATACAAAATTAGCCAAGCCTGGTGGTGGACACCTGTAATCCCAGATACTTGAGAGGCTGAGGCATGAGAATCGCTTGACCCTGGGAGGTGGAGGTTGCAGTGAGCCCAGATTGCTCCAGTGAACTCCAGCCTGGGCAATAGAGGCAGATGGAATTTAAGATGAGAGGGACTGAGAAAAGGCATGGGTGAGTGCGAGCAAACTTGTGAGTTAGGACGCTTCAGAATCACAGAAGACTGGCTACCACAATACCTGGTATTTAAGAAAACAAGGAGACAGAAGAATCCACCGAGGAATATCACTTTACCTGAGGAAGAGCCGTCCCTGGCTCCTTTTCTTTGCCCTTCTTGGTGGCTTCCTTACATAGCATGAGTCTTTGGAAATCAATCCTGTGTGTAAAAAAATATGAGATTTAATTTTTCTTTTTTTTTTTTTTGAGATGGTGTCTAGCTCTGTCACAAGAATGTGGTTCAGTGGCATGACCTCAGCTCACTGCAACCTCTGCCTCCCTGGTTCTAGTGATTCTCCTGCCTCAGCCTCTTAAGTAGCTGGGATTACAGGCATGCGCTGCCAGGCCCAGCTAATTTTTCTATTTTTACTAGAGATGGGGTTTTACCATGTTGGCCAGGATGGTCTCGATCTCCTGACCTTGAGATCTGCCCACCCAACCCTCCCAAAGAGCTGGGATTCCAGATGTGAGCCACTGCACCCAGCTGAGATTTAGTGTTTAGAAATCACTCCCTCCTTTCCTGTGACAAAACACACACACAGGGGAGACCTCACCAGGGACAAAGATGGTCCTCTGCTGCCCACTGCACCAGAGATTATGCAGACATAAGGACATCCCACAGGAAGACCTACAAGGGTAATTTTGACTTGTTTTTGGATTTTGCTCCCCTGATGGAAAAGTCCACGCACACGATGCAGCAAGACACAGATCTTCAGGACACAGATCTGGCCCTAACCAAACCCCATGCAGAGCACAGCCCCCTCACCTCCCTGTGGATCACAGGCTGATCTCAGTTCTCAATATGGAGGAAACTGCCTTGATGTTCAATGCTGGACACAGATGAGAATCACCAGTGCCATTGTATTATTGAGGGTGTGTCCCATCCTATGATAATAGCAATCTTTGATAAAACAGAACAAAAGATATATTTGCAAAATGCCTGAAAACTGTAATGTGAAGTCAGGGTTGAGCTCCACTCAGATGGCGCCAGCCCAGCACAGCCCCACCTTCTGATTCTGCTCTCCGCTTACGGACTTGTTCTCACCAGGATCCAGTGAACGGTGAAGGAGCTAAAAGAATCACACAGAACAGGCAACATGGACCAGAGGTGGGGGTGAAGGTGGCGCTGCAATGTCAAGTGGGGGGCTGTGGGAGATCACAAAGGTTTCCATAGAGAAAGTAATATCAGAACAAAGACTTAGGGAAGAAAGGCTGCTTGTCACTTGCAGTTGAGGGGCCAGAGAGTCCTAGGCAGAGGGACAGCCCAGGAGAAGTCCCTGAGATAGGAGCAACCTCAGTCCCAGAAAAAGGAAAGAGGCCTGTATGGCTGGAGCAGAGGGAGTGAGGAGGACACAGGCAGGAGATGAAGTCAGAGGGGTCCCGGGAGCACAGATCCCTAAGGATGAGGCCTTGAAACATTTTTCTCCCACACCTCAAAATAAATTTGGAAATGATGTACTTTCTCACTCCTTTCATGTATACATGTAATTTTCTCTTTACATTATAAATTACAACACTTACAAATAATGTAATTTATTTTCCATATTTAAAATACATGGTGTCAACCTCAGCTAAGCACCCAGAAGTACACTGTCACCCTCATCTGAGATGTGTAGGACTGTAAGGGAATGTGTTTGGGGGTTTAGGAAGTCACTTATAGACACATGAAGGTGGAGATGCCTGTTTGATGTCCCAGCAGAGAGCTGCGGAGACAACTGCACACAGGATTGTAGAGCTCCGGGGCGAGGCCTGCAGGGGACACGGAGCCATGTAGGTGGGTCAAAGCCATGAGATGATAAGGTTCAAGGTGATTTGAGTCTAATCCTGTTTTTCGGAGGACTGGAATCCTTTAAAGTTCAAACTACAACTAAATACCTCCCTGTCCTACAGGAAAAGCCACACACTCCATTGTGCCCATCATTTCAGGGGTCAGTGTCACTCTGACTGAGCTTTTCTGGTCTTCTCCCTCACCTGTATATTACAGGTGGGCTCACTGAGGTTCACAGCGGGGGACGTTTCACCAAGTTATCCTGAGAAGCTCCGAGTTTTGTAAGAAGGAAGAGTCGCTGATTTTCATGTGATGGCCAGGAAGGGTCAACAGGCTGCGTTGGCCATCCTTCTACAAAATGCCAGGACTGGCTACGTGTGGTGGCTCACTCCTGTAATCCTAGCACTTTGGAAGGCCAAAGCAAGCGGATCAGTTAAGCCGAGGAGTTTGAGACAAACCTGGCAAAATGGTGAAACCCGTCTCCTGGATAGAGGAGAATCGGCCTCACAAAGTGCTGGGATGACAGGCATGAGCCACCGCGTTCAGTCTACATATACATTTTTTTTTTTAAATTAAGAAATAAGGCGGGCATGGTGGCTCAAGCCTGTAATCCCAGCACTTTGGGAGGCTGATGCTCTTGGATCGCTTTAGCCCTGCAGTTGGAGCCCAACCTAGACAACAAGGCAAAACCCGGTCTCTACCAAGAACACAAAAATTGGCGCGGTGTGGTGGCGCGCGGCTGTGGTCCCAGCTACTCTGCAGGCTGAGGTGGGAGGATCCCTTGAGCCCAGGAGGTTGAAGCTGCAGTGAGCTGTGATCCGGTCACCGCTCTTCGGCCTGCGCAGCAGAGTAAGACCCCATCTCCATCAAAAAAACAAAAACAAAAACAAAAAAAACCACATGGGTCCTGGGTCTAGGGAGGCAGGGAATCTAAAACCAATTAACGCGAACTTTCCAAAACTAGACTAAAAGGAAAAACCCCATCTTCCCACCCAAAGTAACAAAGGATCAAAGGCTACTCTCCCTAACACCCTCCCCCTTCCACCAGGTCGCAGGTGGAAAGAGAAAGAGCCCAGGAGTGGCCAAGGCCAAGCACCGGCCACCCCTTCATCTGCATAGGGCACCCATCTGCTCTGGCCTCAGGCCAATTTACCTCAGTTATTTCCTTGGCCAAGGGCCAAATTCTTCATCCAGATAAGGGGTAGCCCATAGGGACCTCAAAAAAAAATAACCTCCAAAAACTTTGTAAATGGGGCCCTGGAGACGCTCGCTTGGGCCCACCCCCACCCTGTGGGGTGCTTTCTTGGTTGAGTAAATTTCTGCTTTCGCCGCTTCATTCTTTTGTTACTTTGTGGGGTTTTTTTTTTTTTCTTCAATTCTATGTTTAATATCCATCTACCTGGAAACTTCACATTCCAGGCCTGCCTTCCGGGAACAACAGGGCGAGGGTGGAAAAAGAGGGTTGCCTCCAGGAGAAGCACGTTTTCCTGGGGTTGGAACTGGGGAGAAGCAGGGCCGGCACGAGGAGGGAGGTGGTGGGCGATGGCGCCTTCGGACAGGGGTGGGGTCTGCAGGATCCCAGGACCAGGCAGAGGACGCGGCCTTCCCGGGAGTGGGGCTGCAGCGCTGCCCTCCAGGCGCCGATGAGGAGCCCAGGGCGAGAGTCCAACTCGCTGGTGAGGACCTGAAACAGCGCGAGGCGGGAGGACGGGTCGGGAAGGGTTTTGAGAAGGAAAGTTTCGCTACAGGAGGTGTCTGCACGGCCCTACTGCAGAAAAGACCGGGACGGGACCAGCCTCAGGGCGACTTTAAACTCAAAAGGAAAAGACTCACGGACTCCCACCCGGACGTCTCAATTTGCTCTGAGTTGAGAAAGAGGGGCCGGAATTTCCAGGTCTGTGGAGACACCCACGTCCCCGGTATAGCAGTACCAGAGAACTGGGAAGCGCAAACTCAACGGGGCAACCTTCAGTCCATGCCATCAGCTTCCGGGTCTGTGCCAATCAGCACAGTACAGAAGCCAGACCCGCGGGGAGACCCCCGAGGAGGTGGGCGGGGCCTGGGTCAGGCCAGACGGGAGGCGAAGAGGTGGGCGGGGCCTGAGTCAACCAAAATACTACTGGAACTAATCAACACATTCAGTGGATTTGCACAATGCAATAGCAGCACCAAAAATTAATTGAATTTCCATAAACAATAAAAAATTTAAACGAAAATTAAAAAACACTTCCATTTGCTAGAGATCTTAAAGTAAGAAATACTTAGGAATAAACATAAAAAAACTGAGAATTTCACACCTTGAAATCTACAAACATTAACCAAAATGATTAAAAACATATATATACAACCCACATTGATGGTTTGGAAAAATCAATATTGTTATTATATAAGCCAATGTGATTCAGATTCAACACAATACCTATAAAAACCCCTATTGGTTTTTGTTAAAGAAACAAAAAGCAGGCTGGGAAAAGTGACTCACGTCTGTTGGCCAGGCTGATCTCAAACTCATGACCTCAAGTGATCTATCCACCTTGGGCTCCTAAAGTGCTGGATTTACAGGCGTGAGCCACACGCCTGGCCCAATCCTCTTAACATAAACACTTTAATGTCAATTAATGCTTCAACTGAATGTTTTAAGTCAACTCAAACTCAAGTCAATTCTGAATTGACTCTACTGTCAATCCTTGATGGTTTGCTGTGCTCACCGCATTTGTAACTATTACCTCAAAAATGAACGTTATGATATTCTGCAAGGAGTAACCTCGGACTGAAGACCTTGCCACACATAGGACGTTTGTAAGATTTCTGTCCAGTATGGATCCTCTGATATCTAATGTGGTGTGAACGTGAAGTAAAGGCTTTGCTCACAATCATCACACTTGTGAGGTTTCTCTCCTGTATGAATTCTCCCGTTTTGCAAAAGATGAAGCTTGACTGAAGACCTTGCCACAATCATCACATTTGTAAGATTTCTCTCCTGTATAAGATCGCCAATGAACTGCAAGTTATGAATGATGTCTGAAAAACTTGCCACATTTATTACACTTGTAAGACCTCCTTCATTATGGATTCTCCAATGTTTTGCAATGGCTGTAATATTACTGAAGACTTTGTGACAATCATTACATTAGTCAAGTTTCCCTATACCATGGATTGCTTGATGGTGAGTAAGTGTTGACTGACCACCAAAGGCTCTGCCACACTCATTACACTTGTACAGTTCCTTTCCAGTGTGAATTCCAGTATGTTGGGCCAGGTGTGAATCACACCCGAAATCCTTGTCACAAACCTTACATTTGTATGGTTTCTCTCCAGTATGAACTCTCCTATGTATTTCAAGGAGTGATTTGAAATTGAAAACTTTTGTCACATTCTTCACATTTGTAAGGTTTCTCTCCAGTATAAAGTCTATGATGACATGCAAGGTTTGACTGTTGCCTAAAAACCTTGCAAATTTACACTTCTAAGATTTCTTTCCAGTATGAAGTCTATGATGACGTTCAAGGTTTGATTTTCGATTAAAAACCTTGCCACATTCATTACACTTGTAAGGTTTCTCTCCAGTATGAAGTCTACGATGACATGCAAGGTTTGATTTGTGATTAAAAACCTTGCCACATTCATTACACTTGTAACGTTTCTCTCCAGTATGAATGACCTTATGCATTACAAGAGATGAATTTTGAACAAAGGTCTTGCCACACTCATTACACTTGTAAGGTTTCTCTCCAGTGTGAATTACAGTATGTTGTGCCAGGTGTGAATCACGTCTGAAAGCCTTGTCACAAACCTTACATTTGTATGGTTTCTCTCCAGTGTGAATTCTCCTATGTCTTTCAAGGTGTGATTTGCGACTGAAAACTTTGTCACATTCTTCACATTTGTAAGGTTTCTCTCCAGTATGAACTCTATGATGACGTGCAAGGTTTGATTGTTGATTAAAAACCTTGCCACATTCATTACACTTGTAAGGTTTCTCTCCAGTATGAATTGCCTTGTGAACTAACAGGGCTGAATTGTGACTGAATGTCTTGCCACACTCATTACACGTGTAAGGATTCTCACCAGTGTGACATCTATGGCATGCAAGGTATCGCTTCTGATGAAAGTCCTTGCCGCATACATCACATTTATACTGTTTGTCTCCTAAATGGATTATCTGATGTTTTTTTAAGAGTGAGCTACCATTAAAGGCTTTGCCACTCTCATTACGTTGGAAAGATTTTTCTCTTGTGTGTACTTCCCGTTTTTGTGTGAGTAATGAAGACTGGAGGAAATTATTCCTATACTTATTAGAAATACGAGTTTTTGGCCTACAGGAAATTCGTTGGGATGCTGAAACTGAGAAAGCATCGTTGATAGCCTTCTCAACTTGATTACCAATTTTCCCTTCGGGGTGAAATATGTGCACTTCAGGCAGATGCGAATGAAAGCTTGATCCAAGCTCATTTTTAATAGGTTTGTTTCCAGCATGCCTTTGATCATGTCGCTCTGTACTACTCATCAACTTTTTGGTTTTTGTCATGAGTGCTTCATGGCCATTTGTTTCATTTTCTTGCCACTGAAACACAAAGTCATGAATATCTTTCTCAATTTCCTGGAAGCAAGTATCTCCAATGTGATGACTTGCATGTATTTGCAATGTCCCTGTGTGGACCACTTCTGTATTGCCTTGTCCTGTTGATGAGAACATCTTCATCATGCATTTGGAAGAGGTATCTACAAAATATAAACACAAATAGGTTTCAAATTAAGTACGGAAGTTATACAATACTGAAATGTGTAAATATTACATAAAAAACAATACTTATTTTAAACTTCCCAAACATGATCTTCAAAGTTTAGGAACACAAAAGGAGTAAGATCCTTTAATAAATAAAGGGTGATTGCATGTGCTTCAAATCATTTTTATGGAAGCCTATTTCCAATATCATGACGAAACACTGACAGGGCACAAACATGTGTAAGCCTAAAGTCAGGAGTGTTTTTCTACTGTGACCCTAAAGTGTATCACACTTTGCAAAAGACGTATCACTGTCACATCAAAGAAGAGAAAAATATATATTCTTCATATTTATAGGGTACTTAGTGTAAATAAATAAATGCTAAAAAACCAGACAAGGTACTATTTTGGTAAATAATCCACAACAAGCTCCTGTAAGGATAATCAAAATCAATGGAATTTCTGTATTGTCAAAGAATCATAGCACTGAGAAGATAAGAAAATATTACAAAAATTAGGCAGGTGTGGTGGCCCACGCCTTTATAAAGTCCCAGCTACTCAAGCGGCTGATGCACAAGAATTGCTTTAAGCCAAGAGGCAAAGGTTGCAGTGCGCCAACATCGAACCACTGCACTCCAGCCTGGGTGACAAAGTGAGACTCCATCTCTAAAGAAACAAGGCAGGGCATGGTGGTTCACGCCTGTAATCCCAGTATTTTAGGAGGCCGAGACAGGCAAATCACCTGAGGTCAGGAGTTCGAGACCAGCCTGGCCAACATGGCAAAACCTCTTCTCTACTAAACATACAAAAAGTAGCCAGGTGTGGTGGTGGGCACCTGTAATCCAAGCTACTTGGGAGGCTAAGGAAGGAGAATTGCTTGAACCCGCGAGGCCAAGATTGTGGTGAGCTGAGATTGTGCCACTGCACTCCACCCTGAGTGGCAGAGTGAGACTACCTCTCAAAAAGAAAAATGTTAACACCGTATTTTTCTAAATAACTGTTACAAAATTATCTATATCCATGTGGAACAGGCACTTTGTGACTTTTTTTTAAAAATTTTGTATTTTTATTTTTTTGAGATGGAGTCTCACTCTGTCACTGGACAGAGTGCAATGGCATGATCTTGGCTCACTGCAGCCTCTGCCTCCTGGGTTCAAGCAAGTCTCTTTGCTCAGCCTCCTGAGTAGCTGGGATTACAGGCATGCACCATCATGCCCGGCTAATTTTTATATTTTTAGTAGAGATGGGGTTTCACCATATTGGCCAGGTTTGTCTCAAACACCTGACCTCAGGTGATCCACATGTCTCAGCCTCCCGAAGTCCTGGGATTACAGGCATGAGCCACTGTGCCCAGCAGCACTTTGTGACAGTAACGAGTGGAGTGTGTCAGTTATATTGCATATCACATACTGAAAACTCACAGGTAAAGTCATAAAAATCAGTTAATAAAATATTGATAAATATTTTCTGGCTTGATAAAACAAGCCAGAAAATAATAAGTACATGTATGCAGCCTGCAGAATTGTAAACAATTCCCTATTAAGAAAAAAGCCACAACTTGTACTTACCACTAGTACACAACATAAGAATTGAAATACATGTTAAGGTCACTACTTTCTGATGTATGAGGTCAAAACTATACACAGCACTATAAGGAATAAGAATTGACTAATGTCCGGGCACGGTGGCACATGCCTGTAATCCCAGCACTTTGGGGGTCTGAGGCAGGTGAATCATGAGGTCAGAAGTTCGACACCAGCCTGGCCAACATGGTGCAACCCCATATCTACTAAAAATACAAAAACATTAGCTGGGCACGGTGGTGGGTACCTGTAATCCCAGTTCAGAACTAAATTTTTTAAAATAAAAAGGCATGAAAAAACACTGTATATATACGTTAGCAGAAATGCAACATACACAGAAATAATTCTGACAAAAATAAAAATTTCTAAAAAGGCTGGGCGCGGTGGCTCACGCCTGTAATCCCAGCACTCTGGGAGGCCGAGGTGGATGGATCACAAGGTCAGGAGATTGAGACCATCCTGGCTAATACAGAGAAACCCCATCTCTACTAAAAATACAATAAAAAATAGCCGGGTGTGGTGGCAGGCGCCTGTAGCCCCAGCTGCTCGGGAGGCTGAGGCAGGAGAATGGTGTGACCCCGGGAGGTGGAGCTTGCAGTGAGCTGAGATCGTGCCACTGCACTCCAGCCTGGGCTACAGAGCGAGACTCCATCTAAAAAAATAATAATAATAATTCTAGAGGAGAAGTAGTTTTTGCAGGTTATGAAACTTTATTTATTTATTTATTTATTTATTTATTTTGAGATGGAGTCTCACTCTGTCTCCCATGCTGGAGTGCGACGGTGCGATCTCAGCTCACTGCAACCTCTACCTCCCGGGTTCAAGCAACTCTCGTGCCTCAGCCTCCTGAGTAGCTGGGATTACTGCCACCCACGACCGTGCCTGGATAATTTTTGTAATTTTACTAGAGACGAAGTTTCACCATGTTAACTAGGCTGGATTTGAATACCTGACCTCTGGTGATCTGCCCACCTCAGCCTCCCAAATTACTGGGATTATAGGCATGAGCCACTACACCTGGCCAGGTTATGAAAATTTTAGGTTTCATTATTATGCTATAACTTTAAGATTTTTTTTTTTTTTTTTTTTTTTTTGAGACAGAGTTTCGCTCTCGTTGCCCAGGCTGGAGTGCAATGGCACAATCTCGGATCACTGCAACCCCCGCCTCCCAGGTTCAAGCAATTCTGCCTCAGCCTCGCGAGTAGCTGGGATTACAAGTGCCCGCCACCACACCCGGCTAATTTTGTATTTTTAGTAGAGACGGGGTTTCTCCATGTTGAGACTGGTCTTGAACTCCTGACCTCAGGTGATCCACCCGCCTTGGCCTCCCAAAGTGCTGGGATTACAGGCGTGAGCCACCGCGCCTGGCCAACTTTAAGATCTTTAACATACCTGCAACAATAACCACTTCCCAAAACTACTTCTCCTCTAGAACTTTTTTTATTTTTGTCGGAATTATTTCTGTGTATGTTGCATTTCTGGTAACATATATGTACAGTGTTTTTTTCATGCCTTTTTATTTTATCTATACAACACACTTCATTTCTGTTTACTGAAAGAAATGGGCACGGCGGGGCGCGGTGGCTCACGTCTGTAATCCCAGCACATTGGGAGGCTAAGGCGGGTGGATCACGAGGTCAGGAGATTGAGACCACGGTGAAACCCTGTCTCTAATAAAAATACAAAAAAATTAGCCAGGCGCGGTGGCGGGAGCCTGTAGTCCCAGGTACTCGGGAGGCTGAGGCAGGAGAATGGCGTGAACCCGGGAGGTGGAGCTTGCAGTGAGCCGAGATCGCACCACTGCACTCCAGCCTGGGCGACAGAGCAAGACTCCGTTTCAACAAAAATAAAAGAAATGGACGCTAACGTAGTTGTTATATTCACACTGGAATCATGTTTAAACCATTTACATGTTTACAAAGAACTAAAAGACAAAACTGTTTAAAATAATAACAATAGTTGAGCTTGGCGGCTCACGCCTGTAATCGCAGCGCTTTGGTGTAGGGTCCAGCCCTGCGGGCTTAGCGGGTGTTCTCTTATGCGGAGATGAGAGATTGTAATAAATAAAGACATAAGACAAAGAGATAAAGAGAAAGCAGCTGGGCCTGGGGGACCACTACCATCAAGACGCGGAGACAGGTAGTGGCCCCAAACAGCTGGGTGCGCTGATATTTATTGCATACAAGACAAGGGGGCAGGGTAAGGAGGGTGAATCTTCTAAGTGATTGATAAGGTGAAGCAAGTCACGTGATCATAGGACAAGGGGCCCTTGCCTTTTAGGTAGCCAAAGCAGAGAGAGAAGGCAGCATACGTTAGCGTTTTCTTCTATACACTTCTTTTTTTTTTTTTTTTTTTTTTTTTGAGACGGAGTCTCACTCTGTCGCCCAGGCTGGAGTGCAGTGGTGCGATCTCGGCTCACTGCAAGCTCTGCCTCCCGGGTTCATGCCATTCTCCTGCCTCAGCCTCCCGAGTAGCTGGGACTACAAGTGCCCGCCACCACACCCAGCTAATTTGTTGTATTTTTAGTAGAGACGGGGTTTCACCATGTTAGCCAGGATGGTCTCGATCTCCTGACCTCTTGATCTGCCCGCCTTGGACCCCTAAAGTGCTGGGATTACAGGCAAGAGCCACTGCGCCCGGCTCTTCTATGCACTTCTAAGAAAGATCAAAGACTTTCACTATTCCTTCTACCGCTATCTACTATGAACTTCAAAGAGGAGCCAGGAGTACGGGAGGAGCATGAAAGTAGACAAGGAGCATGACCATTGAAGCACAGCACCACAGGGAGGGGTTTAGGCCTCCGGATGACTGCGGGCAGGCCTGGATACTATCCAGCCTTCCACGAGAAGCTGGTGGAGCAGAGTGTTCCCTGACTCCTCCAAGGAAAGGAGACCCCCTTTCGCGGTCTGCTAAGTAACGGGTGCCTTCCCAGACACTGGTGTTACCGCTTGACCAAGGACCCCTCAAGCGGCCCTTATGCGGGTGTGACAGAGGGCTCACCTCTTGCCTTCTAGGTCACTTCTCACCATGTCCCTTCAGCACCTCACCCTATACCTGCCAGTTATTCCTAGGTTATATTAATAATGCAACAAAGAGTAATATTAAAAGCTAATGATTGATAATTGTCCATGATCATCTCTGTATCTAATTTGTATTATGACTCTTCTTATTGTAACTATTTTCTTTATTATACTGAAACACTTTGTGCCTTCAGTCTCTTGCCTTGGCACCTAGGTAATCTTAGGTCCACACTTTGGGAAGCCAAGGCAGGTGGATCACTTGAGATCAGGAGTTTGAGACCAGGCTGGCCAACATGGTGAAACCCTGTCTCTACTAAAAACACAAAAATTAGCTGGGCATGGTGGTGAGCGCCTACAGTCCCAGCTACTCAGGAAGCTGGGACACAAAAATCCTTTGAGCCTGGGAGGTGGAGGCTGCTGTTAGCCAAGATCGTATCACTGCACTGTAGCCTGGGCAACACAGTGAGACTCTTTCATAAAATAAGAAAAAGAAAGAAAGGAAGAGCAGAGGGATAAGTGGGGGCAAAGAAAGATGTCATTTCAGAGATCTCAGGATTGAAACTTTCCTTTTCCAACAGAATTCTCCCACTTGCAGAGTTTCCCCACACACTATTTGAAGGTGGAGCTTCCACTCTGCCCATCTGAGCTCTTACCTGCATTTACACCTATAATACATTCCCACCCATCTGGAGTTTTTTGATATTTTCACTTCACTCTCCACAGTCCAGGGCCCTTTCTCTTGCTCCAACATGGAGATAACATATCAGCATGAGACTCCTGCTTATAAAAAGAAAGTACTAAGACGTGCTGGAGCTTTTGTAGAGTCCCAGCCCTATATTTCTGTAGGAAAGAAGACATTACAGGTGGATCTAGGAAAATATTTTACTAATTGCTCCACTGACTGCCTCCTTCTGAATGCTTGGAGAGCACTGTAACATGTAATATGTGGACATCAAGCTCTCTTCCAAGAACTACTGAATCGAAAGCACAGGAAAAGCAAACAGGAAACTGGATATGATTAAAGTCTGCCATAAGGTTTTGTTTTTTTGTTTTTTGAGAGAGAGTCTTGCTCTGTTGCCCAGGCTGGAGTCCAGTGGTGTGTTCTCAGTCACTGGAACCTTGGCCTGCCGGGATCAAGCGATTCTCTTTCATCAGCCTTTCTAGGAGCTGGGATTACAGGCATGCACCACGACGCCCGGCTAATTTTTGTGTTTTTAGTAGAGACGGGATTTCTCCATGTTGGCCAGGCTGGTCTTGAACTCCTGACCTGAAGTGATCCACACGCCTCAGCCTCCCAAAGTGCTGTGATGACAGGTGTGAGCCACCACGCCTGGCCTGCCATAAGCTTTTATGCTTACTTTACTTCTGGAACCCCCACTGAGCTATCATGAAGAATGCAGAACATCTAAAGGGGACAGTGAAAGTCCAGATGCTACATCATGAAGCTTTTCATTTCTAACTCAATACGGCTTCCATTTTAGCCAAGCAAGGATGTGGCTCCCAAGAGGCAACAAGAGAAAATACAAAGATCCACAAGGGCACATCCCCACTTCTGGAGGGAAGTTATCCTCACCCAGGGAGACCAGGTTCCTATAATTCTCCAGCATCACGTCTCTGTATAGAGTCCTCTGAGCAGGGTCCAGGCATTTCCACTCCTCCTGAGAGAATTCTATGGCCACATCCCTGAATGTCAGTAGACCCTGAAAGGAAAACACATTTTAAGCAAATGGTTATGGGAGGAGATCTTATCTTTACAGAAAATGAGAAGAGGAGAGGGGAAAGCATGGATTTAATTGCAGAGAATGTTCCGACAAATCCAAGTAAGGGATTCTTCACCACATGATGTCTTCCCAGTGGTGTTTGATTATACTTTCTGAAGAGCTCAGGATACCCTCTCAGTATGAATTGCTTACGTTAGAAATAAATAATTAGCCGGGTATGGTGGCAGGCATCTGTTGTCCCAACTACTTGGAAGGCTGAGGTGGGAGGACGGCTTGACCTTGATGGTGGAGGTTTCAGTGAGCTGCGATTGCACCAAGGCATTCTAGCCTGGGCAACAAAGCAAGACTCTCTCTCAAAATAAAATAAAATACATGAAAATAAAATTAATCGAAGTACAAAATTCTATTTTGTATATGTTAAAAAAAAAATAAAACCTACACACACTCACAAAAAACCACGTTAATACAAAGTGTTGTCATTTGTCTCAGATTTTCAAAATATATACATATGTGTGTGTGTATATATGTATGTGTATGTATATATGTGTGTGTATATGTATGGGGTTGTGTGTATATATATAAAGGTTTTAAAAATACAAAAAGTAGGCCAGGCACAGTGGCTCATGCCTGTAATCCCAGCACTTTGGGGGGCTGAGGCGGGTGGATCACAAGGTCAGGAGATCGAGACCATCCTGGCTAACACGGTGAAACCCCGTCTCTACTAAAAAATACAAAAATTATCCGGGCGTGGTGGGGGGTGCCTGTAGTCCCAGCTACTCAGGAGGCTGAGGCAGGAGAATGGTGTAAACCTGGGAGGCGGAGCTTCCAGTGAGCGGAGATCGTGCCACTGCACTACAGCCTGGGCAACAGAGCGAGACTCCGTCTCGAAAAAACAAACAAACAAACACAAATATATATATATATGCAAATTTTGTTTAACTGAAGAGGAATCTCATCTTGGTGGAAAAGGATAATTTGGCAGCTGCAAGTACTGCTCCCATATTTGAGAAAAATTGTAACCATTTTTACAAAAAACACCTGTTTCAAAAGCCTCTCCACAGTAACACCACTGTCTCCATCAGCTTAATTTGCTAAGAATGGTTTAATAAATCTCCTGCTATTATTTAGGTTGATTTCATATTCTTTAAATAAGGATGGAATAAAACCCCTGTATCATTCATGTCTGTTTATGAACTTTCCATTCTAATTAGTACAATTTTTTGAGTCAGAAACACAGTAACTCACTCAATTACCTAAAAATGTGGTATAAAATTAGGGAGAAAAGATTTTCCCTTATTGGTCTCCTTTTCTAGAATTTACCACGTACTTTGTGCACATTAATAGGTCACTTCCATTGGCAGCTGCTCTAATCCTGGTCCACAGAGAGTTGACAGTGCATCCAGATGTGGCCCCTGAACAATCCCTGCTGCCCAACAGCACTGACACTGCGGGACCCTCACCCCATCTCCATACATGTCTGGGTGTGAGCCCTTCCCAGGACCATGCCCAGTGCAGCCTCTTCCCAAGTTCATGTCACTCAGTCACAAGAGATGGAATCTAAGTGAGATGACAGGGACTGAGGGAAGGCATGAGTTGAGTGTGAGCAAACCTGTCAGGCAGGACACTTGAGACTCAGAGAAGATTCCCAACTCCAAGATCAGCATTTCTGAAAGGAAGGAGACAGAACAATCCCCCGAGAATATCATCTCACCTGAAGAAGAGCCATCCCTGACTCCTTTGCTTTCCTCTTCCTCTTCCGTGTTTTTTCCTCACGTACCAAGTCTTTAGAAGTCAATCCTGAATGTTAGAAATATGTTGTTTACTGCTCAGAATCAACACACCTCCTGCCTGTAACACAATGACACATACAAAGGTGCCCTCACTCTGAAAAAATATGGTCACCTCTGCTGCCCACTGCACCAGGGATAATAAATTTCTATAAGAAAACTCTCGCTTCCCTCCTGGAGAAGCCCTCACACGCTGCAGCAGTGGGGAGCTGGGCTGGAATGAGCTCCCTTTCAGGGCACAGACCCAGCCCTGACCAAATCCCATGCAGAGGCTCGGTGCGGTGGCTCATGCCTGTCATCCCACCGCTCTGGGAAGCCAAGGTGGGTACATCGCTTGAGCTCAGGAGTTTGAGACCAGCCTGGGCAACATGGTGAAACCCCATCTCTACCAAAAATACAAAAACTTAGCCAGGTATGGTGGTGCACGTCTGTGTGTCTCTGGTCCCAGCTACTTAGGAAGCTGAGGGGGAGGATCAGTAGAGCTCAGGAGTTTGAGACCAGCCTGGCCACCATGGTGAAAACCTGTCTGTACTAAAAACACAAAAATTGGGGCTGGGTGCGGTGGTTCATGCCTGTAATACTAGCACTCTGGAAGGCTGAGGTGGGAGGATTACTCAAGTTCAGGAGTTCAACAGCAGCCTGGCCAACATGGTGAAACCCCATATCTACTAAAAATACAAAAAGTAGCTGGGCTTGGTGGGCATTGGTAAGCCCAGCTACTCGGGAGGCTGAGGTTGGAGGATCGCTTGAACCTGGAAGGTGGAGGTTGCAGTGAGCCAAGATCGCACCACTGGACTCCAGCCAGGGCAACAGAGTAAGACTCAAAAATAAAATAAAATACAAATACAAAAATTAGCAGAGTATGGTGGCACACACCTGTAATCTCAGCTACTTGGGAGACTAAGGCACAAGAATTGCTTGAACTCAGGAGACAAAGGTTGCAGTGAGCCAAGATCACAAGACTGCACTCACAGCCTGGAGGACAGAGCGAGACTCTTTGGAAAAAGAAAAAAAGTGTGTTTCTGATGTGACTGACACAGAGATAATAAAACCTGAGTAATGTGATAGAGACTGATGGGCAGAGGGAAATTCAGTTGGGGGTGGGAGGGCATGGGAGACATTTCTGAGCCAGGACCTGAAGGAGAAAGGGACAGTGCTGTGAGCATTTAGAGAAATAGGGTAAGAGCAGTGAAAATGACCTGAGACGGGAAGGGTTTTGATGTTTGGGAAAAGAGAAAAGCAAATGTGACTGGGGCAGAGGGAGTCATGAGATGAGGGCAAGTTCCCAGGAGGAGCCTGGACAGTGGCAGGGGCCCTGGACACAGGGCTGTGGAGTGACAGTGAGGAGTTGGGCTTTTGTCCTGGGGAACACAGGAAGCCCATGGAGGGTTCCCTGCCAGGGACTGACATGATCTGCTTTAGATTTAGCTGTGACATCCTCAGAACGGGGACATTTTCACCGAGTCACGCTGAGAAGGTCTGAGATGAGTGAAAAGATGTAACGGAATTCTTACATGGTGGCCTGGAAGGGATAAAGGAAAGGGTTGGCCTTATCAAAACTATCCTTGAAAATTAGAGAAGCCTCTTTCACATACCTGGGATAAAGAAACTTCCTTTGCAAGTTCTGATGCCACTGATTCCCAACATTTAATTCTTCCTCACAAGAAAATTACAGTAACATTTATAAAATGCAGATGTACAAAGACACAGCTAGTTACCTTCAAAACAGGGAGGCTGAGTGCGGTGGCTCACACCTGTAATCCCAGCACTTTGGGAGGCCGAGGCAGGCGGATCACCTGATGTCGGGAGTTCGAGACCATCCTGACCAACATGGAGAAACCCCATCTCTACTAAAAATACAAAAATTATCTAGATGTTGTGGCACTTGCCTGTAATTCCAGCTACTCAGGAAGGCCGAGGCAGGACAATCGCTTAAAACCGGGAGGTAAAGGTGGTGGTGAGTAGGCCGGGCTCGGTGGCTCATGCCTATAATCCCAGCACTTTGGGAAGCCGAGGTGGGCAGATCACCTGAGGTCAGGAGTTCAAGACCAACCTGACCAATATGGAGAAACCCCATCTCTACTAAAAATACAAAATTAGCCTGGTGTGGTGGCACATGCCTGTAATCCCAGCTACTAGGGAGGCTGAGGCAGGAGACTCGCTTGAACTCGGGAGGTGGAGGTTGCAGTGAGCCGAGATCGCACCATTGCACTCCAGCACGGGCAACAAGAGCGAAACTCCGTCTCAAAAAAAAAACCAAAAAGGGTTGCGGTGACCCAAGATCACACCATTGCACTCCAGCCTGGGCAACAAGAGCGAAAGTGCATCTCAAAACAAACAAGCAAACAAACAAACAAAAAGCAGGGAAAGAGGGTCAGCTGTAGAACTAAGACATAAGCAAACTTTTTCAATCAAGAATGCTTGGGTGGCCAGGTGCGGTGGCTCACGCCTGTAATTCCAACACTTTGGGAGGTCGAGGCGGGTGGATCACCTGAGGTCAGGAGTTCGAGACCAGCCTGGCCAACATGGTGAAACCCCGTCTCTACTAAAAATACAAAAATTACCTGGGCTCCATCCTCACGTCTTATTTAATCTCTTGTTGCTCCTTCTCCCCAATTCTTCGATCGTCCTCAATCTCCATATATTTCCGCCTCTTATCCCATCTCTGCATCTCTGCCGCTCTCCCTGTTAAATTCTCTCTTCTCTGTTTTACCCCCCGTCCCCACTCTCTAGCACCCCAGATCCCCAGGCGTCCTCCCTGCTGTGGTTCTCCCTCTGTTCTCCTTGCCACCAGCACCACTCTGCTCTGTCTGCCCTGGCTCCAAATTCCTCCTCTCTCTCTCTCTCTCTCTCACTCTGATGAGCCTCCCTCTTTGCTGCCCCTCTCTACCTTGCTGTCTGTCCTTCATCTCTCTGTACATCTAGCTTTTCTCTACATTTCTCCAGTTGCTTTTCTCCTCCTGCTTTCTTATCTTTTTTTTTTCACTTTTGCTGTCTCTTGGCAAATCCCTCACCCATCCTCTACTTTGCCATCTGTTATGGGTCTTTCTCATTCTTCTTTTCTCTGTCTCAGGTTTTCTACTACTCTCTGTCTCCTGATCTCTTTAGCCCACACAATCACAGGAGGGTTTGAAGTAAGACGCCTGCATCCCAGAGAGGCTCATTTTTCAGGGGTTGGAGCTAGGCAGGCAAGAACACACCGTGTCACAGGACTGGCCCCTGGCACCTCCCCAACGCTGGCTCAAGGAAAGTGGTGACTGCTAAGGGGAGACTTGGGGTGCAGCAAGGCCCAGCATGAGGCGGGAGGTGGGGTGCGACGACGCCTTCGGTGGGGTCCACAAGATCCCAGCACCAGGCAGAGAACTCGGCCTCCCTGAGACTGGGATCGCGACGTTTGCGCTTCAGGCGCCTAAAGGTTGAGACTGGGAGGCGCCCAGGCGGAAATACACATCTCGGGTGAGGACTTTGAAAAGCGCGGGGAGGGAGGAGTTAAAAAACGGTTTTGAGCACAGAAACTACGCGATAGGAAGTGTATACAGCGCCCTGTAGCAGAAAGACTGGAGACGGGAACAGCCTCAGGGCGACTTTAAACACAAAAGGAAGCGACTTCCGGATTCCCAGGGGAACGTCTGCATTTGCTCTGGTTGAAGGAAGATGGGCGAGAATTTACAGGTCTGTGGTGACCCCACGTCCCAGGTACGGAAGTGCCGGGGATATGGGGAGTGCAGACTTAATACAACACAGAGCAAAACTCACCGCCGCGGTGCGACCTTCACTCCACGGGATCCGCTTCCTGGTCTGCGCGGATGTGTGCGCACAGGACTAAAGCCAGGCCTGGGTGGAGCCAACGAGAAGGTGGGCGGGGCCTGATCGAGGTAGAGGCGGGGCCCCAGGCGGAGAGACCTTGCCCTTTAGAACCGGCAGAGGGCGGGGCCGGGGCGGGACCTGTGCGTCTCTCAGCCTCGCTCCCAGCGACTCTATTTTTCGGGCTTTGGAGGCGAGAGCGGTCAGGAAGGCTGAAGCACGATTCGAAAGCCCTGGAATTGTCTGGAACGGGGATGCAAACAAGAATGTAAAATGCAAAGCCCTGCCTGGGCGGAACGTACAATTTCATGCTGACGGCCCACAGAACAGAACAGAAATCCTCTCCCTTTCTATTCTCCATTCACTCAGGAGGGAGAGTCCACCCTGTGCTCAGCTTCAGAGACTTCCCTAGGGCCTCCGCCTGGGATGCGCGACGGAGTGTTCAGGCCAGGGAGGAGTGAAGTCACCACCTACTGCTTAAACATAGCAGGAATGCGGCCAGGTGGGCGGGAGCCTGAGGGCCAGAGGCGGGAGGATCACTGAGCCTGGGGGTCCAGGCCAGCCTGGGCGACAAAGTAACACACCCTCCCGCAGGGCTCCCCTCATCGTCTCTTTTAATTTTTAAAATAAAATTTTGATTGTGTGAGATAGGGATACAACATTATTCTTTTCCATGTGGATATCCAGTTAATTGTCCCAGCACATTTGTGGAAGAGATCTATTACTTTCTTTTTTTTCTTTTCTTTTTTTTTTTAAGACGGAGTATTTCTCTGTCGCTCAGGCTGGAGTGCAGTGGTGACATCTCGGCTCACTGCAGCCTCTGCCTCCTGGGTTGAAGCGATTCTCCTGCCTCAGCCTCCGGAATAGCTGGCATTACAGGCACAGGCCACCATGCCCGGCTAATTTTTGTATTTTGGGTAGAGACGGGGTTTCACCATGTTGGCCAGGCTGGTCTCGAACTCCTGACTTCAAGTGATCCGCCTGCCTCGGCCTCCTGAAATGCTGGGATTACAGGCGTGAACCACTGTGCCTGGCCCAAGAAATACTCTTCACTTCGCTCTTAAATGTTGAGAAAATACAATTGAAAACTAAAAAAATCTTCCCCTAAATGAGAAATCATCTTCACGACGATAACAGAGAAAGAAATAAAAACTATTTTATTAATAAATAGGCCTTAGACCAGCATGTGATGGGAAATAGAGGACAGTTGAGAGGTTGAAAAGAGAGAAAGAAACTTCACTGTTCTATACAACCCAAATACATGTTTTCAAGATAAACACTGATCAGTCCTCAGGGAAGAGGACTTGACAACACCCTTGGTCACACATAATTCATCCTGGCTCTACTTGGTAATGGAGGTGACCATCTGTGTCAGCTAACTAGCATCATCCTGAGGGAGGGGGAGAAACCCTAACCCATGTATTTTTGGCAAGTGTGAGTTTTACAGCATGGCGGACAGGTGCCCTCTCTGGTGAGGCTCCTACAATCCAACAGAAACTGATGTCAGCAGTAAATAATGAAATTTAGAATACATTATTAATTATAGAGTTTATTTGGACACAAAGCATGAGAATAGCCACCTGGAAACCTCAACTCCAAATGAATGGGGTCAGCGTTCCCAAGTAGAGACATTAACATTTCACACACACAAGGAAATACAGAGAAGCTTTCCCAGAACCACCACATTTTCCATTCAAGTCCAGTGCATAGGCTGCGGCAGCTTGACTGGTGATGGAGTGATACACTTCAAGGAAGGTTACATTATCACTCCATAAGAAGGGACAATGATGCCAGGAGGTCTTATCTCTGGGGCTGCTTAGTTTTCCTAATTATTTACACGAAAACTTTTTAAAATTGATATTAGGAAACTAAATTGTATAGCACATTTTGTTTTGTTTTGTTTTGTTTTGGGAAGGCGTCCTGCTCTGTCGCCCAGGCTGGAATGCAGTGATGTGATCTCGGCTCACTACGACCTCCACGTCCTGGGTTCAAGCAGTTCTCCTGCCTCAGCCTCCCAAATAGCTGAAAATACAGGCGTGCGCCACCATGCCCGGCTAATGGCTTTGTATTTTCAGTAGAGACGGGGTTTCCCCATGTTGGCCAGGCTGGTTTCTAATTCCTGACGTCAGGCGATCCGCCCGCCTCAGCCTCCCAGAGTGCTGGGATTACAGGCCTGAGCCTGCATGCCTGGCCAGGAAAACTTGTAGAAGTTGCGCCTGCATGCCACCGGACTCAGGTTGCATGACCACGTTCCTCTCAAGGTTCCGAATTATTTAAAAGTCTGTAGCTTTAAATTTGAAATAGCTGATGTTTGAAATATTTAATTTCCTACTGACTTACAGGTACTATCTCCCTTGTTGCTTGCCTTTCAAGAAGAGATTCTAAGTCCTTCAGAAGTACATCTCTGGGTTATTATGCTGAAAAAAGGTTTAATTACTTTCTAAAATATTCTACTTCAGGCCGGGCGCGGTGGCTCAAGCCTGTAATCCCAGCCCTTTGGTAGGCTGAGGACGGCGGATGGCCTGAGGTCGGGAGTTCGAGACCAGCCTGACCAATATAGAGAAACCCCGTCTCTACTACAAATATAAAAATTAGCCTGGAGTGGTGGCATGAGCCTGTAGTCCCAGCTACTCCGGAGGCTGAGGCAGGAGAATCGCTTGAGCCCAGAAAATGGAAGCTGTGGTGAGCCATGATCATGACATTGTACTCCAGCCCAGGGAACTAGAGTGAAACTCAGTCTCAAAAACAAAATAATAATAATAATAATAATAATAATAATAATAATAATAATAATAAAAAATACAGCTGGACAAGGTGTCTCAAGCCTGAGCGAGACTCCGTCTTAAAAAAAAAAAGAAAAAAAAAAGAAAACTACCAGTTACACAGTAGGGCGACCTCAAAAACAAAGGGAACTGCCTTCTCTTAAAGTTTCTCTTACATAGGTGCTTAGGTAAAAACTAAGGTATGTCTACCTGCCAGTGGGCTGACAGTGTAACAAAACTTATTACTTTGTTGATTTAAAGCTATCCTTGGCCGGTTGCATTGGCTCCCGCCTGTAATTCTGGCACTTTGGAAGGCCGACGTGGGGGCATCACCTGAGATCAGGGGTTCGAGACCAGCCTTGCGAACGTGATGAAACCCCGTCTCTACTGAAAATTCAACGATTAGCCGGGGGTGGTGGTGCATGCCTGTAATCCTAGCTACTCAGGAGGCTGAGGCAGGAGAATCGCTTGAACCCGGAAGGTGGAAGTTGCAATGAGCCGAGATTGTCCTATTGCACTCCAGCCTGGATGACAAAAGTGAAGCTCCATCAAAAAAAAAAAAACACCTATCCTTGGTATTTTAGTGTGCAAGTACGTGAAAGCATGACTGTAATTAGCTTAGAAGCATACATTGTCATGGGATATTGGGTCATCTGGACATTGTGTTTATGTAGGAGTTTGTCCTTGCAGGTATGATTAAGCTGCTTTTCTTAACTGTAAACATCTTAAGACCATGAGTCATGCGTGAGCAGTAAGGAATGTATGTTGCTAGTTTTAATGGACTTGAACTTTGTCACCCTAGCTCCCCTAGGATCCTGTTTAACAGTTTATCCACTTATGCACCAGAGTCCTAAGCACAATTATGGAGACACCATCCTTTTGTAATGTATCTGACAGACTGAGCTTCTGCCCCAAGAACATAGTAATAGCAATACTAAGTGAAATATTATAAAGTTTTGTGTATCTATGTAATTATCTATTATTTGCGTTTTAAATTAGCTAAAGTTATATAGAATGGGTTTTTATTTCAATCTAATACTAGAAATATATCTTTTGGCCCAGCATAGTGGCGCATACCTGTAATCTCAGCACTTTGGGAGGCTGAGGCAGGTGGATCACCTGAGGTCAGGAATTCAAGACCAGCCTGACTAACATAATGAAACCCAGTCTCTACTAAATACAAAAGAATTAGCCGGGCATGGTGATGCATGCCTGTAATCTGAGCTACTTGGGGTGCTGAGACAGGAGAATCCGTAGTACCTGGGAGGCAGAGGTTTCAGTGATCCGAGATCGCACCATTGCACTCCAGCCTGGGCAACAAGATTGAAACTCCGTCTCAAAAAACAAAACAAAACAAACTATATATATATATATAAAATCTTTCACAAATGGACTCTAATCCCACAAAGTTGTAAAGCATTTCCCTATGGTGAATAAATATGAAGGAGTTGAGATTTTGGAACTGATTTGTGCTTTCCATTATACTCATTTTTTCCTTATTCTATCTTGATCTTTTCTGTGTTCATGAGCTTGTGATCCAAAAGTATCTACTAGGTCTCAATGAATTTAGAAATCTATTTTGCCAAGGTTAAAATGCACCCATGACACAGCCTCAGGAGGTCCTGATGACGTGTGCCCAAGATGTTCAGGCTGCAATTTACAAATTTAGGGTGACATGAGACATCAATCAATACATATAAGATACACCTTGGTTCGATCTGGGAAGGTGAAATAACTGGAATTGCGGGCTTCCAGGTCACAGGGAGATAACAAATGATCACATTGTTTGAGTCTTTGATCAACCTTTCATTGAATACACAATTTATATGTGAGAGAGGGTGGAGGAATAGTCACTTATGCCTTAGGCTGGCTCAGTGACCCTGAATTTTTACATAAAAAATAGGTCAGGGGAAGTAGTCAGACAGACATTTGACTCAGGTGTGCAGAGGGATGGGTTCTTTCCTACACCTGTGAAGATAAGCTCTCAGTTTACATTGCCAGGGTGAAATTCAACAGAACTATTTTGGGGTGGAGATCTTGAGGCCCACAGTTTGTGAGTGGAGTATGTAGATTTTTGGTTTAGTCCTTGTAGCTATATTGTTTAGGAATAAAATGGGAGGCAGGTTTGTCTAACACAGTTCCCAGCTTGACTTTTCTCTTTGGTTAGTAATTTTGATTTTCCTTTCACAAGTATTGTGACAGACATAATGCTTTGACACACTGATATTGTTTTTTATTTTTTCAGATGGAGTTTTGCTCTTGTTGCCCAGGCTGGTGTGCATTGGCGTGATCTTGGCTCACAGCAACCTCCGCCTCCCAAGTTCAAGCAGTTCTCCTGCCTCAGCCTCCTGAGTCGCTGGGATTACACAGGCATGTGCCACCATGCCCGCCTAATTTTGTATTTGTATTTTTATTTATTTATTTATTTATTTTTTGAGACGGAGTCTCACTCTTTCGCCCAGGCCAGAGTGCAGTGGTGCTATCTCGGCTCACTGCAAGATCTGCCTCCAGGGTTCACGCCATTCTCCCTGCTCAGCCTCCCGAGTAGCTGGGACTATAGGCCCCTGCCACAGCGCCTGGCTCATTTTTTGTATTGTTAGTAGAGACGGGGTTTCACCGTGTTAGCCAGGATGGTCTCAATCTCCCGACCTCGTGATCCGCCCGCCTCGGCCTCCCAAAGTGCTGGGATTACAGGTGTGAGCCATCGCACCCTGCCTAATTTTGTATTTTTAATACAGACAGTTTCTCCATGTTGGTCAGGCTGTTGTTGAACTCCTAACCTCAGGTGATTCACCTGCCTTGGCCTCTCAGAGTGTTGGGATTACAGGCATGAGCCATCACTCCCAGCTGCTGATATTGTTTTATATAGATTTTTTCCCTAACAGTAAAGTCCAAGGGTCTTTCATGAACTGGGTTAGGGAAGATGAGAAGATTCCCAGGAAACTCCTGGTCTCAGGCAATCCTCCCACCTCAGCCTCCCAAAGTGCCAGGACAACAGGTGCGATCCACTGAACCGAGTGGAGTCTCCATCTCAAAAAACAAAACAAAGCAAAACAGAAATTTAGGTAATCTATTATGTCATTAAAATTTTTTTTTTGAAATGAAAGGTCTCACATGTTTATTACTGAACCCACCCAACCAATGCGTTCATAACAGATTCAGAGAGAAAAAAATATATTCCCAATAAAACATGTCCAAGTCTCCAGATGGTAGTGACATTTTCAGCTTAAGTAACGTGATTATGATGCTCACACAGCATAAATATGTGTGCCATCTCACGTGCAATTCCTTATAGACCCAGCTTGGTTCTTCTCCAATGTCTCCTTTTAAAGTTGGACCTGATTTTATTGCCAGTTTTCATTCGAATCCACTGGGAAATCGGACGATTTTACTTTTGGTTGTTGGCCAGAAACCGCTTAATCCTGAAAGTCTTGTGAGAAGACATGACAAGAAGTGGAGTCAAGCACACACCATGATGGCAGACAAAGGAGGAGAGGGGGCTAGACCTTTTTGTTTGTTTGTTTTAGACAGAGGTTTGCTCTTGTTGCCCAGGCTGGAGTGCAACGGCAGGATCCCGGCTCATCGAAACTTCCGCCTCCCGGGTTCAAGCAATTCTTCTGCCTCAGCCTCTTGAGTAGCTGGGATTACAGGTGCCCACCACTGTGCCCAGCTAATCTTTGTATTTTTAGTAGAGACGGGGTTTCATCATGTTAACCAGGCTATTATTGAATTCCTGACTATTGTTTCTCCTGTTTGCTGTTCTCTTCACTGCAGCACGAACAAGATTAACTTTTTTTCTGTAAAACTGATGTGGATGGTCTGCCTGCCGCTTCATGCATCACTTTCAACATTGTCTTGTCACAACTCAAAATAAGTTATTCATTTACAAACTGTTTATTTCTTTTGGGCATCAACTCCATAGCCTGTTCATAAACTATCAATGACTTCATTATTCCTGTACCCAAACTTTACAATAAGTATTCTTTTTTAGACAGCATCTTGCTCTGTCAACCATGCTGGAGTGCAGTAGCATGATTACAGCTCACTATAGTCTTGACCTCCCAGGCTCAAGCCATCCTCCCACTGCAGACTCCACAGTAGTTGATACTGCAGGCATGTGCCATCATTCCCAGCTAATTTTTGTATTTTTTGCAGAAACGGGGGTCTCACCATGTTTCCCAGGCATACCACTTACTGAAAAGCCTTATGTAAAATCATAAAAATTAATTAATAAAATATTGTAACCCATGATAAGACTAGCAACGAAATAATAAGTACATTTATACAGCCAGCAGACCTCTAAACAATTCCCTCTTAAGAAAAAAGCCACAACTTCTACTTACCACCAGCACACACTATAAGAACTGAAATACATTTAAGATCACTACCTTCTGATGTATGAGTTCAAGTAAATACACAGCATTATAAGGAGTAAGAATTGACTAACGACAGGATGCGGTGGTTCAGGCCTGTAATCCCAGCACTTTGGGGGGCAGAGGAGGGCAGATCACGGGGTCAGGAGTTGGAGACCAGCCTGGCCAACATGGTGAAACCCCATCTCTACTAAAAATACAAAAAAATTAGCTGGGCACGGTGGTAGGCACCTGTAATCCCAGCTACTCTGGAGGGTGAGGCAGAAGAATCATTTGAACCAAGGAGGCGTAGGTTGCAGTGAGCCGAGATCATGCCATTGCACTCCAGCCTGGGTAACAGGGCAAGACTCTGTCTCCAAAAAAAAAAAGAATTGACTAACAGTGTCAGAGGGTTCAATTATGATATCACAACTACAGTTATATAACAGCCAGGCAATACAGCAATTCTATGTACATGCATTGCCCTTAGTTATGTAGTTCACTATGCATGAAATATAAAACACAGACTGTATACTGGGAAAATTTATAAACTGGGATCAGAGAAAACATTTTATAAAACAAATTGCACAATAAAAACATAAAAAATATGATGCAGGCTCCCTGGTCTGAGTGTTCATATTGGCCAAAAGCCATGTTCAGAGTTCTTATTCTCCAATTGGATGTTCCTGCAGATGGGGCCTTTGAGAGAATTTGGTCATGGGTGTTGACTACATATGAATAAGACTGGTGCTTTTATTTATATTTTTTCTTTCTTTCTTTCTTTATTTTTGAGATGGAGTTTTTCTCTTGTTGCCCAGGCTAGAGTGCAATGGCATGATCTTGGCTCACTGCAACCTCCACCTCCAGGGATCAAATGATCCTACTGCCTCAGCCTCCCATGCAGCTGAGATTTCAGGCATGTTACACCACACCCAGGTAATTTTTGTACTTTTAGTAGGGAAAGGGTTTCACCATGTTGGCCAGGCTGCTCTCAAACTCCTGACCTCAGGTGATCCACCAGTCTCAGCCTCCCAAAGTGCTGAGATTACCTGACTGGTCTCAAACTCTGGACCTCAAGTGATCTACCCACCTTGGCCTCCCAAAGTGCTGGCATTAGAGGTGTTAGCCACTGTGGCCAGCCAGTCTAAGCTATTTCTAACAGGACAGTGAAATGAGGGAGACAGGAAAAGGAGCATGCCATCATCAACATCAGGGAAGGCTGACATATCTTATTACACAAAGGAAGTTTAGAGCCTGTAGCATAAAACCTGCAATATGTGAAGCCATCTAATAGCATTAATTTGTTTTAAAACCCTGGAGGCAGCCAGGCACCGTGGCTCATGCCTGTAATTCCAGCACTTTGGGAGACCGAGGCGGGTGGATCTCCTGAGGTCGGGAGCTTGAGAGCAGTCTGACTAACATGGAAAAACACCATCTCTAATACAAATACAAAATTAGCTGGGTGTGGTGGTACACGCCTGTAATCCCAGCTACTTGGGAGCCTCAGGCAGGAGAATCGCTTGAACCTGGGAGGCAGAGGTTGCGGTGAGCCGAGATTGCGCCATTGCACTCCAGCCTGGGAAACAAGAACGAAACTCCGTCTCAAAAAAAAAAAAAAATCTGGAGGCAAATTAACATTATTTCTCAAATAAGTACAGCAGGCCAGTGTGTTCATGTACATGACCCCAATTTGCACATACGCTAAGTGAGGGACAAACTTGATCATGGGCCTGAAGGATCCCATGTTTTTAAGCACAGTAGTCTGCCAAGAAAGTACAGAAAATGACCAGTCACAGAAAATACAAGAACAGAAAGAAGTATGATGAATTAATGGGTGCAGCACACCAACATGGAACATGTATACATGTGTAACAAACCTGCACGTTGTGCACATGTACCCTAGAACTTAAAGTATAATAAAAAAAGTGTATATATATATATATATATATATATATAGAGAGAGAGAGAGAGAGAGAGAGAGAGAGAGAGAGAGAGAGAGAGAGAGAGAGAACAGATAGAAGTACATCAAGGGGGATACAAGGGCTGAGCTGGGACACAAGCGCTGAGCTGCGCTGCTGACAGTGGTTCTGAAGCCATCCCTCATGGATCATGTGCTGAGTCATGATGCCCTGCACACACTGATTTAAGCGGCCTCCTATAATTTTGTCCAGTGGATGAATAAGGTCTTGACTTACTCAGTGAGAGTAGTGTTGGAGGGGAGGGGCTCATGGGGAAATTGGGGTGTTCACTATTACAAAATCAATAGGCTGGAAAGCAACAGTATTTTGCATCCAAATCAATGTACCATGTGAAGCAAGGCCAGGAAAAGGAGGGCAAGGGTGGAGGGCAGGAATGGGCACGTAGGAGTGAACTTTGTGCATGCACATCTGTGGGAATATAATTCCACTGGGATAGACCAAGTTTTGAGCTTGGAGGAAAATGGAACTAATTTAGCAAATGGTAAAATACTGACCCAAGGTTAACTATGCAAATTACAATATGGGCAAGGGACAAGAATGAACAAGATCCAAAAAATCAGCAGTATGGTGGCCTGAGGTGAAAGCAGTTTTACATCTCTTAGGTAAAATGGCCTCTGATTTCTAGTTTCAAGCATATACTCAAAAATATGCCTTGTGTAGATTCCAGAATTTCATACACACAAAAAAAATGAGTAAAGTCTACGAGGAGTACAGCAATGTAGAGACCATGGATGTGAAGAAGGATCCCTTGGCTGAGTATGAAGAGATGTGTCTGTGAAAACAGAGGCAGGCCAAGCACAGTGGCTCATGCCTGTAATAATAATAATATTAATAATTATGACGTTTTTTAATTTTTTTTTTTTTGAGAAGGAGTGTCACTCTATCACCCAGGCAGGAGTGCAGTGGCACAATCTTGGCTCACTGCAACTTCTTCCACCCAGGTTCAAGCAATTCTCTTACCTCAGCCTCCCGAGTAGCTGGCATTACAGTCACCTGCCACCAGGCCTGGCTAATTTTTAGTTGAGATGGCATTTCACCATTTTGCCCAGGCTGATCTCAAACTCCTGACCTTGTGATTCACCCACCTGGGCCTCCCAAAGTGCTGGGATTACAGGCGTGAGCCACCTCACCCGGCCAATCCTTACTAATAACTCATCATTGTGATAGTTAACAAAAATGAAAAATACTTACAATCATAACAACTATAAAAAATATACCTTATTGCAAATCAAGTGTTTTCTACATAAACCATGGGCTTATCCATCCATGTATTCATGCACACACATCACATCATGCCGTTACAAGCGTGGTGGCGTGCATCTCTAATCCCAGCTACTCGAGAGGCTCAGGCAACAGAATCACTGTAATCTGGAAGGTGGAAGCTACAGTGAGCCAAAATCTCACCACTGCACTCCATCCTGGGTGATAGAGGGAGACTCAACTCAAAAAAAGAAAAAAATAATAAAATCAATGATGTGATAAAGCACCCTGTACCACTGACGTGTATCTTCACTTTCCATTCCATTCCTGAAGGGGTGGCCTGCCCCTCCACACCTGTGGGCATTTCTCGTCAGGTGGAACGGAGAGATTTGAGAAAAGAAAGAGACATAGAGACAAAGTACAGAGAAAGAAAAGTAGGCCTACAGGACCAGCACTCAGCATACAGAGGACCCGCGCCTGCACCGGCCTCTGAGTTCCCTCAGTATTTATTGATCATTATCTCTACCATCTCGGAGAGGGGGATGTGGCAGGACAATAAGGTAATAGTGGAGAGAGGGTCAGCAGGAAAACCTGAACAAATGTCTCTGTCATAAACAAGGTAAAGGAAAAAGTGCTGTGCTTTTGATGTGCATATACATAAACATCTCAATGCCTTAAAGAGCAGTACTGCCTCCAGCATGTCTCACCTCCAGCTCTAAGGCAGTTTTCTCCTATCTCAGTAGATGGAATATACAATTGGGCTTTACACCGAGACATTCCATTGTCCAGGGACCAGCAGGAGACAGATGCCTTCCTCTTACCTCAACTGCAAAGAGGCCTTCCTCTTTTACTAATCCTCCTCAGCACAGACCCTTTACGGGTGTTGGGCTGGGGGATGGTCAGGTCTTTCCCTTCCCATGAGGCCATATCTCAGGCTATCACATGGGAGAAACTTTGGACAATACCTGGCTTTCCTAGGCAGAGGTTCCTGCGGCCTTTCGCAGTGTTCTGTGTCCCTGGGTACTTGAGAGTAAGGAGTGGTGATGACTTTTAACAAGCACGCTGTCTTCTAGCATTTGTTTAACAAAGCACATCCTGAACAGCCCTTAATCCATTTAACCTTGAGTTGACACAGCACATGTTTCTGCCAGCACAGGGTTGGGGCTAGGGTTACAGATTCACAGCATCTCAAGGCAGAAGAATTTTTCTTAGTACAGAACAAAATGTAGTCTCTTATGTCTACTTCTTTCTACATAGACACAGTAACAGTCTGATCTCTCTCTTTTCCCCACAATTCCAAGTCATTAAAAGTTCAGATGCTGCCAGGCATGGTGGCTCATGCCTGTAATCCCAGCACTTTGGGAGGCCGAGGCGGGCGGATCACGAGGTCAGGAGTTCAAGACCAGCCTGGCCAATATGGTGAAACTCTGTCTCTACTAAAAATATAAAAATTAGCTGGGCGTGGTGGCACACGCCTATAGTCCCAGCTACTCGGGAGGCTGAGGCACAAGAATCGCTTGAACCTGGGAGGTGGAAGTTGCAGTGAGCCGAGATCACACCACTGCACTCCAGCCTGGGTGACAGAGTGAGATTCTGTCTCAAAAAAAATAAATAAAACAAAGTTCAGATGCCGGGCGCGGTGGCTCACGCCTGTAATCCCAGCACTTTGGGAGGCCGAGGCAGGCGGATCACGAGGTCAGGAGATCGAGACCAGGGTGAAACCCCGCCTCTACTAAAAATACAAGGCGCGGTGGCGGGCGCCTGTAGTCCCAGCTACTCCGGAGGCTGAGGCAGGAGAATGGCGTGAACCCAGGAGGCGGAGCTTGCAGTGAGCCGAGATTGCGCCACTGCACTCCAGCCTGGGCAACAGAGCGAGACTCTGTCTCAAAAAAAAAAAAAAAAGAAAGAAAGAAAATTCTAATTACAACTGGGCACTCCTACCCTCAAAAAAAAAAAAAAAAAAAAAAAAAAAGCCACACCTAGACGCGCACTCCATTTTGCCAGTCATTTCAGGGGTCAGAGTCACTCGGGCTGAGCTTTTCTGGTGAAGCCCCTCATCGCCAAGTTGCAGGGAGGCTCACATTTTCACCAAGTTACACTGACAAGGTCTGAGATGAGTGAGAAGGTGTGTGTGAAGTCTTACATGGGGGCCTGGAAGGGCTAATGGGAGGGGTTGGTCTTATCACCCACATCCTTGAAAATCAGAGAAGCATCTTACGCATACCTATGCTAAAGAAACTTCTTTTGCAAGATTCTGATGACATTGATTCCCGACAGTTAATTCTTCCTTACAAGAAAATCACAGTAACATTTATAAAATGCAGAAGTGTGAACACACAGCTATTGACCTTGAAAACAGTGAAAGAAGGTCAACTGTAGAACTGAGACATAAGCAAATTATTTCAATCAAGAATACATGAGTCTTCAGGCACGATGGCTCACGCCTGTAATCCTAGCACTTTGGGAGGGCAAGGTCGGCAGATCGCCTGAAGTCAGGAGTTCGAGACCAGCTTGGCCCACATGGTAAAACCCTGTCTCTACTAACAATGCAAAAAATTAGCCGGGAGTGGTGGAGGGCACCTGTAATCCCAACTACTCGGTATGCTGAGGCAGGAGAATGCCTTGAACCCGGGAGGCAGACGTTGCAGTGACACCAGATCGCACCATTGCACTCCAGCCTGAACAACAAGAGCAAAACTCCATCTCAAAAAAAAAAAAAGAGGCGGGGCACGGTGGCTCATGCCTGTAATCCCAGCACCTTGGGAGGCCAGGTCTGGCGGATCACGAGGTCAGGAGTTTGAGACCAGCCTGACAAACATGGTGAAACCCTGTCTCTACTAAAAATATAAAAATTAGCCAGGTGTGCTGGTAGGTGCCTGTAATTTCAGCTACTCAGGAGACTGAGGCAGGAGAATCACTTGATGCCGGGAGGCAGAGGTTGCAGAGCTGAGATCGCACCACTGCACTCCATCCAAGGCGACAGAGCGAGACTCCATTTAAAAAAAAACAAACAAACAAAGCAAAAGAATACATGGGTGCTTTTGGAGGAGCATTCTATGCCACTCCAGCCCATGTTTCAACATTTTTCCAGAATGGTCCAGAGGGCCTTGAGAGAAACACGCAATAAATAGCTCCCAGCTGAAGATTTTAACAAATGACATAAGGAAAGGAAACTGAAAACCAGACTAACTGGTTAAAATACATTTTTTTATTTATAATTTTTTTTTTTAATAGACGGAGTCTCACTCTGTCTCCCAGGCTGGAGTTGCAATGGTGCTATCTGGGCTTACTGCAAGCTCCACCTCCTGGGTTCACCCGCCATTCTCCTGCCTCTCAAAAAAATAAAAAATAGAAAATAAGAAACAAGACCGGGTACGGTGGCTCATGCCTGTAATCCCAGGACTTTGGGATGCCAAGGTGGGCAGATCACCTGAGGTTGGGAGTTCAAGACCAGCCTAATATGGAGAAACCCCGTCTCTACTACAAATACAAAAAATTAGCCGGGTGTGGTGGCACATGCCTGTAATCCCAGCAACTAGGGAGGCTGAGGCAGAGGAATCGCTTGAACCCGGGAGGCGGAGGTTGTGGTGAGCTGAGATCACATCATTGCACTCTAGGCTGGGCAACAAGAGTGACACTCCATCTCAAAATAAATAAATAAATAAATAAGAAAATAAGAAACAAAAAACAGGATGGCGAAAGTGGCCGACATCTGTTGGCCATGGTGGTTTCAAACTTCTGACCTCAAGTGACCTATGTGCCTTGGTCTTCCAACGTGCTGGGATTACAGGCCTGAGCCACCACACCTGGCCCCATCCTCTTAACATAAACACTTGAATGTCAATTAAGGCTTGAACTCAATGTTAAGTCAACACAAACTCAAGTCAATGCTGAATTGACTCCAATGTCAATTAATGCTTGATGGTTTGCTATACTCACTGCATTGGGAACAGTTATCTCAAAAATGAATTTTCTCATGTTCTGCAAGGAGTGACCTCGGACTGAAGACCTTGCCACACTGATGACATTTGCAAGATTTCTGTCCAGTATGGATTCTCTGATGTCCAACGAGGTGTGAATGTGAAGTAAAGGCTTTGCCACAATCATCACACTTGTGAGGTTTCTCTCCTGTATGAATTCTCCTGTTTTGCATAGGATGAAGCTTGACTGAAGACCTTGCCTCAATCATGACATTTGTAAGGTTTCTCTCCAGTATGAGGTTGCCAATGAACTGCAATGTATGAACAATGTCTGAAAAACATGCCACATTTATTACACTCAGAAGATTTCTCTTCATCATGGATTCTCCAATGATTTGCAATTGTTGTAGTGTTACTGAAGACTTTGTGACAATCATTATATTAATCAAATTTCCCTATACCATGAATTGCCTGATGGTGAATAAGTGTTGACCGGTCACTAAAGGCTTTGCCACACTCATTACACTTGTAAGGTTTCTCTCCAGTATGAATTATCCTATGTCTTTTAAGGTGTGATTTGCGACTGAAAACTTTGTCACATGCTTCACATTTGTAAGGTTTCTCTCCAGTATGAATTCTATGATGACGTGAAAGGTGTGATTGTTCATTAAAAGCCTTTCCACATTCATTACACTTGTAAGGTTTCTCTGCAGTGTGAATTCTAATATGTCTTGCCAGGTATGAATTACGCACGAAAGCCTTGTCACAAACCGTACATTTGTAAGATTTCTCTCCAGTATGAAGTCTACGATGGTATACAAGGGATGACCAGTGACGGAAGGTATTGCCACAGTCGTTACACTTGTAAGGTTTCTCACCACTATGAAGTCTACGATGGCATAGAAGGGTTGCCTTCTGACTGAACGTCTTGCTGCACTCACTACACTTGTAAGGTTTCTCACCACTATGAATTCTACGATGGCATACAAGGGATGACCTGTTACTGAAGGTCTTGCTGCACTCATTACACTTGTAAGGTTTCATTCCACTGTGAATTCTAGTATGTTTTGCCACATAGGAACGACACACGAAAGCCTTGTCACAAACCTTACATTTGTAAGATTTCTCTCCACCATGAAGTCTACGATGCCATACAAGTGATGACTTGTAACTGAAGGTCTTCCCACACTCATTACACTTGTAAGTTTTTTCTCCAGTGTGAATTCTTGTATGTCGTGCCAGCTGTGAATTCCACGTGAAAGCTGTGTCACAAACCTGACATCTGTATGGTTTCTCTCCAGTATGAATTCTCTTATGTGACTCAAGAGCTGATTTCTGACCAAAAACTTTGTCACATGCTTCACATTTGTAAGGTTTCTCTCCAGTATGAAGTCTACGATGACGTGAAAGATGTGATTGTTGATTAAAAGCTTTCCCACATTCATTACACTTGTAAGGTTTCTTTGCAGTGTGAATTCTAGTATGTACAGCCAGGACTGAATTACGCATGAAAACCTTGTTACAAACCGTACATTTGTAAGATTTCTCTAGAGTGTGAAGTCTACGATGGTATACAAGGGATGCCCGGTGACGGAAGGTATTGCCACACTGATTACACTTGTAAGGTTTTTCACCACTATGAAGTCTACGATGGCATAGAAGGGATGACCTGCGGCTGAAGGTCTTGCGACACTCATTACACTTGTAAGTTTTCTCTCCAGTGTGAATTCTTCTATGTCGTGCCAGCTGTGAATTACACGTGAAAGCTGTATCACAAACCTTACATTTGTATGGTTTCTCTCCAGTATGAATTCTCTTATGTCTCTCAAGGGTTGATTTCTGACTGAAAACTTTGTCACATTCTTCACATTTGTAAGGTTTCTCTCCAGTATGAAGTATATGATGACGTGCAAGGCTTGATTGATGATTAAAAGCCTTACCACACTCATTACACTTGTATGTTTTCTCTCCACTATGAATTCTAGTATGGTTTGCCAGATAGGAATGACACGCAAAAGCCTTCTCACAAATCTTACATTTGTAAGGTTTCACTCCAGTATGAAGTCTTTGATGGCGTGAAAGGTGTGATTGTTGATTAAAAGCCTTGCCACATTCATTACACTTGTAAGGTTTCTCTCCAGTATGAATTGCCTTATGAATTACAAGGGCTGAATTTTGACGAAAGACCTTGCCACACTCATTACACTTGTAAGGTTTTACTCCAGTATGAAGTCTATGATGGCATGTAAGGGATGACTTGTAACTGAAGGACTTTCCACACTCTTTACACTTGTAAGGTTTCTCTCCAGTGTGACATCTACGATGGCATGCAAGGTATTGCTTGTGATTAAAGAGCTTGCCACATACATCACATTTATATTGTTTGTCTCCTAAATGGGGTATCTGGTGTTTCCTTAAGAGTGAGCTACAATTAAAGGCTTTGCCACTCTCATTACATGGGAAAGATTTTTCTCTCATGTGTACTTCCTGTTTTTGTGGGAGTAATGAAGAATTCAGGGGATTATTCCCATAGTTATTAGAAATATGGATTTGGGGCCTACAGGAAATTCTTTGGGATGTTGAAACTGAGGAAGCATCACTGGTAGACTTCTCAAGTTGATTAGCAATTTCACCTTTGATCTGAAATATGTGGAGTTCAGGCAGATGTGAATAAAAGCTTGATCCAAGCTGATCTTTAATAGGCTTGTTTCCAGCATGCCTGTGATCATGTTGGTCTGTGCTACCAGTCAACTTTTTTATTTTTGTCGTGGGTGCTTCATGGCCATTTCTTTCATCTTCTTGACACTGAAACTCAATGTTATGAATTTCTTTCTCAATTTCCTGGAAGCAAAAGTCTCCAATGTGATAACTTTGATGTCTTTGCAATGTCCCTGTGTGGATCACTTCTCTATTGCCTTGCCCTGTTGACAAGACCTCCTTCATCATGTGTTTGGAAGAGATATCTACAAAATATAAACACCAATACATTTCCAATTAAGTACAGATGGTAAATCATACTGAAGTGTGTAAATATGACACAAAAAACAATACTTATTTTGAAATTCCCAAACATGATATTCAAAGTTTAGGAACACAAAAAGAGTGAGATTCTTTAGTAAATAAAGGGCAATTACATGTCCTTCAAATCAATTCTATGAAAGTCTATTTCCTATATCATGACAAAACACTGACAGGGCACAAATATGTATAAGCCTAAAGTAAGGAGTATTTTTCCACTGTGACCTTGAAGTGCATCACAATTTGCAAAAAACATATCACTGTCACATCAAGGAAGAGAAAAATATATATTCTTCATATTTAAACCATATTTACTGTGTACAAATAAATGCTAAAAAAAAAAAAAAACCACACAACATACTATATTGGTAAATAATCCACAACAAGCTCATGTAAGGATAACCAAAAGCACTGGAAATTCTGTATTATCAAACAATTATAGCACTGAGAAGATAAGAAAAGATTACAAAAATTAGCCAGGTGTGATGGTCCGTGCCTGTAGTCACAGCTACTTAGGAGGCTGAGGCACAAGAATCACTTCAACACGGGAGGCAGAGGTTGCAGTGAGCCAAGATCACACCACTGCACTCCTGCCAGGGTGGCAAAGTAGACTCTGCCTCAAACAGAAAAAAAAAAAAAAGAAAAAAGTTAGTACAATATTTTTCTAAATAAATGTCATAAAATTATATATATCTACACAGAACAGGCACTTAGTGACTTTTGAAAAAATTTTTGGGCCGGGTGCGGTGGCTCATGCCTGTAATCCCAGCACTTTGGGAGGCCGAGAAGGGTGGATCACAAGGTCAGGAGATCGAGACCATCCTGGATAACACGGTGAAACTCTGTTTCTACTAAAAACACAAAAAAATAGCCAGGCGTGGTGACAGGCGCCTGCAGTCCCAGCTACTCGGGAGGCTGTGGCAGGAGAATGGTATGAACCCAGGAGGTGGACTTTGCAGTGATCTGAGATCATGCCACTGCACTCCAGCCTGGGCGACAGAGTGAGACTCCATCTCAAAAAAAAAAAAAAATTTGTTTCCATTTTTATTGTTTTGAGAAGGAGTCTTGCACTCCAACTTGGAGCGTCATGGTGTAATCTCAGCTCACTGCAACCTCTGCCTGCTGGGTTGAAGTGATTCTCCTTCCTCAACCTCCTGAGTACCTGGGATTACAGGCACACACCACTACACCTGGCTAATTTTTGTGTTTTTAGTAGAGATGTGGTTTCACCATGTTGGCCAGGCTGGTCTCAAACTCCTGACCTTAAGTAATCCACCCCCCTTGACCTCCCAAATTTCTGGGATCACAGGTGTGAGCCACTGCACCTGGTGGCACTTTGTGACATTAACGAGTGCAGTGTGTCAGTTATATTGCATACCACATACCGAAAAGCCATATGTAAAATTATAAAATTAATTAATAAAATATTGTAACCCATGATAAAACCAGCAAGCAAATAAGTACATTTATACAGCCCGCAGAATTCTAAACAACTTCCTCTGAAGAAAAAAGCCACAACTTCTACTTAACCACCAGCACACAATATAAGAACTGAAATACATGTTAAGATCACTACCTTCTGATGTATGAGGTCAAGAAAATATACAACATTTTAAGAACTAAGAATGGACTAACAGCTAGGCAGGGAGTACAGACACATGCCACCATGCCTGGCTAACTTTTTTTTTTTTTTTTGGTGGCAAATGGAATCTAACTCTGTCACCTTGGCTGAAGTGCAGTGGCATGATCATGGTTCACTGCACCATCCACCTCCCAGGTTCAAGTGACTCTCCTGTCTCAGCCTCACAAGAAGCTGGGATAACAGGTGCATACCAAAACGCCCAGCTAATTTTTGTATTTTTACTAGAGACGGGGTTTCACCACGTTGGCCAGGCTGGTCTTGAACTTCTGACCTCAGGTGATCCACCCGTCTCGCCCTCCCAAAAGTTTGGGATTATAGGCATGAGTCATCATGCCCAATTTTTTTTAATTTAGTAGATTCAAGGTTTCATTATGTTTGCCTGACTGGTCTCAAACTCCTGACCTCAAGCCATCTACCCACCTCAGCCTTTCAAAGTGCTAGAATTAGAGGTGAAAGCCACTGAAGCTGGCCAGTCTAAGCTATTTCTGACAGAACAGTGAGATGAGTGAGGCAGGAAAAGGGGCATCTCATCATCAACATCACTGAAGGCTGAAAAATCTTATTAAACAAAGGAAGTTGAGAATGTACTATAAAACTTATATGAAGCCATCTAATAGTATTCACTTGTTTTAAAAAGCAGGTGGATGAATCACCTGAGGTTGGGAGTTCAAGACCAGCCTGACCAATATGGAGAAACCCCATCTCTCCTAAAAATACAAAAATTAGCCAGGCTTGTGCCAGGCATAATCCCAGCTACTTGGGAGCCTGAGGCAGGACAATCACTTGAACCCAGGAAGTCGAGGTTGCAGTGAGCCAAGATTGCACCATTGCACTCCAGCCTGGGCAACAAGAGGGAAACTCCATTAAAAAAAAAAAAATAGCCCGGACACAGTGGTTCATGCCTGTAATCCCAGCACTTTGGGAGGCTGAGGTAGGTAGATCACTTGAGGTCAGGAGTTTGAGACCAGCCTAGCCAACATGGGGAAACCCCATCTGTACTAAAAATACAAAATTAGGCAGGTGTGGTGGTGCATGCCTCTAATCCCAGCTACTCAGAAGGCTGAGGAAGGAGAATCGCTTAAATCCAGGAGGTGGAGGTTGTGGTGAACTGAGATTGTGCAATTGAACTTCAGCCTGGGCAACGGGAGCAAAACTCCATCTCAAAAACAAAAAAAAAAAACCAACCCTGGAGGCAAATTATCATTATTTCTCAAATAATGACAGGAGGCCCACAGTGTTCATGGACATGACCCCAGTTTGCACATAAGGTAAGTGAGGGACAAGACTTAATCCTGGGCATGAAGGATCCCACGACATGTTCTTAGGCACAATAGTCAGCACAGGCAGTACAGAAAATGACCAGACCAGAAAATACAAGGAGAACAGATAGAAGTACATCAAGGGGGATACAAAGGCTGAGCTGGGACACAAGCGCTGAGCTGCGCTGCTGACAGTGGTTCTGAAGCCATCCCTCATGGATCATGTGCTGAGTCATGATGCCCTGCACACACTGATTTAAGCGGCCTCCTATAATTTTGTCCAGTGGATGAACAAGGTCTTGACTTACTCAGTGAGAGTGGTGTTGGAGGGGAGGGGCTCACGGGGAAATTGGGGTGTTCAGCATTACAAAATCAATAGGCTGGAAAGAAACAGTATTTGCATCCAGATCAATGTATCATGTGAGTCAAGGCCAGGAAAGGAAGGGCAAGGGTGGAGAGCAGGAAGTAATGGGCATGTAGGAGTAAACTTTGTGCATGCACCTCTGTGGGAATATAATTCCACTAGGATAGACCAAATCTTGAGCTTGGACGAAAGTGGAACTAATTGAGCAAATGTTAAAATATTGACCCAAGGTTAAATATTCAAATTACAATATGGGCAAGGGACAAGAATGAAAGAGATCCAAAAAAGCAGCAGTATGGTGGCCTGAGGTGAAAGCAGTTTTACATCCTTAAATTAAGTGACTCTGATTTCCAGTTTCAAGAATATACTCAACAATATCCCCTGTGTAGATACCAGAAAGGCATACACACAAACAAACAAGTAAACTCTATGAAGAGTACAGTAGACCATGGGGGTGAACAAGGATCCCCTGGCACAGTAGGTAGAGATGTGTTTGTGAAAACAGAGCTAGGCTGAGTGCAGTGGCTCATGTCTGTAATACCAGCACATTGGGAGGATGAGCGGGTGCATCAGGAGGTCAGGAGTTCAAGACCGGCCAGGCCAGCATGGTGAAACACTGTCTCTACTAAAAAAAATACAAAACATTAGCCGGGCATGGTGGTGCATGTGTGTAATCCCAACAGCTCAGAAGCGTGAGGTATGAGATTGCTTGACCTGGGATGTGGAGGTTACAGTGAGCTGAGATTACACCACTGCACTGCACTTGAGCCTGGGTGACAGAGCAATATTCCATCTTAAAAAAAACAGAAACAAAAAAAAAACTGTACCTCTAATAGAAATGTGGTTTCACCAAGTTGGCCAAGCTGGACTCGAACTCCTGACCTCAGGTGATTCACCCACCTCAGCCTTCCAAATTGCTGGGATTACAGGCGTGAGCCACCGCACCCAGCCTGGTAGTATTATTTATAATAGTAAAGATGTGCATCGACAGATAAATATGTGAGGAAAATGTGGTATACACATACAATGGAATATTATTCAGCCTTAAAAACAACTCGGATGGGCCAGGGGCTGTGGCTCATGCCTGTAATCCCAGCACTTTGGGAATCCAAGGCAGCTGAATCACATCAGGCCAGGCTATCAAAACCAGCCTGGCCAACATGGTGAAACTGCCATCTGTAATAGAACCACCAAAAATTACCCGGGTGTGGTGACACATGCCTGTAATCCCAGCCACTCAAGAGGCTGAGGCAGGAGAATCACTTGAACCCAAAAGGTGGAGGTTGTGGTGAGCCAAGATCATGCCACTGCACTCAAGCCTGGGCAACAGAGCAAGACTATGAGAAAAAAACAACAACAACATAGAAATGAACAAGTTGAAAGGCACTGTGTCTTAAGGAAATGACAGTAGAACTAAACTATGGAAACCTCATTCAACCTCACAAGCTCCCTCAATAAGATTGATGAAAACCATATCTCTTACAGGGTTGATCCTACAACAAACTGAACATAGGTTTTCTTGTTAAAAATGAACAGTGACACATATTGGTGTGAAAAATGTGACATGAACAAGAGTTCAGTCAAGAGCCTCATACATATGAGGCTGTGAGCCCGAATGATGTCCTCGCTGGGAGGAATTGCAACACCACTGACTGCTGCTTAGAGAAGATGATCATTAGTTTATGGGATGAACGTTGTCACAGTGCCAGTGAGAGACGCTTCTGTGATGCTCCTCAAAAACCAGAATGAGCTGGGCATGGTGGCTCACGCCTGTAATCCCAGCATTTTGGGAGGGTGAGGTGGGCGGATAACCTGAGGTCTGGAGTTAGAGACGAGCCTGACCAACATGGAGAAACCCTGTGTCCACTAAAAATACAAAATTAGCTGGGCATGGTGGCGCATGCCTGTAATCCCAGCTACTCAGGAGGCTCAGGCAGGAGAATCACTTGAACCTGGAAGGCGGAGGTTATGGTGAACCGATATACCATTGCTCTCCAGCCTGGGAAACAAGAGCAAAACTCCATGTCAAAAAAAAAAAAAAAAAAAACCAGCATGGATGGGGCAAAATCACAAAAGAGAATACAAAACCAGGAAGAGCCAAGATAGACAGGAGCAGACTCCTCATGTCTGCAGGGACATTTTCCTCACCCACAGCCTCCAGGTTCCTGTAGTTCTCCAACATCACTTCCCTGTACAAAGCCCTCTGTGCAGGGTTCAGGAATTTCCACTCTGCCAATGAGAATTCTATAGCCACATCCCTGAAAGTCAAGCGTCCCTAAAATGAAACATACATTTCAACAAAACATTATGGAGGATTGAGTTATCACCTTCACAGGAAATGAGAAAAGGGAAAATAAGTATTTATTTGATCAAAGACTGTGTTCTGACAAAAGGATGTTAAGGTATTTTTGACTATTTTTTCCGTATAGTTGCATTTTATTGTACTTTTCCTTGAAAGATTTTAAGATCCCATAAGTCACTATGGAAGTCTCGATTTTATGGACAATATAAAAACTATATAAATAAAAAGGAAACACAGGGCCGGGTGAGGTGGTTCATGCCTGTAATCCCAACACTTCAGGAGGCCAAGTTGGGCAGATTATTTGAGGTCAAGAGTTTGAGACCAGCCTGGTCAACGTGGTGAAAACCTGTCTCTACTAAAAATATAAAAATTAGACGGACATGGTGGCAGGCACCTGTAATCCCAGCTACACAGGAGGCTGAGGCAGGAGAATCACTTGAACCCAGGAGATGGAGGCTGCAGTGAGCCAAGATCGCACCACTGCCCTCCATCCTGGGCAACAGACTGACACTCCATCTAAAAAAAAAAAAAAAAAAAAAAAGCAATTCCAGGCAATGGCTCTCGCCTGTAATCCTAGCATTTTGGGAGACCAAGGCAGGTAGACAATGTGGTCAAGATATCAAGACCTTCCTGGCCAACATGGCGAAACCACATCTCTACTGAAAATACAAAAATTAGCTAGGTGTTGTGGCGCAGGCCTGTACTCCCAGCTACTCAAGAGGCTGAGGCAGGAGAATTGCTTGAATCCAGGAGGCGGAGGTTGCAGTGAGCCGAGATCGCACCACTTCACTTTAGCTTGGCAACAGAGCAAGATTCCATCTCAAAAAAAAAAAAAAAAAAAAGCAAACACAGGGTTTTCTCTACAGACATGTCAGCTATTATGTTCAACATACAAGGCGATATTTAGTCTCTAGATGAACTAAGATACAAGCGGTGTTTCAGAGAGGACAGAGTCCATTGGCTTTGAAAGAAAAGTCCAAATCTAAAAACTATCATGATCGGTCAGGCACAGTGGCTCATGCCTGTAATCCCAGCACTTTGGGAGGCCAAGGCAGGTGGATCATGAGGTCAGGAGTTTGAGACCCGCCTGGGAACACGCTGAAACCCCTTCTCTAGTAAAAACACAAAAATTAGCTGGGTGTGGTGGTGGGTGCCTGTAATCCCTGATACTTGGGAGGCTGAGGCTGGAGAATTGCTTGAAATCAGGAGGCAGAGGTTGCAATGACCCAATATCATGCCACTGCACTTCAGCCTGGGTGACAAAGCAATACTCTGTCTCCAAAAAAAAAAAAAAAACTGTTATGATGACAGCAATAGCCATGACTAACATTTTTGAATGCTTCCCATGTGCTATACACTGTTCTAAGTGCTTCCCATGTCTTAAGCCATAAAATAACATACTGTCCCATGAAGAAAGATCTGTACTTGGACACAAGTGCATCACACATACTAGGAAAATTACCACAAATCAAATAGCTAAAAATGTCAACACAAGCACTGAATCCAGATGTCTGGGATTCACATTTGAATATAAACGCTGAAGTAACAGATACAGCTTTAAACTAAACTGACACGGGTTTATCTAGTGCAGAGAATGTGACAAAGGTCCCAGGGTAAGAACACGGAGCATCCTACAAGGTCGCTGAATGGACACACACAGGCATACATATAATCCTTCCCAATACTTCTTATTTTTTTTTTTTTCCAGATGGAGTCTCACTCTATTGCACAGGCTGGAATACAGTGGCACAATCTCTCAGCTCACTGCAACCTGTGCCACCCAGGTTCAAGCAATTCTCTTGCTTCAGCCTCCCCAGTAGCTAGGATTTGAGGCACCTGCCACCACATCCATCTAATTTTTGTATATTTAGCAGCGACAGGGTTTCACCATCTTAGCCAGGATGGTCTTGAACTCCTGATGTCATGAGCTACCCACCTCAGCCTTCCATAGTGGTGGGATTACAGGTGTGAGCAACCGGGCCCGGCCCCATCTTACCATTAACTCATTATTGTGATAGTTGACAACAATGAAAAATACTTAAAATCATTACAATTATTATAAAAAATAAAACTTATTGCAAATGTTGTGTTTTCTACATAAACCATGGGCTTATCCACCCATGTATTCATGCACACACATCACATCATGGCGTTACCCACGTGGTGGCCCACCTCTAATCCAAGCTACTGGAGAGGCTGAGGCAACAGAATCACTGTAATCTGGGAGTCAGAGGCTACAGTGAAACAAAATCACCCCACTGCACTCCTGCCTGGACAACAGAGACTCAACTCAAAACAAATTTAAAAATAAAATAAAATCAATGATGTAATAAAGCATCCTGTACCACTGATGCCTATCTCCACTTTCCATTGCATTGACAGTCATTAAAAGTGCAGACTTTAGCCAAGTGCAGTGGCTCAGGCCTGTAAATCCCAGAACTTTGGGAGGCCGAGGTGAACAAATCACAAGGTCAGTAGTTCGACCAGCCTGACCAATACGGTGAAACCCCATCTCTACTAAAAATACAAAATAATTAGCCAGGCGTGACAGCGAATGCCTGTAATCCCAGATACTCAGGAGGCTGAGGCAAAAGAATTGCTTGAAGCCAGAAGGCAGAGGTTGTAGTGAGCTGAGATGCCGCCACTACAATCCAACATGGGCAACAGAGCGACACTCCATCTCAAAAATGTGCAGAGTCCAGCCAAGCTGGCTGTCTCCCATTTGGAATGCCAGCAATTTGGGAGACCAAGAGGGGAGGATCACTTGAGGCCAGGATATCAAGGCTAAAGCAAGCTTTGATTGCACCACTGCACTCCAGCCTAGACAACAAAATAAAAATACAATATAAAAAATAAGGCCTGACATGGTGGTGTGCACCTTTAACCTCAGCACTTAGGGAGTCCGAGATAGGCAGATCATGAGGTCAGGAGTTCCAGATCAGCATAACGAACATGATGAAACCCCGTCTCAACTAAAAATACAAAAATTAGCTGGGTGTGGTGGTGCATGCCTGTAGTCCCAGCAACTTGGTAGGCTGAGGCAGAAGAATTGCTTGAAACTGGGAGGGGGAGGTTGCAGAGAGCCGAGATCGTACCACTGCGCTCCAGCTTTGCTGACTGAGACTCCATCTTAAAATAAATAAATACATACATAATATACACACATACATATGGTGACCCATGCCTATCATTCAGGCTCTTTGGGAGGCTACAGTAGCGATTAGTTGAGCTCAGGAGTTTGAGGCTGCTGTAAACTCTGAATTGTGCCATTGTACTCCAGAACTAAGCCACAGAGCGACACCTTCTCTCTCTCTCTTTTTTCTTTTGAGACAGAGTCTCGCTCCATCTCCCAGGCTGGAGTGCAGTGGCACAATTTCGGCATACAGTAACCTCCACCTCCTGGACTCAAGTGATTCTCCTACCTCAGCCTCCTGAGTAGCTGAGATTACAGGCATGCACCACCACATGCAGCTAATTTTTGTATTTTTAGTAGAGATGGGGTTTCACCATGTTAGCCAGGCTGGTCTCTAAGTCCTGACCTCAAGTGATCTTCCTGCCTTGGCCTCCCAAAATGCTGGGATTACAGGTGTAAGCCACTGCACTGGGACCAACATCTTGTCTCTTAAAAAAAAAAAAAAAATTTGGACACAGAGACATCTTGATCTACTAGTGTGGCTTCAAATGCATTACCAAATCAGATACAAAATATCTCCTCTTATTCGTCTCCTTTCCCAGAATTTACCACACATCTGCGCACATTAACATACGTATTTCATATGTAGTTTCTCTGAGCTGACATCCAGATGTGGCCCCTGAACAATCCAGGCTGCCCAGCAGCTCTGACATCAACGGGCCCACACCCCATGTTTATCCACGTCTGGGTGTGAGCCCTTCCCAAGACCATGCCCAGTGGAGCCTCTTCCCAAGTTCATGTCACTGGGTCACAGGAGATGGAATCTCAGAGCACCTGAGAGGAACTGAGGGCAGGCATGGGTGAGTGCAAGTGAACGTGTCAGGCAAAATGCTTCAGACTCAGAAAAGACTGGCTGCTACAATACATTACTACAATACAATATAATACTACTACATTTCAGAAAGGAAAGAGACAGATTAATCCACAGAGGAATATCACTTCACCTGAGGAAGAGCCATGCCTGACTCCTTTCCTTTCCTCTTCTGAGCTGCTTCCTCACGTAACATGAGTCTTTAGAAATCAATCCTGTATGTGAAAAAAAATAAGACTTCATGTTAGAAATGACTCACTCCCTTCCTGTGACAAAACCACATGAACCGGGAGATGTCACCCTGTAGAAAGAAGTCCCCCACTGCCCACTGCACCAGAGATCATGCAGAGGTAAGAAAGTCCCACAGGAAGACCTACAAGTGTATGTTTGACCCCGGTCTTCAGATCTCACTCCCTTCATGGAGAAGCCGCCACACACGAGGCAGCAGGGGGGACCTGGGCTGCACTGATGCCCCCTTTATGGCACAGACTCATCCCTGATCAAAGCCTCCACCCCCCCCCCAAAAAAAAGATCTGGGCACCTACTTGGGAAGCTGAGGCAGGAGAATCACTTGAACCCAGGAGGCAGAGGTTGCAGTGAGTCGAGATCGTGCCACTGCACTCCAGCCTGGGCGACAAAATGAGACTTCATCTCAAAAAAAAAAAGGAAACTCAAAAGATTGTAACTACTTGTGCCTCATTTCTCTGTGACCTAAAAGCCGCCTCCCTGCTTCAAGTCTTCCTGCCTTTGTTTAAAGTTGTCCCGCCTTCCCAGACCAAACCAATGTACTTCTTACATATATTGATTGATGTCTCATGTCTCCATAAAATGTATAAAATTAAGCTCTGCCCCGACCACCTTGGGCAAACTAAACTCTCTAAATAACTGAGATCTCTGTAAGATTTTCTGGTTTCACAGCTGCAGTGTCAAATGGGGGCTGTGGGAGATCACAAAGGAAACCCGGAGAAGATGATATCAGAACAAGGACCTAGGAAAGAAAGGCTGCTTGTCACTTGCAGCTGAGGGGAAGAGCATCCTAGAGAGAGGGACAGCTCAAGTGAGGGCCCTGAGACAGGAGCAACCTCAGCCCCAGGAAAAGGAAAGCGACCCGTGGGGCTGGAGCAGTGGAAGAGAGGAGGGCACAGGTAGGAGATGAGGTCAGAGAGGTCCTGGGGGCACAGACCCATAGGGACATGGTTTTCAAACATTTTTCTCCCACAACCCAAAAGCATTTTGAAAGTCGACTGTGATCCCAGCTACTCGGGTGTCTGACGCAGGAGAATCCCTTGATCCCAGGAGTCAGAAGTTGCAGTGAACTGAGATCGTGGCATTGCACTCCAGCCTGGGCCACAAGAGTGAAAATTCGTCTCAAAAAAAAAAAAATTGGAAGTGATGTATCTTCTCACTCTTTTCACGTATACATCTAAGTTTCTCTTTATATTATAAATTACAACACTTACAAATAAAGTGATTTATTTCACAAATATAAAATACATGCTGTCAAGTTTGGCTAAGTTTCCAGAAGTACACAGTCACTCTCATCTGAGATGTGCAGACTGCAAGGAAATGTGTTTGGGGGTTTAGAAAGCCACTCGTGGACACCTGAAGGTGGGGATGCCTGTTTGATGACCCAGGAGACAGCTGAGACAACTGGACACAGGATTGTAGAGCTCAGGGGCGACGCCTGCAGGGGACATGGAGTCGTGTAAGTGGGTTAAAGCTGTGAGATGATAAGGTTCAAGGTGATTTGAGTCTAATCCCCTGATTTTAATCATCTTGTGCTTTTTTTTTTTTAATATTTGGAGAACTGGAATCCCTTTAAAATTCGAGTTAAAACTGAGCACTACCTCTCCCAGAAGAAAAGTCACACACTGTATTTTGTCAGTCATTTCAGGGGTCAGTGTCACTCTGACTGAGCTTTTCCGGTCTTATTCCTCACCTCTATGTTACAGGTGGGCTCACTGAGGCTCACAGTGGGAGACATTTCACCAAGTTATTCTGAGATGCTCTGAGGTGAGGAGGAAGGACATGTGGCTGATTCCCATGTGATTGCCTGAAAGGGCCAATAGGCTGCCTTGGTCTTCCTCCTCTAGAAAATTTCCAGACCAGTCAGGAGCGGTGACTCACCCTTGTAATACCTAACTAGATATCTACATGGAAAAGAATAATATTGGATCTCTATGTCACACCATGAAAAATTTTATTTAAAAACGGTTTAAAAAAAAAAAAAAGGCCAGGCGGGGTGGATCACATCTGTAATCCTAGCAGTTTGGGAGGCTGAGGCGGGCAGATCACAAAGTCAGGAGTTCAAGATCATCCTGGCCAATATGGTGACATCCCGTCTCTACTAAAAATACACAAATTAGCCAGGCGTGGTGGCGGGGGCCTGTAGTCCCTGCTACTCAGGAGGCTGAGGCAAAAGAATTGCTTGAACCCAGGAGGTAGAGGTTGCAGTGAGCTGAGATCATGCCACTGCACTCCAGCCTGGGTGACAGAGCGAGACTCCATCTCAAAGAAAAACAAACAAACAAACAAAAATTCCAGGACCATCTTATATACCTGAGCAAACGAAACTTCTTTCAAGTTGTAAGGTTCTGATGGCATCAATCCCAAACATATCATTACTCACTCCCAGAAAAATGTTCAAAATACACACAACTGTGCACACATAGCAATAGATGTTTAAAACACTGAAAAAGAGGCAGCTGTAGAAATGAGATCTGAGCAAATGCTTTTCTCAAGAACACATGGGCTCTGCTAAACCAAGGTTCCAAGTCAATCCAGCCCATCCTTCAACATCTGTAGAGAATATTATGGACCAGAGGGAATTGAGGGGACACTTACTTAGAAGCTCACAGATTACCATTTTTTCAGATGACATAAGAAAAAAAAATGGAATAGGCTACTTCAACTGAATTTTCATGTTAGGGTAAAGAAAAAAGGTCCTTGATATCATTATCAAGTACACACTGAAACAACCTAACAACATATATCACATAGTAGAAAATGTTTTCGATATATGATAAAGACTAGAAAGCACACAGACCTCAATGTAAACTCAAAAAAATTTCATAGAGAAACAATTTTAAAATGGTTAAAAAATACAGATCTAATGAAATCTTGGGCCAAAGGAGAAATATTTGAAAATATATCATACTTTGAAAACAATGAGGACAGGCATAGTGACTCACGCCTATAATCCCAGCACTTTGGGAGGCCGGGGCAGGAAGACCACAATGTTAGGGGTTCGAGACCAGCCTGGCCAATATGGAGAAACTATGTCTCTACTAAAAATACAAACATTAGCAGGGCATAGTGGTGCACACCTGTAACTCCAGCTACTCAGGAGGCTGAGGCAGGAAAATCGCTTGACCCCAGGAGGCGGAGTTTGCAGTGAGACGAGGTCGTGCCACTAGACTCCAGAGTGGGTGACAGAGAGTCTCAATAAATAAATACATATATCTAAACATTAGCCGGACCTGGTGGGGTGTGTCTGTGGCCCCAGCTACTCCGGAGGCTGAGGTGGGAAAATCACTTGAGCCCAGGAGGTTGCCGCTGCACAGTGCTGTGATCCTGCCACTGCACTCCAGCCTGGGAAACAGTAAAAGTGTCTCAAAACAATAACAAAGGCCGGGCGCAGCGGCTCATACCTGTAATCCCAGCACCTTGGGAGGCTGAGGTGGGAGGATCACCTGAGGTCAGGAGTTCAAGACCAGCCTGACCAAGATGGAGAAACCCCATCTCCACTGAAAATACAAAATTAGCCGGCCATGGTGGTGTGTGCCTGTAATCATAACTACTCAGGAGGCTGAGGCAGGAGAATCACTTGAACCCCAGAGGCAAAGGTTGCAGTGAGCAAGATCGCACCATTGCACTTCACCCTGGGCAACAAGACCAAAACTCCGTCAAAAAAAAAAAAAAAAAAAAAAAAACCACCACAACAAAAATAAGTAAATTAAAACTAAAATTAAAAAATAAAAAACAATTACTGAGGCCAAGTGTGGTGGCTCACGCCTGTAATCATAGCACTTTGGGAGGCCAAGGCGGTGGATCACAAGGTCATGAGTGCAAGACAAGTCCCGCCTAGATGGTGAAAACTGTCTCTACTAAAAATACAAAAATCAGACAGGTGTGGCTGCAGGTGCCTATAATCCCAGCTGCTTGGGAGGCTGAGGCAGAGAATTCCTTGAACCCAGGAGGCAGAGGTTGCAGTGAGTCAAGACTGCTCCACTCCACTCCAGCCTGCGTGACACAGAGAGACTCCATCTCAAAAATTAAAAAAAAAAAAAAAAAAAATGAAATGAAGAGGAACTAGAAAAAAGGAAACCAATTACAAAAAGAGAACAAAAGCACTTTTAATACTCCTTTCATCACGTTCCATATAGTAACAGAGTCAGTCACTTCTTACCCTACTTCTCTCCCCCACTCCCGACCCCAGCCATGAAAAGGGAAGAGGGTGATCCACAACGAATGAGTCAAGTCACTGTCCTCTGGCTGAAGAGGGGTTGCAGAGGGAAGCTGCCTCTGACGCCATCATTATAAAATGAACCACACTTAGACACAGGAGTTTGGCAACTCTCATTCTCATCTGTATAATTTAAACTAATTTTAAATTTGTTACCTTATAAACAGAGAAAACAACATGTCATCACTTCATCATCACATCCAATCAACTCACCACTCATCTGCACCCAGGGTCCCTCTTCGTCTTCATTACTGCTTCCCTCCATCATTCTATGCATAGCCCTTTCTCACTTTCTCTCTCCATCTGTTTCTTTTCTGCATTTCCCCCTGGGCTTCTGCTCATTTTATGCCCCTCTCCTGTTTTGCTCCATTCTTTTTTGGTTTTTTTGAGACAGAGTTTCGCTCTTATTGCCCACGCTGAAGTACAATGGTGCGATCTCAGCTCACCACAACCTCTGCCTCCTGGGTTCAAGTGATTCTCCTGCCTCGGCCTCCTAATCCAAAATTAGCAGGGCATGGTGGCGCATGCCTGTAATCCCAGATACTCAGGGGGTAGTATCGCAGGAGAATCGCTTCAACTCTAAAGGCACAGAGAGTCATTAGCCAAGATTGTGCCATTGCACTCCAGCCTGGGCAACAGGAGTGAAACTCCACCTCAAAAAACTAATAATAATAATAATAATAATTAGTATGTAGGCCGGGCGCGGTGGCTCATCCCTGTAATCCCAGTACTTTGCAAGGCCAAGACGGGGGAACCTTTGAGCCCAGGATTTTGAGACCACCCCGGGAAACATACTGAAACCCTGTTTCTACAAAAAAACAAACAAAGAAAAAAAAAACTACTAGCTGGGCTTGGTGTCTCACACCAGTGGTCTCAGCTACTCAGGAGACTGAGGGAGGATCGCTTGAGCCTAAGAGGTCGAGGCTGCAGTTAGAGTAGATAACGCCATTGTACTCCAGCTGAGCGACAGAGCCAGACCCTATCTCAAAATATTAATTAATTAATTAAAAGTATTATGTAATAACAGCGATTTTTTTTTCCCACCACTTCCTACCCCACCATGGGAAAAGGGAAGAGTGACCCACAATTGAATGTCACTGCCCTCGGTCTGAATAGGGATTCCAAGTGGAAGCTAACCTCTGATACCAATATTTATAGAACATACATGGCTCACAGATAGGACATTTAAAATTCTCAAACTCATCTGTATAATTTAAACAAGTTATTAGATTTTATAGACAGAAGTCAACATGTCACAACTAATCATATCCAATGAACTCACACACTCATCTGTACCCAAAGTCCCCCACCCTTTTTTTTTTTTTTTTGAGACAGGGTCTTGCTCTTTTGACCAGGCTGGAGTACAGTGGCATGATCTCTGCTCACAGCAGCCTGGAGCTCCTGGGCTCAAGTGATCCTCCAGCCTCCGCCTACAGAGTAGCTGAAATTACAGCTGCACACTATCATGCCCCGTTAATTTTTTCTTTCTTTTTGAAAGAGATGGGGTGTCTATTTTGCCTAGGCTGGTCTTGAACTCCTGGACTCAAGCAATCCCTCTGCCTCAGTCTCCTAAAGTGCTGGGATTACAGGCATGAGCCACTGCACCTGGCCCCTCTTTCTTCATTACTGTGCTTCCCTCTCTAATTCTGTACATATCTCTCATTCTCCCCTTCTCTCTCTAGCTCTTGTTTTCTTTTCTTTTTCCCTGGGATTGTGCTCCTCATTTTGTACCCCTCTACTCTCCTGCTATTTATCCCCTTCTTCCCTCTATTACTCCTCTTCCACCTCTTCTGCTCCATCCTCACAACTTATTTAACCGCTTTTTTTTTGAGAAAGAGTTTCACTCTTGTTGCCCAGGCTGGAGTGCAATGGTGCGATCTCGGCTCACCGCAACCTCCGCCTCCCAAGTTCAAGCGATTCTCTGGCCTCAGCCTCCCTAATAGCTGACATTACAGGCATATGCAACCGCGCCCAGCTAGTTTTGTATTTTTAGCAGGGATGGGGTTTCTCCATGTTGGTCAGGCTGGTCTCGAACTCCGGATCTCAGGTGATCCGCCCGCCTAAGCTTCCCAAACTGCTGGGATTACAGGCATGAGCCAAAGCGCCCGGTCCTTATTTAACCTCTTGTTGCTCCTTCTCCCCAATCTTTTGATCGTCCTCAATCTCTACATATTACCGCCTCTTATCTCTGCGTCTCCTCTGCTCTCCCTGTTAAATTCTCTCTTCCCTGTTACGCCCCCCTGTCCCCACTCTCTAGCACCCCAGATCCCCCGGTGTCCTCCCTGCTGTGTTTCTCCCTCTGTTCTCATTGCCACCAGCACCACTCTGCGGGTTTGGGGTAAGACACCCGCATCGCGGAGAAGCGCATTTTCCGGAGGGTGGAGCTGGGCAGGCAAGAATACCCGGTGTCATAGGACAAGCCGCTGGGACCTGCCCTACGCTGGTTCAGGGGAAGCGGTGACTGCGAAGGGAAGAATTGGGGAGCAGCAGGGCCCACCACGAGGGGGGATGTAGGGGGCGACGGCGCCTTAAGACAAGGGTGGCACCTGCAGAATTCCAGGACCAGGCAGAAGACGCAGCCTCCCCAGGACTGGGGACACAGCGCTTCGCTCCAGGGGCCGAAGACGGAGAGGCTGGGAGGCGCCCAGGGCGGGAATCCACCTCGCGGGTCGGGGACTTTAAAAAGAACGGGGTGGGTGGAGTCAGCACAGGGTTTTGACCAGGAAAACTAAGCGACAGGAAGTGTATACACTGCCCTATAGCAGAAAGACCGGGGTTGGGACCAGCCTCCGGACGAGTTCAAACCCAAAAGCAAGCAACTTCCGGACTCTTACGGGGACATCTCAATTTGCTCTGGATGAAGGAAGACAGGCGAGAATTTCCAGGTCCGTGGGGACCCCACTTTCCAGGGACAGACGCGCCAGGGACCTGGGAAGCGCAAACTTAATACAAGGCAGAGCAAAACTCACGCGCCGCGGTACGACCTTCACTCCACGCGATCCGCCTCGGGGTTTGCGCGCCCAGGACTGAAGCCAGGCCTGGGCGGGGCCGGCGAACAGTTTGGCGGGGCCTGGGCGGGGTAGAGGCGGGGCGCGAGGCAGAGAGACCTTGCCCTTTAGAACCGACAGAGGGCGGGGCCGGGGCGGGACCTGTGCATCCCTCCGCCTCGCACCCAGCGCCTGTTTTTTTCGGTGTTTGGAGGTGAGAGCGGCCAGGAAGGCTGAAGCATGATTCAAAAGCCCTGGAATTGTCTGGAACGGGCATGCAAACTAAAATGTGAAATGCAAAGCCCTGCCGGGGCGGAATATACGATTTCATGCTGATGGCCCACAGAACATAACAGAAATCCTCCCCCTTTCTATTCTCCATTCATTCAGGAGGGAGGGTCCACCCTGTGCTCAGCTTCAGAGACTTCCCTAGGGCCTCCGCCTGGGATGCGGGACGGAGTGCTCAGGCCAGGGAGGAGTGAGGTCACCACCTGCTGCCTAAACACAGCAGGGATGCGGGCACGGGGCGGAAGCCTGAGGTCCCAGCTACTCAGGAAGCAGCGGCGGGAGAATCGCTGAACCTGGGGGTCCAGGCCAGCCTGGGTGACAAAGTAACACCCCCTCCCGCAGGGCTCCCTCCCTCGTCTCTCCCTCGCTCTTTTCCTTTTCTCTCTTTTTTTTTTTTTTTTTTTTTTTTTGAGACGGAGTCTCGCTCTGTCACCCAGGCTGGAGTGCAGTGGCACGATTTTGGCTCACTGCAAGCTCCGCCTCCCGGGTTCACGCAATTCTCCTGCCTCAGCCTTTGGAGTAACTGGGACTACAGGCGCCCACCACGACGCTCGGCTAATTTTTTGTATTTTTAGTAGAGATGGGGTTTCACCATGTTAGCCAGGATGGTCTTGATCTCCTGACCTTGTGATCCGCCCACCTCAGCCTCCCAAACTGCTAGGATTACAGATGTGATCCACCCCGCCCAGCCTTTTTTTTTTTAACCCGTTTTTAAATAAAATTTTTCATGGTGTGACATAGAGATCCAATATTATTCTTTTCCATGTAAATATCCAGTTAGTTGTCCCAGCACATTTGTGAAAGAGATCTATTACTTTCTCTTTTTTTACTTTTTTCTTTCCTTTTATTTTTGAGACAGAGTATTTCTCTGTGGCCCATGCTGGGGTGCAGTTGCGAGATCGTGGCTCACTGCAGCCTCTGCCTCCTGGGTTGAAGCTATTCTTCTGCCTCAGCCTTTCGAGTAGCTGGTATTACAAGCGCACACGACCATGCCCAGCTAACTTTCATATTTTTGGTAGAGACGGGGTTTCACCATGTTGGCCAGGCTGGTCTAGAACCCTGACTTCAAGTGATCCGCCAGCCTCGGCCTCCCAAAGTGCTGGGATTACACTCGTGAGTCACCATGCCTGGCCCAGGAAATATTCTTTACTTCACTTTTTAAATGTGAGAAAATATAATTGAAAAACAAAGAGTCTTCCCCCAAATGAGAAATCATCTCCACGACGATAATAGAGAAAGAAAGAAAAACTACTTCATTAATAAATAAGCTTTAGACCAGAATGTGATGGGAAATAGAGGCAAACAGCTAAGAGGTTGAAAAGAGAGAAAGAAACTTCAGTGTTCTATACAACCCATTAAGGACATGTTTTCAAGATAAACAGTAATCAGTCCTCAGGGAAGAGGACTTGAAAAGCCCTTGGTCACACATAGTTCATCCTGGCTCTACTTGGTAATGGAGGTGACCATCTCTGTCAGCTAACAAGCTTCATCCCGAGGGAGGGGGAGAAACCCTAACACTAAGCCTAATACAAAAATTAGCTGGGCATGGTGGCAGGCGCCTGTAATTTCTCTCTATTTTTAGTAGAGACAGGGTTTCACCACGCTAGCCAAGCTGGTTTTGAAATCCTGACCTCAAGTGATCCGGAAGCCTCGGCCTCCCAAAGTGTTGTGATTACAGGCTTGAGCCATGACAGTCAGCCAGGAAAACTCCTAGAAGTTGCACCTGCATTCCACTAGACTCTGGTTGCATGACCACATTCCTCTCAAGGCTCAGAATTATTTAAATGTCCATAGCTTTAAATTGGAATCATTTGATGTTTGAATTACTTAATTTCCTACTGAGACACAGGTACAATCTATCTTGTTGCTTGCCTTTTTTTTTTTTTTTTTTTTTTTTGGAGACGGAGTCTCACTTTGTCACCCAGGCTACAGTGCAGTGGCACAATCTTGGCTCACTGCAACCTCTGCCTCTCAGGTTCAAACAATTTTCCTGAGTAGCTGGGACTACAGGCATGTGCCACCATGCCCGGCTAATTTCTTCGTATTTTTAGTAGAGACAGGGTTTCAACATGTTTGTCAGGCGGTGTCGAACTCCTGACCTCGGGATTGACCCGCCTTGGCCTCCCAAAGTGCTGGGATTACAGGCGTGAGCCACTGCGCGTGGCTGTTGTTTGCCTTTCAAGGAGCTCCCAAGTTCTTCAGAAATACATCCCTGGGCCGGGCGCAGTGGCTCACACCTGTAATCCCAGTACTTTGGAAGGCCAAGGCTGGAGAATCATCTGATATCAGAAGTTCAAGACCAGCCTGGCCAACATGGTGAAACCCCGTCTCTACAAAACTATAAAAATTAGCCAGGCATTATAGCGGGTGCCTGTAGTCCCAGCTACTCTGGAAGTTGAAGCAGTAGAATCTCATGTACCTGGGAGATGGAAATTGCAGTGAGCCGAGATCGCACCATTTAACTCCAGCCTGGGCAACAAGAGCGAAACTGTGTCTCCGTTGGAAAGGAAAGAAAAGAAAACAACAGAAAAGGAAATAAAAGAAAATTAAACAAAAGAAAAGAAAGAAAACATACTACCTCAGAAAACAGAAAATGCACTTGCAAATTTTCTAATAAATGTCCTAAGAAAAGAGATGAAAGGAAAGAAAATCTCCTTCTTTAATTTCAAAGGAGGAATTATACCTCTCATTTATTGGCTTGTTTGTTTGAGATAGGGTGTAGCTCACTCACCCAGGCTGGAGTGTGGTGGCAAAAACAGGGCTCACTGCAGCCTTCAACTCCCTGGGTCAAGTGACCCTTCCACCTTTTTCATCAAGCATTTGGAAGAGATATCTACAAAATATAAACACCAATACGTTTCCAATTAAGTCCAGAAGGTAAAACATACTGAAATGTGTAAATATGACACAAAAAACAATACTTATTTTGAACTTCCCAAACATGATCTTCAAAGTTTAGGAACACAAAAGGAGTAAGATTCTTTAATAAATACTTAATAAATACTTTACGTGTACTTCAAATCATTTCTATGGAAGCCTATTTCCAATATGACAAAACGCTGACAGGGCACAAACATGTGTAAGCCTAAAGTAAGGAGTATTTTTCCACTGTGACCCTAAAATGTATCACAGTTTGCAAAAAACATATCACTGTCACATCAATGAAAAGTATAGATCCTTCATATTTACACAATATCTACTGTACACAAATAAATCCTAAAAGACCACACAATATATTATATTGGTAAATAATCCACCAGAAGCTTATGTAAGGGTAACCAAAATCAATTGAAATTCTGTATTATCAAATAATCGTAGCACAGAGAAGATAAGAAAAGATTCCAAAAATCAGCCAGGCGTGGTGGCGGTCACCTGTAGTCCCAGCTACTCAGGAGGCAGAGGCACAAGAATCACTTGAACCTGGGAGGCAGAGATTGCAATGAGCCAAGATTGTGCCACTGCACTCCAGCCTGAGTGACAGAGCGAGATTCCATCTCAAAAAAAAAAAAATGTTAATACAACCTTTTTCTGAATACCTGTCATAAAATTACCTAAATCCACGCAGAACAGGCACTTATTGAAATTAACAAGTGCAGTGTGTCAGTTCCATTACATATCATATACTGAAAAGCCATATGTGAAATCTTAAATATTAATCAGTAAACTATTCTAACCCATGATAAAACCAGCAAGCAAATAATAAGTACATTTATACAGCCTGCAGAATTCTAAACAATTCTCTCTCAAGAAAAAAGCCACAACTTCTACTTACCACCAGCACACACTATAAGACTGAAATACATGTTAAGATCACTACCTTCTGATGTATGAGTTCAAGTAAATACACAGCATTAAAAGGAATAAGAACTGACTAACAGTGTCAGAGGGTGCAATTACAATGTCACAAGTACAGTTACATAACACCAGGCAATACAGCAATTTTATATATATTCATTGCCCTTAGTTATCTAGTTACTGTGTGTAAAATATAAAACATAGAATGTGTACTGGGAAAATTTATAAACTGAGATCACAGAAAACATTGTATAAAACAAATTGCACAATAAAAACATCAAAAATATGATGCAGACTTCCTGGTCTGAATGTTTATATTGGCCAAAAGCGATGTTCAGAGTTCTTATTGTCCAATAGGATGTTCCTGCAGATGGTGCCTGTGAGAGAATTTGGTCATGCGTGTTGACTACACGTGAATACGTCTGCTTTTATTTTTATTATTAATTAATTAATTAATTTATTTATTTATTGAGATGGAGTTTCCCTCTTGCTGCCCAGGCTGGAGTGCAATGGCGCGATCTTGGCTCACCACAACCTTTGCCTCCCAGGTTCAAGCAATTCTCCTGCCTCAGCCTCCCGAGTAGCTGAGATTACAGCCACGCGCCACCACACCTACACACTAATTTTGTAGTTTTATAGAGACCGGGTTTCTCTATATTGGTCAGGCTGGTCTCGAACCCCTGACCTCAGGTGATTCGCCCACATCAGCCTTCCAAAGTGCTGGAATTACAAGTGTGAGCCACCGAACATGGCCAGGACTACTGCTTATATAAAGGGAGACATTAAAGAGCTGATTGCTATTTCTTTTTTTGTTTTTTTGAGACCAAGTCACACTCTGTCACTCAGCTTGCAGTGTAGTGGCATGATTCTCCTGCCTAAAGAGATTCTCCTGCTTCAGCCTCCTGAGTAGATGGGACTACAGACGCATGCCACCACCCTTGGCTAATTTTTCTTTTTTTGGGGGGCGGGGAGACGGAGTCTCACTCTGTCACCCAGGCTGGAGTGCAGTAGTGTGATCATGGCTCACTGCAACCTCTGCCTCCCAGCCGGGTCCAAGTAATTCTCCTGCCTCAGCCTCCGGAGTAGGTGAAATTAGAGGCGTATGTCTACATGGCCAGCTAATTTTTGTATTTTTGGTAGAGACGGGGTTTCACCATGTAGGCCAGGTTGGTCTCGAGCTCCTGGCCTTCAGTGATTTGCTCCCAAAGTGCTGGGATTACAGGAATGAGCCACCAGGCCCAACTTTGATGTTCCTTACTTTTTCTTTCTCTCTTTTTTTTTGTCAGATGGAGTCTAGCTCCGTTGCCCAGCCTGGCATGCAGTGATGCAATCTCGGCTCACTGCAACCTCTGCTTCCCGGGTTCAAGTAATTCTCCTGCCTCAGCCTCCTGAGTAGCTGGGATTACAGGCATCTGCCACCATGCCTGGCTAATTTTTGTATTTTTTAGTAGAGATTGAGTTTCACTGTGTCAGCCAGGCTGGTCTTGAACTCCTGACCTCATGATCCACCCACCTCTGTCTCCCAACGTGCTGGGATTACAGGCGTGAGCCACCATGCCTTGATGTCCCTTTTAAAAACTACTATGGGTTGAGAGTGGTGGCTCACGCCAGGAATCCCAGCACTTTGGGAGGCCGAGGCAGCGGGTCACTTGAGGTAGGGAGTTAAAGACCAGCCTGGACCAACATGAAGAAACCTCGTCTCTACTAAAAACACAAAATTAGCCAGGCATGGTGGTGCATGCCTGTACTCCCAACTACTCTGGAGAGTGAGGCAGTAGAATTGTTTGAAGCCAGGGAGCGGAGGTTGTGGTGAGCTGAGATCATGCCATCGCACGCTAGCCTGGGCAAAAAGAACAAAACTCCCTCTCAAAAAAAAGGGGGGGGCTATGTAGGCCAGACGCGGTGGGCCATCCCTGTAATCCCACCTGTAATCCCAGTAATTTGGGAGGCCAAGGCAGGAGGACCCTTTGACCCCAGGGTTTTGAGAACAGCCTGGGAAACATAGTGAAACCACGTTTCTACAAAAAAAAAAAATATATATATATATATATATGTAAACTAGCTGGGCTTGGTGGCTCATGCCTCTGGTCCCAGCTACTCAGAAGGCTGAGGTAGGAGGATCACTTGAGTCCAAGAGGTAGAGGCTACAGTTAGAGGATCACGCCACTGCACTCCAGCCTGTGTGATACAGCCAGACCCTGACTCAAAATATCATTTAATTAATTAAATTAAAAGTATTATGTAATAACAGACAGCGACTTTTTTCCCACTTCTCTACCCCACATCCTCCCAATCCTAGGAAAAGGGAAGACAGTGATTCACAACTGAATAAGTCACTTCCCTCTGGTTGAATAGGGATTCCAAGTGGAACATAACCTCTGATGCCAAGATTTATAGAATGTACATGTTTTATAGACACCAATTTTAAAATTCTCAATCTGTATAATTTAAACAAGTTTTTAGTTATTAGATTATATACAGGGAAGTCAACATGTCACAACTAATCATATCCAATGAACTCATCCACTGATCTAAACCCAGTCTCTCGCCCCATTTTTTCTTTTGAGACAAGATCTCGCTCTGTTGACCAGGCTGCAGTGTAGTGGCATGATCTCAGTTCACTGCAGCCTGGACCTCCTGAGCTCAAGTCATCCTCCTACCTCCACCTCCAGAGCAGCTGGGAGTACAGGTGCACACGATTATGCCCCGTTATTTCCTTTTTTTTTTTTTTGGCAGAGATAGGGGTCTCACTATGTTGCCCAGGCTGGTCTCGAACTCCTAGACTCAAGCAATTCTCTTGCTTCAGTCTCCTAAAGTGTGGAGACTACAGGCGTGAGCCACTGTGCCTAGCCCCCCTTTCTTCATTACTGCGCTTCCCTCCCTAATTCTGTACATATCTCTCATTCTCCCCCTTCTCTCTCTAGCTCTTGTTTTCTTTTCTTTCTCCCTGGGATTCTGCTCTTCATTTTGTACCCCTCTTCTCTTCTGCTGTTTATCCCCCTTCTTCCCTCTATTCCTTCTCTTCCATCTCTTCTGCTCCATCCTCGCAACTTATTTAACCTCTTATTGCTCCTTCTCCCCAATCTTTCAATCGTCCTCAATCTCCATCTATTTCTGCCTCTTCACCCATCTCTGCGCCTCCTCTGCTCTCCCTGTTAAATTCTCTCTTCCCTGATATACTCCCCTGTCCCCACTCTGTGTCACCCCAGATCCCCAGGTGTCCTCCCTGCTGTGTTTCTCCCTCGGTTCTCCTTGACACCAGCACCACTCTGCTCTGTCTGCCCTGGCTCCAAATCCCTCCCTCTCTCCCTCACTCTGATGAGCCTCCCTCTTTGCTGCCACTCTCCCTACCTTGCCGTCCTTCATCTCTGTGTACATCTAGCTTTTCTCTACATTTCTCCAGTTGCTTTTCTCCACCTGCTTTTCTAGGTATTTTGTTGCTTTCTTTTTCCACTTTCACCATATCTTGGCATATCCCTCACCAATCCTCTATTTTGCCATCTGTTATGGGCCTTTCTTATTCTTTCTCTGTCTCAGGTTTTCTACTGCTGTCTGTCTCCTGATCCCTTCGGCCCACACAATCGCAGGAGGGTTTGGAGTAAGACGCCTGCATCCCGGAGGAGCGCGTTTTCCAAGGGCTGGAGCTCGGCAGGCAAGAAGACCCCATGTCACAGGACAGGGCCCTGCGTCCTTCCCAGTGTGGGTTCAATGGAAGCGGTGACTGCGGAGGAGAGACCTGGGGAGCCGCAGGCTCTGGCACGAGTAGGGAGGTGGGAGGAGGGGGGACGGCGCCTTGGGAGAAGGATGGGGTCTGCAAGATCCCAGGACCAGGCAGAGGACGCGGCCTCCCTGGGACTGGGGCTGCGGCGCGACGCTCCAGGGGCCGACGAGGGGTGGCTGGGAGGTGCGCCCCGGGCAAGAATCCACCTCGTGGGTGAAGACTTTAAATAGCGCGAGGAGGGAAGAGTCAGAAGAAGGTTTTGAGCAGAAAAACTACGCAATAGAAAGTGTATACATTGCCCTATAGCAGACAGACCCGGGACGGGACCAGCCTCCAGACGACTTTAAACCCGAAAGGAAGCGACACCCGGCCTCTCACTGGGCTGTCTCAATTTGCTCTGGGCGAAGGAAGACGGGCGAGAATTTCCAGGTCTGTGGGGACCCCACGTCCCAGGGACAGAAGCGGCGGGGACCTGGGAAGCGGAGACTTAATGCAACACAGAGCAAAACTCACCATGGCGACGTGACCTTCACTCCACCCGATCCGCTTCCGGGTTTGCGTTAATCTCCGCGCGCAGGACGGAAGCCAGGCCTGGGCGGGAGGTGGGAGGAGGTGGGCGGGGCCTGGGCGAGGTAGCGGCGGGGCGCGAGGCGCTGAGACCTTGCCCTTTAGAACCGGCAGAGGGCGGGGCCGGGGCGGGGCCGGGGCGGGACTTGCGCGTCTTTCAGCCTCTCTCCTAGCGTCTCTGTTTTTAGGTTGTGGAGGCGAGAGCGCCAGAAAGTCTGAGGCATGATTCCAAAGCCCTGGAATTGTCTGGAACCGGGATGCAAACTAGAATGTGAAATGCAAAGCCCTGCCTGGGCGGCATGTACGATGTCATGGTGACGGCCCACGGAACAGAATAGATGTCCTCTCCCTTTCTATCTCCATTCACTAGGGAGGGAGAGTCCACCCTGAGCTCAGCTTCAGAGACTTCCTTAAAGCCACCGCCAGGGGTGCGGGACGGAGTGCTTAGGCCAGGAAGGAGTGAGGTCACCACCTGCTGCTTAAACACAGCAGAGGCGCGGGGGCGGGAGCCTCAGGTCCCAGCTACTCAGGAAGCAACGGAGAGAATTGCTGAGCCTGGGGTCCCAAGCCAGCCTGGGCGACAAAGTAACACCCACTGCGGCAGGTCTCCCTTCCTAGTCTCTCTCTCTCTCTTTCCCTTTTTTTTTTTTTGGAGACAGAGTCTCACTCCGTCGCCCAGGCTGGAGTGCCGTGGAGTGATCCCAGCTCACTAGAACTTCCGCCTCCTGGTTTCAAGCGATACTCCGGCCTCAGCCTCCCGAGTAGCTGGGACTACAGGCATGCGCCACCATGCCCAGTTAATTTTGTATATTTAGTAGAGACAGGGTTTCACCATGTTAGCCAGGCTGAACTCCCGACCTCAGGTGATCCGCCCACGTCGGCCTCCCAAAGTGCTGGGATTACAGGCGTGAGCCACCGCGCCCGGGCCTTTTCCCTTTTTAAAAAAAAAAAAAAAACTTTTTTAAATAAAATTTTTGATGGTGTGACATAGGGATCCAACATTACTCTTTTCCATGTGGATATCCAGTTAGTTGTCCCAGCACATTTGTGGAAGAGATCTATTACTTTATTATTATTATTATTATTATTACTATTATTGAGACACAGTATTTCTGTTGCCCAGGCTGGAGTGCAGTGGCGAGATCTCAACTCAATGCAGCCTCTGCCTCCTGGGTTCAAGCGATTCTCCTGCCTCAGCCTCGGGAGCAGCTGGCATTACAGGCGCGTGCCACGATGCCCGGTTAATTTTTGTATTTTTCATAGAGACGGGGTATCACTACGGTGACCTGGCCGGTATCGAACTCCTCACTTTAAGTTATTTGCCTGTGTCAGCCTCCCAAAATGCTGGGATTACATGCGTCAGCCAACATGCCTGGCCCAAGAAATATTCTTTACTTTGCTTTTTAAATGTTGACAAAATATAATTGAAAACTAAAAAATATTATCCCAAATGAGAAATCATCTCCACGACGATAACAGAGAAAGAAATAAAAACCATTTTGTTAATAAATAAACCTTAGGACCGGGCATGGGGGCTCACGCTTGTAATCCCAGCACTTTGGGAGGCTGAAGCAGGCGGATCACGAGGTCAGGAGATCGAGGTCATCCTGGCTAACATGGTGAAACCCCGTCTCTACTAAAAATACAAAAAAATTAGCCAGGTGTGGTGGCGTGCACCTGTGTCCCAGCTGCTGGGGAGGCTGAGGCAGGAGAATGGCGTGAACCCAGGAGGCGGAGCTGGCAGTGAGCCAAGATAGCACCACTGCACTCCAGCCTGGGTGACAGAGCAAGACTCGGTCTCAAAAAAAACAAAAAAAAAAAATCAGCCGGGCGTGGTGCCCAGCGCCTGTAGTCCCAGCTACTCGGAGAGGCTGAGGCAGAAGAATGGCGTGAACCCAGAAGGCGGAGCTTGCAATGAGCCGAGATCGCACCATTGCACTCTAGCCTGGGCGACAGAAGAGATTCCGTCTCTAAATAAATAAATCAATAAGCCTTGACCAGAATGTGATGGGAAATAGAGGCAAACAGCTAAGAGGTTGAAAAGAGAGAAAGAAACTTCACTGTTCTATACAACCCATTAAGGACATATTTTCAAGATAAACACTAATCAGTCCTCAGGGAAGAGGACTTGACAACACCCTTGGTCGCACATAGTTCATCCTGGCTCTACTTGGTAATGGAGGTGACCATCTGTGTCAGCTAACTAGCTTCATCCCGAGGGAGGGGAAGAAACCCTAACCCATGTCTTTTTGGCAAGTTTGAGTTTTACAACATGGCGACAGGTGCCCTCTCTGGTCAGGCGCCTACCATACGACAGAAATTGATGTCAGCAGTAAATAATAAAATTTAAAATATATGATTAAGTACAGAGTTAATGTGAACACAAAGCTTGAAGAAAGCCACCTGGAAACATCAACTCCAAATAAATGGGATCAGCGTTCCAAAGTAGAGACGTTAAGGTTTCACACACAGGGAAAGACAGAGATGCTTTAGCAGAATCACCACGTTTTCCATTCAAGACCAGTGCATAGGTTGCAGCAAGTTGATTGGTGATGGATTGATACACTTCAAGGAAGGTTACTTTATCACTGCGTAAGAAGGCACAATGCTCTGAGGAGGTCATATCGCTGGGGCTGCTTAGTCTTCCTAATTATTTTTTTTATTTTTATTGCTATTTATGTATTTATTTTGAGATGGAGAATCGCTCTGTCGCCAGGATGGAGTACAGTGGCGCAATCTCGGCTCACTGCAACCTCCGACTCCCTATGCTCATGGCTCAGCCTCCAGAATAGACGGTACTAGAGGCATGCACCAACATGCCCAGCTAATTTTTGTATTTTTATTAGGGACGGGGTTTCACCATGTTGGCCAGTATGATCTCTGTCTCCTGACCTCGTGATCTGCCAGCCTCAGTCTCCCAAAGTGCTGAGATGACAGGCGTGAGCCACTGTGCATGGCCAGTTTTCCAAATTATTTACAGGAAAACTCTTAGAAGTTGCGCCTGCATTCCACTGGACTCTGGTTGCATGACCACATTCCTCTCAAGGCTCAGAATTATTTAAATATCCATTGCTTTAAATTGGAATCACTTGATGTTTGAATAATTTAATTTCCTACTGAGACACAAGTGCTATCTCTGTTGTTGGTTGCCTTTCAAAGAGAGCTCCCAAGTCCTTCGGAAATACATCCCTGGGTCATTAAGCTAAAAAACAGTTTAGTTCTTTTCTAAAAAAATTCCACTTCTGGTCGAGTGCAGCGGCTCACACCTGTAATCCCAGCACTTTGGGAGGCAGAGGCGGGCGGATCGCCTGAGGTCAGGAGTTTGAGACCAGTCTGACCAACACGGAAAAACCCTTCTCTACTAAAAATACGAAATTAACCGGGCGTGGCGGCACATGCGTGCAATCCCAGCTACTCGGGAGGCAGAGGCAGGAGAATGGCTTGAACCCGGGAGATGGAGGCTGCAGTGAACGGAGATCACGCCATTCCACTCCAGCGTGGGCTACAAGCGCGAAACTCTGTCTCAAATAACATACCGCTTCAGAAGACAGAGAAAATTCATTTACACATTTTCTAAATAAATATCCTAAGAAAAGAGACTACATGAAAGAAAATCTCTTCCTTTATTTTTGAAGGAGGAATTACGCCTCTCACTTATTTGCTTGCTTGTTTGAGACGGGGTCTAGCTCTGTCATCCAAGTTGGAGTGTGCTGGCAAGATCAGGGCTCAGTGCAGCGTCCAACTCCCTGGCTCAAGTGATGTTTTCTTTTTTTTTTTTTTTTTTTTTTTTTTTTTTTTTTTTTTGAGACGGAGTCTCGCTCTGTCGCCCAGGCTTGAGTGCAGTGGCGGGATCTCGGCTCACCAAAACCTCCGCCTCCCGGGTTCGAGCGATTCTCCTGCCTCAGCCTCCCGAGTAGGTGGGATTGCAAGCATGGGCCACCATGCTCAGCTAATTTTTTTGTGTTTTTAGTAGAGACGGAGTTTCTCCTTGTTGGTAAGGCTGGTCTCGAACTCCCGACCTCAGGTGATCTGCCCGTCTCAGCCTCCCAAAGTGCTGGGATTACAGGCGTGAGCCACTGCGCCCGGCCTCAAGTGATGTTTTCATCTCAGCGCCCCGAGCAGCTGAGAACACAGGTGTGCACCACCACATCTGGCTGATTTTTTTTTTATTTTTAGTAGAGACGAGGTCTCACTATTATGCCCTGGCTGATCACACACTCCTGGGTTCAAGCAATCCTCCCACCTCGGCCTCTGAAAGTGCTGGGATGACAGATGTGATCCACCGCTCCGAGTTCTGGCTTTATTTCCATGAAATATGAAAATTTCCTCCACCTTTATAATAGGTGTATAATAGGCAGTTTTCCATGTCACCTTTCTATTTCCATTATCCACTCAAACAACCCAGGACCTTGCTTAGTTTACTAAGCCATTCTAATTGTCAGTCCCCTTTGTAAGCAGCGCCCCACTCCACCCCTTTACCGAGGTACCTGCCCCTGTCCCCCGTCCTGCCCCAGCCTGAGGGGAGCTCGCCCCGCCTGCAGGATGCGCGACTCTACCTGCTCAAAAAAGGCGCTTTACATTAAAACCGTTTTCAACTTCAGAGAAAAAACGATTCAGCGTTCAGTACAGTTGGCCCACTACAATATGTTGTTTTACCTTCGATTGTTTGAAATGCTAACTTAAAAAGGGCAGGAAGCATCCCTGTGATATTAGGGGTAATATCACGGCACACCAGAAACAATCCACCAATCAGAACCCCGGGGATCCAGTCCTGGAGGTCAAGAGGATGACAGCAGGTCACATCATGGGCCCAGCTGAGGAGAGAGCCCCCGACCCATCGCAGCCAGGCCCCGCCCTTAAGAACAACACCCCATCTCAGGTCCCGCCCCCAAACGAGGATAAACCTCTGGCCCCGCCCCGTCCCGCTGTCCAGAGCGACCTCCAAGCAGCCTCCTCCCTCTTGCCCCACCCCAGGCCCGGCCCCCACCGTCTAACCAGGCCCCGCCCCCAAAGTGATTTCAAATGCATTACCAAGTCAGATACAAACTATCTCCCTTTATTGGTCTCCTTTTTCAGAATTTACCAGATATCTGTGCACATTAACATGTATTTCATATGTTGTTTCTCTGATCTGGTCCACAAAGAGCTGACATCCAGATGTGGCCCCTGAACCATCCAGGCTGTCCAGCAGCACTGACACCAAGGGGCCCACACCCCGTGTCCATCCATGTCTGGGTGTGAGCCCCTCCCAGGACCATGCCCAGTGGAGCTTCTTAAGAAGCTCTTGTCACTGGGTCACAGGAGATGGAATCTCAGAGCAGATGAGAGGAACTGAGAAAAGGCATGGGTGAGTGCGAGTGAGCCTGTCAGGCAGGACGCTTCAGACTCAGGAAAGACTGGCTACTACAATACCTGGCATTTCAAAAAGGAAAGAGACAGATTAATCCACCGAGAAGTATCACTTCACCTGAGGAAGAGCCAGCCCTGGCTCCTTTTCTTTCCTCTTCTTGTGATACCCTACCTTGTTTGTTTGTTTGTTTCTTTGTTTGTTTTTGAGACGGAGTCTCTCTCTGTCGCCCAGGCTGGAGTGCAGTGGCCCGATCTCCGCTCACTGCAAGCTCCGTCTCCTGGGTTCACGCCATTCTCCTGCCTCAGCCTCCCGAGTAGCTGGGACAACAAGCGCCCACCACCACGCCCAGCTAATTTTTTATATATATTTAGTACAGACGGGGTTTCACCATGCTAGCCAGGATGGACTCGATCTCCTGACCTCGTGATCCGCCCGCCTCGGCCTCCCAAAGTGCTGGGATTATAGGCATGAGCCACAGCGCCCGGCTACCCTACCTCGTTTTAACCTAAGTGACTCTCCTAGAGAGAGAGCCGGACAGACTCCATTTTAGCTTCTTCACTTGCAGTGCCCTTTATCCGCCTTAAGGGAATAAATAGTGCAAGCTGACTCCAAGCACATCCAGGAATGCACCTGCTGATAAGATATTCAGGCAGGCTGTACAAGCAGCCCCTGGGAATGTGCTCGGTGGAAGGTACCTAAAAGCCGCTGCATTTATCTCTTAGTGATAGTTCAAGCCCCTGTGCCTGGAACTGTTTGTTTTTCTGTAACTATCTCTGTAACCATTAATTTTTTACTTTTTGCCTATTCTGTTTCTGTAAAATTGCTTCGGCTAGGCTATCCCCTCCCCTTCTTAGACCAAGGTATAAAAGAAAATCTAGCCCCTTCTTCAGGGCTGAGAGAATTTTGAGCGTGAAGCCATCTCTTGGTCACCAGCTAAAAAAGGACGCCTGAATTCGTCTCTAAGTATGGTGTTTCTCTAACTCGCTCTCTTACAACATTCTGAGCTGCTTCCTCATGTAACACGAGTCTTTAGAAATCAATCCTGTATGTGAAAAATGAAGGGGGCCTGCCCCTCCACACCTGCGGATATTTGTCATCAGGTGGAGATGAGAGACTGAGAAAAGAAATAAGACAGAGAGACGAACTATAGAGAAAAAACAGTGGGCCCAGGGGACCAGCACACTTAGCATGCGAGGACCTGCACTGGCGCTGATCTCTGAGTTCCCTCGGTATTTATTGATCACTGTTTTTACTATTTTCGCAAGGGGAGTGCGGCAGGGCAACAGGGTGATGGTGAGGAGAATGTCAGCAGGGAAACATATAAGCAAAGGAATCTGTATCATTAATAAATTTAAGGAAATGTACCATGCCTGGATTGTGGGGAAAAGAAAGAGAGATCAGATTGTTACTGTGTCTATGTAGAAAAGGAAGACGTAAGAAACTCCATTTTGATCTGTACTAAGGAAAATTGTTTCTGCTTTCAGATGCTGTTAACCTGTAAACTATAGCCCCAACCCTGTGCTACAGAAACATGTGCTGTAATGAATCAACATTTAATGGATTTAGGGCTGTGCAGGATGTGCCTTGTTTTGTTTTTTGTTTTGTTTTTTTTCCGAGGGGGAGTATCATTTTGTTATGGAGGCTTAGTGCAGTGGCATGATCTCGGCTCACTGCAACCTCTGCCACCCAGGTTCAAGCGATTCTCCTGCCTCAGACTCACGAGTCGCTGGAATTACAGGCGCCCGCCACCACGCCCAGCTAATTTTTGTAATTTTAGTAGAAACGGGGTTTCACCATGTTGGTCAGACTGGTCTCAAACTCCTGACATTGTGATCTGCCTGCCTCAGCCTCCCAAAGAGCTGGGATTACAGGTTTGAGTCACCATGCTCGGCCAGGATGTGCCTTGTTAACATATGTTTGCAGGCAGTATGCTTGGTAAAAGTCATCGCCATTCTCCAATCTCAATTAACCAGGGACACAATGCACTGCAGAAAGCAGCAGGGAGCTCTGCTCAAGAAAGCCTGGGTATTGTGCAAGGTGGACAATACCTTGGACAGTGTCCAAGGGGGACCCACTGAGACAACCTGAGATATGGCCTCATGGGAAAGGAAAGACCTTACCATCCCCCACCCGGACACCAGTAAACGGTCTGTGCTGAGGAGGAGTAGTAAAAGAGGGAGGCCTCTTTGCAGTCGAGATAAGAGGAAGGCTTCTGTCTCCTGCTCATCCCTGGGAATGGAATGTCTCCCTGTAAAGCTGACCATTCCCATTGGTTCCATTCTGAGACAGGAGAAAACCACCCGGTAGGTGGAGGTAAGATATGCTGGAGGCAATACTGCTCTGTTACTCTGCTACATTGAGATGTTTGGGTGAAGAGAAACGTAAATCTAGCCTATGTGCACATCCAGGCACAGTACCTTTCCTTGAACTTATTCATGATACAGATTCTTTTGCTCACTTGTTTCCCTGCTGACCTTCTCCCTACCTGTTGCCCTGCTACACTCCCCTCGCTAAGATAGTAAAAATAATGATCAATAAATACTGAGGTAACTCAGAGGCTGGCGCCGATGTGGGTCCTCCGTATGCTGAGCGCCGGTCCCCTGGGCCCACTGTTCTTTCTCTATACTTTGTCTCTGTGTCTTATTTCTTTTCTCAGTCTCTCATCCCACCTGATGAGAAATACTCACAGGTGTGGAGGGGCTGGCGCCCTTCACTGGATGTGCATGTAGGCCAGATTTATGTTTCACTTTACACAAACATTTCAGTGTAGCAAAGAGTCACAGAGCAGTATTGCTGCCAGAATATCTCACCTCCAGCCACAGGGCAGGTTTCTCCTATCGCAGAATAGAACCAATGGTCGGCTTTACACCGAGGCATTCCATTCCCAGGGATGAGCAGGAGACAGAAGCCTTCCTTTTATCTCAACTGCAAAGAGGCCTCCCTCTTTCACTACTCCTCCTCAGCACAGGCCCTTTACAGGTGTCAGGCGCGGGGATGTAAGGTCTTTCCATTCCCACAAGGACATATCTCAGGCTGTCTCAGTGGGGGGAAACTTGGACAATACCCAGGCTTTCTAGGGCAGAGGTCCCTGCGGCTTTCCGCAGTGCATTGTGTCCCTGGTTAACTGAGAATGGAGAATGGCATGACTTTTACCAAGCATACTGCCTGCAAACATATTGTTAACAAGGCACACCCTGCACAGCCCTAAATCCATTAAACCTTGATTCAATACAGCACATGTTTCTGTGAGCACAGGGTTGGGGCTAAAGTTACAGATTAATAGCATCTCAAAGCAGAAGAATTTTTCCTAGAACAGATCAAAATGGAGTTTCTTATGTCTCCCTTTTCTACAAAGACACAGTAACATTCTGATCTTTCTTTTCCCCACAAAAAAAAAAAAAAAAAGACGAGCTTTCATGTTAGAAATGACTCACTCCCTTCCTGGGGCAAAAACAGACAGGGGAGACCTCACCCTGTAGAAAGACGGTCCTCTGCTGCCCACTGCACCAGAGATCATGCAGAGATAAGAAACTACCACAGGAAGACCTACAAGTGTATATCTGACCCTGGTCTTCAGATCTCACTCCCCTCCTAGAAAAGCCCCCACACACTAGGCAGCAGTGGGGAGCTGGGCTGGACTGATCTCCCCTTCAGGGCACAGACCCATCCCTAATCAAACCGCATCCAGAGGACAACCCCTCACCTCTCTGGATCACAGGCTGAGCTCAGCACTCAGAAATGGAGGATACAGAGCTTCGATGCTCAATGCTGCACACAGATGACAAGCACCTGGGCCACTGCAGGTATTACTGAGGGTGGGTTCCATCCCGTCAGAATAAGAATCCCTGCTAAAGCAGCACAAAAGCTCTATTTGCAAAATGCTCTGCACTCTAATGTGAAGCCAGGGTTGAGCTCCACTCAGACGGGGCGAGCCCAGCACAGCCCCATGTTTTGGCTCTGCCCTCCCCTTGGGGCCTTGTTCTCACTAGGATCCAGACAGTGGATGACAAAGGCACAACAGTAATCACACAGAACAGGCAAGATAGACCACAGGTGGTGTGAGGGTTGGGCTGTGTGAAAGGAAAATGAATATGGAGCCCCAAATCACTAAGCAAAAGGTAAAATCAAGCTAGGAACTGCTTAGGAAACCAGACTCACCTTCTATTCAAAGTCACCGCTCTGCTCCCTGACATACATGCATATCTGAGTGCCTCCTTTGGCAACGCTAATCAGAAACTCAAAAGGACCCAGCACAGTGGCTAGTGTCTGTAATCCCAACACTCTGGGAGCCTGAGGTGGGCGGATAACCTGAGGTGAGGAGTTTGAGGCCACCCTGGCCAACATGATGAAACCCCATCTCTACTAAAAATACAAAAAATTAGATGGCCGTGGTGGAACATGCCTATAACCCCAGCTACTTGGGAGGCTGAGGCAGGAGAATCACTTGAACCCAGGAGACGGAGGTTGCAGTAAACTGAGATCATGTCACTGCACTCCAGCTTGGGTGGCAGAGGCTGACTCCATCTCAAAAAATAAATTGTAACCATTTTTACCAAAAACACCTGTTTCACAAGCCTCTCCACAGTAACCCCAGTCTCCATGAACTTAATGTGTTAAGAGTGGTTGAATGAATCTCCTGCTATTATTCAGGTTGATTTCCTATTCTTAAACTAATGATGGAATAAAACACCTTCTATCATTCATGTCTGTATGAACTTTCCATTCTAATTAGTACGATTTTTGGAGTCAGAAACACGAACTCAATCCATTACCTAAAAATGTAGTATAAAATCAGGGGGAAAAAAGATTTTCTGTTTTTGGTTTCGTTTTCTAGAATTTACACGTACTTTGTGCACATTCATACGCGACTCCCATTGGCAGCTGCTCTAATCCTGGTCCACAGAAAGCTGACAGAGCATCCAGATGTGGCCCCTGAACAATCCCCGCTGCCCAACAGCACTGACACCACAGGACCCTCACCCTGTCTCCATCCATGTCTGGGTGTGAGCCCTTCCCAGGACCATGCCCAGTGCAGCCTCTTCCCAAATTCATGTCACTGGGTTACAAGAGATGGAATCTAAGTGAGATGAGAGGGACTGAAGGAAGACATGGGTGTGAGCAAACCTGTCAGGCAGGACACTTGAGACCCAGAGAAGATTCCCAACTCCAAGGCCCAGGGTTTCTGAGAGGAAGGAGACAGAACAATCCACCGAGAATATCATCTCACCTGAGGAAGAGCCATTCCTGACTCCTTTGCTTTCCTCTTCCTCTTCCAGGTTTCTTCCTCACGTACCAACAGTCTTTAGAAGTCAATCATGAATGTTAAAAATGCTGTTTATTGCTCAGAATCCACACACCCCCTCCCTGGAACACAACCACACATACAGTGTCACACTCGTCCGTGTGAAGAGACCACTAAACAGGCTTTGTGTGAGCAACGAGGCTGTTTATTTCACCTGGGTGCAGGCGGGCTGAGTGTGAAAAGAGAGTCAGCAAAGTATGGTGGGATTATCATTAGTTCTTGTAGCTTTTGGGACAGGCGGTGGAGTTAGGGGCAATGCTTTGCAGGCAGGGGGTGGATCTCACCAAGTCCATTCTCAAGGGTGGGGAGGATTACAAAGAGCCTTCTGAAGGGTGGGGGAGATTACAAAGCACATTGATCAGTCAAGATGGTGCAGAAATAAATCACAATGGTGGAATGTCATCACTTAAGGGTATTTTCACTTCTTTCGTGGATCTTCAGTTGCTTCAGGCCATCTGGATGTATACGTGCAGGTGACAGGGGATACGATGGCTTAGCTTGGGCTCAGAGGCCTGACACAAAGGAGACCTCACCCTGAGCAAATACAGTCCCCCCTGCGGCCCTCCTCACCATGGAGGATAAACTCCTACAGGGAAACTCTGGCTCCCCTTCTGGAGAAGCCCACACACACATGCTGCAGCAGTTGGGAACTGGGCTGGAATGAGCTCCCCTTCAGGGCACAGACCTAAAGTTGAGGAAACCCCATGCAGAGGCTGGTTGCAGTGGCTCATGCCTGTCATCCCAGCACTCTAGGAGGCCGAGGTGGGTAGATCACTTGAGCTCAGGAGCTTGAGACCAGGGGTGGGAGGGCATGGGAGAGAGCTCTGAGCCTAGACCTGAAGGAGGAGAAAGGGACAGGGTACATAGGGTAAGAGCAGGGACAATGACCTGAGACAGGAAGGGTTTTGATGTTTGGGAAAAGAGAAAAGCAAATGTGACTGGGGCAGAGGGAGTCATGAGATGAGGGCAAGCTGCCAGGAGGAGGCTGGACACTGGCAGGGGCCCTGCACACGGGGCTGTGGAGCCACAGTGAGGGGTTGGGCTTTTGTCCTGGGGAACACGGGAAGCCGGTGGAGGGTTCCCTGCCAGGGATTGACGTGACCTGCTTTAGATTTTGCTGTGATGTCCTCATACAGAGAAAGGCCTTGAAGATGGTCTCTGTGTCTGAGTCTACCTCTATTTCTTCCATTCTTCTGCTTTTGTTTTTCATTTTTAGGGCACTGCATCCCATTGAAAATTCTAATCACAACTGGGCACTCCTCAAAAAAAAAAAAGCCACACCCAGACACGCACTCCATTTTGCCAATCATTTCAACGGTCAGGGACACTCGGGTTGACCTTTTCTGGTCAAGCCCCTCGTCGCCAAGTTGCAGGGAGGCTCACTGGGGCTCAGATCGGAAGACATTTTCACCAAGTTACCCTGAGAAGGTCTGAGATGAGTGAGAAGGTGTCTAAAGTCTTACATGGGGTCCTGGAAGGGCTAATGGCAAAGGTTGCTCTTATCACCCCCATCCTTGAAAATTAGAGAAACCTCTTTCACAAACCTGGGCTAAAGAAACTTCTTTTGCAAGGTTCTGATGACATTGATTCCTGACAGTTAATTCTTCCTTACAAAAAACTCACAGGAACATTTATAAAATGCAGAAGTGTGAACACACAGCTATTGACCTTGGAAACAGTGAAAGAGGGTCAGCTGTAGAACTAAGAAATAAGCAAATTATTTCAATCAAGAATACATGAGTGGTCAGGCACAATGGCTCACGCTTGTAATCCTAGCATTTTGGGAGGTCGAGGTGGGCAGATCACCTGAAGTCAGGAGTTCAAGACCAGCCTGCCAACATGATGAAACCCTGTCTCTACTAAAAATGCAAAAAATGAGCCGGGAGTGGTGGAGGGCACCTGTAATCCCAACTACTCAGTAGGATGAGGCAGGAGAAATCACTTGAACCCAGGAGGAAGACATTGGAGTGACACCAGATCGCACCATTGCACTCCAGCCTCAGCAACAAAAGCAAAACTCCATCTAAAAAAAAAAAAAAAAAAGAGTCTCGACGTGGTAGCTCATGCCTGTAATCCCATCACAGTGGGAGGCTGAGTCGGGTGGATCGCGAGGTCAGGAGTTTGAGACCAGCCTGACAAACATGGTGAAACCCTGTCTCTACTAAAAATACAAAAACTAGCTGGGTGTGCTGGTGGGTGCCTGTAATTCCAGCTCCTCAGGAGACTGAGGCAGGAGCATCACTTGATCCAAGGAGGTAGAGGTTGCAGTGAGCTGAGATCGCACCACTGCACTCCATCCAAGCTGACAGAGCGAGACTCCATTTCCAAAAAAGAAAAGAATACATGGGTGCTTTTGGAGCAGCGCTCTATGCCACTCCAGCCCATGTTTCAACATTTTTCCAGAATGGACCACAGGGCCTTGAGGGAAACACACAATAAATAGCTCCCAGCTCAAGATTTTAAAAAATGACATAAGGAAAGAAAACTGAAAAACAGACTAACTGCTTAAACTACATTTTGATGTTTATTTAAAAGGTCACTGACATCTTTACCAAGTACACACTGCAACAATCAAACTTAAGTAGTAGGTACCACAGCCTTCCAATAAATAACAAAGACTAGAAAGCATGCAGACCTCGATCTGAACTGGATGCAACTAATTTCAAACAGCAACTCTTTTGAAATTGTTGTAGGAAAAAAATCTCACGAATTTTGGGGTCAACCGGAAAACAACTGGAAAATATACAAGTACAGAAACGAATGATGTGAGCTGATTACAGGATGCTGCAAAGGCATCTTTCAGAAGTCATTATGTGTTAAGAAATAAAACTATTAAAACTAAGATATATCTCAAACTCAATCTGCAAAAAAGAAAAAATAAATAGAGAACTGAAGAGGAACCAGAAGGAAAAAAAAGGGAAGTCTATGACACAACGAGAACAAAAGCATTTTTGATGTCTGTTTTTTTCATTTGTTTGTTTGAGATGGAGACTCACTCTGCCAACCTCGCTGCAGTACAGTGGCACGGTTTTGATTCGCTGTAACCTCTACCTCCCAGGTTTAAGTGATTCTCATGCCTCAGTGTCCCAAGTAGCTGGAACTAAAGGTGCACACCCCCACCCCTGGCTAACTTTTGTATTTTTAGTAGAGATGGGGTTTCACCATGTTAGCCAGGGTGCTCTTGAACTCTGATCTTAGATGATCCACTCACTTCAGTCTTCCAAAGTGCTGTGGGATGAGACACCCCGGGTTTGATATCTTTTTTTTTTTTTTTTTGAGACAGACTCTCACTCTGTCGCCCAGCCTGGAGTGCAGTGGCACGATCTCGGCTCCCTGCAAGCACCGCCTCCTGGGTTCACACCATTGTCCAGCCTCAGCCCCCTGAGTAGCTGAGACTACAGGTGCCCACCACCATGCCCGGCTAAGTTTTTGTATTTTTAGTAGAGACGAGGTTTCACCGTGTTAGCCAGGACGGTCTCAATCTCCTGACTTTGTTATCTGCCTGCCTTGGCCTCCCAAAGTGCTGGGATTACCGGCGTGAGCTGCCACACCCAGCCTGATATCCCTTTTAAAACTACTATGGTATATCCCTTTAAAAAAGTACTATCTCAAAAAAGTACTATCTCTTTAAAAAGTACTATCTCAAAAAAAAAAAAAAAAAAAAAAAAGGAAAAGAAGAAACAATGCCAGGCGCGGTGGCATATGCCTGTAATCTCATCACTTTGGGAGGCTGAGGTGGGCGGATCACCTGAGATCGGGAGTTTGAGACCAGCCTGACCAACATGGAGAAACCCTTTCCCTACTAAAAATACAAAAAATTAGCCAGGCGTCGTGGCATATACCTGTAATCCCAGCAACTAGGGAGGCTGAGGCAGAGGAATCGCTTGAACCCAGGAGGCGGAGGTTGCTGTGAGTCAAGATCGCACCATTGCACTCTAGCCTGGGCAGCAAGAGCAACACTCCATCTCAAAAAATAATAATAAACAGGCTGGGAAAACTGGCTCACATCTCTTGGCCATGCTTGTTTCAAACTCTTGACCTCAAGTGACCTATGTGCCTTGGCCTCCCAATGTGCTGGGATTACAGGCGTGATCCACTGCACCTGGCCCAATCCTCTTATCATAAACACCTGCATGTCAATTAAGGCTTGAACTCAATGTTAAGTCAACACAAACTCAAGTCAATGCTGAATTGACTCCAATGTCAATTAATGCTTGATGGTTTGCTATACTCACTGCATTGGGAACAGTTATCTCAAAAATGAATTTTCTGATGTTCTGCAAGGAGTGACCTCGGACTGAAGACCTTGCCACACTGATGACATTTGTAAGATTTCTCTCCAGTAGGGATTCTCTGATGTCTAATGAGGTGTGAACATGAAGTAAAGGCTTTGCAACACTCATCACACTTGTGACATTTCTCTCCTGCATGAATTCTCCTATGTTTTGCATAGGATGAAGCTTGACTGAAGACCTTGCCACAGTCATGACATTTGTAAGGTTTCTCTCCAGTATGAGTTCACTGATGAACTGCAAGGTATGAACGATGTCTGAAAAATTTGCCACATTTATTACACTCGGAAGATCTCTCTTCATTATGGATTCTCCAATGATTTGCAATCGTTGTAGCGTTACTGAAGACTTTGTGACAATCATTACATTAGTCAAGTTTCCCTACACCATGAATGGCCTGATGGTAAGTGTTGACTGGTCACTAAAGGCTTTGCCACACTCATTACACTTGTAAGGTTTCTCTCCAGTATGAATTCTCCTATGTCTTTTAAGGCGTGATCTGTGACTGAAAACTTTGTCACATGCTTCACATTTGTAAGGTTTCTCTCCAGTATGAAGTCTATGATGACATGCAAGGCTTGATTGATGAATCAATCAAGTGATTGTGAGCCTTACCACACTCATTACACTTGTAAGGTTTCTCTCCGCTATGAATTCTAGTATGGTTTGCCAGATAAGAATGGCACATGAAAGCCTTGTCACAAACCTTACATTTGTAAGGTTTCTCTCCAGTATGAAGTCTATGATGACGTGAAAGGTGTGACTGTACATTAAAAGTCTTCCCACATTCATTACACTTGTAAGGTTTCTCACCACTATGAAGTCTACGATGGCATGGAAGAGATGACCTGTGACTGAAGGTCTTGTGACACTCATTACACTTGTAAGGTTTCTCTCCAGTATGAATTATCTTGTGTCTCTCAAGGTTTGATTTCTGACTGAAAACTCTGTCACATTCTTCACATTTGTAAGATTTCTCTCCAGTATGAAGTCTATGATGACGTGCAAGGCTTGACTGATGAATAAAAGCCTTACCACAGTCATTACACTTGTAAGGTTTCTCTCCAGTATGAAGTCTATGATGACGTGAAAGGTGTGATTGTTGATTAAAAGCCTTGCCACATTCATTACACTTGTAAGGTTTCTCTCCAGTATGAATTGCCTTATGAATTACAAGGGTTGAATTTTGACCAAACATCTTGCCACACTCATTACACTTGTAAGGTTTTATTCCAGTATGAAGTCTACGATGGCATCTAAGGGATGACTTGTAACTGAAGGACTTTCCACATTCATTACACTTGTAAGGTTTCTCACCAGTGTGACACCTATGATGGCATGTAAGGGATGACTTGTAACTGAAGGACTTTCCACATTCATTACACTTGTAAGGTTTCTCACCAGTGTGACATCTACGATGGCATGTCAGGGATGACTTGTAACTGAAGGACTTTCCACATTCATTACACTTGTAAGGTTTCTCACTAGTGTGACATCTACGATGGCGTGCAAGGTATCGCTTCTCATTAAAGACTTTGCCACATATATCAAATTTATATTGTTTTTCTCCTAAATGGATTATCTGATGTTTCCTTACAAATGAGCTACAATTAAAGGCTTCGCCAGTCTCATTACATTGGAAAGATTTTTCTCTCATGTGTACTTCCTGTTTTTGTGTGAGTAATGATGAATGGAAAAAATTATTCCCATAGTTATTAGGAGTATGTGTTTCAGGCCTACAAGAAATTCTTTGGGATGTTGAAATTGAGGAAGCATCGTTGACAGACTTCTCCACTTGATTAGCAATTTTCTCTTCGGGCTGAAATATGTGGAGTTCAGGAAGATGCAAATGAAAGCTTAATCCAAGCTGATCTTTAATAGGCTTGTTTCCAGCATGCCTTTGATCATGTCGGTCTGTGCTACCCATCAACTCTTTGATTTTTGGCATGGATGCTTCATGGCCATTTCTTTCATCTTTTTGTGACTGAAACTCAAAGTCATGAATATCTTTTTCAATTTCCTGGAAGCAAAAATCTCCAGTGTGATAACTTTCATGTCTTTGCAACATCCCTGTGTGGATCACTTCTGTATTGCCTTGCCCTGTTGACAAGACCTCCTTCATCATGCGTTTGGAAGAGATATCTACAAAATATAAACACCAATACGTTTGCAATTAAGTGCAGATGGTAAATCATACTGAAGTGTGTAAATATGACACAATAAAAAATACTTATTTTAAACTTCCCAAACATGATCTTCAAAGTTTACGAACACAAAAGTAGTAAGATTCTTTAATAAATAACAGACAATTACATGTCCTTCAAATCAAGTCTATAAAAGCTTATTTCCTATATCATGACAAAACACTGACAGGGCACAAACATGTGTAAGCCTAAAGTAAGGAGTATTTTTCCACTGTGACCCTACAGTGTATCACAGTTTGCAAAAAACATATCACTGTCACATCAAGGAAGAGAAAAATATATACTCTTCATATTTAAACCATATTTACTGTGTACAAATAAATGCAAAAAAAAAACACCACACAATATACTATATTGGTAAATAATCCACAACAAGCTCATGTAAGGATAACCAAAAGCAATGGAAATTCTGTATTATCAAACAATTATAGCACTGAGAAGATAAGAAAAGATTACAAAAATTAGCCAGGTGTGCTGGCCCGTGCCTGTAGTCACAGTTACTCAGGAGGCTGAGGCACAAGAATCACTTGAACCGGGGAGGCAGAGGTTGCAGTGAGCCAAGATGTCACCACTGCACTCCACACTGGGCAACAAAGTGAGACTATGCCTCAAACAGAAAAAAAAAAGGAAAAAAAAGAAAAAAAAAGTTAATACAATACTTTTCTCAATAAATGTCATAAAATTACATATATCCACACAGAACAGGCACATAGTGACTTTTGAAACCATTTTTTGTAGTTTTATTTTTTTGAGACAGTCTTGCATTCCAGCTTGAAGTGCCATGGTGCCATCTCAGCTCACTGCAACCTCTGCCTGCTGGGTTGAAGTGATTCTCCTGCCTCAGCCTCTTAAGTACCTGGGATTACAGGCACACACCACTATGACTGGCTAGTTTGTGTGTTTTTGGTAGAGACCGGGTTTCACCATGTTGGCCAGGCTGGTCTCCACCCCCTTTGGCCTCCCAAATTTCTGGGATTGCCGGTGTGAGCCACTGCACCTGGTGGCACTTTTGACATTAACGAGTGGAGTGTGTCAGTTATATTGCATACCACATACTGAAAAGCCATATGCAAAATTATAAAAATTAATTAATAAAATATTGTAACCCATGATAAAACCAGCAAGCAAATAAGTACATTTATACAGCCTGCAGAATTCTAAACAATTCCCTCTTAAGAAAAAAGCCACAACATCTACTTAACCACCAGCACACAATATAAGAACTGAAATACATGTTAAGATCACTACCTTCTGATGTATGAGGTCAAGAAAATACACAGCATTATAAGGAATAAGAACTGACTAACGGCTGGGCACGACGACTCACAACCTGTAATCCCAGCACCTTGGGAGGCTGAGGCAAGTGGAGCACGAGGTCAGGAGTTCGAGAACAGGCTGGCCAACATGGGGAAACTGCATCTCTACTAAGAACACCAAAACATCAGCCGGGTGTGGTGGCGGGTGCCTGTTATCTCAGCTACTTTGGAGGCTGAGGCAAAAGAATCTTTTGAACCCAGGAGCCGGAGGTTGCAGTGAGCCGAGATCGTGCCATTGCACTCCAGCCTGGGTGACAGGGCAGGACTCCATCTCAAAAAAAAAAAAAAAAAAAAAAAAAATTGACTAATAGTGTAGAAAAGTGCAATTATGAGGTCACAACTACAGTTATGTTCGTACTGGCTAAAAGCGATTATCAGATTTCTTTTTTTTTTTTTTTGAGACAGAGTTCCACTCTTGTTGCCCAGGCTGCAGTGCAATGATGCAATATCAGCTCACCACAACCTATGCCTCCTGGGTTGAAGCAATTCTCCTGCCTCAGCCTCCTCAGTAGCTGGGATTACAGGCATTCACCACCACACTCGATAATTTTGTATTTTTAGTAGAGATGGGGTTTCTCCTGTTGGTTAAGTTGGTCTTGAACTCCTAGCCTCAGGTGATCCACCCACCTCGGCCTCCCAAAGTGCTAGGATTACAGGCGAGAGCCACCGCGCTCGGTCCACTATCATCTGATAGTGGACCAATAGGACCAATAGGATGTTCCTGCAGATGGGGCCTTTTAGAGAATTTGGTCATGGGTGTTGACTAATTGTGAATAGGACTAAGGCTTTTAATATCTTTCTTTCTTTTTCTCTCTTTCACTTTCTCTTTCTCTCTCTCTCTATTTCTTTTGTGATGGAGTCTTGCTCTGTCACCCAGGCTGGAGTGCAGTGGTACAGTCTCGGCTCACTGCAACTTTGCCTCCCGGGTTCAAGTGATTCTCCTGCCTCAGCCTCCCAAGTAGCTGGGACTATAGGCATGCACCACCACGCACAGAAAATTTTTATATTATTAGTAGCAATGGGGTTTCACCATGTTGGCCAGGATGGTCTCGATCTTTTGACTTCGTGATCTGCACTGCGCGGCCTCCCAAAGTGCTGGGATTACAGGCATGAGCCACCGTGCCCCGCCTCTTTATTTATTTTTGATTCAGAGTTTCACTGTTGTTGCCCAGGCTGGAGAGCAATGGTATGATCTCGGCTCACCATAACCTCCGCCTCCCAGATTCAAGTGAGTCTCCTGTCTCAGCCACCCGAGTAGCTGGGATTACAGGCATGTGCCACCACTCCCGGCTAATTTTGTAGTTTTAGTAGAGATGTGGTTTCTCCATGTTGGTCAGGCTGGTCTCAAACTCCCGACCTCATGTGATTTGGCTGTCTCAGCCTCCCAAAGTGCTGGGATTACACTCATGAGCCAGCTCGTCCAGCCAGGACTAGTGATTTATAAAAAGAGACAGTAAAGAGCTCATTGCCTGCTCCTCTTTCCCCCATGTCAGGACACAGCAGGAAGACGGCTGGGCTAAACCACGAAGAAGGCTCTCACCAGGAGCCAATCTAGCTGACATCTTGCTCTTGGATTTCCCACTTTCCAGATTAATGAGAAATAAATTTCTATGTCTTAAGCTTTCCAGTTCCAGCTATTTCTTTTTTTGTCTGTTTTTGAGACTGAGTCATGCTTCATCACCCAGGCTGGAGTGCAGTGGCACGATTCTCCTACCTAAAGAGAGTCTCGTGCCTCAGCCTCGTGAGTAGCTGGGACTACAGACACATGCCACCATGCCTGGCTAATTTTTTTGTTTTGTTTTGTGGCAAACGGAATCTAACTCTGTCATACAGGCTGGAGTGCAGTGGCGTGATCATGGCTCACTGCACCATCCACCTCCCAGGTTCAAGTGATTCTCCCATCTCAGCCTCTCAAGAAGCTGGGATTACAGGTGCATACCAACATGCCCAGCTAATTTTTGTGTTTTTACTAGATATGGGGTTTCACCATGTTGGCCAGGCTGGTCTCGAACTTCTGACCTCAAGTGATCCACCCATCTCGGCCTCCCAAAATATTGGGATTATAGGCGTGAGCCATCACGACCATCCAGTTTTTTTTAATTTAGTAGATTCAAGGTTTCATTATGTTTGCCCGACTGGTCTCAAACTCCTGACCTCAAGCCATCTACCCACCTCAGCCTTTCAAAGTGCTGGAAATAGAGGCATAAGCCACTGCGGCTGGCCAGTCTAAGCTATTTCTAACAGAACGATGAAATGAGTGAGATAGGAAAAGGGGCATCTCATCATCAACATCACCAAAGGCCGACAAATCTTATTAAACAAAGGAAGTTTAGAGTCTGTCCTGTAAAACTTATAATATATGAAGCCATCTAATAATATTCACTTGTTTTAAAAAGCAGGTGGATGAATCACAAGTAGAAACTCCACCTCTACTAAAAATACAAAAATTAGCCAGGCTTGCGCCAGGCATAATGGGCAGGTGGATCAAGAGATCAGCAGTTCAAGACCAGCCAGGACAGTATGGTGAAACACTGTCTCCACTAAAAAAATACAAACAAGTATTAGCCGGGCATGGTGGTGAACATCTGTAATTTCAGCTACTCAGAAGGCTGAGGTAGGAGATTGCCTGACCTGGGAGGTGGAGGTTGCACTAAGCTGAAATTGCACCACTGCACTCCAGCCTGGGTGACAGAGCAATACTCCATCTTAAAAAAAAAAAAAAAAAAAAAAAGAAACTGTACTTTTAATAGAGATGTGGTTTCACCATGTTGGCCAGGCTGGTCTCGAACTCCTGACCTCAGGTGATTCACCCACCTCAGCCTTCCAAAGTGCTGGGATTACAGGCATGGGCCACCGCACCCAGCCTGGTAGTATTGTTCATAATAGTAAAGAGAAAAAACCAACCCAGATATCCATCGACAGATAAATACATGAGGAAAATGTGGTATACACATAAAATGGAGTATTATTCAGCCTTAAAAACAAACTCGGATGGGGCCAGGGGTGGTGGCTCATGACTGTAATCCCAGCAGTTTGGAATCCGAGGCAAGTGAATCACGTCAGGCCAGGCTATCAAAAGAAGCCTAGCCAACATGGTGAAACTGCCATCTGTAATAGAACTACCAAAAATTACTAGGTTGTGGTGACACATGCCTGTAATCCCAGCCACTCAAGAGGCTGAGGCAGGAGAATCACTTGAATCCAATAGGTGGAGGGTGCAGTGAGCCAAGATCAAGCCACTGCACTCAAGCCAGGGAAACAGAGTGAGACTCTGACTCAAAAAAAAAAACAACATAGAAACTAACAAGTTGAAAGCCACTGTGTCTGAAGGAAATGACAGTAGAACTAAACCATGGAAACCTCATTCAACCTCACAAGCTCCCTAAATAAGATTGATGAAAACCATATCTCTTACAGGGTTGACCCTACAACAAACTGAACATAGGTTTTCTTGTCAAAAATGAACAATGGGCCAGGCGCAGTGGCTCACGCCTGTAATCCCAGCACTTTGGGAGGTCGAGGAGAGTGGATCACAAGGTCAGGAGATCGAGAGCATCTTGGCTAACACGGTGAAACCCCGTCTCTACTAAAAATACAAAAAAAAACTAGCTGGGCATGGTGGCGGGCACCTGTAATCCCAGCTACTCAGGAGGCTGAGGCAGAAGAATGGCTTGAACCCGGGAGGCGGAGCTTACAGTGAGCCGAGATCGTGCCACTGCAGTCGGCCTGGGTGAAAGAGCGAGACTGTCTCAAAAACAAAAACAAAAAACAAACAAACAAACAAAAAATGAACAATGACATATATTGGTGTGAAAAATGTGAAATGAACAAGAGTTCAGTCAACAGCCTCATACATATGAGGCTGTGAGCCCAAATGATGTCCCCGCTAGGAGAAATTTCAACACCACTGACTGCTGCTTAGAGAAGATGATCATTAGTTTATGGGATGAACATTGTCACAGTGCCAGTGAGAGACGCTTCTGTGATGCTCCTCAAAAACCAGAATGAGCTGGGCATGGTGGCTCACGCCTGTAATCCCAGCACTTTGGGAGGCCAAGGTGGGCGGATCACCTGAGGTCGGGAGTTAGAGACGAGCCTGACCAACATGGAGAAACCCCATCTCTACTAAAAATACAAAGTTAGCTGGGCGTGGTGGCGCATGCCTATAATCCCAGCCCCTCGGGAGGCTGAGGCAGGAGAATCACTTGAACCCGGAAGGTGGAGGTTATGATGAGCCGATATACCATTGCTCTCCAGCCTGGGAAACAAGAGCAAAGATCCATCTCAAACCAAACAAACAATCAAACAAAAAAACCACGTATGGGGCAAAATCACAAAAGAGAATACAAAACCAGGAAGAGCCAAGACAGACAAGAGCAGACTCCTCATGTCTGCAGGGACATTTTCCTCACCCACAGCCTCCAGGTTCCTGTAGTTCTCCAACATCACTTCCCTGTACAAAGCCCTCTGCGCAGGGTTCAGGAATTTCCACTCTGCCAATGAGAATTCTATAGCCACATCCCTGAAAGTCAAGCGTCCCTAAAATGAAACACACATTTCAACAAAACATTATGGAGGATTGAGTTATCACCTTCACAGGAAATGAGAAAAGAGAAAATAAGTATTTCTTTGATCAAAGACTGTGTTGTGACAAAACCACGTTAAGGTATTTTTGAATTTTTTTTCTCAATAGTTGCATTTTATTGTACTTTTCCTTGAAAGATTTTAAGATCCCATAAGTCGCTATGGAAGTCTCGATTTTATGGACAATATAAAAACTATATAAATAAAAAGGAAACACAGGGCTGGGCATGGTGGTTCACGCTTGTAATACCAATGCTTCGGGAGGCCAAGGTGGGCAGATTATTTGAGTTCAAGAGTTCGAGACCACCCTGGCCAATGTGGTGGAAACCTGTCTCCACTAAAAATATAAAAATTAGACGGGCATTGTGGCAGGCTCCTGTAATCCCAGCTACACAGGAGGCTGAGGCAGGAGAATCACTTGAAGTCAGGAGATGGAGGCCGCAGTGAGCCAAGATCGCACCACTGCCCTCCATCCTGGGCAACAGACTGACACTCCATGTTAAAAAAAAAAAGCAATGCCAGGCGGTGGCTCTCACCTGTAATCCCAACATTTTGGGAGACCAATGTGGGCAGATAATGTGGTCAAGAAATCGAGACCATCCTGGCCAACATGGCAAAACCATGTCTCTAATAAAAATACAAAAATTAGCTGGGTGTCGTGGTGTGGACCTGTACTCCCAGCTACTCAAGAGGCTGAGGCAGGAGGATCGCTTGAATCCGGGAGGCGGAGGTTGCAGTGAGCTGAGATTGCACCACTGCACTTTAGCCTGGCAACAGAGCAAGACTCCATCTCAAAAAAAAAAAAAAAAGCAAACACAGGGTTTTCTCTACAGACATGTCAGATATTATGTTCAACATACGAGCTGATATTTAGTCTCTAGATGAGCTAAGATACAAGTGGTGTTTCAGAGAGGACAAAGTCAAATGGCTTTCAAAGAAAAGTCCGAATCTAAAAACTATCATGATTGGTCAGTCTCAGTGGCTCATGCCTGTAATCCCAGCACTTGGGAGACCGAGGTGAGTGGATCACGAGGTCAGGAATTCAAGACCAGCCTGGGAACATGCTGAAACCATATCTCTATAAAAATACAAAAAACTTAGCCAGGCGTGACAGCGAATGCCTGTAATCCCAGATACTCCAGAGGTTGAGGCAAAAGAATTGCTTGAAGCCGGAAGGCAGAGGTTGCAGTGAGCTGAGATCCCGCCACTGCAATACAACCTGGGCAACAGAGAGAGACTCCATCTCAAAAAAAGTGCAGAGTCCAGCCGGGCTGGCTGTCTCCCATTTGGAATGCCAGCAATTTGGGAGGCCAAGAGGGGAGGATCACTGGAGGCCAGGATATCAAGGCTGTAGCAAGCTATGATTGCATTACTGCACTCCAGCCTGGACAACAAAATAAAAATACAATATAAAAAATAAGGCCAGACATGGTGGTGCACACCTTTAATCCCAGCACCTGGGGAGTCCAAGACAGGCAGATCACAAGGTCAGGAGTTTGAGACCAGCCTAAAGAACATAATGAAACCCTGTCCCAACTAAAAGTACAAAAACTAGCTGGGTGTGGTGGTGCATCCTGTAGTCCCAGCAACTCAGGAGGCTGAGGCAGAAGAATTGCTTGAAACCCAGAGGGAGAGGATGCAGTGAGCTGAGATCCTGACATTGCACTCCAGCTTTGGTGACTGAGCGAGACTCCATCTTAAAATACATACATACATATGGTGACCCATGCCTATCACTCAGGCTCTTTGGGAGTCTAAAGGAGGGATTAGTTGAGCCCAGGAGTTTGAGGCTGCTGTAAACTCTGAATTGTGCCATTGTACTCCAGAACTAAGCCACAGAGCGACACCTTCTCTCTCCCTCTCTTTTTCTTTTGAGACAGAGTCTTGCTCCGTTTCCCAGGCTGGAGTGCAGTGGCAAAATTTCAGTGTATGGTAACCTCCACCTCCTGGGCTCAAGCGATTCTCCTGCCTCCGTCTCCTAAGTAGCTGAGATTACAGGCATGCACCGCCACACACAGCTAATTTTTGTATTTTTAGTAGAGATGGGGTTTCACCATGTTGGCCAGGCTGGTCTTGAACTCCTGACCTCAAGTGATCTTCCTGCCTTGGCCTCCCAAAGTGCTGTGATTACAAGTGTGAGCCATCCCACCTGGACCAACATCCTGTCTCTTAAAACAAAACAAAAAGTTTGGAGACAGAGACATCTTGATCTACTAGTGTGGCTTCAAATGCATTACCAAATGAGATACAAAATACCTCTCCTTATTCGTCTCCTTTCCCAGAATTTGCCACATACCTGGGCACATTAACATACGTATTTCATATGCAGTTTCTCTAATCTGGTCCACAAAGAGCTGACATCCAGATATGGCCCCTGAACAATCCAGGCTGCCCAGCAGCAATGACATCAACGGGCCCACACCCCATGTTAATCCATGTCTGGGTGTGAGCCCTTCCCAGGACCATGCCCAGTGGAGCCTCTTCCCAAGTTCATGTCACTGGGTCACAGGAGATGGAATTCTTTTGAGCAAATGAGAGGAACTGAGGGCAGGCATGGGTGAGTGCAAGCAAACGTGTCAGGCAAAATGCTTCAGACTCAGAAAAGACTGGCTGTTACAATACATTACTACAATACAATATAATACTACTACACTTCAGAAAGGAAAGAGACAGATTAATCCACAGAGGAATATCACTTCACCTGAGGAAGAGCCATGCCTGGCTCCTTTCCTTTCCTCTTCTGAGCTGCTTCCTCATGTAACATGAGTCTTTAGAAATCAATCCTGTATGTGGAAGAAAAATAAGACTTCAGGTTAGATATGACTCACTCCCTTCCTGTGATAAAAACACAGGAACGGGGAGACATCACCCTGTACAAAGAAGCCCCCCCCACTGCCCACTGCACCAGAGATCATGCAGACATAAGAAAGTCCCACAGGAAGACCTATAAGTGTATGTTTGACCCTGGTCTTCAGATCTCGCCCCCCTCCTGGAGCAGCCACCACACACGAGGCAGCAGTGGGGAGCTGGGCTGGACTGATCTCTCCTTCAGGGCACAGACCCATCCCTGATCAAACCGCATCCAGAGGACAGCCCCTCACCTCTCTGTGGATCACAGGCTGAGCTCAGCCCTCAGAAATGCAGGACTCAGAGCTTCCATGCTCAATGCTGCACACAGATGACAAGCACCTGCGCCACTGCAGGTATTACTGAGGGTGGGTTCCATCCCGTCAGAATAAGAATCCCTGCTAAAGCGGCACAAAAGCTCTATTTGCAAAATGCTCCGCACTCTAATGTGAAGCCAGGGTTGAGCTCCACTCAGAGGGGGCGAGCCCAGCACAGCCCCACGTTCTGGCTCTGCCCTCCGCTTGGGGCCAAGTTCTCACCAGGATCCAGACAGTGGATGACAAAGGCACAAAAATAATCACAAAGAGGCCAGACGCAGGGGCTCTCGCCTATAATCCCAGCACTTTGGGAGGCCGAGGCGGCTGGATCACAGGGTCAGGACTTCAAGACCAGACTGGCCAACATGGCGAAATGCTTTCTCTACTAAAAGTACAAAAATTAGCTGGGCATGGTAGCGGGTGCCCATAATCCCAGCTATTCAGGAGGCTGAGGCAGGAGAATTGCTTGAAGCCAGGAGACAGAGGTTGCAGTGAGCCGAGATCCCACCACTGCACTCCAGCCTGGGTGACAGAGCAAGACTCTATCTCAAAAAAAAAAAAAAAAAAAGTCACACAAAACAGTCAATGTGGACCAGAGGAAAATAAATCTTGGGGCCCAAAATCACTAAGCAAAAGGGAAAAGTCAAGCTGGGAACTGCTTAGGGAACCAGACTCCCCTTCTATTCAAAGTCACCCCTCTGCTCCCTGACATACATGCCTATCTGAGTACCTCCTTTGAAAGGCTAATCAAACTCAAAAGAAAGACCCAGCATAGTGGCTCAGGACTGTAATCCCAGCACTGTGGGAGGCCGAGGAAGGCAGATCACTTGGGGTCAAGAGGTCGACACCGTCCCAGCCAACATGGTGAAAAGACATCTCTACTAAAAATACAAAAATGATCTGGGCATCTACTTGGGAAGCTGAGGGAGGAGAATCACTTGAACCCAGGAGGGAGAGGTTGCAGTGAGCCAAGATCGTGCCACTGCACTCCAGCCTGGGTGACAAAATGGGACTTCATCTCAAAAAAAAAAAAAAAAGGAAACTCAAAAGATTGCAACCATTTGTGCCTCAGTTCTCTGTGACCTAAAAGCCCCTTCCCTGCTTCAAGTCTTCCTGCCTTTGTTTAAAGTTCTCCCACCTTCCCAGACCAAACCAACGTACTTCTTACATATATTGATTGATGTCTCATGTCTCCATAAAATGTATAAAATTAAGCTCTGCGCCGACCACCTTGGGCAAAATAAACTTTCTAAATTAACTGAGATCTCTGTAAGATTTTCTGATTTCACAGCCGCAGTGTCGAATGAGGGCTGTGGGAGATCACAAAGGAGACCCGGAGAAGATGATATCAGAACAAGGACCTAGGAAAGAAAGGCTGCTTGTCACTTGCAGCTGAGGGGAAGAGCATCCTAGAGAGAGGGACAGCTCAAGTGAAGGCCCTGAGACAGGAGCAACCTCAGCCCCAGGAAAAGGAAAGCGGCCCGTGGGGCTGGAACAGTGGAAGAGAGGAGGGCACAGGTAGGAGATGAGGTCAGAGAGGTCCTGGGGGCACAGACCCATAGGGACATGGTCTTCAAACATTTTTCTCCCACAACCCAAAAGCATTTTGAAAGTCGATTGTGATCCCAGCTACTCGGGAGTCTGAGGCAGGAGAATCCCTTGATCCCAGGAGACAGAGGTTGCAGTGAGCTGATATCATGGCATTGCACTCCAGCCTCAGCCATAAGAGTGAAAATTCATCTCAAAAAAAAAAAAACGATTTGGAAGTGATGTATCTTCTCACTCTTTTCACATATACATGTACGTTTCTCTATGTATTATAAATTACAACACTTACAAATAATGTAATGTATTTCCCATATTTAAAATATGTGCTGTCAAGTTCAGCTAAGTTTTCGGAAGTACACATTCACTCTCATCTGAGATGTGCAGACTGCAAGGGAATGTGTTTGGGGATTTAGGAAGTCACTTATGGACAGCTGAAGGTGGGGATGCCTGTTTGATGTCCCAGGAGAGAGCTGAGGAGACTACTGGACACAGGATTGTAGAGCTCAGGGTTGAGGCCTGCAGGGGACATGGAGTCGTGTAGGTGGGTGAAAGCTGTGAGATGATAACCTTCAAGGTGATTTGAGTCTAATCCCCTGTTTTTGCTCATCTTGGAGAACTGGAATTCATTTGAAATTTGAGTTAAAAATGACCATTATCCTCTCCCAGAAGAAAAGTCACACACTGTATTTTGTCAGTCGTTTCAGGGGTCAGTGTCACTGACTGAGCTTTTCTGATCTTATTCCTCACCTCTATGTTACAGGTGGGCTCACTAAGGCTCACAGCGGGAGACATTTCACCAAGTTATCCTGAGAAGCTCTGAGGTGAGGAGGAAGGAGGTGTGGCTGATTCCAATGTGATGGCCTGAAAGGGCCAATAGGCTGCCTTGGTCTTCCTCCTCTAGAAAATTCCAAGACCAGCCAGGAATGGTGACCCACCCTTGAAATCCCAACACTTTGGGTAGTTGAGGCAGGCCAATCACTTGAGCCAAGAAGTCTGAGACCAACACGGGCAACATAGTAAACCCCATCTCTAACAAAAATACAAAAAATTAGCCAGGCATCGTGGCGTGCATCTGTGGTTCCAGCTACTTGGGAGGCTGACGCAAGATCACTTGAGCCCGGGAGGCAGAGGTTGCAGTGATCCAAGATTGTTCCACTGCATTCCAGCCTGGGTGATAGGGTGACACTCTGTCTTACAAAAAAAAAAAAAAAAAGCGGCCAGGCGAGGTGGCTCATTCCTGTAATCCCATCATTTTGGCAGGCCAAAGTGGGCAAATCACAAGGTCAGGAGTTCAAGACCATCCTGGCCAATATGGTGACATCACGTCTCTACTAAAAATACACAAATTACCATTCTGGCTAACACGGTGAATGCCCGTCTCTACTAAAAATGCAAAAAATTCTCTGGGTGTGGTGGTGGGTGCCTGTAGTCCCAGCTACTCCGGAGGCTGAGGCAGGAGAATGGCATGAACCAAGGAGGCAGAGCTTGCAGTGAGAGGAGATTGCGCCACTGCACTCCCTCCTGGGCGACAGAGTGAGACTCCATCTCAAAAAAAAAAAAAAAAAAAACACACATTAGCCAGGCGTGGTGGTGGGCACCTGTAGTCTCTGCTACTCGGGAGGCTGAGGCAAAAGAATTGCTTGAACCCGAGAGGTGGAGGTTGCAGAGAGCTGAGATCATGTCACTGCACTCCAGCCTGGGCGACAGAGCGAGACTCCATCTCAAAGAAAAACAAACAAACAAAAATTCCAGGACCATCTTATATACCTGAGCAAAGGAAACTTCTTTCGAGTTGTAAGGTTCTGATGGCATCAATCCCAAACATATCATTACTCACTCCCAGAAAAATGTGCAAAACACACCATGTGCACACACAGCAATAGGTGTTTAAAACACTGAAAAAGAGGCAGCTGTAGAAATGAGATCTGAGCAAATGCTTTTCTCATGAACACATGGGCTCTGCTAAACCAAGGTTCCAAGTCAATCCAGCCCATCCTTCAACATCTGTAGAGAATATTATGGACCAGAGGGACTTGAGGGGGACACTTACTTAGAAGCTCACAGATAACCATTTTTTCAGATGACATAAGAAAAGAAAATGGAATAGGCTACTTTAACTAAATTTTCATGTTAGGATAAAGAAAAAAGGTCCTTGATATCATTATCAAGTACACACTGAAACAACCTAACATCATATATCACATAGTAGAAAATGTTTTCGATATATGATAAAGACTAGAAAGCAAACAGACCTCAATGTAAACTGAACACAATTTCACAGAGAAACAATTTTAAAATGTTCAAAAAATATAGATGTAATGAAATCTTGGCTCAAAGGAGAAATAGTTGAAAATATATCATACTTTGAAAACAATAAGGCCGGGCATGGTGACTCACACCTATAATCCCAGCACTTTGGGAGGCCAGGGCAGGAAGACCACCACAAGGTTAGCAGTTCGAGACCTGCCTGGCCAACATGGAGAAACTATGTCTCTACCAAAAATACTAAAATTAGCAGGGCATAGTGGTGCACAAGCACTTTGGGAGGCCAAGGTGGGCGGATCATGAAGTCAGGAGTTTGAGACCAGCCTGGCCAACATGCTGAAATCTGTCTCTACTAAAAGTACAAACATTAGCTGGGAGGGTGGTGGGCGTCTGTAATCCCAGCTACTCAGGAGGCTGAGGCAGGAGAATCGCTTGACCCTGGGAGGCGGAGGTTGCAGTGAGACGAAATCGTGCCACTGCACTCCAGCCTGGGTGACAGAGAGTCTCAACAAATAAATATATATATCTAAACAATAGCCAGGCCTCGTGGGGCGTGCCTGTGGCCCCAGCTACTCCGGAGGCTGAGGTGGGAAAATCACTTGAGCCCAGGAGGTTGCTACGGCACTGAGATGTGATCCTGCCACTGCACTCCAGCCTGGACAACAGCAAGAGTGTCTCAAAAAAATAAAAATTAAAGGCTGGGCGCGGCGGCTCATGCCTGTAATCCCAGCACCTTGGGAAGCTGAAGCAGGAGGATCACCTGAGGTCAGGTGTTCAAGACCAGCCTGACCAAGATGGAGAAACCCCATTTCTACTGAAAATACAAAATTAGCCGGCCATGGTGCTGCGTGCCTGTAATCATAACTACTTAGGAGGCTGAGGCAGGAGAATCACATGAACCCCAGAGGCGAAGGTTGCAGTGACCGAGATTGCGCCATTGCACTCCAGCCTGGGTGACAGAGCGAGACTCTGTCTCAAATAAATAAATAAATAACAACTAATGAGGCTGAGCGCGGTGGCTCACGCCTGTAATCCCAGCACTTTGGGAGGCTGAGGCGGGCGGATCACGAGGTCAGGAGATCGAGACCATCCTGGCTAACATGGTGACACCCCGTCTCTACTAAAAATACAAAAAATTAGCTGGGCGCGGTGGCGGGCGCATGTAGTCCCAGCTACTCGGGAGGCTGAGGCAGGAGAATGGCGTGAACCCGGGAGGCGGAGCTTGCAGTGAGCCGAGATTGCGCCACTGCACTCCAGCCTGGGTGACAGAGCGAGACTCTGTCTCAAATAAATAAATAAATAAATAACAACAAATGAGGCCGAGCGTGGTGGCTCATGCCTGTAATCGCAGCACTTTGGGAGGCCGACGAGGGTGGATCACGAGGTCATGAGTTCAAGAACCATCTTGCCAAGATGGTGAATCCTGTCTCTACTAAAAATACAAAAATCAGACAGGTGTGGTTGTGGGCGCCTATAATCCCAGCTGCTCGGGAGGCTGAGGCAGAGAATTCCTTGAACCCGGGAGGCAGAGGTTACAGTGAGTCCAGATCGCTCCACTCCACTCCAGCCTGCGTGACAGAGAGAGACTCCATCTCAAAAAGAAAAACAAAAAGACAACTAAACTAATTAAATGAGGAGGAACTAGAAAAAAGGAAACCAATTACAAAAAGAGAAAAAAAGCACTTTAATACTCCTTTCATCACGTTCCATATAGTAACAGAGTCAGTCACTTCTTACCCTACTTCTCTTCCCCCACTCCCGACCCCAGCCATGAAAAGGGAAGAGGGTGATCCACAACGAATGAGTCAAGTCACTGTCCTCTGGCTGAAGAGGGGTTGCAGAGGGAAGCTGCCTCTGACGCCATCATTATAAAATGCACCACACTTAGACACAGGAGTTTGGCAACTCTCATTCTCATCTGTATAATTTAAACTAATTTTAAATTTGTTACATTATAAACAGAGAAAACAACGTGTCATCACTTCATCATCACATCCAATCAACTCACCGCTCATCTGCACTCAGGGTCCCCCTTCATCTTCATTACTGCTTCCCTCCATCATTTTATACATAGCCCTTTTTCACTTTCTCTCTCCATCTGTTTCTTTTCTGCATTTCCCCCTGGGCTTCTGCTCATTTTATACCCCTCTCCTGTTTTGCTCCATTCTTTTTTGGTTTTTTTGAGACAGAGATTCGCTCTTATTGCCCACGCTGAAGTACAATGGTGCGATCTCAGCTCACCACAACCTCTGCCTCCTGGGTTCAAGTGATTCTCCTGCCTCGGCCTCCTAATCCAAAATTAGCGGGGCATGGTGGCGCATGCCTGTAATCCCAGCTACTCAGGGGGTAGTATCGCAGGAGAATCGCTTCAACTCTAAAGGCACAGAGAGTCATTAGCCAAGATCGTGCCCTTGCACTCCAGCCTGGGCAACAGGAGTGAAACTCCACCTCAAAAAACTACTACTACTAATAATAATTAGTATGTAGGCTGGGCGCGGTGGCTCATCCCTGTAATCCCAGTACTTTGCAAGGCCAAGACAGGAGGAACCTTTGAGCCCAGGATTTTGAGACCACCCCGGGAAACATACTGAAACCCTGTTTCTACAAAAAAACAAACAAAGAAAAAAAAAACAACTAGCTGGGCTTGGTGTCTCACACCAGTGGTCTCAGCTACTCAGGAGACTGAGGGAGGAGGATTGCTTGAGCCTAGGAGGTCGAGGCTTCAGTTAGAGTAGATAACACCATTGTACTCCTGCCTGGGCAATAGGGCCAGACCCTGTCTCAAAATATTAATTAATTAATTAAAAGTATTACATAATAACAGAAAGTGATTTTTTTTTCCACATCACTGCCCCACTTCCTACCCCACCCTGGGAAAAGGGAAGAGAGTGACTCACAACTGAATGTCACTGCCCGCGGGCTGAATAGGGATTCCAAGTGGAAGCTAACCTCTGATACCAAGATTTATAGAATGTACATGACTCACAGATAGGACTTTTAAAATTCTCAAACTCATCTGTATAATTTAGACAAGTTATTAGATTATATAGACAGAAGTCAACATGTCACAACTAATCATATCCAATGAACTCACACACTCATCTGTATCCAAAGTCCCCAACCCTTTTTTTCTTTTAAGACAGGGTCTTGCTCTTTTGACCAGGCTGGAGTACAGTGGCATGATCTCTGCTCACAGCAGCCTGGAGCTCCTGGGCTCAAGTGATCCTCCAGCCTCTGCCTACAGAGTAGCTGAAATTACAGGTCTACACTATCATGCCCCGTTAAATTTTTTTTTCTTTTTTTTTTGACAGCGATGGCGGGTCTCACTATTTTGCCTAGGCTAGTCTTGAACTCCTGGACTCAAGCAATCCCTCTGCCTCAGTCTCCTAAAGTGCTGGGATTACAGGCTTGAGCCACTGCGCCCAGCCACTCTTTCTTCATTACTGTGCTTCCCTCCCTAATTCTTTACACATCTCTCATTCTCCCCTTCTCTCTAGCTCTTGTTTTCTTGTCTTTTTCCCTGGGATTCTGCTCATTTTGTACCCCTCTCCTCTCCTGCTATTTATTCCATTCTTCCCTCTATTACTTCTCTTCCACCTCTTCTGCTCCATCCTCACAACTTATTTAACCACTTTTTTTTTTTGGACGGAGTTTTGCTCTTGTTGCCCAGGCTGGAGTGAAATGGTGAGATCTCGGCTCACCACAACCTCCGCCTCCCAGGTTCAAGCGATTCTCCAGCTTCAGCCTCCCTAATAGCTGGCGTTACAGGCATGTGCAACCGCGCCCGGCTAATTTTGCATTTTTAGTAGGGACGGGGTTTCTCCATGTTGGACAGGCTGGTCTCGAACTCGGGACCTCAGGTGATCTGCCCGCTTCAGCCTCCAAAACTGCTGGGATTACAGGCATAAGCCACCGCGCCCGGTCCTTATTTAACCTCTTGTTGCCCTTCCCCCCAATCTTTCGATCGTCCTCAATCTCTATATATTACCGCCTCTTATCTCTGCGTCTCCTCTGCTCTCCCTGTTAAATTCTCTCTTCCCTGTTATACCCCCCTGTCCCCACTCTCTAGCACCCCAGATCCCCCGGTGTCCTCCCTGCTGTGTTTCTCCCTCGGTTCTCCTTGCCACCAGCAAAACTCTGCGGGTTTGGAGTAAGACTCCTGCATCGCGGAGAAGCGCATTTTCCGGGGGGTGGAACTGGGCAGGCAAGAATATCCCGGGTCAAAGGACAAGCCCCTGGGACCTGCCCAATGCTGGTTCAGGGGAAGCGGTGACTGCAGAGGGAAGACTACGGGAGCAGCAGGGCCCGGCACGAGGAGGGACGTAGGGGGCGACGGCGCCTTAAGACAAGGGTGACACCTGCAGGATTCCAGGACCAGGCAGAAGACGCAGCCTCCCCAGGACTGGGCCCGGGGCGCTGTGCTCCAGGGGCCGAGCCTGGGAGGCGCCCAGGGCGGGAATCCACCTCGCGGGTGAGGACTTTAAGAAGCACGGGGCGGGAGAGTCAGAAAAAGGTTTTGAGCAGGAAAATTACGCTATAGAAGTGTATACACTGCCCTACAGCAGAAAGACCAGGGACTGGACCAGCCTCCGGACGACTTCAAACCCAAAAGGAAGCAACTCCCGGACTCTTACGGGGACATCTCAATTTGCTCTATGTGAATGAAGACAAGCGAGAATTTCCAGGTCCGTGGGGACCCAAAGTCCTAGGGACAGAAGCGCCGGGGACCTGGGAAGCGCAGACTTAACACAACACAGAGCGAAACTCACATGCCGCGGTAGGACCTTCACTCCAAGCGATACGCCACCTGGTTTGCGCGCGCAGGACAGAAGCCAGGCCTGGGCGGGGCCCGCGAACAGTTTGGCGGGTCCTGGGCGGGGTAGGGTCGGAGCGCGAGGCGGAGAGACCTTGCCCTTTAGAACCGGCAGAGGGCGGGGCCGGGGCGGGACCTGTGCATCACTTGGCCTGGCAGGCAGCTCCTCTGTTTTTTGGGTGTTTGGAGGGGAGAGCGGCCAGGAAGGTTGAGGCATGATTCAAAACCCTGGAATTGTCTGGAACGGGCATGCAAACTAAAATGTGAAATGCAAAGCCCTGCCTGGGAGGAACATATGATTTCATGCTGATGGCCCACAGAACAGAACAGAAATCCTCTCTCTTTCTATTCGCCATTCATTCAGGAGGGAGAGTCCACCCTGTGCTCAGCTTCAGAGACTTCCCTAGGGCCTCCGCCTGGGATGCGGGACTGAGTGCTCAGGAAAGGGAGAAGTGAGGTCACCACCTGCTGCTTAAACACAGCAGGGATGCGGGCACGAGGCGGAAGCCTGAGGTCCCAGCTACTCAGGAAGCAGCGGCCAGAGAATCGCTGAACCTGGGGGTCCAGACCAGCCTGGTGACAAAGTAACACCCCCTCTCACAGGGCTCCCTTCCTCGTCTCTCCCTCCCTTTTTTTTTTTTTTTTTTTTTTTTTTTTTTTTTGAGACAGAATCTCTCTCTGTCGCCCAGGCTGGAGTGCAGTGGCACGGTTTTGGCTAACTGCAAGCTCCAACTTCCGGGTTCACGCCATTCTCCTGCCTCAGCCTTTGGAGTAACGGATTTGAGGCGACCACCACGAAGCCCAGCTAATTTTTTGTATTTTTAGCAGAGATGGGGTTTCACCGTGTTAGCCAGGATGGTCTCGATCTCCTGACTTCGTGATCCGCCCTCCTCAGCCTCCCAAACTGCTTGGCTTACAGATGTGAGCCACCCCACACGGCCTTGTTTTTTGTTTGTTTTACCGTTTTTAAATAAAATTTTTCATGGTGTAACATAGGGATCCAACATTATTCTTTTCCATGTGGATATCCAGTTAGTTGTCCCAGTACGTTTGTTAAAGAGATCTATTACTTTTTCTTTTTTTACTTTTTTCTTTTATTTTATTTTTAAGACAGTATTTCTCTGTGGCCCATGCTGGGGTGCAGTTGCGAGATCGTGGCTCACTGCAGCCTCTGCCTACTGGGTGGAAGCTATTCTTCTGCCTCAGCCTTTGGAGTATCTGGTATTACAAGCGCACACGACCATGCCCAGCTAACTTTCGTATTTTTGCATATTTTCTAAATAAATGTCCTAAGAAAAGGGATGAAAGGAAAGAAAATCTCTTTCTTTATTTTCAAAGGAGGAATTAAACCTCTCATTTATTGACTTATTTGCGATAGGGTGTAGCTCACTCACCCAAGCTGGAGTGTGGTGGCAAAAACAGGGCTCACTGCAGCCTTCAACTCCCTGGCTCAAGTAATCTTCCCACCTTTTTCATCATGCATTTGGAAGAGATATCTACAAAATATAAACACCAATACGTTTCCAATTAAGTCCAGATGGTAAATCATACTGAAATGTGTAAATATGACACACAAAAAAATACTTATTTTAAACTTTCCAAACATGATCTTCAAAGTTTAGGAATACAAAAGGAGTAAGATTCTTTAATATAAATAAAGGGCGATTACATGTCCTTCAAATCATTTCTATGGAAGCCTGTATCCAATGTCATGACAAAACTCTGACAGGGCACAAACATGTGTAAGCCTAAAGTCAGGAGTGTTTTTCCACTGTGACCCTAAATTCTATCAGTTTGCAAAAAAACATATCACTGTCACATCAATGAGAAGAAAAGTATATATTCTTCATAGTTACAGAATATCTACTGTATACAAATAAATGCTAAAAGACCATACAATATACTATATTGGTAAATAATCCACAAGAAGCTTATGTAAGAGTAACCAAAATCAATGGAAATTCTGTATTGTCAAATAATCATAGCACAGAGAAGATAAGAAAAGATTCCAAAAATCAGCCAGGCGTGGTGGCGGTCACCTGTAGTCCCAGCTACTCGGGAGGCTGAGGCACAAGAATCCCTTGAACCTGGGAGGCGGAGATTGCAGTGAGCCCAGATTGTGCCACTGCACTCCAGCCTGGGTGACAGAGCAAGACTCCGTCTCAAAAAAAAAAAAAAATGTTAATACAATTTTTTTCTGAATACCTGTCTTAAAATTACCTATATCCATGCAGAACAGGGACTTACTGAATTTAACTAGTGCAGTGTGTCAGTTCCATTACATATCATATACTGAAAAGCCATATGTGAAATCTTAAATATTAATCAGTAAACTATTCTAACCCATGATAAAACCAGCAAGCAAATAAGTACATTTATACAGCCTGCAGAATTCTAAACAATTCTCTCTCAAGAAAAAAGCCACAACTTCTACTTAAAATCAGCACACACTGTAAGAACTGAAATACATGTTAAGATCAGTACCTTCTGATGTATGCGTTCAAGTAAATACACAGTATTAAAAGGAATAAGAACTGACTAACAGTGTCAGAGGGTGCAATTGTGATGTCACAGGTACAGTTACATAACACCAGGCAATAGAGCAATTTTATATATATGTATTGCCCTTAGTTATCTAGTGAACTGTGCGTAAAATATAAGACATAGAATGTGTACTGGGAAAATTTATAAACTGAGATCACAGAAAACATTGTATAAAACAAATTGCACAATAAAAACATCAAAAACCTGATGCAGGCTCCCTGGTCTGAATGTTTATATTGGCCAAAAGGGATGTTCAGAGTTCTTATTGTCCAATAGGATGTTTCTGCAGATGGTGTCTGTGAGAGAATTTGGTCATGGGTGGCTGGGCGTGGTGGCTCACGCCTGTAATCCCAGCACTTTGGGAGGCCGAGGCGGGCAGATCACGAGGTCAGGAGATAGAGATCATCCTGGCTACCAAGGTGAAACCCCATCTCTACTAAAAGTACAAAAAAATTAGCCGGGATTGGTGGCGGGCGCCTGTAGTCCCAGCTACTCGGGAGGCTGAGGCAGGAGAATGGCGTGAACCCGGGAGGCAGAGCTTGCAGTGAGCCAAGATCGCACCACTACACTTCAGGCTGGGCAACACAGTGAGAAAAAAAAAAAAGAAGAATTTCTCCATGGGTGTTGACTATACGTGAATAGGAGCAGTGCTTTTATTTTTATTATTTATTTATTTATTTAATTTTTGAGACGGAGTATCCCTCTTGTTGCCCAGGCTGGAGTGCAATGGCGTGACCTTGGCTCACCGCAACCTTTGCCTCCCAGGTTCAAGCAATTAGCCTGCCTCAGCCTCCAGAGTAGCTGGGATTACAGGCATGCGCCACCACACCCAGCTAATTTTGTAGTTTTATAGAGACGAGGTTTCTCTATATTGGTCAGGCTGATCTCCAACCCCCGACGTCAGGTGATTCGCCCGCATCAGCCTTCCAAAGTGCTGGCGTTACAAGTGTGAGCCACAGCACATGGCCAGGACTACTGCTTTTATAAAGGGAGACAAAGAGTTGATTGCTATTTCTTTTTTTGTTTTTTGAGACCAAGTCATGCTCTGTCACTCAGGCTGCACTATTGTGGCATGATTCTCCTGCCTAAAGAGATTCTCCTGCCTCAGCCTCCGGAGTAGATGGGACTACAGACGCATGCCACCACCCTCGGCTACTTTTTCTTTTTTTAGGGGGGGCAGACGGAGTCTCACTCTGTCACCCAGGCTGGAGGGCAGTGGTGCGATCGTGGCTCACTGCAACCTCTGCCTTCCAGCCGGGTCCAAGTAATTCTCCTGCCTCAGCCTCTGGAGTAGCTGAAATTAGAGGCGTGTGTAAACATGGCCAGCTAATTTTTGTATTTTTGGTAGAGACGGGGTTTCACCATGTAGGCCAGGCAGGTAGTCTCCAACTCATGACCTTCAGTGATTTGCTCCCAAAGTGCTGGGATTACAGGCATGAGCCACCATGCCCAGCTTTGATATTCCTTACTTTTTCTTCATTTTTTTTTTTTTCAGACGGCGTCTAAATCTGTTACCCAGGCTGGTGTGCAGTGACGCAATCTCGGCTCACTGCAACCTCTGCCTCCTGGGTTCAAGCAATTTTCCTGCCTCAGCCTCCCGAGTAGCTGGGATTACAGGAGTCTGCCACCACGCCTGGCTAATTTTGGTATTTTTGTTTGTTTGTTTTGAGATGGAGTCTTGCTCTGTCGCCCAGGCTGGAGTGCAGTGGCGCAATCTCGGCTCACTGCAAGCTCCGCCTACCGGGTTCACGCCATTCTCCTGCCTCAGCCTCCTGAGTAGCTGGGACTACAGGAGCCCGCCACCACGCCCGGCTAATTTTTTGTATTTTTTAGTAGAGACTGGGTTTCACCGTGTTAGCCAGGATGGAAATTTTGGTATTTTTTTAGTAGAGATTGAGTTTCACTGTGTTGGCCAGGCTTGTCTCGAACTCCTGACCTCGTGATCCACCCACCTCTGTCTCCCAAAGTGCTGGGATTACAGGTGTGAGCCACCGCAGCCTAATGTCCCTTTTAAAAACTACTATGGGCTGGGCATGGTGGCTCATGCCTGTAATCCCAGCACTTTGGGAGGCCCAGGCAGCGGATCACTTGAGGATGGGAGTTAGAGACCAGCCTGGACCAACATGATGAAACCTCGTCTCTACTAAAAACACAAAATTAGCTGGGTGGGGTGGTGCAAGCCTGTAATCCCAGCTACTGAGGCTGAGGCAGTAGAATTGCTTGAAGCCGACAAGCGGAGTTTGTGGTGAGCTGACATCATGCCATCGCACTCCAGCCTGGGCAACAAGAGTAAAACTCCCTCTCAAAAAAAAAAAGGGGGGGGGGCTATGTAGGCCAGATGCCACGGGCCATCCCTGTAATCTGTAATCCCAGTAATTTGGGAGGCCAAGGCAGGAGGATCCTTTCAGCCCAGGATTTTGAGACCAGCCTGGGAAACATAGTGAAACCAAGTTTCTACAAAAAGAAAAAAATACGAAAACTAGCCGGGCTTGGTGGCTCATGGCTGTGGTCCCAGCTACTCAGAAGGCTGAGGTAGGAGGATCGCTTGAGCCCAAGAGGTCAAGGCTGCAGTTAGAGGAGATCACGCACTGCACTCCAGCCTGGGTGATAGAGCCGTACCCTGTCTCAAAATATTATTTAATTAAAAGTATTATGTAATAACAGACGGTGACTTTTTTCCCACTTCACTACCCCTTGCCCTCCTCATCCTAGGAAAAGGGAAGACAGTGATTCACAACTGAATAAGTCACTTCCCTCTGGCTGAATAGGGAATCCAAGTGGAACATAACCTCTGATGCCAAGATTTATAGAATGTACGTCTTATAGACACCAATTTTAAAATTCTCAATCTGATGTGTATAAACAAGTTTTTAGTTATTAGATTATATACATGGAAGTCAACATGTCACAACTAATCATATCCAATGAACTCACCCACTCATCTAAACCCAAAGTCTCTCGCCCTGTTGACCAGGCTGCAGTATAGTGGCATGATCTCAGCTCAGTGCAGCCTGGACCTCCTGGGCTCAAGTCATCCTCCCAGCTTGGCCACCAGAGCAGCTGGGAGTACAGGTTTATTTACTTATTATTATTATTTTTTTTTTGGCAGAGATGGTGTTCTCACTATGTTGCCCAGGCTGGTCTCGAAATCCTGGACTCAAGCAATCCACTTGCCTCATTCTCCTGAAGTGTGGAGATTACAGACTTGAGCCACTGCACCCAGCCCCTCTGTCTTCATTACTGCACTTCCCTCCCTAATTCTGTATATCTCTCTCATTCTCCCCTTCTCTCTCTAGCTCTTGTTTTCTTTTCTTTCTTCCTGGGATTCTGCTCTTCATTTTGTGCCCCTCTCCTCTTCTGCCGTTTATCCCTTTCTTCCCTCTCTATTCCTTCTCTTCCACCTCTTCTGCTCCATCCTCACAACTTATTTAACCTCTTATTGCTCCTTCTCCCCAATATTTCAATCATCCTCAATCTCTGTCTATTTCTGCCTCTTCTCCCATCTCTGTGCCTCCTCTGTTCTCCCTGTTAAATTCTCTCTTCCCTGATACACTCCCGTGTCCCGACCCTGTGGCACCCCAGATCCCCAGGTGTCCTCCCTGCTGTGTTTCTCCCTCTGTTCTCCTTGACACAAGCACCACTCTGCTCTGTCTGCCCTGGCTCCAAATCCTTCCCTCTCTCCCTCACTCTGATGAGCCTCCCTCTTCGCTGCCACTCTCCCTACCTTGCCGTCCTTCATGTCTCTGTATATCTAGCTTTTCTCTACATTTCTCCAGTTCCTTTTGTCCTCCTGCTTTCTTACTTTTTTCTGTGTTTTGTTTTTCACTTTTGCCATCTCTTGACAAAAGAAAGAGACAAAGTATAGAGAAAGAACAGTGGGCCCAGGGGACCGGCGCTCAGCATACGGAGGACCCACGACGGCACTGGTCTCTGAGTTCCCTCAGTATTTATTGATCACTATCTCTACCATCTCAGAGAGGGGGATGTGGCAGAACAATAGGGTAATAGTGGGGAAGGGTCAGCAGGAAAACTTGTGAACAAATGTCTCTGCATCATAAACAAGGTAAAGAAAAAAGTGCTGTGCCTTTGATGTGCATATACATAAACACCTCAATGCCTTAAAGAGCAGTATTGCTGCCCGCATGTCTCACCTCCAGCCCTAAGGCCGTTTTCTCCTATCTCAGTGAATAGAACATACAATCGGGTTTTACATGGAGACATTCCATTGCCCAGGGATGAGCAGGAGACAGATGCCTTCCTCTTATCTCAACTGCAAAGAGGCCTTCCTCTTTCACTAATCCTCCACAGCACAGACCATTTATGGGTGTCGGGCTGGGGGATGGTCGGGTCTTTCCCTTCCCACGAGGCCATATTTCAGACTGTCACATGGGGAGAAACCTTGGACAATACCTGGCTTTCCTAGGCAGAGGTCCTTGCAGCCTTCCACAGTGTTTTGTGTCCCCGGGTACTTGAGAATAGGGAGTGGTGATGACTTTTAACAAGCATACTGCCTTCAAGCATTTGCTTAACAAAGCACAACCTGCATAGCCCTAAATCCATTAAACCTTGAGTCAACACAGCACATTTCTGGGAGCACAGGGTTGGGGGTATGGTTACAGATTAACAGCATCTCAAGGCAGAAGAATTTTTCTTAGTACAGAACAAAAGGAAGTCTCTTATGTCTACTTCTTTCTACGTAGACACAGTAACAGTCTGATCTCTCTTTCCTTTCCCTACAGGACAGCCCCTCAACTCTCTGTGGATCACAGGCTGAGCTCAGCCCTCAGAAATGGAGGACACAGAGCTTCGATGCTCAATGCTGCGCACAGATGACAAGCACCTGCGCCACTGCAGGTATTACTGAGGGTGGGTTCCATCCCATCAGAATAAGAATCCCTGCTAAAGCGGCACAAAAGCTCTATTTGCAAAATGCTCTGCACTCTAATGTGAAGCCAGGGTTGAGCTCCACTCAGAGGGGGCGAGCCCAGCACAGCCCCACGTTCTGGCTCCGCCCTCCCCTTGGGGCCTTGTTCTTACTAGGATCCAGAGTGGATGACAAAAGCACAAAAGTAATCACACAGAACAAGCAAGATAGACCAGAGGTGGTGTGAGGGTTGGGCTGTGTGAAAGGAAAATAAATTTGGGGCCACCAGATCACTACACAAAAGGGAAAAGTCAAGCTAGGAACTGCTTAGGAAACCAGACTCGCCTTCCATTCAAAGTCCGACTCTCTTTTTGGACTCAGCCCGCCTGCACCCAGGTGAAATAAACAGCCATGTTGCTCACACAAAGTCTGTTTGGTGGTCTCTTCACATGGATGCGCATGAAATTTTGTGAAGAGACCACCAAACAGGCTTTGTTGGAGCAACATGGCTGTTTATTTCACCTGGGTGCAGGCGGGCTGAGTCCAAAAAGAGAGTCAGTGAAGGGAGATAGGGGTGGGGCCGTTTTATAGGATTTGGGTAGGTAAAGGAAAATTACAGTCAAAGGGGGGTTGTTCTCTGGCGGGCAGAGTGGGGGTCACAAGGTACTCAGTGGGGGAGCTTTTGAGCCAGGATGAGCCAGGAGAAGGAATTTCACAAGACAATGTCATCAGTTAAGGCAGGAACAGGCCATTTTCACTTCTTTTGTGGTGGAATGTCATCAGTTAAGGCAGGAACCGGCCATCTGGATGTGTATGTGCAGGTCACAGGGTATACGATGGCTTAGCTTGGGCTCAGAGGCCTGACACCCAGAGACACAATACACTGTGGAAGTCTGCAGGGACCTCTGCCTAGGAAAGCCAGGTATTGTCCAAAGTTTCTCCCCCATGTGATATTCTGAAATATGGCCTCGTGGGAAGGGAAAGACCTGACCATCCCCTAGCCCGACACCCGTAAAGGGTCTGTGCTGAGGAGGATTAGTGAAAGAGGAAGGAAGGCCTCTTTGCAGTTGAGATAAGAGGAAGGCATCTGTCTCCCACTCGTCCCTGGCAAAGGAATGTCTGGGTGTAAAGCCCAATTGTATATACCATCTACTGAGATAGGGGAAAACCGCCTTAGGGCTGGAGGTGAGACATGCTGGCAGCAATACTGCTCTTTAAGGCATTGAGGTGTTTATGTATATGCACATCAAAAGCACAGCACTTTTTCCTTTACCTTGTTTATGATGCAGAGACATTTGTTCACAAGTTTTCCTGCTGACCTCTCTACTATTACCCTATTGTCCTGCCACATTCCCCTCTCTGAGAAACGCCCAATAATGATTAATAAATACTAAGGGGACTCAGAGACTGGAGCCAGCGTGGGTCCTCCGTATGCTGAGCGTCGGTTCCCTGGGCCCGCTTTTCTTTCTCTATACTTTGTCTCTGTGTCTCTTTATTTTCTCAAGTCTCTCGTTCCACCTGATGAGAAACGCCCACAAGTGTGGAGGGGCAGGCCACCCCCTTCATATGAGTTCAAGTGAATACACAGCATTAAAAGCAATAAGAACTGACTAACAGTGTCGGAGGGTGCAATTATGATGTCACAAGTACAGTTACATAACACCAGGCAATAGAGCAATTTTATATATATGCATTGCCCTTAGTTACCTAGTTAACTGTGCGTAAAATATAAAACATAGAATGTGTACTGGGAAAATTTATAAACTGAGATCACAGAAAACATTGTATAAAACAAACTGCACAATAAAAACATCAAAAACCTGATGCAGGCTCCCTGGTCTGAATGTTTATATTGGCCAAAAGGGATGTTCAGAGTTCTTATTGTCCAATAGGATGTTCCTGCAGATGGTGCCTGTGAGAGAATTTGGTCATGCGTGTTGACTACACGTGAATAGGACTCGTGCTTTTATTTTTATTATTTATTTACGTATTTTTTGAGACGGAGTTTCCCTCTTGTTGCCGAGGCTGGAGTGCAATGGCGTGATCTTGGCTCACCACAACCTTTGCTTCCCGGGTTCAAGCAATTCTCCTGCCTCAGCCTCCTGAGTTGCTGGGATTACAGGCATGCGCCACCACACCCAGCTAATTTTGTAGTTTTAGTAGAGACAGGGTTTCTCCATGTTGGTCAGGCTGGTCTCGAACCACCAACTTCAGGTGATTTGCCTGCATCAGCCTTCCAAAGTGCTGGGATTACAAGTGTGAGCCACCGCGCACGGCCAGGACTACTGCTCATATAAAGGGAGACATTAAAGAGCTGATTGCTATTTCTTTTTCTGTTTTTTGAGACCAAGTCACACTCTATCACTCAGGCTGGAATGTAGTGGCATGATTCTCCTGCCTCAGCCTCCCAAGTAGATGGGACTACAGATGCATGCCACCATCCTTGGCTATTTTTTTTTTTTTTTTTTTGGGAGACAGAGTCTCACTCTGTCACCCAGGCTGCAGTGTGGTAGTGCCATCATGGCTCACTGCAACCTCTGCCTCCCAGCCAGGTCCAAGTAATTCTCCTGCCTCAGCCTCCGAAGTAGCTGAAATTAGAGGCATGTACCACCACACCCCGCTAATTTTTGTACTTTTGGTAGAGACAGGGTTTTACCATATAGGCCAGGCTGGTCTTGAACTCCTGACCTTCAGTGATTTGCTCCCTAAGTGCTGGGATTACAGGCATGAGCCACTACGCCCGGCTTTGATGTTCCTTTTTTAAAATTTTTTTTTCAATGCAGTCTAGCTCTGTTGCCCAGGCTGGTGTGCAGTGGCGCAACCTTGGCTCACTGCAACCTGTGCCTCCCAGGTTCAAGCAACTGTCCTGCCTCAGCCTCCCGAGTAGGTGGGATTACAGGCGTCTGCCACCACGCCCGGCTAAGTTTTGTATTTTTTTAGTAGAGATGGGGTTTCACTGTGTTGGCCACGCTGGTCTCGAACCCCTGACCTCGTGATCCACGTACCTCGGCCTCCCAAAGTGCTAGGATTACTGGCGTGAGCCACCGCGTCCTGATGTCCATTTTAAAATCTACTATGGGCTGGGCGTGGTGGCTTACGCCTGTAATCCCAGCACTTTGGGAGGCCCAGGTGGGGAGATCACCTGAGGTCGGGAATTAGAGACCAGTCTAGACCAACATGAAGAAACCCCGTCTCTACTAAAGACACAAAATTAGCCGGGCGTTGTGGTGCATGCCTGTAATCCCAGCTACTCCGGAGGCTGAGGCAGTGGAATTGCTTGAAGCTGGGAAACAGAGGTTGTGGCGAGCTGAGATCATACCATTGCACTCCAGCCTGGACAACAAGAGCAAAACTCTCTCTCAAAAAAAAGTTCTATGTAGGCCAGATGTGGTGGCTCATCCCTGTAATACCAGTAATTTTGGAGGCCAAGGCAGGAGGATCCTTTGAGCCCAGGATTTTGAGACCAGCCTGGGAAACATAGTGAAACCCCATTTCTACAAAAAGAATACAAAACCTAGCTGGTCTTGGTGGTTCACACCTGTGGTCCCAGCTACTCGGGAGGCTGAAGTAGGAGGATTGCTTGAGCCTAGCAGGTCAAGGCTGCAGTTAGAGGAAGTTACACCACTGCACTCCAGCCTGGGAGATAGAGCAGGCCTGTCTTAAAGAATTAATTTAATTTAAAGTATTATGTAATAACAGAAAGTGATTTTTTTCTCCCACTTCACTTCCCCATTTCCTACCCGACTCTGGGAAAAGGGAAGAGAGTGACACACAACTGCATAAGTCACTGTCCTTGGGCTGAATAGGGATTACAAGTGGAAGCTAACCTCTGATGCCAAGATTTATAGATTGTACATGTCTTATAAATAGGAAGTTTAAAATTCTCAATCTCATATGTATAATTTGAAACAAGTTTTAATTATTATATTATATACACAGAAGTCAACATGTCACAACTAATCTTATCCAATGTGAAAGGTGCTAGATGCTCAGGGCCCTTGTTCACCAGAAGCAAGGAGTCCCCTGACCACTTCTTCCAAACATATTCTTTTGTCTTTAATTCCCGCGTTCCTTCTCCTTTGTTCAGTCCAACAGGGTCCACGGCAACATGGCACCCATACACAGGGATAGGAGGACATGAAGGAAGAAGGTCTGCTGGAGCAGAAGAAGTGAAATTGATCAGATGAATGGGGACACCAGGAGGAGTCTGCCGCAGCCGATATAAGGTCAGTGCCCTAAAGAGGTACTGAGAGTAATATAAGGTTCAAGGTATAACCCCAGGCTAACCCACCTGCCCTGGGCTGAGTTGCTGGACATGCCTGTGAGTGCTCAGAGTCACACACATGAATGAGGGGGTCAGGCACCACGGTGCCTTTATTCATTCATTTCTCAAACTCAATTCCCTGCAAATCCTGACTCTATTTCATAGGCCAAAGGATGCTACTCATATTTATTTGGTGCCAAATTATTATTATTATTATTATTATTATTATTATTATTATTATTATTATCTTTTGAGATGGAGTCTCACTCTGTCACCCAGACTGGGGTGCGGTGGCGTGATCACGGCTCATTGCAACCTCTGCCTCCCAGGTTCAAGCAACTCTCTGCCTCAGCCACCCGAGTAGCTGGGATTATAGGCAAGTGCCACCATGCCCGGCTAATTTTTGTTATTTTTGGTAGAGACGGGGTTTCACCATCTTGGCCACGCTCGTCTTGAACTCCTGACCTTGTGATCCACCTGCCTCGGCCTCTTAAAGTGCTGGGATTATAGGCATGAGCCACTGTGCCCGGCCAAAAATTTTTTTTTTTTTTTAAATCCTTACATCTGCACCTTGAAAAGTAAACTGCAATATCCAGCACAACATTGTCAGACAGAGCTGCTGTATGGTTATTTAGCTTCATCTGCCTGGGTAATGTTTAATATGCTTCATCCTTTACAGCTGGAAGAAGGATGTTCTCTGTATTTAACCAGCCATAGTGCATTCAGAGATAAACAGCTTTTATGGACTATTTGCCCAGGAATTTTCAGTAAACAACTAAGTTCAGGCCCTGATTTTATTTCGGTCAGTATGTGCACATATTCACTTGCAATTACCCAGAAAGAAGAGAAACTGGTTAACAAGAAACCTACCATTATGTCAGATGCTGGAAATCAATCTTTAGCTACATAATATTTACAGGAAGCATTTTAAGATTCATAATCGACTGGGCACGGTGGCTCACGCCTGTAATCCCAGCACTTTGGTAGGCCGAAGCAGGTGGATCACGAGGTCAGATCAAGACCATCCTGGCTAACACGGTGAAACCCCGTCTCTACTAAAAATACAAAAAATTTGCCGGGCATGGTGGCAGGCACCTGTAGTCCCAGCTACTCGGGAGGCTGAGGCAGGAGAATGGCATGAACCCGGGAGGCGGAGCTTGCAGTGAGCCAAGATTGTGCCACTGCAATCCAGCCTGGGAGACAGAGCGAGACTGCGTCAATAAATAAATAAATGAATACAGATAAAAAAATCATAATCCACTTTTTCAGTCTGTCTATTATATTTCATTAGTCAATTGGAAGTGGCATATGAGCTTTATCTGGAAAAAATATTTTCACATTTTCTAATTCCTTTGACAAAGAAGTTTTTGTCTGGTAAGGAATGAGAATGCTATTTGGCCATTACCTACTTTTAGAATTCCAACTAACCCTTCAAATATCTTTATTTAGATCATATGCTCTCAAACTATCTTACTGTTTTACTGACACAATGGTAAAACTGGTTTCCCAAAATGTCAAAACCATAATGGAATCTCTATGGTCAGTGCTTCAAAAAAGTACTGGGAACGAGAAGTTTCTTTTTTCCTTTTTTTTTTTTTTTTTTTTGAGATGGAGTCTCGCTCTGTCTCCCAGTCTCCCAGGCTGGAGTGCAATGGCACAATCTCCGCTCACTGCAAGCTCTGACTCTCAGGTTCTCACCATTCTCCTGCCTCAGCCTCCCAAGTAGGTGGGACTTCGGGCGCCCGCCACCACACCCGTCTAATTTTTGCTATTTTTAGTAGAGATGGGGTTTCACCGCATTAGCCAGGATGGTCTTGATCTCCTGACCTCATGATCTGCCCGCCTCGGCCTCCCAAAGTGCTGGGATTACAGGCGTGAGCCACTGCGCCCGGCCTTGGGAAAGAGAAATTTCTGAATCAGGTTAACATGGGGCACAATTTGTTTATTGAAGAAAAACTTTATGTGAAGTTGCTTGAAGTTTTACTTAAACAATCTGTGGCTCAGGTTAGTTGTCAGACATTAACTAAGCTTCTGCATGAGATTACCATGCATAACCCATGGTTTCCACAGACAGGCACTCTTGATTTGAAAAATTGGGACAGAGCAGGAGAAGGATTAAAATGGGCTCATCAATAGCCGGGCGCGGTGGCTCATGCCTGTAATCCCAGCACTTTGGGAGGCTGAGGCGGGCAGATCACCTGAGGTCGGGAGTTCGAGACCAGCCTGAAAAATATGGTGAAGCCCTGTCTCTACTAAAAATACAAAAATTAGCCTTGACTGGTGGCCGGCACCTGTAGTCCCAGCTACATGGGAGGCTGAAGCAGGAGAATTGCTTGAACCCGGGAGGCAGAGGTTGCAGTGAGCTGAGATCATGCCACTGCACTCCAGCCTGGGAGACAGAGCAAGACTCCGTCTCAAAAAATAAATAAAAAATAAAATAAAATAAAATGGGCTCATCAAGCAGGCCTTAAAGTTGATCATCTGTTTTCTCCACTTGGAGTTTTGTTCATACTGTCCTTCTGCCATTATCTCCTTCTTATTCTGCTGGACAGAAGGAGTCATGTTCTGAGTCTAAAAATCTGAAAGAATCTGTTGTCCCACCCACAGCACCAGTTGAAAATAAAAAACAGGAGAGGGAGTATAAAAATTGGCCTGTACCGCCCCCTCCAATTGCAGAAACATCTGTACCGCCTCCTTCGGTAGCAGAAATAGAAACCCCAATAGAGAGAATTTTATGCTCTGCTGCCATAGCTGGAGAGCTCTTAGGACCCTGTGCTTTTCCTATCTCCATAAGGCCCGATACAAATAGCCCACAGCAGCTTATTCATCAACACACCCCACTAGAGTTTAAGTTGTTGAAGGAATTAAGAGCTAGTGTACTTAATAATGGAATACAGAGCCCATTCACTTTAGGATTGCTAGAATCTGTATTTGGTGCTATGCACCTTCTACCCTTTGATGTAAAGCATTTGGCTTGCACTTGTTTGTCTGCTAGTGTATACCTGACATGGAATTTAAATTGGCAAGAAATGTGTGCAGACCAAGCTAGACAGAACCGTGCTGCTGGACACAGAGACACTACAGAGGATATGCTGTTAGGTCATGGCCCTTATTCAGACCTGGAACATCAAATGGCACTCCCAGACGCTGCTTATCAGCAGTGTGCACTGGCCACTAAACATGCCTGGGCCACAATTACAGAAGAGGGAGTCCCAGTACAATCCTTTTTAAATATTGTGCAAGGGTCTCAGGAACCTTATGCACAATTTCTTGCAGGATCTCAAGAGGCAGTCAAGTGTCAGATTCCTCACACCACTGCTGCAGAAATGTTAACCTTAACCCTAGCTTTTCAGAATGCAAATGCAGATTGTAAACATGCACTGGCACCTGTGAAATGTACAAAAACTTGGGAAATTTTCTCAGAGCTTGTCAAGATGTGGGAATTGAGCTGCATTGCTCCACAATGTTAGCACAAGAAATGGCTAATTTGGCAGTTGATAAGTCTAAAAAGAGCCAATGGTCAAACCCTAAAATGGAAAAAAAAAAAAAACCCTAAAATGGGAAAATGTTATAACTGTGGAAATAACTGGACATTTTAAAAAGGAATGCAGTGAGATCTCAAGAGAGAAAGGACCTTACAATGCGGTTCCCCACTACTACCAGGAAAAAATGCCAGGACTCTGTCCTCACTGTAACAAAGAAAATCACTGGGCTAATCAGTGCCACTCAAAATTTCATCAGAATCGTACCCCCATCAGGAAATGAGAAGGGGGCCTGGACCCAGGCCCCTCAAACAATAAGGGCATTCATATTTCAGACCACAACCACACTTCAGGGGTGGGTCCCAGAAGAAACATTGATTCCCTCACCCCAGGAACACCAGGAAGTCCAGGATAAGATCTCCCTGCCAGAGAAAGAATTATATTAGTTGGAGGAGACAAACCTACCAAAGCTCCCCCTGGCATTTAGAGACCTTTACCAGCAGGATACATGGGACTAATTTTGGGCAAGAGCCATCTTAACTTGTGAGGCATCACTGTAGTCCCTGGAGTAGTTGACTCCAATTATGAAGGAGAAATTCAAGTAGTTTTAATGTCACAAGATCTTCAGGTTTTTGAACCAGGAGAATATATTGCTCAATTGTTGCTTATTCTCTGCAAATTACACCCTTCTCCATGAAAAGAGAAATGAGGGAACAAAGGGTTTGGGAGCACAACTACATGGGAAATCTATCCCAACCCATAAACTCTAATAGACCTACCTGTGTAATACAAATTAAAGAAAAGAAATTTTATGGGCTAATGGACACAGGAGCTGATGTGTCAGTAATAACCAGTAAGGACCGGCCCCTACCATGGCCTCTCAGACTAACCTCCACATCCCTAGTGGGAGTAGGAGCAGTTCAAAGTGTTTGACAGAGTGCTGAGATTTTACTTTGTCTTGGTCTGGGTGGACAGTCATATACTTTTCAGCTCTATGTTGCAAATATAGCTATCAATTTATGGGGCTGAGACTTACGGCATGGGATAGCAGACTTACAAGTGAAAATTTGATAACCCAGGATTTAAAATGTTGAAGAATATGGGATATCAGAGTGGGAAAAGTTTAGGGAAATTCCTACAAGGAACTCCTAACCCGATATGAGAAACTGGAAAAACAGATAGAAAAGGGCTAGGACATCAGGATTTCTGATGGGGGTCATTGATATTTCTCCTCTGCCAACTGCCTTACCATTAGAATGGCTCAGCAAAACACCTGTATGGGTCGATCAATGGCCCCTAACACAGGAGAAACAAACTCAACTTCAGCAGCTAGTAAAAGAGCAATTGGATGCAGGACATATAGTGATGTCAGCTGGAATTCACCAGTGTTTGTTATCTCAAAAAAGCCCGGAAGATGGTGACTGTGGCATGATTTGAGAGCTGTTAATGCACAAATTAAACCAATGGGTGCATTACAGCAAGGTCTGCCAGCCCCAGCAGCCATTCCAAGATACTGGCCTCTTGTAGTAATAGATCTTAAGGATTGTTTTTTTTTTTTACTATACCCTTACATAAGAAGGATAAGCCTCAATTTGCTTTCTCTGTGCCTTCTATTAATCAAAGAGAACCTGTTTCTCGCTATCAATGGAAAGTTTTACCTCAAGGCATACTTAACAGTCCTACACTATGTCAGCATTTTGTAGGAAGGGCATGAAAGGAGCCTTGGAATATGTTTCCTACTGCTTACATCATTCATTATATGGATGACATTCTTTTGGTCGCTCCTACAGATCAAATCTCACATGAGTTATTCCGAGGAACAAAGCAGGCTTTAACTAAATGGAATCTCAAAATAGCTCCAGAAAAGGTACAATTTCCCCATACCATTACGCAGGCACTATTGTTACTGAAAGAAGTGTACAGCCTCAGAAAGTAGTTCTCTGTAAAGACAGGTTACAGACTTCAAATTATTTTCAACAGCTATTAGGGGATATTAATTGGCTGCACTCAGCCAGGCGCGGTGGCTCACGCCTATAATCCCAGCACTTTGAGATGCCGAGGCGGGTGGATCATGAGATCAGAGGTTCGAGACCAGCCTGACCAACATGGTGAAACCCCGTCTCTACTAAAAATACAAAAAAATTAGCTGGGCGTGGTGGCTGGCGCCTGTAATCTCAGCTACTCAGGAGGCTGAGGCAGGAGAACTGCTTGAACCCAGGAGGTGGAGGTTGCAGTGAGCAGAGATCACTGCACTCCACTGCACTCCAGCCTGGGCGACAGAGAAAGACTCTGTCTCAAAAAAAAAAAAAAAAGAAAGAAAGAAAAGAAAGAAAAAATTTCTTCTGGTGTGAAAACTCACGTTAATAAATGTAAGTGGTGATTTTTTTGATTCTCCATTGCTCCCACAAGAACAGAAAACACACATTAGGGAAAAATCTTATGAATGTAATGAGCATGGCAAAGTCTTTAGAGTGTCTTCAAGCCTTGGTAACCATGACATAATCCTGGATCCAGATAAACTTTACAAATGTAATGAGTGTGGTAAAGTCTTTAGGAAAAATTCATACATTGTACAACATCACAGAATTCATATAGGAGAGAAATCTTACAAACGTAATGAATGTGCAAGGTCTTTAATCGCAATTCACATCTTGCAGAACATCTGAGAATTCATACTGGAGAGAAACCTTACAAATGTATGGAATGTGGCAAAGTCTTTAGTCGCAATTCACACCTTACAGAGTATTAGTGAGTGAATACAGGACAGAAACCTTACAAATGTAATGAATGCGGCAAGTTCTTTAGTTGCAATTCAAACCTTGCACAACATCGAAGAATTCATACTGGAGAAAGTCTCAGAAACATAATGAATGTGGCAAAATATTTAACGAGTGGTTAGACCTCACTGCCCATCTTGTAATTCATACTGGAGAGAACCTTACAAATGTAAAAAAATTTGGCAAAGTCTTCAGGTATGAGTTATCCCTTATCAATCATCAGAGAATTCATACTGGAGAGAAACCTTACAAATGTAATGAGTGTGGTAAAGTCTTCAGGAATAATTCATACCTTGCATGACATCAGAGAATTCATACTGGAGAGAAACCTTACAAATGTAATGAATGTTACAAGGTCTTTACTCAGAGTTCACACCTTGCAGAACATTGGATAATTCATACTGGAGAGAAGCCTTACAAATGTAATGAATGTGGCAAAGTTTTTAGCCCGAGACTGAGTTATTTCTTACTGGAGAGAAACCTTACAAATGTAATGAATGTTACAAGGTCTTTACTCACAGTTCACACTTTATAGAACATTGGATAATTCATACCAGAGAAAAGCCTTACAAATGTAATGAATGTGGCAAAGTTTTTAGTCAACTTTCATACCTTGTATGACATCGAAGAATTCATACTGGAGAGAAGTGTTACAAATATATTGAATGTGGCAAAGCATTTAGTGACTATTCAGGCCTTATTGCCCATCTTCTAATTCATAGTGGAAAGAAACCTTACAAATGTCATGAACGTGGCAAGGTCTTCAGGCATAGTTTATCCCTAAGCAATCATCAGAGAATTCATACTGGAGAGAGGCCTTACAAATGTAATGAATGTGGCAAGGTCTTCAATCAAATTGCACACCTTGCACGACATTGGAGAACTCATACTGGAGAGAAACCTTACAAAAGTAATGAATGTGGTAAGATCTTTAGTCACAATTCACACTTTACAGAACACTGGATAATTCATATGGAAGAGAAACCTTATAGATGTAATGAATGTGGCAAGGTCTATAGTAGCTATTCATACCTAGCACAATGTTGGAGAATTCATACAGGAGAGAAACTTTACAAATGCAATAAATGTGCCAAAGAATTTGGTGGGCATTCAAGCCTCACTGCCCATCTGTTAATCCACATTGGAAGGAAACCTTATACATGTAAGGAATGTGATAAGGACTTCAGGAACAAGTTCTCCTTAACAATTCATCAGAGAATTCATACTGGAGAGAGACATAAATGTAACGAATGTGGCAGAGCCTTTAATCAAATTTCACACCTTGCAAAACATCAGATAGTTCATACTGGAGAGAAATCTTACAAATGTAATTAATATAGCTAAGCATTTAGTGTGCATTCAAGCCTTGCCTTTCATAAAATAATCCATAATGCACAGAAACCTTAAAAATGTAGTGAGTGAGACTAGGTTTTTAGACAAAAGTTCCACCTTACAAGTTATTACAGAGTCCATTCTGGAGAGAAACCTTACAAATATAATGAGTGTGGTAAGGTCTTCACTCAGATTTCACATCTTGCATATCATCACAGAATCCATACTGAAGAGAAACATTACAAATGCCATGTATGTGGTAAGGTCTTTAGTCACAAATCACAACTTACACCGCATCAGATAATTAATTCATGAGACAGTCATTACAAACCGAGTATGGCAAACTTTTCATCATGAGCGTTAATCAACATCAGAGTCCATAGTAAAGAGAAACCATGTAAATGTAGTGTACAAGACACAGGCTTTGTCGAGGCCTGCCACATCACTAGACATCAAAAGATATATCTTTGAAAATACCTCACAGATAGATTTTGTATGCTGAGGCTATAACTCAAGGAATATTACTAGAGTACATCAGAAGACTTATGCAAGAAATAACTCAGTCTCTGGTTCTCTTATATTAATGTATGACATTGCATGCTGAAGAAATATTATACAACAAAATATGTTTATCCTCATGACATGATGTGTACCAAAGGTTCAACGGCATGTGGAAATGATCAGTTATATTCAGCTTATAATTTTTTAAAAAATTATTTGGGAGGTTTTTTGAAAAGGCTTCTTTACTCTTTATGACTTTAGCCTGAACTTTGAAATCTTTTCATGGCATGGAGGTGAGCAGAGAATAATGTAAAACTATGATGCCAGTCATTATACTTATTGTGTTCAATGTATCCTTTTCCTTACAGAATGGCTTAGTGCTTCTATGCTCTACCAAATAACCTCAAAATAGAGCATGCCATGGCCTTAGGAAAATAGGATTTTTATGGAAAAGAGTAATGGGTTCTTAGGGACTGATTATGCCATAGAAATCATCCAGGGGAAATGATGGCCACCTCCTCAACTGAATAGCAATAGCTGTTGTTTAGCAAAAATTGATGAACTATAGTCTTATTTTTGAAATGGAAGAGAGAACAGTTATATCAGAGTAGAGAGTTTAATGAAAACTGCCAATATAGCATGTTCTTGAATAGAATTCACATTTAACTGTTGGTAATATAATGTGCAACTTTGATTTAGAATGTGCATAGTTCTCATGTTTTATGTAATAAAGTTTAAATTTTCTTAAGTATGAATGAATCATGTTATGTCTACCAACACTGTTTTATCCCACCACAGGAAGATACTTTATAGCAGACAATAATAATGCACCATTAGGGTTCTCACCATGTTGGGCAGGCTGGTCTCGAACTCATGGCCTCAGGTGATCTACCCGCCTTAGCCTCCCAAAGTGCTGGGAATACAGGCATGAGTCACTGTGCCTGGCCACCATATTATTATATTTCTATGTGCCTTTTTGTGTGTATGCCAAATAAGACCCATGGCATGCACTTTCATTTATATGAAGTATACCAATATAGTAATATGAAAAATAAGATGTAAAAAGGTATGAGGTTAAGGGTAAAAATACTGTAATAATGTCTTTTTCGTATTAGTGACATTAATCTGAAAATACTAATCTTCATACATTTTCTCAAGAATGAACACACAAAATGAGTATTGTTTTCTTTTGGCAGACTGACTAGAAATTTCATATATTCACCTTCATACCTTTTTTTTGGTAATTTTAACTTTTGCCCACTGTACTGGAACTTGTCTAAAGTCTACCTGAGGTTTGGTTTGGATATTGATAATGATGATGCCATACACTCAAATGGCCTGAAAATGTTTATTACATAATGAGGCTTTATGGAGAAAGCAGGGTAGACTTCTCTAGCTGGTTCAAATGCAGCTTCAGAGAACTGGAATAGATGACTGGCTTGGGGTACCATGATTGTTAAAGGATAGGGCTGGGGTTGGAGTACCCACTTGTGGTTTGAACTTCCAGCTGGTGCAAAAGGAGGGGGCACTCAGGCTTTATTATCAGCTTGACAAGATGGGCAGAATACAAAGAGGGAGTGCAGAGGTGTAAAATGTGTTAGTAATTGTATTAGGGTTCTACAGAGAAACAGAACTAATAGGATCTGTGTATATATAAAAGGGAGTTTATTAGGGAGAACCGGCTCATACAATTGTAAAGTTAAGTTCCACAATAGGCTCTCTGCAAACCAGGGAAGAGAAAAGCTGGTAGTCGCTCAGTTAAAATCCAAAAGTCTCTGAACCAGGGAAGCCAACAGTATTACAGCCTTGTATTAGTCCATTCTCACATTGCTATAAAGAAATATCTAACACTGGGTAATTTATAAAGAAAAGAGGTTTAATTGGCTCACAGTTCTGCAGGGTGTGCCGGAAGCATAATGCCAGCATCTCTCTGACTTCTAGGGAGGCCTTAGGAAACTTAAAATCATGAAGGAAGGTGAAGTAAGAGCAGGCACTTCACATGGCCAGAACAGGAGGAAGTGGGTGGGGGTAGGTGCCACACATGTTTAAACAACCAGATCTCACAAGAACTCACTATTGCAATGGTAGCACAAAGAGGAAGATGGTGTCAAACCACATGAAATGCCCTCCATGATCAAATCACCTCCCACCAGGCCCCACTTTCAGCACTGGGGATTACAGTTCAACATGAGTTTTGGATAGGGACATAGATCCAATCCATATTAGGCTTTCAGTCTATGGCTAAAAGCCTGGAAGCCCTTGGGAAGCCACTAGTGCAAGCCTCAGAGTCCGAAGGCCAAAGAACCTGGAGTCTGATTTCCAAGGGCAGGAGGAGTGTAAGCAAGCGTCCAGCATAGAAAGAAGAAAGAGCCAGAAGACCCAGCAAGTCAATTTATTCTACCTTTTGCCTGTTTTGTTCTAGCCGTCTGGCAGTCAACTGGATGGTGCCCACCCACACTGAGGGTGGGCCTTCCTCTCCCAGTTTACTGACTCCAATGTCAATCTCCTTTAGCAATACACTCACTGACATATCCAGAAACAATACTTTATGAACCATCTAGGCATCCCTCAATCCAATCAAACTGACAACCAAGATTAACCACAAGTCTACCCCTCATCAACTTGGCACCCATACACATCTCCTTAAATCATAATCTCCAAATATAGACAATAATGTCATAATTATGCCTCAGCAGTTCTTTTGGAGTGCAGCGCACCTCCTCACGGGTCACATCACCTCTAGCAGCCACTGGGACTTGAGTCTAGTTACAGGTCTAGAGGCAAAGAAGGGTGGTGGGGGAGGATCCTGAGAAGAATCAGCATTGCCTTGCCTCGCATCTGCCTCAGAGGAGGCCATTGTTGTTTCCTCAGGCAATGCATGGTGAATGTCCTCAGAAAAAAGGTACAAAGGCTGAAAGCAGCCTTGGTGGGGAAGAAGATGTTGCCACCATGAGGGGTAGGGAGGCCATTTTCTCTCGCAAAAAGGGCTCATCAGGGTTTAAGAGCTCAGTGTTCCCAGCTTCATCAGGATCCTCCCACACATCCCCATGTCAAGTTACATGCTCCCAATCTTTCCCAATCAATGCCCTTACTTTATAGATACCTGGTGAGGCTGAGTGTGCACCAATTATTGTAGGTCATCCACTCACATAAGAGCTTGTGTCTGATTTTTGGCAATTTCAGCCTTTTGTCTACAAAACAGTCGCACCCAGGGTACCCTTAGAAGCTTTGAGGCTAAGTATGATATATTCTAGATCTGGGAGGTATCATCTCTGAGCTTATCCATTTCTTTCATCATTTTTTACCAGGGAACTTAGGAAAGCAACTTCATTATGTTCTTTGGTTCTCCAGAAATGTTGAAAAGTATCATGTATAAAGTCACTAAACTCCTTGCCTCTCAGGAGCACTGAATCATGAGTATCAAATACATTTATTTTGCACAAGTCTCTGAACAATGCATACCAAGGACTATCAGTGTTCTCTGTACTATTAGAAGTAGAGACCTTAGCATTTTTAGTTGTAATAAGATTAGAGAGCCAACTCCAGAAGCCCCTAAACCAACTAAGGAAATTCATCCTTAAAATTTTGTTCCTCTAGGCTGGACACAGTGGCTCACACCTGTATTCCCAGTACTTTGGGAGGCCAAGGCAGGTGGATTACTTGAGCTCGGGAGTTCGAGATCAGCCTGGGAAGCATGGCAAAACCACATCATACAAAAAATGCAAAAATTAGCCAGGTATGGTGGTGCACACCTGTAGTCCCAGCTGCCTGGGGAGCTGAGGCAGGAGGATGGCTTGAACCTCAGAGGTGGAGGTTGCAGTGAGCCAAGATTGCACCACTGCACTCCAGCCTGGGCAAAAGAGTGAGACCCTGTCAAAAAAAAAAAAACAAAAAAAAACCACTCCAGGTACCAAAGTCTGTATTAGTCAGGGTTCTCTATAGGTACAGAACAAATGGGATACATGTATATATAAAAGGGAGTTTATTAGGGAGAATTGGTTCACACAATTACAAGGCAAAGGTCCCATGATAGGCTGTATGCAAGCTGGAGAAGAGAGAAGCTGGTAGTGGCTCAGTCCAAGTCTGAAAACCTCAAAACCAAGGAAGCCAATGATGCAACCTTCAGTCTGTGACCAAAGGCTCGAGATATCCCAGGAAGCTGCTGGTTCAAGTCCCAGAGTCCAAAGGCTGAAGAACCTATAATCTGATGTCCAAGGGCAGGAGAAGCATAAACAAGCATCCAGCATGGGAAGAAGAAAGAGAACCAGAAGACTCAGCAAGCAAGGTTATCCCACCTTCTTCCACCTGCTTTGTTCTAGCCACACTGGCAGCCAATCGGATGGTGCCCACTCACACTGAGGGTGGGTCTTCCTCTCCTAGTCCACTGACTCAAATGTCAATCTCCTCGGCAACACCCTCACAGACACACCCAGAAACAATACTTTATCAGCCATCTAGATATCCTTCAACTCACTCAAGTTGACACCTAATATTAACCATCACATTACTCAGACATCACAAAATGAAGTCTAACTCTTTAGGATAACACTGAATGTTTACTCTTGAAACTCCAGACTTGGTTAGGAGAGACTTCAATTTTCTTCATGGTAATAGCTTATTACATTCCTCTTGTGGCTGGACACATAGGTCCCATTGCACAATATGACTGTTGAAAATGCTTGTGAAATACTGTTTAGTAAAATTGCCTAAGATATTTTTCATATCAGTTCAGTGAAAATTATTGTGAAGTGTTTATTTACATAATATAATTTATCATTATCTAATTGTTATATATAATAAATAGGACTCTACTAGAAGAGCATTTTTCCAAAAGCTACAGAAATGTCATTTTTGATTATGGTATTAAGCAAAATGTTCTCTGGTTCTTTAATTGTAATAAAATTATTTTTTGTTTTTGTACACAATTTTAAAAAGTTTCCTTTTCCATATGTTGCAGTCTACATTCTATGTTTCATGCATTTCTTCCCTTTGTTACTATAGTGAAAAGTTTAGGGGGCACATAAATGAAGCTGTTATTTGGAGAAAAAAAATATGCATGAGTATGCACATAAGATCACGGCAGGTATAAACTAGGTTTATTGTAAATATGAAAAAAAGAAGGAAATACTTATACTATATTAGAAGACTTGAAATCACATGAAATGATTCCAACCTTTTTATTTTTTTTCCCAGATGTTTTAGGCATTCTATCTTTTTTTGCCTTTCTACATAATTTTTTGGATAATCTTGTTAGTATCCACAAAACACCTTGATAGGAAATGTATTAATGTTGTATATCAATTTGGTTAATTTCACATTGTTTCTATGCTGAGTCTTCCAATAAATTGACATTGTATATGTCTCCATTTGAGTGCCTTTGATTTCTTTCGTCAGCATTTTGTAGTTTGTTTTCTTTCTTTCTTTTTTTTTCTTTTTTAAGAGCTGGGGTCTCACTCTGTTTCCCACAGGCTGGAATGCAGTGGTTTGATCATGCTCACTGCCATCTCAACTGACTGCCCTCAAGTGATCTTCCCACCTCCGCCTCCCAAGCAGGTGGGACTACAGGTTTGTGCCACCACGCTCAGCTAAATTTTTTATTTATTTTATTTTATTTTATTTTTTTTGAGATAGTGCTTTGCTCTTGTTGCCCAGGCTGGAGTGCAGTGGTGCGATCTCAGCTCACCACAACCTCCACCTCCCGGGCTCAACAAGTTACTAACAGATATGATCTACAAAAGTAAATTGAGGTGTGGTGGTTCATGCCTGTAATCACAGTCAGCATTTTGGGAGGCTGAGGCCAGCAGATCACTTGAGGTCAAGAGTTCGAGACCAACCTGGCCAACATGGCAAAACCCCGTCTCAACTAAAAATACAAAAATTAACCAGGTGTGGTGTCATGCACCTATAATCCCAGCTATTTGGGAGGCTGAGGCAGAAGAATCACTTGAACCCAGGAGGCAGAGGTTGCAGTGAGCCAAAACTGTTCTACTGCACTCCAGCCTGGGCAACAGAGCGAGACTCTGTCTCAAAAAAAAAAAAAAATTAATCAAGAGAGGGTTGCCTGGGAAAACGTGAAATGAGTTCAAGGATAACAACATGGAACTTCATGAAAGGGTATTATATATTGATTATATATGCACACATTATGTATACACACATGCAAACACATACTACAGCACTATGCTTACTATTGTTTAACTCAGTGTGACAGTGTAGGAAAAATTTAAGGCCATGGAAACTACTGTAGAGATAATTTCAAGTGTTAAATATAAAACTTATTGATTAAATTATGATGAGTGTTTCATAAGAGCCATGGGCTTGCTCATCCATGCACTCATGTAGACATACATATACACACGATTAAATTAACTTATATAACAGTTGTCCACAAGTGAGTTTTTCAACAACTTCTTAAAAATCGCCATTTTTGTTTGTGTCCATTTCAGCATGTATGGAACAATGAAATGTATCAACTGTTCATCAACATTTAGTTCATCAACATTTTTCTATTTTAAGCTAGTAAAAAATGGTATAAACATTAAAAAACATAGAGAAAACTGTTGGGGAAAGGGCTTACGGGGTGCCTGTATAAACTGGCCATAAAAATATGGGACAATAAGTTGCAGAAAGCCACAAGAGGCCTCTGAGGAGGAAAGCCTCCTAATTGCCATAATGTTCGCATGCTCTGAGCAAGACCTGCTCTCTTATCTGTAAACATTGTGTTCAAGGAGAAAGACACTCCTTTGAAGCAATGGAATGTGGCCAGACTTGCTGGCTCCTAGTTAAGCCCACTCCCCACAGCTGCTCTCTGATAAGTTAAAGAATAAATCAGTAGTAAAGTTTATGCTGCTTCAGCACAAAGAAAATTTACCTAAACCGCCACTGCTATAGATTAGGTGTATGACACATCACCTCCCTTTCATCGTTTCACCCCTCAACATCTGCTTCTCAGATCTAAGTGATTGTACACAATAGTGTGGAGACCAGAGATCAGGGCCTTTTGCAGGCTCCTACCTTGAATCTGGCCCCGTGGCCCCCACCTTTATGCACTCTTAACTTGTCTCTTCTCATTCCTTTGTCACCATTGGACTTTGAGTACCCTAAGGGTGGTGTTGAGGCTGGTCCCCAACAGCTTGGCACCCAACCATGGGGCCCGAGAGAATCTGGTAAAGGAACGCTCAAGCGTGTGAAACGGAGGGCCGACGGATGGAGGACTCCTGAGGATGAAAAAGTTTTTAAGCTCTGCAGGTAAGCGAGGCACTCAGAGAAAGCCAGGGACACAAATGGGACAAACTGAATATAAGTACGCCACGTATTTGAGCTTGCTACAGCAACGCTTGAAGCATAGTGGGGTAAAAGTTGATAAGGAAAATCTTACGGATTTGTTTCATGCTGTGGAACAGTTTTGTCCTTGGTTGCCTAAAGAGGGAACTTTGGAATTGAAAGACTGGGAAAGAGTTGGAAAGGACCTTAAAAGAACAAAGGGAGAAGGAAAGGAAATTCCTTTTCCTGTTTGGTCAGTTTGGTCATTGGTGCGTGCAGCACTGGAGCCTTTTCAGACAGACGATGAGGCTGAGTCAGAGGAGGAGAGAGAGGAGTTTGATAATCAGAACTCTGAACCGCCTCTACCAAGTACTAGCCAAAAGGAGAGTCCAGAGGTGATTTATGCCAATCCCCTCCAGTTTCCCTAAACCTACTCAGAAAGTTGTTCAGCCCACGGCTTCTCCAGAGGAATGCCCAGAATGGCCACCACCTCCTCAACCCAGTGAGTGGTGGGGGAGGGAGCCCGATACTCGGCTCACCGAGACTCGGCTCTCCGTGCCAATTATTACCTGCCCCGCAGTTCATTATGGGGAGGGGGCAATTCAGGCTCGCCCTGCAGTTTACTACTGTCTGGGTCAAACAGTGGCCGCTCTGCAAGGAACAGTTGGGGGAATTTCATGAAATAGTTAAAGAACTACTAGAAAAAGGCCATGTTTCACCCACTTTCCTTGGAATTCCCCAATATTTGTAATTAAGACAAAGTCCGGCAGATGGCGCATGCTGACTGACTTGTGAGGGGTCAAAGCTGTAATTCAACCGATGAGAGCTTTACAACCTGGGCTCCCATCCCCCACCATGATCCCTAAAGACGGGCTGCTTGTTATTATAGATTTAAAAAGACTGCTTTTTTACAATTCCTTTAGCAGAGGCAGATTTTGAAAAAATTTCCTTTACCATCCTTGCTGTTAATAACAAAGAATCTGCAGCCAGATATCCTTGGAAGGTTTTATCCCAGGATATGTTAAACAGTCACACAGTTTGTCAAACTTTTGTGGGCAGAGGTATCCAGCCTGTTAGAGATCAATTTCCAGATTGTTACATCATCCATTACATGGATGACATACTCTGTGCAGCAAAAAATAGAGAACAACTTATTCAATGTTATTCATCTTTACAAAAGGCAATTACAAACGCTGGATTGCTTATAGCACCTGACAAAATTCAAACAATGACTCCTTTTCAGTATTTGGGGATGCAAGTACAGGATAGAGCCATTAAGCCGCAAAAGGTTCAAATTAGAAAAAATTCTTTAAAAACCTTTTTGAAATAAAAATCATTTTGAAATGATTTTCAAAAATTGTTAGGAGATATTTATTGTACTTGGCCCACCTTAGGAATTGCTACTTATGCTATGTCTAATCTCTTCTCAGTATTGAGGGGAGATTCCGGCTTACACAGTAAAAGAGGACTAACACCCGAGGCCATGAAAAAGTTAAGAGTAATTGAAGAAAAAATTCAGCAAGCCCAAGTCATTAGGATTGACTCAGACTTGCCTCTACAATTCATTGTCTTCCCTACTTTGCACTCCCTAATGGTGATTATTATTCAAAATGATGATTTAGTTGAATGGTCCTTTTTGCCACATAATACCATAAAAACACTTACAGTATATTTAGATCAGATGGCAATTTTAACCGGACAGGCTGGTATATGAATTGTTAAACTTTGTGGCACTGAGCCCAATAAAATTATAGTTCCAATGAATAAAAATCAAATTAAACAGGCATTTATTAACTCAGTTACATGGCAAGTTAATTTAGCGGAATTTGTTGGATGTATTGATAATCATTATCCTAAAAATAAAACTTTCCAGTTCTTAAAATTAACTACATGGATTCTTCCAAAAATTACTCAGGATGCCCCTTTGGAAGAAGCTGTGACTACTTTTACTGATGGCTACAGTACTGGGAAAATGGCATATGTGGGACCTTGTGATAAAGTTATCCATACTAACTTTTCCTCAGCCCAAACAGCTAAATTACAGGTGGTGATTACAGTATTAGAAGATTTTAATCAGCCAGTTAATATTGTTTCAGATTCAGCTTATGTTGTGTAAGCTACTCTGCATATTAAAACTGCCTTAATTAAATATATTATTGATGAACAGCTTTATCAATTGTTCAACTCTGTACAAGCAGTTGTGCATGCCTGGGAATTTCTTTTCTATATAACTCATGTCCTAGCACATACCAATCTTCCAGGACCCTTGACTAAGGCTAATCAGCAAGCTGACTTGTTGGTTTCCCCCTCACTGACTGATGCCCCAAATTTTGACTTACCTCAGTGCCAGGCAATTACCACATCAAAGAACTGGTGTTAAGCCTCAAAGGTTGGCACCTGACAAGATCTGGCAAATGGACATCACCCACGTTCCTACATTTGGCAAACTTTCTTATGTCCATGTAACCAGAGATACATATTCTCATTTTATATGGGCTACTTGCCAAACTGGTGAGACTGCAGCACATATAAAAAGACGTTTGGTTTCCTGTTTTGCTGTCATGGGAATTCCAAAAAAATTAAAAACAGACAATGGACAGGCTACTGTAGTGGAGCATTAAACACAGTACAAGTATCCCCTATAATTCTCAAGGGCAAGTGATTGTTGAGCGAGCCAATCGAACCTTAAAAATGCAATTACATAAACAGGAGATAGGGGGAGATAGGGAATATTCCACCCCTCATATGCAATTACAATTGGCTCTTGTTACCTTAAATTTTTTGAACATCTCCCAGGATCAGGTTACTACAGCAGCTGAGCAGCATTTAACAAGACAGAAGATAAATGTTCATGAAGGAAAACCTGTGTGGTGGAAGGACTTTAAAACAAAGACCTGGGAAAGAGGGAGAGTTATAACATGGGGAAGAGGGTTTGCTTGTATTTCCCCAGGAGAAAACCAGCTTCCAGTTTGGGTACCTACAAAACATCTTAAACTCTACCATGAGCAAAATTCCAAAGAAAAGGATTTTGGAACCAAGATCTCAACCCCCAAGCACACCTTGATGGCTCAAATGAACATTTCAGCTGACCACATGAAGACAAACAAAACCCGTCAAGTGAGCCCACTGACTTGGGACACATCAAGAGGCTGACCCAGCTTGCAGAAGAAAACCTGAAGGCACAACAAAAACCACTAAACTCGAGTAACCTCATCGTGGCTATGATTGCGGTAATTGCTATGACGGTAAGTCTCCCTGTGACTACAGCAGACCAAAATTATACCTATTGGGCATATGTCCCATTCCTGCCTTTAATTAGGTCTGTCACTTTGTTGGAACCCCCAGTTGAGGTTTATGTTAATAATAGTGTTTGGATGCCTGAGCCTACAGATACTCATGGGCCCTCTCACCCAGAGGAGGAAGGAATGTTAATAAATGTGTCCATGGGTTATCAGTCCCCCCTCTTTACATAGGGCCAGCTATCGGTTGCCTAAAAGGCTATCAACAACATTGGCTAGTTAAGACTTCAGGTCATAATCAAAGACCAGTATCCTATCATTTACTTTCTGGATGGAGCCTGGCTCATTCACAGAGTTCGGTCCAACTGGAACAATTTAAGACCAGAAAAGAGAGGTGTCAACAATCTCAACAATGGTCAAAGGATTTAGAAATATTGATTTGGAAAGATTGCATTGCTGATCATGGTGTGCTACTGCAAAATAATTCCTATGGAATCATCATTGATTGGTCCCCTAAGAGGACTTTTGCAGTTAATTGTACCAATCAGAATGATAGATGAAAGACAAAACTAAAACAGGATCTATACTATCAAAGAGATGACACTACTTACACTGAAAAGTGTGCTCATTTTCCCATAATTTGGACCAATTTTGGTACAGCCGGACCACATCCAAAAATAATTAATCCAATAATAGGCCCTGAACACCCTGAACTATGGAAGTTAATGATGGCCCAATCTCATATTCGAGTTTGGAAGGAAAATACTATCTTGATGGAGAAGGTGAGACACTTCAATTTGTGTATCAGTTTTCTTCCAACAGAACAGTATCCATTCAGAGTTGTGTCAAGCCTCCTTTCATGTTGATGGTCAGAAATATTCATATATGACCTAATTCTAAAATTATTAAATGTCAAAACTGTTGCCTTTTCACCCGTATTGATTCCACGTTTTGTGTGAAAACATCTGTGTTGCTGGTAAGGGCCAGAGAAGGAGTTTGGATACCAGTTTCCCTCAATAGACCATGGGAAGCCTCTCCTTACATTCATATCATCACAGAAATGTTAAGGGGAGTGCTGCTGGAATTGCTTTACATTCCTCTGTTCAAACTGCAGAATATGTAAATAATTGGCAAAATAATTCCTCAAAATTGTGGAATTCTCAGACTCAAACAGACCAAAGAAAATTGGCAAATCAATGATCTTAGACAGACTGTTAATATGGATGGGAGATTGTATAATGAGCTTAGAGCATCTATTGCAAATGTAATGTGATTGGAAATACTTCTGATTTCTGCGTAAATCCCCATTCACATAATGCTACTGAACATCATTGGGAAAAAGTTAGACATCATCTGGAAGGAAGGGATGGAAATTTAACATTGGATATAGCCAAATGAAAGGAACACATTTTTGAAGCATCTCAGGCGCATTTCACTCTCCTGCCTGGAATTGACATCCTAGCTGGAGCTGCTGATGGACTTTCAAATGTGAATCCTCTTAAATGGACCGTTGGAGGATCAACTATTGCAAATTTTACTTTAATGTGTATCGGTTTATGCTGTTTGCTTTTAGTCTGCAGATGGGGAAGATGCCTCTGGAGAGAGACCAGACACCATGAACAAGCCATGATAGCAACGGTGGTTTTAAAAAAGAAAAAATGGGTGGTGTTGAGGCTGGTCCCCAACAAAAACTATATCACTACTATTAATATAATTCAGAACAAAAACAATGCCATCATCTCAATTGATGCAAAAAAAGCATTAGGAACAATTCAACACCATTTCCAGATTAATACACGTAACAAACTAGGATAGAAGAAAACCTTACGACACTGATTTTGGAAAGGATTTACTGGATATAATACCAAAAGCACACGCAAGAAAAGCAAAACACTAAAGGATCTACATCCAACTTAAAGTTTTTGCACTTCAAAGGAATCGATCAAAAGAAGGAAAAGGCAAACCTACGGAATGGGAGAAGAGTTGCAAATCACATATCTGATAGGCATTAATAGATTATCAAGTAACTTCTACAACTCAACACCAAAAATAAATAACCCAATTAATGAATGGGCAAAGGAACTGAACAGATGTTATTCTAAAGAAGATGACAATATGGCCAACAAGCACATGATAAGATGCTCATCACCACCAAACATAACACAAATGCCAATCAACATTACAATGAGGTATCACCTCACACCCATTAGGATGGCCATCATCAATAAAAAAAAAAAAAGTGTTGGAGAGGATGCTGAGAAACTGGAACATTTGTGGACAGTTGGTGAGAATGTAAAATGGTATACCCATTACTGAGGTCAGTAAGGGGGTTCCTCAAAATATTAAAAACAGTACTACCATATAATCCAGCAATCCCACTTCTGGGCATGGGTGTGTGTAGATATTTTATACATCTATATACATACACACACGTATATATATTTGTGTGTGTATATACACACACACGTACATATTTGAAAATATACATCTGGCCAGGCACGGTGGCTATGCCTGTAATCCCAGCACTTTGGGAAGCTGAGGTGGGTGGATCACGAGGTCAACAGATTGAGACCATCCTGGCCAACATGGTGAAACCCCGTCTCTAATAAAAATACAAAATTAGCTGGGCATGGTGGCACGCACCTGTAGTACTTGGAAGGCTGAGGCAGGAGAATCACTTGAACCTAGGAGGCAGAGGTTGCAGTGAGCCAAGATCGCACCACTGCACTCCAGCCTGGTGACAGAGTAAGACTCCATCTCAAAAAAAAAAAAAAAAAAAAAAAATATATATATATATATATACACACACACACACACACACACACACACACACACACACATATCTACATATACACACTCATACCCAGAAGTGAGACTGCTGGATCATATGGTAGTATATATATGTGTGTGTGTGTGTGTGTGTGTGTGTGTGTGTGTGTGTACATACACATTAAAGACTTGAAAGCAGGCCCTCAAAGAGATATTTGCAAATCCCTGCTCATCACAGCATTATATACAATAGCCAAGAAGACAGAAAAACCAACATGCCTATCTACAGATGAATGGATAAAGAAAATGTGTTATACACATGCAATGGAATATTATTCAGCTTTATAAAAGGAGAAAATCCTGTCATATGCTACAACACGGATGAACCTTGAGGACATTACACTAGGGAAAATAAGACAGTCACAAAAGGACAAATACTATGTGATTCCACTCACGTGGGATACTAAAGTAGTCAAATGCATATAAACAACATAGAAAGATGGGTTGACAGAGGCTATAGTGAGGTCAGAAGGGATATAGTGTATTCTGGGTATACAGTTTCAGTTTTGCGAGATGAAAAACTTCTAGATATGTTGCACAGTAACGTGAACATACTTAACATTACTGAACTATAAACAGGCAAATAAACTTTACTAAAAGACATAACAAAGAGCATCATGGACCGGAAAACCCAATTCTTATTAGCAGATGTGGTGACACAAAGACCTCTCTGACTAGGAATCCACAGCCATTCAAACACAAAAGAAATATATGAGTTTTTAATGACTGTGCCCTGTGAAAGGAGAACCATCACAATTTTGAAAAGAAAAACAAAATGGAGGGGTTTTCCAAATATGTAAGAACCTCTTATGACAAACATCTGTAATTTTACAACAAATCAAATACTTATGATATACGCAAAAATTCAAATTAAACACAAATGTAAACAAAATTTTAAACAACAAAACTTTATTCCTAAATGAAACTTAGTACTTCATAATCATGCAAGGCCTTCCAAATCAAGATGAAACAAACAAAGGCACAACAAAAATCAGAAGGTATAAATGAAAGATTTGTCTTACAATTAAAAAATGTATAACCTGAAATAAAAGACATCAGGGCATATGAAAGAAATAAAAACCACAGAAATTAAAACACATACTAAAATACATGGAAAGAAAATTGAGCAAAGCATGAAAATTCATTTTGTATATACATGTCCCCAAAATAATAAAACCTATGTAGACAATAAATTGAAAAATGAAAATACAGAGGGTTGTCATTTTTCCCAGATTTTCAAAATATATATATATATAAACATAGTAGCAAGTTGTTGTTTTTTTTTTAATGAGGGCAAAATTTCACATGTTCTTGATAGGAGAGGTACCCCTGCAGCTGGGGATAACAGGGGAACCTTGAGAGATCTAAGAAAATAGGAAATGCCCCATCCTAGAAGAAGTATTACCCAAGTCTTACCATTTTCACCTGAAACATCTGTTTCACAAGAGTCTCTGCAGGAATACCACAATCTCCATAGGATGGATGTACTTAGAATGGTTTAAAGAATCTCTTGCTGTTAAACATTTACTACAAATGGAGTATAAAATCAGGCAGAAAAGATTTCCTCTTCCTAATCTCTTCTTCCAAATTTTATCAGGCAGTTGTGCACATTAAGACTTCCACGAGCAGCTTCCATAATCCAGTCTACAGAGCTGGCAGTGCCTCCAGACCTGGCCCTTAAACAATCCTTCAATTCCTGCTGCCCAAGAGCAGTGACACCATGGGGCCCACACCCCGTCTCCATCCATGTCTGGGTATAAGCCCTTCCCAATGGAGCCTCTTCACAAATTCCACAGCACCAGTCACTGTGAGATGGAATTTAAGTGACATCAGAGGGCCTGAGGGAAGACATGGGTGAGTGTGAGCAAACATCACAGGCAGCATGCTTCAGACTCAGAGAAGACTGACATCTCCAATGCCTGATGTGTACAGGGAAAAGCTCTCCTCAAATTGTGCTTTTCCTCTACTCTCACACCACAACAATCATCAACATAGAAGACCTCTGTGACTAAATGTATGTGGGTACTTTCCCCACACACCAAGCAGCAGACACTAGCTGGGTATCTTCCAGTTTAATTCCAACACTATCTACTGTGTACATTAAGACTGGAGACGTCAGATCCCACGAGTTGATGGCTCAGTCTCCAAGATTGCCTCCATACACACCAGTCGCAAGTCCAGGCCTTCAGAACTTATGACCACCCAGCTTCAAACTGGGGTTCACACGACCCCCTCTTCAATTAATTTGCTAGATTGGCTCACAGAACTCAGGGAAGCACTTACTTACCTTTACCAGTTTATTATAAAGGATACTGCAAAGGATACAGACGAAGAGGCACCTACAGCAAGGTATGGAGGAAGGAGTGCAGGGCTTCCATGACGCCCCTGGGCTTACTACCTCCAAGAACCTCCACGTGTTCAGCCATCCAGAAGCTCATCGAACTTTGCCCTTTTGGGTTTTTATGGAAGTTTCATGACATCAACATTCTTCCCCCCAGGGTACAGGGTGGGAAGCTCTCGGAGGAGGGTCTTAAGACCCACAATTAGAAAGGCTGGGGAGCATCAGAGTGAAAGGAAGGCAAAAGAAGGTCAGAGGCCTACCCCTGAGGCTTAACACATCCAACATTACAACAAAAGATTGTAACAAGGGCTATGGAGGTTATAAGCCAGGAACCGTCGATGGAAACCAATATATATCATAACACCACACATGGCATTTCAGAAAGGAAGGAGACACACAACAGTCCACTGAGAATATCACTGTACCTAAGAGGCATTCCTGACTCCTTTTCTTTCCTCTTCCTCCTCTTCTAGGCTTCTTCCTTAGGAGAGATGAAAGAGACTTTAGAAGCTAATCCTGAAAGAAAAAGAAAAAGAAAACTTTTTAAAAAACAAGTTAATCCTGAGTGTTCAAAATATGCTGTTTACTGCTCAAAATCAACACACCCCCTCCCTGTGCCACAACCACATACACAGGAAAGACCTCGCCCTGTGGAAAGATGGCCCTCTGCTGCCCACAGCACCAGGGATGATGCAGACAAGAAAGTCCTACAGGAAGAACAAGTCAGTTTTTGAGTTCTTCAAAGCTTACTCCCCACCTGGAGAAGCCCACATACATGCTGCAGCTGTGGGGTGCTGGGCTGGACTGAGCTCCCCTTCAGGGCACAGATCTGGCCCTGACCAAACCCCATGCAGAGCACAGCCTCTCCCCTCTCTGTGGATCACAGGCCGATATCAGCTTTCAGAAATGGAAGACACAGCACCCTGATGTTCAATGATGAATACAGATTAGAATCATGTGGGACACTGCGCTTGAACCTACATGCATGGGAATCTCTGGAAAGGAGGCACAAGAGATATATTTGCAAAATGTCTCAGCATTCTAATGCGAATCCAGGGTTGAGCTAAACTCAGAGGGAGCAAGCCCAGAACAACCCCTATCTTCTGGCTCTGGTCTCCCCTTGGGTCCTTGTTGTCACCAGGATCCAGACAGTGGACAGCAAAAGAGCAGAAAGAAACATCTAGGGGAGGCAATATGGGCCAGAGCAGGTGAGGTTGTGACAGGGGAAGGGTCACATAAACCTTCACTGAGAAGGTGATATCAGAACCCAGGCCTAGAAAAGGAAGGATGTTTGTCACCTGCAACTGAGGGGCTAAAGAGTCCTAGGCAGAGGGACAGCCCAGGTGAAGGTCCTGAGACAGGAGCAACCTCAGCTCCAGGAAAAGGAATGAGATCTGTGTAGCTACAGCAGAGGGAGCAAGGCCGACACAGGTAGCGGATGAGGTCAGAGAGGTCCTGGGGGTGCAGATCAGATAGGGTGGAGGCCTTTAAACATTTTTCTCCCTCAACTCAAAAGAATTTTGGAAATGCTAGTTCCTCACCCATTTTAAGCAATCATGTAATTTTTTCTTTATATTATTCCCTAAAACATTTTCAAACAAGGAACTATGTCCTAGATTTTAAATATATGCCAATATGTTCACCTAAGCTCCCAGAAGTATGGGGTCACCCTTATCTGAGATGGGTAGGACTGCAAGGGAGCATACATCGGAGAACTCAGGAAGTCACTAGTGGACACGTAAATATGGAGATGCCTGTTGGATGTCCCAGAAGAAAGTTGAGGAGACAACTGGACACAGAATTCTAGAAATTAGGAGAGAGGTCTATGAGGGATGGAGACATAAAGGTAGGGTTTAAAACCATGAGATGAAATGATAAAGAAAGGCAGTGGCTGGGCGTGGTGGCTCACGCCTGTAATCCCAGCACTTTGGGAGGCCGAGGTGGGTGGATCACGAGGTCACGAGTTCAAGACCAGCCTGACCAACATGGAGAATCCATCTCTACTAAAAACACAAAAGTAGCTGGGTGTGGTAGCACATGCCTATAATCCCAGCTACTCGGGAGGTTGAGGCAGGAGAATCGTTTGAACCTGGCAGGCAGAGGTTGCGGTGAGCCAAGATCACACCATTGCAATCCAGCCTGGACAACAAGAGCAAAACTCCATCTCAAAAAAAAAAAAAAAAAAAAAAAGATAGAAAGGCAGTAGACGTGGACAGAGAGGAAAAGTGGTTGGAGGACTAAGCTGTGGGTCATTCCCACATTCAGAAAACAGTGAGTCAGGACACATCAGCAGAGAAAAACGGTAAGAGATGAAGATGACATCAAGAAAATTAAAACAAAGAGCAGGGACAGATCCTTCCCAGTCAATACTGAGTAGAAAGCACGGGGCTTGAGACAGGTAAGTGAGCCTGTTACAAATATCTTCCCTTCACTGAGACAGGAAAAAACCAAACTGTTTTCATTGCTCTCGTGCTCAACACAGGATACTTTACTTCTGGTCAAGAAAATGTGTGGTTTCCCTACACTGACCAGTTCCTTGCAGACTTCCACCTGGGAATCCTAAAATTTAACTCAATTCTTACACTATCTACAAGGAGATAGTGTCAGATCCCATGGGTGAAAAGCTCAGTCCCACAAGACTACCCTTCACCTTAGAAGCTGTACACAAGTAGTAGTTTTCACCTCTACTTCTGACTGACCAGATAAACACCACGGTTCCCAAATCCTCTCCTGCATTCAACTAATTTTCTAGAACTGCTATTCCATCTGTCTATCTGCAACCTTTGTAATATCCTTTAAAACAAATGAGTAAACCCAACTAAAACGTTTCTGAGTTCTGTGAGCTACTCTGGCAAATTAATAAATACTGAAGACTGGGTCATGGGAATCCTCAATTTATATCCAGTAGCTTAGAAGTTCAGGTTCCAATCTGGGACTTGTAACCGACATCTGAAGTGGAGAAGTCTTGTGGACTGAGCCTTTAATCTGTGGGATCCGATGCTTACACCAGGTACAGCTGTCAGAAGTGAGGTAAATTATGGGACACCGAGTTGATGTCTGATAGAGAACTGCTTGTTAGTGGGGAGAAATCCCCACACATTCGGTGACCACAAGTGAAGTATTCTGGGTTCAGTGTTTACTACCGTGTTGAGTTTCAGAGGAGGAAAGAATAAATCAATCGTTTTTCCTCTGGAAGAGCACATTTTCCAGCGGGTGCAATTTGGAACGGAAAAACACTGAGTGTCAAAAGCCAGGCCCCGTCACCTCCCTCAATGCGGGGTAAGGAATGTGGGTTGTGAAGGGGAAACCTGGGGAACACAAGGGCCCAGCCCAAGGAGGACAAGGTTGGGGGTGGATTAGGAGAGGGGTGGGGTTTCCAAAATCCCAGGGCCGGGCAGAGGACACGGCGCTGATGCATCGAGACTGCGGGACCGAGCTCCAAGAGGCCAGAAGGGCGAGGCTTGGAGGACCCACTGGGCGTGAATACACCTCATGGGTGAGGGCTTTTACATGACGCGGGACCGAAGGAGTGGTCAGTAAAGGGTTTTAAGCAGGTAAACGGGACGAAAAGCGTCTACGTGGCCCGAAGGCAGAGAGCTCAGGGAAAGGACCAGCAGCCTCCAAGCGATTTTAACCTCCGAATTTCTTGGCGACGTATTAATATACCTAGGATGGAGGGAACGGCGGGAGGATTTTAAGATCCGTAAGAACCCCTCCGCCAACACCAGGTACAGAAGCGCTGGAAGCGGATCTAATCTAGACAAAGGGAAACTCACCCGCTGCTCCAAGACCGGCTCCCCACGCGATCGGCTTCCGGGTCTTCAGGAAACTGCGCTTGCGAGTTCACGCCCCATGATTCACTTCCGGGTTTCCAGGAAACCGCGCGCAGCTGAGGCCAGGGATGGGCGAGACCCGAGAGAAGAGAGGGTGGGGCGGTGAGGGGCGGGGTCTGCGCTGCCTTCGGCCTGTCTCTGGGCGCGTCTGTTCTCCAGGTTTTTGAGGAAAGACCCTATCGGTGACCAGCAGCCAAGCAGTCTGGGACCTGGGATCTCTATGAGAGGGTCAAAGTAGGGGACAGTGATTGGACCTAAGATAGTTCCTGCAATTAAAGTTAATTTTAGTATTTTAATTTAAAAGCCCTGGAATTGTCTGGGAGAGGAAGCGAACTAGAATATGAAATGCAAAGCCCTGCCTGGGCGGAACATGCAATTTGATGCTGTCGTCCCACAGAACAGAGTAGAAATCCTCTCCTTTTCTATTCCCCCTACACTCTGGAGGGTGAGGATCAACCCTGTGCTCAGCTCCTGACAATTTCCCAGGGACAACGCCTTGGGCATGGAGGGTTAACGCCAGGGATAAGTTAGGTCACCAAATGTTGCTTTTAAAAAGGAAAGCTAAAACTTTTAGATGATAGATATAAATGACTCTTAAACTTTTAAACAATAGATATAAATAGCTCTCCCTTATACCTGTTACTCTATTCCAAACTTCAGATGAATTAACCTCAAACGTCTCTGCGATAAACTTTATTGACATCATAATGTCAATAATTTCGATACGTAGAGTGAATTTCAAATTTACACGCACTCTGAATGTAAATAGAAAAGACGATTTTTGGCTGGGTGTGTTGGCTCATGTTTCTAATCCTAGCACTTTGGGAGGCTGAGATGGGAGGATCACTTGAGGCTAAATGTTCAAGACTAGCCTGGGCAACAGAGTGAGTCCCAGTCTCTCTTATAAAACACACAGGGCCAGGCACGTTGGCTCACGCCTGTAATCCCAGCACTTTGCGAGGCCGAGGCGGGCGGATCACCTGAGGTTGGGAGTTGGAGACCAGCCTGACCAACATGGAGAAATCCTGTGTCTTCTAAAAATACAAAATTAGCCGGGCGTGGTGGCGCATGCCTGTAATCCCAGTTACTCGGGAGGCTGAGGCAGGAGAATTGCTTGAACCCAGGAGTTGGAAGGTGCGGTGAGCAGAGATCGGGCCATTGCCATCCAGCCTGGGCAACAAGAGTGAAATTCCGTCTCCAAAAAAACAAAACAAAAAAAAGAAAACACACACACGCACAAAACAAAAACAAACTTTTTTTTTTAAGTTGCTGAAGGGGTATCATTTCTTGAGTTAAATAATACAGGATTTTTTTTTTAATCTGTAATTGATGTACATTTAAGAAGACACTGTTTACATCAGGTCACCACAAAGTAGATTTACAAATAACCATCAACTGCAGAAAAACAAAGTTTCTTTGTGATCCAAACACAAAGAAATGCTTTTTTTAAATGATCTCTTCTTTGATCATAAAAAAAAAATGCAGTACTTTTAGAAGGTAAAGCTAGTAAGTTTACAGAAGTGTAAAACACCAAAACACTTTAAGCAAAAACTCTTTGTTTTTAAGAAAAAGGTATGACTTCTCGTTTTCTGTTCTTGGCATAAATTTTAATTCTTTCCGGTAGAGCCAAAACCTCCTGATCCCCTTTTGGTGTCATCCAAAGCTTGAACTTCTTCTATTTCTGGATTAAAAAATCCGTTCACAAATGAGCTGTGCAATTCGATCACCTTTTTTTGACTTCAAACTTTTCTTTGCAAAAATTAAAGAGTACAACACCAACATTTCCTCTATAATCTTCATCTGTGATACCAGCTCCTACATCAACAAAGTGTTTTGCAGCCAAGCCAGACCTTGGAGCTACTCTCCATAACATCCAGAAGGAAGCGCTGTCTGAATGTCCGTTTTCACAAGAGCCTTCTCCATAGGTGGTGGTGTGTAATCACAGGCACTGTACAGATCGTAGCCCGCGTGCCCGGAGAGCCAGGCAACGCGGAGCTGCATGCCGCCCTCCTCCGCGGGCTGGGCCCGCTGGCTGGGTGAAACGGCGGGTGTCTTAGCTCCGCGGCAGCCTCTGCTCAGGCGGCCAACGCTGGACAGCGTCCGGGGCGTGCGGCGCCGCACTGCGCGGCCGAGGGGCGGGCCCGGCCCTGAGAGTCCCGTGGCCTCGGCCCTCTGCCGTGAGCCTCGCGCGTTTTGCATCGCCAAGCGAAGCAGAAACGGAAGGAAATGGTAGCAGAGCGAGGGGCGAGGGCAGAGGGGAGTCATTTCCCACAAAGTTTGGGCCGGTTGGCTCCTCAGCACCTCCGGACGCGCGCCAGGCTTCCACCCTGAAGACGCGCGCGTCCCAGGCCAGAAGTGAAAAATCTATGGGTAGAAAATTATAAACAGTGATGAAAGAAGTGGAAAGGTTACACAAAAAAGTAAAGGCTACCCATCTTTATGGGTGGGAAAAAATTAATATTGTGTATATGATCATACTACCAAACGCAATGTACATATTCAACACATTCTCTTTCAAAATATCAAAAGACATTATTCACAGAAATAGAAAAAAATGAATCCTACGGCTGGGTGAGGTGGCTTGTGCCTGTAATTCCAGCACTTTGGGAGGCCAAGATGGGCGGATCACCTGAGCTCAGGAATTTGAGACCAACCTGGGCAACATGGCAAAACCCATCCCTACAAAAAATACAAAAATTAGCCAGGTGCGGTGGCATGCACCTGTGGTCCTAGCTACTCAGGAGACTGAGGCAGGTGAATCGCTTGAGCCTGGGAGGCAGAGGTTGCAGTGAGCTGAAATCGCACTACTGCACTCCAACCTGGGCAATAGAGACCTTGTCTAAAAAAAAAAAACAAAAACAAAAACAAAAAAAAAAAAAACTCCTAAAATTCATAGGGAACTACGGAAGATCCAAAAAAGCCAAAGCAATTCTGAGCAAAAAGAACCAAACTGAGGGGTATTACACTACCTGACTTCAAAATATACTAGAAAGTAATGGTATCCAAAACAGCTTGCTACTGGGATAAAAATAGACACATAGAGCAACAGAACAGAATAGAGAACAAAGAAACCCACATCTTTGCAGCCAGCTGATTTTTGACAAAGAATATACATTGGGAAAAAAGACAGTCTTCAATAAATGGTGCTGGAAAACTGGATCCCCATATGCAGAAAAATAAAACTAGACCCCTATTTCTCACCATACACAAAAATAAAATCAGAATGGTTTGACATAAATGGAAGATCTGAAACTATAAAACTATAAGAAAACAATAGGAAAACTCTTCAGGGCATTGATCTGGGCAAAGATTTTTTAGGTAAGACCTCAAAAACACAGGCAACAAGGGCAAAAATAGACAAATTGGATTATATTAAACTAAAAAGATTCTGCACAGCACAGGAAACAGTCAACATAGTGAAGAGACAAGTGACAGAATTAGAGAAAATATTTACAGTCTATCCTTTTGACAAGGAATTAATAAGTTGAATATATAAGAAACTCAAACATCACGATAGCAATTTTTTTTTTTAGACGGAGTCTCACTCTGTAGCCCAGGCCGGAGTGCAGTGGTGCGATCTTGGCTCACTGCAACGTCTGCCTTCCCGGGTTCAAGCAATTCTCATGCCTCAGCCTCCCAAGTAGCTGGGATTACAAGCACACACCACCACGCCTGGCTAACTTTTGTATTTTTAGTAGAGACAGCGTTTCACCACCTTGGCCAGGCTAGGCTTCAACTCCTGACCTCGTGATCCACCTGCTTCAGCCTCCCAAAGTGCTGGGATTACAGGTGTGAGCCACCACACCTGGCCACAAACAAATTTTTAAAGCCAATTAAAAAATGGACCAACTATCTGAAAAGACATTTCTCAAAAGGAGACATACAAACGACCAACAGGCCTATGAAAAAATGCTCAACATCACTAATCATCAGGTAAATGCAAATCAAAACCACAGTGAGATATAATGTCATCTCAGTTAGAATGGCTATCATCAAAAATACAAAAAAAAATAACAAATGCTGGTGAATATGCAAAGGAAGAAAATGCTAGTACACTGGTTGGTGAGAATGCAAATTAGTATAGCCATTATGGAAAATAGTATGGATGTTCTTCAATAAACTACAAACAGAACTACCATATGATCCAGCAATTCCACTGTTGGAAAGAGAGAAAGAGAGAGAGAGAGAGAGAGAGAATGAGGATGGAAATCCGGATATCAAAGTGATATCTGCACACCCATGTTTACTGTAGCACTGTTCTCAATAGCCAAGATATGGGATCAACTTACATTTTCATCACGAACAAATGGATAAAGAAAATGTATATATAGACAATGGTATACTGTTCATCCTTTAAAAAGAATAAAATCTTGTCATTTGCGGCAGCAACATGGGTCAAAGTGGAGGTCATTATGTTAAATAAAATAAACCACGTACAGAAAAGACAATTATCTCATACTCTCACTCGTATGTGGGAGCTAAAAAAGTTAATCTCATGGAGGTAGAGAGTAGAATGCTCATTACCAGAGAGTGGGGAGGTTAGCACAGGCATGAAAAGAAGTAGGTTAATGGGTACCAAAAAAAACCAGAAGGAATAAGTTGTCATCTCCAGTAACATAGTAGGGTGACTATAGTGAACAATAATTTATTGTATATTTCAAAGTAGCTAGAAGAGTTGAAAGGTCGTCAAGAGAAAGAAATAAATGTTTGAGGTGATGGATATTTAAATTATCCTGATTTGATCATTATCTATTTTATGTGTGTATCAAAATATCACATGTACCATATAAATAAATACCATTGAAAATGTTAAAAGAATGATTTTAAGGTTGAATAACACTACTGAATTGTACACTTAAAAAGTTAAGAGACTAGAGCTCACGTTGTGTTCTTACCTGATTATATAAAACATTCTCCCAAATAATGCCCAAATAATGCAATTTTCAGGCACAGATGGTAACACTAGACAATTGTTTTTATTTTTGTAGAGATGAGGTCTCACTCTGTCATCCAGGTTGGAGCTCAGTGGCACAATCATAGCTCACTGTATCCTCAAACTGCTGGGCTTAATAAGTCTACTCAACTCAGCCTCACATTCACAAGTAGATGGAACACCATGCCGGGCTAATTTTAAAAAATAATTTTTTTTTTTTGAGACGGAGTCTTGCTCTATTGCCCAGGCTGGAGTGCAGTGGTGTGATCTTGGCTCACTGCAACCTCCAACTCCTAGGTTCAAGCACTTCTCCTGCCTCAGCCTCCCAAGTAGCTGGGATTACAGGCTAATTGTTTTGTATTTTTAGTAGAGATGGGGTTTCACCATGTTGACCAGGCTGGTTTCAAATCCTGACCTCAAGTGATCAGCCCACCTCGGCCTTCCAAAGTGCTGGGATTACAGGTGTGAGCCACTGCGCCTGGCCAAAAAATTTTTCTTTTTAGAGATGAGGTCACGCTATGTTGCTCAGACTAGTCTCAAACTCCTAGCCTTAAGAAATCCTCCCATCTCAGCCTAACCCTAAACAATTCTATTAAACCTGTAAAGAAGTATTAACAGCAATTATATACAATTTGTCCCAGAAGGCAGAAGAGGAGGGACTACTTCCCAACTTAATTTATGAAACCATTATTATGGTTTGCCAAAACTAGGCAAAGGAATTAGAAAAAAAAAAAAGTCTAAAAACTAAATTTCACATGAAAAAAATCGCAAAATTCTTAAGAAAATATTAGCAATAGAAATCAACAATATATAAAAAGATTTGTACTCCATGATTTAATGGGGTTTATTTGAGGATGGAAGGCTGTTTAATCATTTAAAATTCAATCAGTGTTCTGTCTACTACACTGCGTTATGAGAAGAAAAAAATAAAATTTGATCAATGTAATCCACGATATTAACATGATAAAAAGATTTAAAAAATCATAGGACTCTATCAATAGAGGCAGAAAAAAACACAACAAAATTCAACACTTGTCTATGGTCTGACTTTCAAAACTGATAATAGAGCAAAACTTTTTCATCTTCCTGAAGAACACCTACATACCTTAGGGAAAATGTCACTGTTAGTGTTAAAACAAAAAGAAAAACAAAAAACAAAACTGAATGCTTCAACACAGAGGTTGAGAATGAAACAAGTATGTCCACTCTTTTTGCCATACCATTAGAAATTGTACCCAGTGAAATAAAGAAATAAAAACAAATGTAAGAGACCAGAAAGGAGGATAAAATAGTATAGCCATTAACAGAATATATTAGTTATAATAGGATGAATAATGTTCTCCCAAATGATGTCCATGTCCTGATCAACATGATCTGGGTTACTTTATGTGTCAAAAGAGGGTTCACAAATGTCATCTAGTTAAGGATCTTGAGATGACATTTTGTCCTGGTTTTTCTTATAAAGGTGATATCATCACAAGGGTCAGTATAAGAAAGATGCAGGTGGAGTTAGAGTCACTTAGTAGTTGGTGATATGGTGAAAACATCAGGACAGAGATAAAGATATAAGATGATCTGCAACTGACATTGAAGGTGGAGGAAGTGGACCATGTGGCAAGGAGAGATGCAGTCTCTGCAACCAAGGAAGGGTTAGAAAACAAATTCTTTCCTCAAGATTGAAGAACAATCACAGCATTGCAGATCTATATTAGGCTTCTGACATCCAGAACTATAAGACAATAAATTGTACGTCTGTGTGTGAGACAGGATCTTGCTCTGTCACCCAGTCTGGAGTACAATGGTGCAATCATAGCTCACTGCAGCCTCCATCTCCCTTGCTCAAGCGATCCTCCCACCTCAGCCACCTGAATAGCTGAGACATCAGGCATGTACTACTACAGTCAGCTAATTTTATAATTTTTAGTAGAGATGAGGTCTTGCTATGTTGCCCAGGCTGGTCTTGAAGGCCTGAGCTCAAATGATTCTCCTGCTTCAGCCTCCCAAAGTGCTGGGGTTACAGGCACGAGCCACCACACTCAGCCAAATTTGTGGGATTTTTTTTAAAGCACTCACTTTATGGTAATTTGTTATAGCAGCAATAGGGAACCAATAAAATGATGTATGTAGAAAAGCCCAAAAAGTATAAAAAATCTCTAGAGTGAGTGAAATTTCAGGGTCTCAGGATGCACCGTTGACATACAAAAATCTCTTTTTTAGGTGGGGACAAATCTGAAGGGAGAATGTTGGGTGTCAGTTTCCATGGTAATAGTGGCACTAATGTCATGTTTCCCTGTAATATCCTCTGGTGGGAATAGGAATATCATCCAGTGAGAAGAGGCAGAATGGCCTTGAGATTGAGCATGGAGATAATCTCCTTGTCACAAACTGTAATTGGCATGTGGTGGGGGATGACTTTTTCTGTTATTTATCATTATATTTTCATTTACTTCAACAAATGCTGGAGACACACTTGATTTCAAGCACCTGAAGAGAGCAAGCACCCACATTAAGAGATTTTAGTTGACCATCTTATATCAACTTGGTACCTCCATTGAATTAAAGATTTAAAGGAACACTTCTTTTTCATAATTATACAGAACCTAGTTCATATCAGTTATTGTGTTATGTGCATTTTCATGTCACAAAATTTTGTCTCAAAAGAAAACTTTCATTTATATATTCCCTGTGTTTTTCAGAGGAGTAACACAGGTAAGAAATGGAAATTATACATATAATAAGGATTACAATGTGTGGAAGGAAAAATATAAGAAAAATTCTTGTTTTCAGAGGATCATGGCAGATGGCAGGGCAGGACTAACTTGCAGCTTCCACTCAGATGGACAGTAGTGTGTGGAGTCCTGCATCATGAATTTTTGCTCCAGAATGACTGCAAGAGTAAATTAGGAAGCCAAGAAAACCCACAGGACCTCTGAAGGAAGTTGGTTGCTCTTGCTCCCGCAGGACCCAGGAGACACCCCAAATACTGTGAGTGCCCAAACTGTGTAAGTGGGAAAGGAAGATTGTCTGCCAAGAACACAAACCGTCACTGGCAAACCTGAAGGTCTAGATCATGGGAGAAGATTCTGACCTTACCTGGAACTCAGTCAATTTAGAGAACTGAGGCTGGGTGCTATGGCTCACACCTATAATCCCAGCATCTTGGGAGGCTGAGGCAGGTGGATCACTTGAGGTCAGGAGTTCGAGACCAGCCTGGCCAACATGGTGAAACCCCGTCTCTACAAAAAATACAAAAATTAGCCAGGCATGGTGGCATGTGCTTGTAATCCCAGCTAGTCAGGAGGATGAGGCAGGAGAATCGCTTGAGCACTGGAGTTGGAGGTTGCAGTGATCGGAGACTGCACCACTGCACTCCAGCCTGGGTGACAGAGCAAGACTCTGTCTCAAAAAAAAAAAAAAAAATTAGCTGAGTGAAAAACAAGGGTAGCGGGAAAAGCTCTCTGGGTCCCCTAGCAAGCCATTTTCTGCCTTGCCTCACAGGGGTCCTGGGGGAAGGCTGCAAGAGGCACTGGGAAAAGGCCACAGGGAGAAGGAAACCTCCAGTTGAACTTTGTAACAATTCCAACTGAATGAGAAGTCTCCTGGCCAAAACTCATGGAAGAGCGTGAATCCAGTGTGCAGACTCCACAGGCTGGGAGGCACGAAAGCCTTACTTGCTTTTGTAGTTGGGAGGCTGGTAGCCTGGGGCAAGTTCTCAGCCCTGCTTGCCCACTGCCTGGAAACAGACTTCCTGCTGTTGGGACATGGGGGCACGGTGGGAGTGAGACTGGCCTTTTGGGTTGTACAGGAGCTGGGTGAGGCCTATGACTACCGGCTTTCCCTCACTTCCCTGACAATCTGCATGACACTGCAGAGGCAGCCATAATCCTCTTAGAAACATAACTCCATTGACCTGGGAACCACAACCCCATCCCCCACAGCAGCAGTACCAAGACCTGCCAAGGAGAGTCTGAGCTCAGACACACCTAGCCCTGCCCCCAACTGATGGTCCTTCCTTACCCACCCTGGTAACTGAAGACAAAGGGCATATACTCTTGGGAGTTCTAGTGCCCTGCCCCCACCTAATCCTCCCCATACTACCACAGCTGATGCTCTCTTGAAAGCACCACCTCCTAGCAGGAGGCCAACCAGCACAAAAATAGTACTTTAAACAACCAAAACTCAGGACCCTCACAGATTCCATTTCGTCCCCCTGCCACCTACACTGGAGCAGGTCCTGGTGTCCACAGCTGAGAGACTCATAGACAGTTCGTATCACAGGACTCTGTGCAGACAACCCCCAGTACCAGCCTGGAGCCTGGCAGACCTGCTGGGTGGCTAGATCATCCAGATGGGAGATAACAATCACTACAGCTCAGCTCTCAGGAAGCCACATCCCTAGGAAAAGGGGGAGAGTACTACATCAAGGGAATACCCCATGGGACAAGAATCTGAACAACATCCTTAAGCCCTAGACCTGCCCTCTGACAGCCTACCCAAATGAGAAGGAACCAGAAAGCTAACTCTGGTAATATAACAAAACAAGGTTTTCTAACATCCCCCAAAAAATCACAGTAGCTCACTAGCAATGGATACAAACCAAGAAGAAATCCCTGATTTACCTGAAAAATAATTCAGAAGGTCAGTTATTAAGCTAATCAAGGAGGCACTAGAGAAATAAAATGATACAATAAATGAGGGGAGAAATTTCAGTTAAATAAATAGCATAAATAAAAAACAAAAACCTCAGGAAACAATGGATGCACTTACAGAAATGCAATATGCTCTGGAAAGTCTCAGCAATAGAATTAAACAAGCAGAAGAAAGAATTTCAGAGCTCAAAGACAAGGTGATTTTTTTTGTTTGTTTTTGAGATGGAGTCTCACTACATCACCCAGGCTGGAGTGCAATGGCGCAATCTCGGCTCACTGCAACCTCTGCCTCCCAGGTTCAAGCAATTCTTCTGCCTCAGCCTCCTGAGTAGCTGGGGCTATAGGCACTCACCACCATGCCCAACTAATTTTTGTATTTTTAGTATAGATGGGGTTTCGCCATATTGGCCAGGCTGGTCTTGAACTCCTGACCTGGTGATATGCCCACCTCAGCCTCCCAACGTAAGATGAGGTTTCTGAATTAACTCAATCCAACAAAGACAAAGAAAAAATAAGAAAATATGAACAAAGTCTCCAAGAAGTCTCGGATTATGTTAAACGATGAAACCTAAGAATAATTGGCATTCCTGAGGAAGATGAGAAATCTAAAAGTTTAGAAAACATATTTAGGGTAATAACTGAGGAAAACTTTCCCAGGCTTGCTAGAGACCTAGACATCCAAACATAAGAAGCTCAAAGAATACATGAGAAATTCATCGCAAAAAGATAATCACCTAGGCACACTGTCATCAGGTTATCGAAAATTAACAACATTCCCATTCTGTGTGCTCAGACTTAAGAGAAAATGCATGTTTTCTCTTCCATTTCAAAAATAAGACTACTGTTTTCCATCTTTGCTAAACAGGAACTATTGCTATTCAATTGAGGAGGTGACCACCCCTTCCCCTCCATGATTGCTACCACGTAATCAATACCTAACAACAATTATTCTCTTCCCATAAAAATGCCATGCCTTTAATGGCATGCTCTATTTTACAGTTATTTATTAGAGCACAGAAGTACTGCATCCTTGTCAAGAAAAGAGTGGGCAGTACTCAAGAAAAGAATAAGCGTGACTGCTTCAAGCAGTCATCATTTTATGTTATTCTCTACCCATGTCCATGCTGTCTAAATCAGACAATATTTAATATAAAAAGACAGTGTTCTTCTTCCAGGAAGCTGAATAGAAGTGATCCTCAGCTAATGAAATCAGCCCTGTCATCCTATTGATTCTTTCACTTGATTCTTTCCCAGAGACCACAGTGAAAGGCCTGTAGGAGGAGGTATATGTCAAGATCTCAAAGTTCAGGTTGAAAGTTATAAAGAGGAAAGTAGCTTTCTGCTGAGACCAGCTCAGTCATGGGGACCCTAACCCAGCGGTGCTAGAGGAATTAAAGACACACACACAGAAATATAGTGTGGAGTGGAAAATCAGGGGACTGACAGCCTTCAGAGCTGAGAGCCATGAACAGAGTTTGACCCACATATTTATTGAGAGCAAGCCAGTGATAAGCATTGTTTCTATTGATTATAGATTACATAAAAGCATTCCTTATGGGAAACAAAGGGATGGGCTCTGGTTAGTTATCTGCAGCATGAACATGTCCTTAAGGCACAGAATGCACATGCTATTATTTGTGGTTCTGGAACGCCTTAAGCGGTTTTTCTGCCCTGGGTGGGCCAGGTGTTCTTTGCCATCATTCTGGTAAACCAACGACCTTCAGCATGGGTGTCATGCCCATCAAGAACATGTCACAGTCCTACAGAGATTTTGTTTATGGCCAGTTTTGGTGGCCTGTTCCCAACACTTTTAGGAAAAAAGAAAACAATAATTAAATCCTTTTCATGTTCTATAGTAATGGTCCTTGGATATCCTCAGCATATACAATCCATCTGTGTCGTTTTATCCAAAAGTATATTTTGATTTCTAGTGATTTGGCAGGCCTCAGGAAAGCCTGTGCCACATACATTACATTTATATGATTTCTCCTTAGTATGGAACCTCTGATGTTCATTAATGCTAAAACTCATGACGAGCTTTCCGTACACAGCTTGTAAGGACTCTTTCATGAATAAATTATCTGATGCTGTCCAAGGTGTGAATTGTGACTAAAACATTTTACCACATATGTTGCATTTGTAAGGTTTCTCTCCATTATGTGGTGATTTGTATTTGTAAGGTTTCTCTCTATGTGGTGATTTGTATTTGTAAGGTTTCTCTCTATGTGGTGATTCGCAAGATGTGAATTTCAATTTGAGACCTTGCCACATTCATTACAGTTGTAAGGTTTGTCTGCAGTATGGATTACAAGATGGGCAGTAAAGCCTGAACATTATCTAAATGCTTTGTCACATTCGCTGCATTTGTAAGGCTTCTCTGCAGTATGAATTCTATAGTGATTTGTTAGGGAATACTTGTGACTGAAGACGTTTCACATTGTTTGTTTATATTTGTAGATAGGGTCTCACTCTGTCACCCAGGCTGGAGTGCAGTACTGCAAACATGACTCACTGCAGCCTCAAGCTCCTAGGCTCAAATGATCCTTCTGCCTCAGCCTCCCAAGTAGCTGGGAATACATGCATATACCAACACACCTGGCTAATTTTTTATTATTTGTAGAGATGGAGTTGTCCTTATGTTACCCAGGTTGGTCTCAAACTCCTGGGTTCAAGCAATCCTCTCACCTTGGCCTCCCAAAGGGCTGGGATTATAGGTGTGAGCCACCATGCCTGGAGTACATTCCATATATTCATATGATTTCTCAAGCTGGGTGCAGCAGCTCATGCCTGTAATCCCAGCACTTTGGGAGGCCAAGGCAGATGGATCACAAGGTCAGGAGATCGAGACCAGCCTGGCTAACATGGTGAAACCCCGTCTCTACTAAAAATACAAAAAATTAGCCAGGCATGATGGCATCATGTGCTTGTAGTCCTAGCTACTCGGGAGGTAGAGGCAGGAGAATTGCTTGAACCTAGGAGGTGGCGGTTGCAGTGAGCTGAGATTACACCACTGCACTCCAGCCTGGGCATCAGAGCGAGACTCTTGTTTCGGGGGAAAAAAAAAAAAAAGACTTATCTCCACTATGGATTACAAAATGAACAGTTAAGACCTGAACACCTTCTCAATGCTCTGCCGCATTCATTACATTTGTAACGCTTCCTTCCAGTATGAATTCTTTTTTTTTTTTTTGAGACAGAATCTCACTGTCACACAGGCTGGAGTGTAGTAGCGCATTCTTGGCTCACTGCAACCTCCATCTCCTGGGTTTAAGTGATTCTCCTGCCTCAGCCTCCTGAGTAGCTGGGATTACAGACACCCACCACCACACCCAGCTATTTTTTTTATTTTTAGTAGTGATGGGGTTTCAACACATTGGTCAGGCTGGTCTCAAACTCCTGACCTCAACTGATCCGTCTGCCTCAGCCTCCCAAAGTGCTGGGATTACAGGCGTGAGCCACCGCACCCAGCCTCCAGTATGAATTATTTGATGTGCAAGATGTGAATTGTGACTTTGACTTTGCCATATTTGCTACATTTAAAAGGTATCTACAGTATGAATTTTCCAATGTTGTGCCAGATGTGCATTTTATTTGAAGATGCTGTCATTCATTTGTAAGGTTTCTCTCCAGTATGGATTCTGTGATAGTTTACAAGGTGTGTATTTTAAGTGAATACGTTGCCACACTTGTTATATGTTTAAAGTCAATCACCAGTGTGAATTCTCTTGATGAGAGGTTAGGGAAAACATGTGCCTGAAGACCTTCTTGTATTCTTTATATTTCTATGGTTTCCTTCCAGTATGGATTAATAGATGGGTAGAGAGGCATGATTTCATATGAAATTCTTTGCCATATTTATTACTTTTGTGAGGCTTCATAACTTTTTTTGTTTTGTTTTTAAAGAAAGAGTTTTGCTCCTCTTGCCCAAGCTGGAGTGCAATGTTGCAATCTCGGCTCATCACAACCTCTGCCTCCCAGGTTCAAGCAATTCTCCTGCCTCAGCCTCCTGAGTAGCTGGGATCACAAGTGCCTGCCACCTCAGTCAGCTAATTTTGTATTTTTAGTAGAGATGGGGTTTCTCCATGTTGGTCAGGCTGGTCTCGAACTTCTAACCTCAGGTGATCTGGCCACCTTGGCCTCCCAAAGTACTGGGATTAAAGGCGTGAGCCACCATGCTTGGCAGCTTCACTCATTTTTTTTTTTTCTTTTTTTGAGATGGAGTTTCACTCTGTCACCTAGGCTGGAGTGCAGTGGCTCACTCGGCTCACTGGAGGCTCTGCCTCCCAGGTTCATGCCATCCTCCTGCCTCAGCCTCCTGAGTAGCTGGGACTACAGGTGCCTGCCACCACACCCAGCTAATTTTTTTTTTTTTTTTTTTTTTGTATTTTTAGTAGAGATGGGGTTTCACCGTGTTAGCCAGGATGGTCTCAATCTCCTGACCTCATGATCCACCTGCCTCGGACTCCCAAAGTGCTGGGATTACAGACGTGAGCCACTGCGCCCTGCCAGCTTCACTAAATTTTTAAGGCTTCTCTCTGGTATGAATACTGCAATGTTGTACTAGGATGGAATTTTTACTAAAGACCTTGCCACATTCATTACAACTGTAAGGCTTCACTCCAGTATGAATATTCCTATGTTGTGCAAGGCGTGAATTCCGACTGAAGACCTTGCTACATTCATTACATTTGTAAAGCTTCTCTCCAGTATGAATTTTCCTATGTCGCGCAAGGTGTGAATTCCGACTGAAGACCTTGCCACATTCATTACAACTGTGAGGCTTCTCTCCAGTATGAATATTCCTATGTCGCGCAAGGTGTGAATTCCGACTGAAGACCTTGCCACATTCATTACAACTGTAAGGCTTTTCTCCAGTATGAACATTCCTATGTCGCACAAGGTGTGAATTCCGACGGAAGACCTTGCCACATTCATTACAACTGTAAGGCTTCTCTCCAGTATGAATATCCCTATGTTGTGCAAGGTGTGAATTCTGACGGAAGACCTTGCCACATTCATTACATTTGTAAAGCTTCTCTCCAGTATGAATTTTCCTATGTCGTTGAAGGTTTGAATTCTGACTGAAGACCTTGCCACATTCGTTACATTTGTAAGGCTTCTCTCCAGTATGAATTCTACAGTGATAGGTTAGGGAAGACTTGTGCCTGAAGACCTTGCCACAGTCTATACATTCGTAAGGTTTCTCTCCAGTATGGATTAGAAGATGGGCAGTGAGATCTGAACACGTTCTAAATGCTTTGCCACATTCATTACATTTGTAACGCCTCCCCCCAGTATGAATTTTCCTATGTCGTGCAAGGCGTGAATTGCCAATAAAGACCTTGCCACACTCATTACATTTGTAAGGTTTCTCTCCAGTATGAACTTTCCGATGCCTTGCAAGGAATGCAATTCGACTAAACCCCTTGCCACATTCATTACATTTGTATGGTCTCTCTCCAGTATGAACTGTCTGATGAGTGGTTAGGGAAGACTTATGCCTGAAGACCTTGCCACATTCCTTACAATCATAAGGTTTCTCTCCAGTATGGATTACAAGATGAGCAGTAAGACTGGAACACACACTAAATGCTTTGCCACATTCACTACATTTGTAAGGCTTCTCTCCAGTATGAATTTTCCTATGCTGTGCAAGGTAGGCATGGTGACTAAAGACTTTCCCACATTCTTTGTTATTGTAAGGTTTCTGTCCAGTATGAATTTTCTGATGTTGTGCAAGGTGTGAATTCTGATTGAAGACTTTGCCACATTCATTATATTTGTAAGGCTTCTCTCCAGTATGGATTCGTTGATGTTGTGCAAAGTTTGAATTGCTACTAAAGATCTCGCCACAGTCACTACATTTGTAAGTTTTATCTGCAATGTGGATTACTTGACGGTTAGTAAGGCTTGAAGACACTCTGAAGACTTTCCCATGCTCATTACATCCATAAGGCTTTTCCCTAATGTGTACTTTCTGTTCTTGTGGGAGTAATGTAGAAAAAAGAAAATCATTTCTGTAGTTATTAAAAATATGGGTTTTGACACTGAAAAAACTTATTTGAACTGGTGAAACTGAAGAATTGTCACTGATAGATTTCTCAACATGCTTACATCCATAAATATTCCTTACAGCTTGAAATGGCTGCCATTCAGTCAGATGTAACTGAAGAGTTAATCCATGTTGATTTTTAAGTGACTTGTTTCCTGCACTGCTTCCCAATTTAGAACTCTTCTCTAGAAAAGCAAGAAAATTTTAGAACTTAATCCCGATTCTGGCATGTTTAAAGTCTGACAGAAAACAAGATTCTGCATCACTTCACTCAGACATTGAAATTATCAGCATACTTTGTTTTTATTGAGATGGAGTCTCACATTGTCACCCAGGCTGGAGTGCAATGGTGTGATTGCAGTTCACTACTACCTCTGCCTCCTGGGTTTAAGCAATTCTCCCTCCCAAGTAGCTAGGATTACAGGTGCCTGCCACCATGCCTGGCTAACTTTTTTTATTTTTAGTAGAGACGGGGTTTCACTATGTTGGCCAGGCTGGTCTCAAACTCCTGACCTTGTGATCCACCTGCCTCAGCCGCCCAAAGCGCTGGGAATACAGGCATGAGCCACTGTGCCTGGCCAGTATCAGCATACTTTGTATAACATGTTGGTAATGCAGAAAACACAAGGGAGTGAGGTGATTTACTGAAGAATCTGGAATCTGCAGGAGTCAGGGGAATTAAGGGAAAGCTTGAGAGAGATTATAAGCTGACAAATACAAGAGTAACTAACAGCTTCTGTGAAAAAGCAGGGATAAGCCTCTTAAGGAAAATAAGATATTTAAGAGCAGCAATGTAGATATTTGTAATAGTACTTTCACAAAGTCAGGAAAGATACATCCCAGAAAAGAATGGAGTGTTCCCACACCCTTACAGCAACTAAGGTCTCCCACTGCGCATTATAAAAAATAACTGAAAAAAGTGGTTGTTTTACCAAACCTAAACCAAAAACTACCATACAAGGCCTATGAAAAGATGAGAAAATATGGCTAGAAGAATAACAAATAAATAAATAAATAAAACTCCAGACACCAAACTAAAAGATAACAGAAATAGAAAACTAAATAAAATCAGAAAAACAGTATGTGAAAAGAATGAGGATAACAAACACAGGGGAAATCATTAAAAACAAGAGAACAGAAATTCTGGAGCTGAAATACAGTAACTGATGTAAAAATCCATTAGGGGGTTTAACAGCAGACAGCAAAAGGAAAGGAAAACAATGAGCAAACTGAAAGATAAGTTATTCAAAAGTATCAGTTCCAAAGACCACAAAGAAAACATGATGAAGAAAACCTTACAAACCCTAATACATTTTTGAGAGACTATAAGGTGGAACAATATACAAACTATTGGAGGTTCATATGAAGATGACAAAGGATGAAAAGCCACAACTGAAGAAATAATGTTAAAACATCACACATCTGAGGAAAGAACTGAATATACAAATTCAAGAAGCTTGACCATTACTAAAATTAGCCCAAAGACATTCACACAGGGACATAATATAAGGAAATTATCAAAAGTCAAAGAGAGACAGAGACAAAGTTTGATAGCATCAACAAAAAAAGAGACTTGACATATAATAGGAAACTGTATAAGTCTATGTGTATTTTTCCAGCAGGTATCTTCAGGGTAGAAGGCAGTGAAGTGATACTGAAAGTGCTTAAAGAAAAATAAGGGCCGGGCACGGTGACTCATGCTTGTAATCCCAGAACTTTGGGAGGCTGAGGTGTGTGGATCATGAGGTCAGGAGATTGAGAACATCCTGGCTAACACGGTGAAACCCCGTCTCTACTAAAAATACAAAAAAAATTAGCCAGGCATGGTGGCGGGAGCCTGTAGTCCCAGCTACTTGGGAGGTTGAAGCAGAAGAATGGCGTGAACCCAGGAGGCAGAGCTTGCAGTGAGCCAAGATCATGCCACTGTACTCCAGCCTGGGTGACAGAGTGAGACGGTCTCAAAAAAAAAAAAAAAAAGAAGAAGAAGAAAAATAAGAAAAACATCAATGAAGAATACTATATTTAGTAAAACTCATCTACAAAAATAATTCAGGCTTTCCTAGATAAAGAAGAACTGAGAAAGTTAATTAGAACTCAAAAATCATTATGTGAGGCTGGGCACAGTGGCTCATGCCTGTAATCCCAGCACTTTGGGAGGCTGAGGTGGGTGGATCACTTGAGGTCAGGAGTTCAAGTACAGCCTGGGTAATATGGCAATACTCCATCTCTACTAAAAATACAAAAAACTAGATAGGCATGGTGGTGTACACACAGAGTCCCAGCTATTCAGAAGGCTGAGGTGGGAGAATCACGTGAGCCCCAGAAGGTGAGGCTGCAGCCAGCCATAATCATGCCACTGCACTCCAGCCTGGGTGACAGGAGAGAGACGCTATCTCAAAACAGAAAAAAGAAAATGAAAAATGTCTGTTCACAACTCAAAGGATTTCAGCTTTGGTTTTCCCACAGAATTCACCCACTTGCAGAGTTTCCCAAACACTATGTAATAGTGTGGCTCTGCAGAGTATAGTGGCTCAAGCCTGTAATCCCAACACTTTGGAAGACCAAGCCAGAAGGATCCCTTAAGTCCAGGAGTTTAAGGCTGCTGTGAGCTATGATTGCCACTGTACTCCAGCCTGGATGACAGAGTGAGACCCTTCTCAAAATACAAAAATTATGGGGCCTCCACTCTGCCCACCTGAGCTCTCACCTGTGTTCACACCTTTGATGCACTCCCTGCCATCTGGATTGTTTATTATTTTCACTTCACTCTGCAGAGTCCAGGGATCTCTCTTTTGCTCCAACATGGAGGTAACACTCAGGTCAGGAAGACAGATTCCTACTTACAAAAAGAAAGAATAAATGTGTGCTGTGGCATCTCCAAAGTCCAAGCCCTATATTTAGGTAGGAGACAGCATATTACAAATTAATCAAGAATAATATTTCACAAATTCAACCACTGATTGCATCCTTCTGAATGCTAAGGGAACATTGTAACATGTAGACGTCAAGCCCCCTTTCAAGAACTACTGAATCAAAAGCACATGGGTAGAAAACAGGGAACTGGATATTTTTTAAGTCTGTCATAAGGTTTCATGCACACTTCAGCCCTGGTGCCATCAATGATGAATCATGAAGGAAGCAGAATATCTGAAGAAAGGGGACATTTCTTTCTTTTTTTTTTTTTTTGAGACAGAGTCTCACTCTGTTGCCCAGGCTTGAGTGCAGTGGCATGATCTCAGCTCACTGCAGCCCCTGCCTCCCAGGTTCAAGTGATTCTCCTGCCTCAGTCTCCCGAGTAGCTGGGACTACAGGCATGTACCACCATGCCTAACTAATCTTTGTATTTTTAGTATGGATGGGGTTTCACCAGGTTGGTCAGGCTGGTGTAAGGGGACATTTCAAGTTCAGAAAGCATAATGCTTTTCATTTCTTTTTTTTTTTTTTTTTTTTTTGAGACGGAGTCTTGATCTGTCACCCAGGCTGGAGTGCAGTGGTGCGATCTTGGCTCACTGCAAGCTCCGCCTCCCGGGTTCACGCCATTCTCCTGTCTCAGCCTCCCGAGTAGCTGGGACTACAGGCACCCTTTTTTGTATCTTTAGTAGAGATGGGGTTTCACCGTGGTCTCGATCTCCTGACCTCGTGAACCATTTGCCTCGGCCTCCCAAAGTGCTGGGATTACAGGCGTGAGCCACTGCGCCTGGCCTGCTTTTCATTTCTTAGTCAACAGGTTTCAATCTCAGTCAAGCAATGCAGGGGCTCCCGAGAGACACACAAGAGAAAATGCAAAAAGATATACCAGAGCAGATGCAGGCTTCTGGACGGACATTATCCTCACCTAGGGAGACCAGGTTCCTGTAGTTCTCTAACATCACGTCCCTGTATAAAGCTTTCTGCCCAGGGTCCAGGCATTTCCACTCCTCCTGAGAGAATTCTATGGCCACATCGCTGAATGACAATTGCCCCTAAAAGGAAATCCACATTTCAAAAACAGGGTATGGAGAGAGTACTTATCTTCAAACAGAATGAGAAGACAGTTGTAAGGACTCACTCCACTGAAGCGAGCACTGCGCCAAATCCACATTAAAGGATTCTTGAGCTAGTTATGTGTCTGTGATTGTGTTTTATTATACTTTTCCATAAGGAGTGATGACATTCTTTAAATCAGAGTAGATGTCTCATTTTGTGGATAATACAAGCAATACAAACAAAAAATTAAACCAGGGTTATCTGTATAGAAATGTTAGGTATTACTGCCGGGCACGGCGGCTCATGCCTGTAATCCCAGCATTTTGGGAGGCCAAGGCGGTCGGATCACGAGGTCAGGAGATCAAGACCATCTTGGCCAACACGGTGAAACCCCATCTCTACTAAAAATACAAAAAATTAGCCAGGCGCGGTGGTGGGGGTCTGTAGTCCCAGCTACTCAGGAGGCTGAGGCAGGAGAATGGTGTGAACCCAGGAGTGGGACATTGCAGTGAGCTGAGATTGCGCCACTGCACTCCAGCCTGGGTGACAGAGTGAGACTCCGTCCCCTCCCCCCCCCAAAAAGAGAAAGAAATGTTAGGTTTTATTTTTGACACATCAAGTGACATTTAGTATCTACCTGAGATACAAGTAGTGTCTTCAGAGATGACAATGTCTACAGTGCTTTCTTTCTTTTTTTTTTTTTTTTTTTTTTTTGAGATAGGATCTTACTGTTTCCCAGACTGGAGTGCAGGGGTGTGATATCCACCCACTGCAACCTCTGCCTCCCAGGCTCAAGTGATCCTCTTAAGCCTCCCGAGTAGCTGGGACTACAGGCTCACACCACTATGCCCAGCTAATTTTTGTATGTTTTGTAGAGATAGAGTCTCACCACATTGTCCAAGCTTGTCTCAAAGGCCTAAGCTCAAGTGATCCTCCCACCTCAGCCTCCAAAAATGCTGGGATTACAGGCATGAGCTACCACATCCGACCTATAGTGGTTTTTAAAAATGGTCAAAATCTGGGCCGGGCGCAGTGGCTCACACCTGTAATCCCAGCACTTTGGGAGGCCGAGGCAGGTGGATCATGAGGTAAGGAGTTCGAGACCAGACTGGCTAACATGGTGAAACCCCATCTCTACTAAATACAAAAAATGAGCTGGGCATGGAGGTGTGCACCTGTAATCCCAGCTACTCAGGAGGCTGAGGCAGGAGAATGGCTTGAAGCCAGGAGGCAGAGGTTGCAGTGAGCCGAGATTGCATCATTGCACTCCAGCCTGGGTGACAGGGCGAGACCCTGTCTCAAAAAAAATAAATAAATAAATAAAATAAATAAAAAATGGTGAAAATCTGAAAACTGCGATGATAACAACAGCAATGGCTGAATAGAACACTTCCCATGTGATAGGCACTATTCTCAATGATTTACATGAACTAACTGGTACAGCAACAAAAGCCAATGAAAGAATAATCTGCTCCTATCTTACTAAAAAGACAACTCTTTCACATACACGCTAGCTTGCCCCAGGTGTGAGAACTGAAACAGCAGAGTAAGCAGCAGATCACAGGTGTCTGAGCATGAGAATCAAACCTAAAGAATCAGACAGTTAAGTAACAGATCAGCATCAAAAGTAAATTGACAGTTACCTAATTCAGTAAATTTAAAACAACTTCAAGGATTAAAAACATGGAATTGCCTAATAGTTCATTATATATGCATATATATAATCGATATCCCCATAATACATTACTATAATGTTCTTATAGCCATTGCCTCATTGCCTCTTATAGCCACTATCAGGTATGATGCCTCATATCATCATACATGATAATGTAGAAAAATTTGAACATCCTGATAAATAGATGTAATTTCAACTGATAAAAATATATATATATATAATGATGACATGCTATTTATAAAAACTATAGGTTTGCTCATCTGTGCACTCATGCAAACACATCACATGTACACACTTACACATATATATACTAACACTCATATACACTAGTACACATATACATTTATATGGCCGAGATCACAAAACCACACTCCAGCCTGGGCAACAGTGCGAGACTCTGTCTCAAAAAAAAAAAAAAAGGAATTCCACATGCAGCTTCTCTAGTCTTAGTCCACAGAACACTCACAGTGCATCCAGATGTGGCCCCTGAACAATCCCTGCTGCCCAACAGCACTGACACCACAAGGCCCACACCCCATCTCCATCCGTGTCTGGGTGTGAGCACTTCCCAGGACCATGCCCAGTGGAACCTCTTCCCAAGTTCATGTCATTGGGTCATAGGGAACTGGAATCTTAAGTGGAAGTGAAAGGGACTGGAAGAAGCCATGGGTAAGTGCAATGAAATGAGTCAGGCAGGATGCTTCAGAGTCAGAGATTAGCAACTCCAATGCCTGGCATTTCAGGAAGAAACAGAGACAGAACAATCCACTGAGAACATTACCTTACCTGAGTAAGGGCCATTCCTGACTTCCTTTCTTTCCTCTTCCGAGTTGCTTCCTTGCATAATATGTCTCTTTGAAAGTGAATCCTAGTATCAAAAATAATGCTGTTTAGGGCTTAGAATCAACACACCCACTTCCTGTGCCACAGCCACACAAAAAGGGAAGACTTCACCTTCTGGAAGGATGGTCCTCTGCTGCCTACTGTTGATCTCCCACAGGAAAATCAACAAGTGAGTTTTTTACTCCCTTCCTCAAAACTCTCTCCTGTCTCATGGTGAGCGACACACACACTGCAGCAGTGCAGAGCTGGGCTTGACTAAGCTCCCCTTAAAAGCACAGACTTGGCCGGGTGCGGTGGCTCCCACCTATAATCCTAGCACTTTGGGAGGCCGAGGTGGGCAGATCATGAGGTCAGGAGTTTGAGACCAGCCTGGCCAACATAATGAAACCCTCGTCTCTACTAAGGATACAAAAAATTAGCTGGGCGTGGTGACACGGGCCTGTAATCCCAGCTACTCAGGAAGCTGAGGCAGGAGAATCCCTTGAACTTGGGAGGCAGAGGTTGCAGTGAGCCGAGATCGCACCATTGCACTCCAGCCTGGGTGACAGGGTGAAACTCCATCTTAAAAAAGAAAAAGAAAAAAAAAAGGCCATGTGTGGTGGTTCACGCCTGTAATCCCAGCACTTTGAGAGGCCAAGGCAGGTCGATCACGAGGTCAGGAGTTCAAGATCAGCCTGGCCAAGATGGTGAAACCCCGTCTCTCCTAAAAATACAAAATTTAGCTGGGTAATGGCAGGCACCTATAATCCCAGCTCTTAGGAGGCTGAGGCAGGAGAATTGCTTGAACCCAGGAGACAGAGGTTGCAGTGAGCCAAGATTTTAACACTGCACTCCAGCCTGGGTGACAGAGTGCGACTCTATCTCAAAAAAAAACAAAAAAAAAGCACAGACCTCACCCTGACCAAAGCTCATGCAGAGCACAGGCCCCTCAGCCCTCTGTGGATCACAGTGCTCAATTCTAGATATAGACTATAGTAGAATCCTTTTATCGATGTGCACTATGTTCCAAGAGCCCCAATGGATGCCTGAAACCTCCATCAGTACTAAACCCTATTAATTCCCCTTAAAGACTCCATGTTACAGCTTCTCACTGGCATATCCAAATTGTCAGCATCAAGGCCGGGCGCAGTGGCTCACGCCTGTAATCCCAGCACTTTGGGAGGCCGAGGCAGGTGGATCACCTGAGGTCAGGAGTTCAAGACCAGCCTGGCCAACATGGTCAAACCCTGTCTGTACTAAAAATATAAAAACTAGCCGGCCGTGGTGGTGGACACCTGTAATCCCAGCTACTCGGGAGACTGAGGCAGGAGAATTGCTTGAACCCAGGAGACAGAGGTTGCAGTCAGCCAACACAGTGCCACTGCACTCCAGCCTTGGCGTCAGAGTGAGACTCTGTCTCAAAAAAACCCAAAAAAAAAATTGTCAGCATCAATCAATACTCATGTGCCTGGAGGGCATTGTTAAGGGAAAAAAAAAAGGGTTACATGAAAAAAAAGCACTGAGATACCATAAAAGTGGATCTCATCCAAAAGACTATTGGCCAAGTACGGTGGCTCATGCCTGTAATCCCAGCACTTTGAAAGGATGAGGCGGGCAGATCACCTGAGGTCAGGAGTTCGAGACCAGCCTGGCCAACATGGTGAAACCCCATCTCTACTAAAAATACAAAATTAGAGAGGCATGGTGGCGTATGCCTGTAATCCCAGCTACTCGGGAGGCCCAGGCGGGAGAATCGCTTGAATCCGGGAGGCGGAGTTTGCAGTGAGCCGAGATCACGCCATTGCACTCCAGCCTGGGCAACAAGAGCAAAACTCAGTCTCAGGAAAAAAAAAAAAAAAAAGACTATTAAGTGACTAACGAGCAGATACAGTCTAAAGTCAGCCCTTGGTATCTCTGGGGTACACATCAATGGATTCAATCAACTAGACTGAATAATTACAAAAAATGAAAAAAAAATAGCAAAGTGCCAGGATTACAGGCGTGAGGCACCGCGCCCGGCCTAGAAGCCTCCAAGCGGTTTTAACACGCAGGTAAGCGACCTCCAGACTCTCTAGAGAATGTCTGAATTTACTTGGAGTGGATAGAGCGGTGCCGGGACTTCAAGGTCTGCATGAGCCCTCAGATCGCGGGTGTAGAAGCACACAGGAACTGGGCAGCCTAAATTTAATCTAGACAAAGGCAAACTCACGAGTGGCGGCTTAGACAGTCTTTCCGCGCAGTCGGGTGCCGGGTCTACAGGAAAAAGCGCGCGAAACGTTCACTCCATGATCTCGACTTCCGGGTCTGCAGGAAATTGCGCGCGCATCGTACAGGCCGGGCCCGGGGCCGAGGGCAGGGCCGGGACAGGGCGGGCTCAAGGCGGGGTCTATGCTTCTGTCAGTCTGACTCAGCGATCCTGTTTTAGGGTTTTGGAGGCGAGATCTGCTCAGCACTTCTGTAAACAGATCTGTAAACAGATCTTGCTGGGGCAGAGCAAAATCGGTTGGTGATTAGATTAGATCCACGAGAATTCCTGTTATTACAATAAATTTTAAGTCCCAACTACTCTGGAAGCAGAGAGAGAAGAGAGCGTGAAAAGAAAGCAAAAAGAAAGACAAGGCCGGGTGCGGTGGCTCACTCCTGTAATCCCAGCACTTTGGGAGGCCAAGCCGGGCGGATCACGAGGTCAGGAGATCGAGACCATCCTGGCCAACATGATGAAACCCCCGTCTCTACTAAAAACACAAAAATTAGCTGGGTGTGGTGGTGGGCGCCTGTAGTCCCAGCTACTCGGGAGGCTGAGGCAGGAGAATCACTTGAACCCGGGAGGCAGGGTTGCAGTGAGCCGAAATCGTACCACTACACTCCAGCCTGGCGATGGAGTGAGACTCCGTCTCAAAAAAAAAAAAAAAAAAGAAAAGAAAGAAAGAAAATAAGACTAGAGAGAAATAGTGCAACAAAGAAAAGAATGTAGGTGTCTGTGCCTGTGTGTGAGAAAAAGGGAGAGACAAGAAAGAACGAAAGAAAGACATTTTTTTTGTTTGTTTGTTTGTTTGAGAGTTTCGCTCGTTGCCCAGGCTGAAGCTCAATGATGAGATCTCGGCTCACTGCAACCTATGCCTCCCAGGTTCAAGTGATTCTCCTGCCTCAGCCTCCCGAGTAGCTGGGATTACAGGTGCGCACCACCACACCCGACTAATTTGTTGTATTTTTAGTAGAGACGGGGTTTCACCATGGCCAGGCTGGTCTTGAACTTCTGACCTCAGGTGATCTGCCCGCCTCGGCCTCCCAGAGTGTTGGGATTACAGGCGTGAGCCACTATGCCCAGCCAGAAAGACAAATTTTAGGAATTAAGACACTTTGGAACTATCTGTGAAGGGGATGGAAGCTAAAGTGTGAAATGCTAAACCCTGCCAGAGTGGAATGCGCAGTATCATGCCAATGCCCCATAGAATAGAAATACTTTTTTTTTTTTTTTTGAGATGGAGTCTTGCTCTGTCGTCCAGGCTGGAGTGCAGTGGCACAATCTCGGCTCACCGCAAGCTTCGCCTCCCGGGTTCACACCATTCTCCTGCCTCAGCCTCCCGAGTAGCTGGTACTACAGGCACCCGCCACCATGCCTGGCTAATTTTTTTTGTATTTTTAGTAGAGACTGGGTTTCACCGTAGTCTCGATCTCCCGACCTCATGATCCGCCCGCCTCAGCCTCCCTAAGTGCTGGGATTACAGGCGTGAGCCACCGCGCCCGGCTAGAAATACTTTTCATTTACATTCCCCATTCACTCCAGAGGGTGAGGTCAACCCTGTGCTCAATTCCAGAAACTTTCCTAGGGACACCACCTTGGGCATAGAGGACTAAGGTCAGTGTGAAGTCAGGTCACCAACTCTTTTTAAAAAAGCCAATAACTTTAAAAATAGGTATAAATTATTTAGTTTAAGACTTTTTTTTTTTTTTTAAAGACAGGGAATCAACCTGTGACATCCAGGCTGGAGTGCAGTGGCACAATCATAGCTCACTACAACCTTGACTTCCTGGGGTCATGGGCACCTCCTACCTCAGTCTCCCGAGTAGCTGGAAGTACAGGCCTGTGACATTGGACTGTGCTAATTTTTTAGTTTTATATATTATTATTACTTTGTAGAGATGGAGTCTCACTTTGTTGCCCAGCCGGGTGTCCAAGTTCTGGCCTCAAGTTTTCCTTCTGTCTACACTCCCAAAGTACTCAAATTACAGGCATGAGTCACTGTGCACAGGAGGTAAGGACCCCACATCAGGACCTCAGGTAGTTTTGAAACACAAATACGTAAGATCCACAAGCAGGACTATTGGCTAGAGACAGTGGGGTCACCTGAAGAAATTTTCTTTGACCTGAATAGCAACTTCTCACCCAGGTCACTGGGATCCCGGACTATGGCACTGTTCCAGGCAGGCCTGGTTATCCTGCTTGAGGCAGCAATCCTCTTGAGCCTAGTGAAATGCAACTGGCTGTACCTCAGTGATGTCGCGCTGAGATTCTGCCAGTCAAGATATTACTTCAATCTCCTGAGACAAGCCTCTACCTCCAGATCCAGGAAGGTCAGTGCACACATAAATTGACTAGCTTTATTAAAGGGGATACTGGGTTGGTGGGGAGACTGCAAGACAGCACTCAAGTGGGGTTGAACTGGCCCAGTTGCGTCTGACTTCTCACTTGTAGTTCCCAAGAATGAATATAAAATGTGCTAGAAAAGCAACATACTGAGATGAAGGACAGGATCCTGTCCATCCTTACCAGAGAAGGACAGGATCCTGTCCATCCTTACCAGAGAAGGACAGGATCTGTTCCAGTCCCCTCAGAACAGGATGCCCTTCATTGTTTTAGGCCAACGTGCCATGCATCCCTGGAGCATGAAACCTGGGCCAGGCCGCCTTTCAGGCTCCCTCAGCTGTGATGCGGGAGGAACACACACGCAGACTGCATCTGAACTGGGTGGTTTTCCTGAGCCTTCGGGAACAGCATGCATGAACCCCAGGCATCTGCTGTCGTTGCTGCCAATCTGTAACAAATTCACTTCATGTAACTTACTGTGTGTTCATGGGACTATCTCTCACTCAACTCCAACACGTTGGTAACCAGTGTGCAGTGAACCTGCTTCACAAGTAAGGCTGTGAAGAAATTGTAATCTTCATACATTTGGTGGGAATCAAAAATACTGATGAACGCTTAGGCCCGGCTCATGCGGGAGCATAGTTTTGGTTGTGAGGGTTACAAGTTGGGAACAATCCCAGATGTAGAAATATCCCACCATGGGTGAAACTTCCTGAAAGATCCAGAGGTGCTCCAGGTCCAGATGCAGCTGCTGGAAGCCATGTTTGGCCCAGACTGATCTCAAATCCCTTACATCGAGCAGGTGAGCAAGGTCATGCTCGTGCTGAAGGCTCTGGAGTCTTCAGACCTCACCGAGGTTGTCGGTTACGGCTTCTATTTATACAAGTGCCAGACCAAGTGGATGCCCCAGTCCATGGCTGAGTGGCACTGCCAGTGCCAGGAGCGAGGGATGCTCAAACTTGTGGAAAGCATGAATGCCGTCAAACTACGCCCTTGGGTGAAGTGAGCCAGCTTCCAGCCAATGTGAAGAAGGCCAAGATGTAGAGATCAGGTTGTGGCCATAGCTGGAATGGTAACTCCAGATTGGTTTAAACACTGCTCCAGCCTGATGAATTAAAAACAACAACAACAAAAAAAAAAAAAAAAAAAAAAAACGCCGGGTGCAGTGGCTCATGCCTGTAATCCAGCACTTTGGGAGGCTGAGGTGGGTGGATCACCTGAGGTCAGGAGTTTGGGAGCAGCCTGACCAACATGGAGAAACCCCGCCTACTAAAAATAAAAAATTAGCTGGGTGTGGTGGCACATGCCTGTAATCCCAGCTACTTGGGAGGCTGACGCAGGAGAATCGCTTGAACCGGGGAGGCAGAGGTTGCGGTGAGCCAAGACTGCACCATTGCACTCCAGCCTGAGCAACAAGAGCGAGACTCTCTCTCAAAAAAACAAAAAAGAAAAAAAGAAAAGAAAAGAAAAAACCATCTGTCTAGGGGTTTCTGCCCTTGTTCCAAGTCTTGAGAATATCTCTTTTGACAGTTGCCAATAAAAAAAGTAATTTTTCAGAAAAACAAGACTGCAGATGGTATGGAAAACAGTGTCATTGGACACTTCCTCAACTCAAGATCACCCACCAATTTAAAAAGGATCATCATACATTCTGGTGAAAGACATAAAGATTCCCCCAGGGGTAGGGGATGAGGCAAGGAAGTCCACTTTTATCACTACTATTCCACACAGTGTGAAAAGTTCCAGCCAGTGAAATAAAGGAAGAAAAGGAAATAAAAGTGACAGGCTGGATGTGGTATCTGAGGGCTGTAATAGCAGCACTTTCGGAGATTCATGAAGAATCACAGAACTGTGGACCCATATTAGATACATGACCTACAGAATTGTAAAAGAATAGATTTTTGTTCTTTTAAGCCAATCACCGTGTGGTAGCAATGAGGAAGGAGAGTGGCTTGAGGACAGGAGAAAAAAAATAGTGTACTCTCAGAAAATATGATGGTTGCACAGGTCATCCCCGTAACCTGTGTTACTGAATATGTTCTCATATCCTCAACCCTGTAACCTGTGTGACTGGCTGTGGCAAAGAGGAGTTTGCAAATGTGGTCTAGTTAAGGATCTTTAGATAGACATTATCCTGAATTATATGGTCAAAGTGATAGAATCACAAGGTTCAATATCAGAAGGATGCAGGTAGACCCTGAGGGACGGACAGTTGTGATGTGTTGAAAATAGAGGGATAAAGAGATTTTATCTCGCCTGTAAAGATGGAGGAAGTGGGCCGGGTGTGGTGGCTCATGACTGCAATCCCAGTACTTTGGGAGGCCGAGGCGAGCAGATCACGACGTCAAGAGATCAAGACCATCCTGGTTAACACGGTGAAACCCCGTCTCTACTAAAAATAATAAAAATATTAGCCCGGTGTGGTGGCACGCGCCTGTAGTCCCAGCTACTTGTGAGGCTGAGGCAAGAGAATCGCTTGAATCAGGGAGGTGGAAGTTGCGGTGAGCCAAGATCGTGCCACTGCACTCCATCCAGGGACACAAGAGCGAAACTCCATCTCAGAAAAAAGATGGAGGAAGTGGACCATGAGTCAAAGGATGTAAGTGGCCTCTGGAACCTACAAAGGGTAAGGAAAAAAAATTCTTGCCTGGAGATTCATGAAGAATCATAGAACTGTGGACCCATATTAGATATGTGACCTACAGAATTGTAAAAAAATAAATTTTTCTTGTTTTAAGCCAATCACTGTGTGGTAGCAATAAGAATCTGGTGAAATAATTTTATGTAGAAAATTCCAAAAAATCTACAAAAATCTCTAAACAAGGGAAATGTAAAGGTGGCAAGGTATAAGATCAACATACAGCAATCTTTTTTTTTTTTTTTTGAGACGGAGTCTCACTCTGTCGCCCAGGCTGGAGTGCAGTGGCACGATCTCGGCTCACTGCAAGCTCTGCCTCTCAGGCTCATGCCATTCTCCTGCCTCAGCCTCCAGAGTAGCTGGGACTACAGGCGCCCGCCACCACGCCCGGCTAATTTCTTTTTGTATTTATGGTAGAGACGGGGTTTCACCGTGTTAGCCAGGATGGTCGCGAACTCCTGGCCTTGTGATCCACCCGCCTTGGCCTCCCAAAGTGCTGGGATTACAGGCATGAGCCGCCGCGCTGGCCAACATACAGCAATCTTGTATATTTCACTGGCCAGGCATGGCAGCTCATCCCTGTAATCCCAGCACTTTGAAAGGCCAAGGCAGGTGGATTGCTTGAGCTCAGGAGTTTGAGACCAGCATGGGTAACATGGCAAAACCCTGTCTCTACAAAACACGAAAATTAGCTGGCCGTGGTGGCACGCACCTGCAGTCTCAGCTACTCAGGCAGCTGGGGTGGGAGGGTCACTTAAAGCTGCAGGACAGAGGTTCCACTTAGCTGACATCGCTCCACTGCACTATACCTGGGTGACAGAGTAAGACGTTATTTCAAAATAATAATAATAATAATAATAATCTAGCATATTTCTTTACACATGAAAGCTGGTATTAAAAATAAAATACCATGTATGATTGCTCCATTAACAATATCGGTCAGCTGGGCATGGTGGCTCATGCCAGTAATCCCAGCACTTTGGGAGGCCAAGGCGGGCAGGTCACCTGAGGACAGGAGTTCGAGACCAGCCTGGCCAACATGGTGAAACCCCATGTCTACTAAAAATACAAAAATTAGCCTGGAGTGATGGCACGTGCCCGTAATCCCAGCTAATTGGGAGGCTGAGGGAGGAGAATTGCTTGAACTCAGGAGACAGAGGTTGCAGTGAGCCGAGATCACACCACTGTACTCCAGCCTGGGCAACAGAGTGAGACTGTGTCTTAAAAAAAAGTCAAAGAAATACGTGCCAAACAAAACATTCATAGAACCATTATGTTAAAACTACAAAATGTTGATGAAAGAAATCAAAGACACCAAATACAGACACATATACAATATACATTTATTGGAAGACTCCACATAAAACAATATGAAAACAATATGAAATTATACCAAATTGACACATAGGGTTAACACATTTCCTAATCAGGGCATTCTGCAGATACTAACAAGGTTATCCAATTATGTAGAAAGGCAATGAAACAAAAAAAAGCCAAACCCCAAAATCTAAAATAGCTAAAACATCGGAATAACAACAGAAAGACTGGAATCACTTCATGTGATTTTAAGTCTTCTAACATAGTAAAAGCATTCTTTTCCTTTCTCGTATTTACAGGAATCCTAGTTCGTACTTCCCATTGTCTTGTGCGCATACTAATGTCACAACATTTTCTTTCCAAACAACAGCCATATTTATGTAGCCCGTAAATTTTCACTCAAGTAACACATGGAAGAAACGTATTAGACATGGAACCTGGACTGCAATTTATAAAAGATTTTTAATGTAACTCATATAAAGAAGCACAAAGTAAATTTTTTTTGACACAGTGTCTCCCTCTGTCATCCAGGCCGGAGTGCAGTGGTACAATCAAGGACGACAGCAGCCTCAGCCTTCTGGCATCAAACGATCCTCCTGCTGCAGTGCCCCTAAGTAGTTGGGACCACAAGTGTACATGACCACACCCGGCTATTTTTAAAATTTTTTTGTAGACATAAGCTCTTGCTATGTTGCCCAGGCTGGTCTTGAACTTCTGGGCTCAAGTGATTTCTCCCACCTTGGCCTCCCGAAGTGCTGAGATTACAGGTGAGCCACCCCCACTCAGCCTGAAAAAATTGCTTCATACCATAATCTGACAATGACATTTCCACAACTTTTGGCAAAATGCTCTTCTAGCAAAATCATATTTATTGTATAATAAATATAATTATATAATCAATAAACAATAAACAAATCATGTTGATTTTATAATAAACACTTTTGTACAATAATTTTCATTGAACTAGGATAAAACGTATCTCAGGCAACTTTTGTGGGGAAAAGAAAGAGAGATCGGATTGTTTCTGTGTAGAAAGAAGTAGACACAGGAGACTCCATTTTGTTCTGTACTAAGAAAAATTCTTCTGCCTTGAGATGCTGTTAATCTATGACCTTACCCCCAATCCCGTGCTCTCTGAAACATGTGCTGTGTCCACTCAGGGTTAAATGGATTAAGGGCTGTGCAAGATGTGCTTTGTTAAACAGATGCTTGAAGGCAGCATGCTCCTTAAGAGTCATCACCACTCCCTAATCTCAAGTACCCAGGGACACAAACACTGCGGAAGGCCGCAGGGACCTCTGCCTAGGAAAGCCAGGTATTGTCCAAGGTTTCTCCCCATGTGATAGTCTGAAATATGGCCTCGTGGGAAGGGAAAGACCTGACCGTCCCCCAGCCCGACACCCGTAAAGGGTCTGTGCTGAGGAGGATTAGTAAAAGAGGAAGGAATGCCTCTTTGCAGTTGAGACAAGAGGAAGGCATCTGTCTCCCGCCCGTCCCTGGGCAATGGAATGTCTCGGTATAAATCCCGATTGTATATTCCATCTACTGAGATAGGGGAAAACCGCCTTAGGGCTGGAGGTGGCACATGCGGGCAGCAATACTGCTCTGTAAGGCATTGAGATGTTTATGTGTATGCATATCTAAAGCACAGCACTTGATTCTTTACCTTGTCTATGATGCAGAGACCTTTGTTCACGTGTTTACCTGCTGACCTTCTCTCCACTATTATCCTATGACCCTGCCACATCCCCCTCTCTGAGAAACACCCAAAAATGATCAATAAATACTAAGGGAACTCAGAGGCTGGCGGGATCCTCCATATGGTGAACACTGGTCCCCTGGGGCCCCCTTATTTCTTTCTCTATACTTTGTCTCTGTGTCTTTTTCTTTTCCAAGTCTCTCGTTCCACCTAACAAGAAACACCCACAGGTGTGGAGGGGCAACCCACCCCTTCACCTTTACTAGACACTTTACTAAACAGTAATTCACAAGCATTTTCAACAATCATAGGTGCAGTGAAACCTACACGTCCATCCGAGAGGAATGTAACCAGCTATCACCATGAAGAAAACTGGGGTTTTTCCTAACCAAGAAGTCAGGAGTTTCAAGAAGAAGTATTTAGTCTTGTACTAAAGAGTTAGACTACATTTTGTGATGTCTGAATACTAACAGCTTTTACACCTCTGCATTCCTTCTTCCTATGAAAGGAGGTAGTTAACTTGCCTTAGGTAGATAGCAAGAAAAGGGTCTCTGGAGAGTCCCTGGCCCATGGGTCAGTGCCTCATCCCCACCTAACAGAAAAAGCAGCCTGGGAAAAAATTCAAGGTGCAGGGACCGATAAGGGAACTAGCACAAGGTGTTATGCCTACGGCTGCACAGATGGAAAAGGCCCATTTGGATAAAAACTTGCACAGACCTCCATCTCACTCAGATAAGGGAGCAGGCCTGGCACAGAAATGCCTTTTGCCTTTGTAGAGTCAGTGGGCTCCCAGGCAAAAGTTTCTTCTCCCTTTGTGGACATGGGCACAGTGGGCTCCAATAAGTTCAGGTGCTCCAATAAGTTCAGGTTCCTTTATTGGACTGTAAGTCTGGCTTCTATGAATCATCACTTCAGCCCCTAATTGGTCCTGGGCCAAGCTTTCACTTCAGCTTCTAATAGGTCCCGGGCCAAGCTGAGGCATGCATTCTCCAAGACAGCCCGCAGACTAAGCACATTCCTTCCCCTTTCCAGTCCATAAAAACCCCAATACGGACCTCATAGTGAGTACTCCTGTTCAGGAGCCCCTCTCTGCTGGCAGACAGCTTTCTCCTCTTGCTTATTAAACTTTCGCTCCAAACTCACTTTTATGTCCACACTCCTTTTCTTGGAGGTAGGACAAAGAACCCAAAGTGTTATCTCAAATGAGAGACTGTTACATCTTGGTGCATTGCTGAGACTACATTATGATGCCCATCTGGTCAACTGATAATAAAGCCTGAGTGCTCCCTCATTTGGCACCAGGTATTAGTTCAAACCACAAGTAAGTACCCACACCCCAGCCCGACGCTTCAACAATCATAACACCCAAAGTAGTCATCTATCCCAGTTTTCTCATGACATTTTTGGACCAACTGGGGAAGTCTAACCTGCTTTCCTCAGAAAGTCTTATTATGTAATAAACATTCTCAGACCCCTTCAGTACATAGCATCATCAGTCTCAATACCCAAGCCAAATCTTAGGTGGACGTCAAACAAGTTCTAGTGGAGGCCAGGTACATGGCTCATGCCTGTAATCCTAGCACTTTGGGAAGCTGAGGTGGGTGGGTCATTTGAGCCCAAGAGTTGGAGACCAGCTGGGCAACACTGTGACCAAAAAACACCCCAAAATTAGCTGGGTGTGGTGGTGTGCGCCTGTAGTCACAGCTATTCATGAGGCTAAAGTGGGAGGATCACTTGAGCCGGGGAGGTTGAGGCTGCAGTGAGCCCTAACTGTGCCACTGCACTCCAGCCTGTGCAACAAAGACCCTGTCTCAAATTTAAAAAAAAAAAAACTTTTTTTGTAAGGTTCTAGTGGAGTAGGCAAAAGTTCAAATTACCACAAAGGTTGTGGGGGTAAATATGTGAAGTTCCTTGTTAAAATACCAAAGCAAAACACAATTCCATTCTGTGTGTCCACCCTTACGAGGAAATTTATGAACATTAGTAATTTCAAATTATGTCACTGAGCACAAGGACAAAAAAAGAGATTGTGTTACACTATTTTTAACCTTATCCTCACACTTTTATCTCATAATATTTGTCATATTTGTATTTTTGCTTCATAAAAATGAAAGTGTGGGCCAGGCACAGTGGCTCAAGCCTATAATCCCAGCACTTTGGGAGGCCAAGGTGGGTGGATCGCCTGAGGTTGGGTGTTTGAGACCAGCCTGGCCAACATGGTGAAACCCTGTCTCTACTAAAAATACAAAAAAATTAGCCAGGACTGGTGGCAGATGCCTGTAATCTCAGCTACTCGGGAGGCTGAGGCAGAAGAATTGCTCGAACCCAGGAGGTGGAGGTTGCAGTGAGTCAAGATCGCGCCATTGCACTCCAGCCTGGGTGACAGAGCAAGACTCTCAAAAAAAAAAAAAAAAAAAAAAAAAGAGAGAATGTGTGCCATGGGTCTAATTTAGCACACAAGAAAAAGGCACATAGAAATATAATGATACACTAAACATTTGCCAAGGGCTATAAACACATTTGAGGGTATAGGATGCTGGAGTTGCACTGCTTTGGGACTTTCACTGTACCCACAGAAGCATTCTAGGGCAGAGCACAGATACAATAATTCAAGTACTAAGTATGATTACTCATATTCACACTTACCTAAGGATATGTAACCAAAGGACATGTTTCATTTCACAACCAGAAAACTTGCTCTGGATGCTCCAATCTTAAAATCCCAATGGTGCATTACTGTGTGCTACAGAGTATCCATCCTCCTGAGGTGGGATGAAATTATGACGGTAGAAAACACGATTCATTCATACTTAGGAAAAATGAAACTTTATTACTACAAACATGAGAGCTGCATACATTCTAAATCAAATGGTTGCAACTTATAATACCAAGAATTAAATGTGAATCCTACTTAAGAATATGCTGAGCTGGCCAGGTGTGGTGGCTCACGCCTGTAATCCTAGCACTTTCAGGCTGAGGCAGATGGATCGCCTGAGGTCAGGAGTTTGAGACCAGTGTGGCCAACGTGGTGAAACCCCATCTCTACTAAAAATACAAAAATTAGCTGGGTATGGTGGTACACGCCTGTAATCCCAGCTACTTGGGAGGCTGAGGCAGGAGAATTGCTTGAACCCGGGAGGCGGAGGTTGCAGTGAGCCGAGATCGCGCCACCGCACTACAGCCTGGGTGACAAGGGCGAAACTCTGTCTCATCTAAAAAAAGAATATGCTGATCCGGTCATTTTGATTAAACTCTCAACTGTGATATAACTGTTCTCTATTCCATTTCAAAAATGAGGCTGGGCACCATGGTTCATGCCTGTAATCCCAGCACTTTGGGAGGCTGAGGTGAACATATCACTTGAGGTCAGGAGTTGGAGACCTGCCTGGCCAACATGGTAAACACTGTCTCTACTAAAAATACAAAAATGAACTGGGTGTGGTGGCGCACGTCTGTAGTCTCAGCTACTTAGGAGGCTAAGGCAGAAGGACTGCTTGAGCCCAGGAGGCGGAGGGTGCAGTGAGCCAAGAACACACCACTACACTCCAGCCTGGGCAACAGAGTGAGACTCTATCTCCAAAAAAAAAAAAGTCTACTTCTCATCAGTCTTTGCTAAACAGCAGGTACTGCTGTTCAATGGAGAAGGTGGCTACCTTTTTCCTTGCATTATTTCTACCATATAATCAGACACTAGCAACCTATTACTCTCTTCCCACTAATAACCTATGCCTTAAGATTACAGCATACTCTATTTCATGGTCAGTTGGTGGACACTGAAGCTCTGTGCACTTATGTCAGGAGAAAGTGTGCTAACTGCAACAGTATGATGACGGTCATCAGTTTTATGTTACTCTGCCCACCTCCATGCTCTCTAAATCAGACAATATTTAATCTCAAAAGGCAATGTCCTTCATCAGGAAATTGGATAGAAATAATCCTCAGCTAATGAAGTCAGCCCTGTCATCCTACTGATTCTTTCCCAGGGACCACAGTGAATGGCCTGTATGGAAGGCACATGAAAAGATTTCGAAGTCACAAAGAGTAAAGTAGCCTTTTCTATAAGCCCCAAATAATTGAATGCTTTATAGCCTGAATAAAACTGGTCATTTACAAGCCGTTGCACCTTTGATATACATCAGGTCATGAGATTCAACATATTTTGACTTAGCATTATTCTGCATCATGCAATATCATAGATTAGTATCAGAGAACCAGAGACAGAGTTACTTCTTGTGTAAATCCTATCGTGTTCTATAGCAATGGTCCTTGAATAATAGCCCAAGTACACACAATTCATCTGTGTGCTTTCATCCTCCACAGTGATGTGGTGATGTCCAGTGATTTGGCAGGCCTTGATAAAGCCTGTGTCACATACATTTCATTTATATGATTTCCACTTAGTATGGACTCACTGATGTTGATTAATGCTAGAACTCATGATGATGGTTTTGCCATACAGTTTGTAGGGACTCTCATGAATGAACTCTCTGATGCTGTGCAAGGTCAGAATTGTGACTGAAGACCTTACTGCACAGGGTGCATTTGTAAGGTTTCTCTCCAATGTGAATTCTATGGTGATTGGTGAGGGAAGACTTCTGAGTGAAGATCTTGCCACATTCTTTACACTCATGAGATTTCTTTTCAGTATGGATTGCAAGATGGGCAGTAAGGCCTGAACACCCTCGAAATGCTTTGCCACATTTACTACATCTGTAAGGCCTCTCTCCAGTATGAATTATTTGATGTCTTGTAAGGTATGATGCTTGATTAAAGACCTTGCCACATTGATTACATTTGTAAGGCTTTTCTCCTGTATGAATTTTCTGATGGCATACCAGGTTTGAACTGCGACTGAAGACCTTGCCACATCTGTTACATTTGTAAGGCTTCTCTCCAGTATGAATTCTATGATGACTGGTTAGAGAAGACTTGTACCTGAAGACTTTGCCACATTCTTTACATTCATAAGGTTTCTCTCCACTATGGATTAGAAAATGGGCAGTAAGGTCTGAAAACTCTCTAAACGCTGTGCCACATTTATTACATTTGTAAGGCTTCTCATCAGTATGAGTTTTTCGATGTCGTATAAGGTCTGATTTCTGACTAAAGATCTTGCCACACTGACTGCATCCATAAGGTCTCTCTCTAGTATGAATTCTCTGATGAGAGGTCAGGAAACACTTGCGCCCAAAGACCTTGTCACATTCTTTACATTTGTAAGGTTTCCTTCCAGTGTGAATTAACTGATGGGTTATGAGGCTGGAACGCACTGAAAATGCTTTGCCACATTCTTCACATTTGTAAGGTTTCTCACCAGTATGAACCGTTTGATGTTCTGCTAGATATGAATGGCGACTAAAGACCTTGCCACATTTATTACAACTGTAAGGTTTCTCTCCAGTATGAATTTTTTGATGTCGTACAAGGTGTGCAATTTGATTGAAGACCTTGTCACATTCATGACATTTGTAAGGCTTCTCTCCAGTATGAATTCTTTGATGTTGTGCAAGCTTTGAACTGCTTCGAAAGACCTTGTCACATTCATGACATTTGTAAGGCTTCTCTCCAGTATGAATTCTTTGATGTTGTGAAAGGTTTGAATTGCTACTGAAGAGCTTGCCACATTCATGACATTTGTAAGGCTTCTCTCCAGTATGCATTCTTCGATGTATCACAAGCTTTGAACTGCAACTAAAGACCTTGCCACATTCACTGCATTTGTAAGGATTATCTGCGTTATGGATTACTTGGTTAGTAAGGCTTGCAGATGCTCTAAAGACTTGGCCGTGCTCATTACATTTATAAGCTTTTTCCCTAATGTGTGCTTTCTGTTCTTGTGGAAGTAATGGAGCATGATCAAAATTATTTCTATATTTATTTAAAAGGTGGGATTTGACACTGGAAGAAATTTTTTCAAGCGGTGAAACTGAGGAATTGTCACTGACGGGTTTTTCAAAATGCTTACACCCAGAAATTTTCCTTTCAGCTTGAAATAGCTGTAGATCACTCAGATGTAACTGAAAAGTGAATCCAAGTTGATTTTTACAAGGCTTGTTTCCTGCATTACTTCCCAATTTAGAGCTCCTCTCTAAAACAGAAAGAAAAAAGTGGAACTTCAACCCATGATAATGGCATCTTTAGTGTCTGACAGAGGGTCTAGATTCTGCCTCACCTGACTCAGACATTGGTAGGAGTATCAGGGTATTGTGTGTATCATGCTGGCAGTGCAGAAAACACAAGGAACTGAGGTGATGCATTGGAGCAGTGGGGAATCTGCAGGAGTCGAGAGAATTATGGGTAAATCTGAAACAGACTATGAGCAGAGAAATACAACAGAGACTGAAAACTTCTGGGAAGAAGCAGGGATGAGCCTCTTAGGGAAAATCAGAAATCCAAGAAGAGCTGTATAGACATTAATAATGGTACTTCCACAAGCCAGAAGAAACACATCCCCAGAAAAGGACTGAGTGTTCCCACATGTAGGAAGCTGAAGGCCCAAGAGATGTGACCAGCTCAACATTCCACTGGAGGCTTTATGATCAAACAACAAACTATCATGAATGCAGGATGTGGGCAAACTCACGACTGCGCCTGACACCAGAAGGTTTGCTGAAGGTAATCACTCCCTGGTGCCATGCTCATTGAAATTATCTACTGGGACATCTACAGTCTATTGTTCAAAGAATGCAGTCTTGCAAACCTGTTGTAAATCAAGCCGCTGACCAATAACCACCCCCTCCCCCTGCCACCATCTCCTTTACCCAATAAAATACAAAGGGCTCTAAAGCTCAGGGCCCTTGTTCACTAGAAGGAGCCCCCTGACCCCTTCTTCCAAATATACACCTTTGTCTTTTATTCCAATGTTCGCCCCCTTCGTTCAGTCCCCCAAGGTCTGTGCAGGTGGCAACTGGTGACCCAGAAGAGGGACTCCGAGGATGTCGGACAAGTGGCCTCCGAACATAGGACTTTGAGGACGTGAACAAAGAAGGTTCTGCTGGAGTAGAGGAACTGAAATTCACAAGGTGAATGGGGAAACCTGGATGAGTCGGCTGGCAGCGGATATAAGGTCAGTGCCCTGAAGAGGTACTGGGAGCGATATGAGGTCGGTGCTCTAAAGTACTGCGAACGGGAAGTTTTCTGAATCAGGGTAACGTGGGGCAGAACTTGTCTGTTGAAAAAAACACTACGTGCAGTTGTTTCAAGTTCTATTGAGACAGCCTGGAACTCAGGTTAATTCACAGACATTAAGCTTCTGCAGGAGATTATGATGCATGGCCCATGGTTTCCACAGGCAGGCACTCTTGATGTGGAAAATTGGGACACAGCAGGAAAAGGATTAAAAGAGGCTCATCAAAAAGGTCTTAAAGTTGATTCTTCTATCTTCACGTGGAGTCTGGTTCGTACTGTTCTGCCATTATCTCATTATTCTGCTGGGCAGCAGGCTGAGTCTAAAAATCTGAAAGAATCTGTTGTCCCACCCACAGATCCAATTGAAAACAAAAAACAGGAGAGGGAGGATAAAAATTGGTTTTTACCACCCCCTCCAGTTGCAGCAACATCTGTACCACCTCCTTCAGTAGCAGAAATAGAGACCCCAGTACAAAGAATGTTACACTCTGCTGCCATAGCTGGAGAGCCCTTAGGACCTTGTGCTTTTCCTATTTCCATAAGGCCTGATCGAAACAATCTACATCAGTTTATTCATGAAAATACCCTAGAGTTTAGTTGTTGAAGGAATTACAAACGAGTGTAGTTAACGATGGAGTACAGAGCCCATTCACTTTAGGATTGCTAGAATCTGTATTCGGTGCTACGTGCCTTCTACTCTTTGATGTAAAACTTTTGGCGCAAACTTGTCTGCTACTGCGTATCTGACACGGAATTTAAATTGGCAAGAACTGTGTGCAAACCAGGCTAGACAGAATCGTGCTGCTTGTCAAGGAGACATTACAGAGGATATGCTATTGAGTAATGACCCTTATTCAGACCTGGAACATCAAATGGCACCCCCAGCTGCTGCTTATCAGCAGCGTTCACAGGCTGCTAAATGCGCCTGGGCCACAATTCCAGATGAGGGAGTCCTAGTACAATCCTTTTTGCATATCATGCAAGGGTTGTAGGAGCCCTATGCACAATTTCTTGCGAGATTACAAGAGGCAGTGAAGCGTCAGATTCCTCATGCCACTGCCACAGAAATGCTAACCTTAACTTTAGCTTTTGAGAATGCAAACGTGGATTGTAAATGTGCACTGGCACCTGTAAGGTGTACAAAAGACTTGGGAAATTTTCTCAGAGCTTGTTAGGATGAAGGAACTGAGCTTCATTGCTCTTCAATGATAGCTGAAGCATGGCTAATTTAGTAGTTGACAAATCTAAAAGGAGCCAAGGGTCAAACGCTAAATTGGGAAAATGTTGTACTTGCGGTAAAACCAGACATTTTAAAAAGGAATGCCACCAGATCTCAGGACAGAAAGGACTTCACAATGCAGTGCCCCCCCCCAACACCCAGCAGAAAAACGCCAGCACTCTGTCCTCGCTGTAACAAAGGAAATCACTGGGCTCATCAGTGCCACTCAAGACTTCATCAGAATGGCACCCCTCCTGCTGGGAAATGAGAAGGTGGCCTGGACCCGGGCCCCTCAAACAATCAGGGCATTCTCAGTCCAGACCACAAGCCCATTTCAGGGATGGGTCCCAAGAGAAACATTGATTCCCTCACCCCAGGAACACCAGGAAGTGCAGGATTAGATCTCCCAGTCAAGAGAAATAACAGTAGTTGGTGGAGACAAACCTATCAAAATTCCCACTGGCATTTGAGGACCTTTACCAAGAGGATACATGGAACTAATTTTAGGCAAAGGCCGCCTTAACTTGCAAGGCATCACTGTAGTCCCAGGAGTGACTGACTCCGATTATGAAGGAGAAATTCAAGTAGTTTTAATGTCACAAGATCTTTGGGTTTTTGAACCAGGAGAATATACTGCTTAGCTATTGCTTATTCCCTGCAAATTACACCCATCTTCATAAAAGGAGAAATGAGGAAATAAAGGGTTTGGGAGCACAACTACATAGGAAACTTATCTATCCCAATCCATAGCCTCTAATAGACCTACCTGTGTAGTACTAATTAAAGGAAAGAAATTTTATGGGCGAATGGACACAGGAGCTGATGTGTCAGTCATATCCAGTAAAGACTGGCCCCCAGCATCGACTCTCAGACTAACCTCCACACCCCTAGTGGGAGTAGGAGCAGCTAAAAGTGTTCAACAGAGTGCTGAGATTTTACCTTGTCTTGGTCTGGATGGTCAGTCAGGTACTTTCCAGTCTTATGTTGTAAATACAGCCATCAATTTATGGGGTGGAGACTTACAGCATGAAATATGAGACTTACAAATGAAAACTTTGGTAACCCAGGATTTGAAATGTTGAAGGACATGGGATATGAAAGTAGAAAAGGTTTAGGGAAATTCCTACAAGGAAACCCTAACCCGTTCTCAGTAACTGGAAAAACAGAAAAGGGCTAGGACGTCAGGATTTCTGATGGGGGTCATTCATATTTCTCCTCTGCCCACTGCCTTACCATTAGAATGGCTTAGTGAGAAACTTGTGTGGGCCCCTAACACAGGGGAAGCTAGATCAACTTCATCTGTTGGTAAAAGAACAATTGAATGCAGGACATATAGAGAAGTGAGTTAGCCCCTGAAATTCACTGGTATTTGTTATTCCAAAAAAGCCTGGAAGACGGTGACTGCTGCATGATTTGAGAGCTATTAATGCACAAATTAAACCAATGGGTGCATTACAGCAAGGTTTACCTTCCCCGGCGGCCATTCCAAGAGACTGGCCTCTTGTAGTAATAGATTTTAAGGATTGTTTCTTTATTATACCATTACACGAGAAGCATAAGCCTCAATTTGCCTTCTCTATGCCTTCTATTAATCATAGAGAACCTGTTTCTTGCTATCAATGGCAAGTTTTACTTGAAGGCATGCTTAACAGTCCTACATTATGTCACCATTTTGTAGGAAGAGCATTAAAGGAGTCTCAAAATATGTTTCCCACTGCGTATATCATTCATTTTATGGATGATATTCTTCTGGCCACTCCTACAGATCAAATTTACATCAATTACTCAGAGATGTAAAGCAAGATCTTGTTAAACGGAATCCCAAAATTGCTCCAGAGAAAGTGCAAATAACTTCCCCATACCATTACGTAGGAAATATTGTTACGGAGAGGAGTGTACGGCCATAGAAAGCAGTTCTTGGTAAAGACACATTATAGACTTTAAATGATTTTCAACAAATACTAGGAGATATTAATTGGCTACGCCCTATGCTAGGTATTGCCACCTATCAACTTACACATCTTTACCAAACCCTGCAAGGAGATTCTTCCTTAAATTCCCTGTGCCCCTTAACAGGCTGAAGAGGAATTATAGCTTATAGAGCAAATGCTTCAGCAGAGACATGCCTCCCGGCTACAGCCACAAAAACCTTTGTTTTTGTTTATTCTCTCTACCCCCTATCTCCAACAGAACTTTTAGGTAGGCCAATGCTTAGACAAATCTGTAACAGTAATACATAAACACAAAGGGGAGATGTAGGGAGCCGATGGCCTGAGAGACATGACCAACTCAGCGTTCCACTGGAGGCTATATGACCAAACAGCAAACTGTTTATCATGAATGCAGGATGTGGGCAAACTCATGACTGCGCCTACCGCCAGAAGGTTTGCTGGAGGCAATCATTCCCTGGCACTGTGCTCACTGAGATTATCTACTGGGACATCTAGAGCCTATTGTTCAAAGAATGCAGTCTTGCAAGCCTGCTGTAAATCAAGCCGCTGACCGACAATCACCCCCACCCTTCTCCCTCTTTTACCCAATAAAATGTGAAGGGCTCTAAAGCTCAGGGCCCTTGTCCATTAGAAGCAAGGAGCCCCCTGACCCTTTCTTCCAAATATACTCTATTGTCTTTGTCTTTTATTCCCACATTTGTTCCCTTTGTTTAGTCCCCCAAGGTCCATGCAGGTGGCACCCACACCCTTTACAACAGGTTGATTTGTAAAGGTCTCACCTTGTACAGTTCTTATGTAAAAGAACTGGAACAGCCAGTGCAGTGGCTCATGCCTGTAATCCCAGCACTTTGGGAAACCAAGGGGGGATGGATAACTTGAGGTCAATAGTTAGAGACCTGGCTGGGCATGGTGGCTCATGCCTATAATCCCAGCATTTTGGGAGGCCAAGGTGAGCGGATCACCTGAGGTCAGGAGTTCGAGACCAGCCTGACCAACATGGTGAAACCCTGTCTCTACTAAAAATACAAAAATTAGCCAGGCGTGATGGTGTGCGCCTAGTCCCAGCTACTCAGGAGGCTAAGACAAGAGAATTGCTTGAATCTTGGATGTGGAGGTTGAAGTGAGACAAGATCATGCCACTGCACTCCAGCCCCTGGGTAACAGAGAAAGACTCCATCTCAAAAAAAACAAAAACAAAAACAAACAAGCAAAAAAACCTGGGAGAAGTTGTTTTAGCAAACCTAAAATAAAAATTACAAGGCCTACATAAGGACATTGAAATAAACAAACAAACAAAAAAACCCAAATCTCCACAAACCCAACCTAGAAAAAGGCAGCCCTCTGATTACTTTACAAATTTTGAAAGCAACTGTCTTAAGATGCTTAACCAGCTGAAACATAAATGAGATAGACAATTAAATGAAATCAGGAAAATGATGCATGAAAAGGAGTATCATGGAGGGTGCCTGTAATCTCAGCTACCTGGGAGGCTGATGCAGGAGAATCGCTTAAACCCGGGAGGTGGAGGCTGCAGTGAGCCAATATCATGCATGGCACTGCACTCCAGCCTGGGCAACAAGAGTGAAACTCCGTCTCAAAAAAAAAAAAAAGAGATTTGATCATTCTAATTAAAATTAACCCAAATACATTCACACAGAGACATACTATAAAGAAATTATCAAGAGTCAAAAAAAGACAAAGACAAAATCTTGACAGCAGCAACAAAAAAGAGACTTGTCAGACAATACTAAACTCTGTAAGATTATATATATTTTCCAGCAGACATCTTCAGGCTAGAAAGCAGTGAGGTGATATATTGAAAGTGCTTAAAGAAAAATAGGCAAAACAGCAATGAAGAATACTACACTTAGCAAAACTCACCTGCAAAAATAAAGGCGAATTTTAGACTTTCCTAAAGAAGAGCTGAGGAAGTTAATTAGTATTCTAGACCTGTCCAAGAAGAAATGCTAAAACGAGCATTCAAGATGAAATGAAAGCACTCTGGACGGTATCTTTAATCCATATGAAAATATAAAGGTCATCATAGGCAGGGCGCAGTGGCTCATGCCTGTAATCCCAACAACTTGGGAGGCTGAGGTGGGTGGATCACCTGAGGTCAGGAGTTCGGGACCAGCCTAGCCAACATGGTGAAACCCCGTTTCTCCTAAAAATACAAAAACTAGTTGGGCGTGGTGTCTGTAACCCCAGCTACTCGGGAGGCTGAGGCAGGAGAATCGCTTGAACCCAGGAGGCAGAGGTTGCAGTAAGCCAAGATCCTGCCATTGCACTCCAGCCTGGGCAACAGAGCAAAACTCCATCCCCCAAAAATAAAAATAAAAAGCTCATCATAAAAGGTCAACAAATGATCAAATACAGAAACAAGTATTATTGCACTTTTCATTTGTAACTTGACTTTTAATTCTTTCCTACAATTTAAAAGACACAATCAGGCCAGGTACAGTGGCACACCTGTAATCCCAGCACTTTGGGAGGCCGAGGCAGGTGGATCACTTGAGGTCAGGAGTTGGAGAGCAGCCTGGCAAATATGGCAAAAACCTGTTTCTACTAAAAATACAAAAATTAGCCAGGGGTGGGGATGGGCGCCTGTAATCCCAGCTACTCAGGAGGCTGAGGCAGGAGAATCACTTGGACCAGAGAGGCAGAGGCTGTAGTGAGCCGAGATCAGCCTGGGAGATAGAAGGAGACTCCATCTCAGAAAAAAAAAAAAAGACACTCTCATTTAAAAAGCATTATAAACATTATAAACATATGTTAATGGGAACATAAAATATATAGGATTAATTTCTGCCAGTAATAACAGAAAGAGCAGAGTTGTTAAGCAGAGCTTTGTGTACCTAATCAAAGATAAGCTGTTAACATTTAAAATAGAATGTTTTGGGCCAGGTGAAGTGGCTCACACCTGTAATCCCAAGCACTTTGGCAGGCTAAGGAAGGGCTAATCACATGAGGCCAGGAGTTCGAGACCAGCCTGCCCAACATGGAAAAATCCCATCTCTACTAAAAATACAAAAATTAGCCAGGCGTGGTGGTGCATGTCTGTAATCCCAGCTACTCCAGAGGCAGAGGCATGTAACGTTGAAATTAACAAAAGAAAAAAATGCATTTTTATTTTTTTTGAGACAGGGTCTCACTCTGTCACCCAAGCTAGGGCGCAGTGGTGCAATCTCGGCTCACTGCAACCTCCACCTCCTAGGTTCAAGCGATTCTCCTGCCTCAGCCTCCTGAGTAGCTGGGATTATAGGCACCTGCCACTACACCCAGTTGATTTTTGTATTTTTAGTAGAGGCAGGGTTTCACCATGTTGGCCAGGCTGGTCTCGGACTCCTGGCCTCAAGTGATCTGCCTGCCTCAGCCCCACAAAGTGCTGGGATTACAGGGATGAGCCACCGTGCCCAGCCAAAAGAATAAAAACTTAAAGATCCACAAATATTTGCCAATTAAACAACACACCTTACTGGTTGCTGTGGCTTATGCCTATAATCCCAACACTTTGGGAAGCTGAGGCAGGCAGACTACTTGAGCCCAGGAGTTCAACACTAGCCTGTATAACATGGTGAAACCCCAACTCCACAAAAAATACAAAAAATTAGCCAGGCATGGTGGCGTACACCTGCAGTCCCAGCTATTCAGGAGGCTGAGGTGGGAGAATCACTTGAGCCCAGGAAGTCGAGGATGCAGCAAGCCGTAATCATGCCACTGCATTCTGGACTGGGTGCCCAGGAGTTCAACACTAGCCTGTGTAACATGGTGAAACCCCATCTCCACATAAAATACCAAAAATTAGCCAGGCATCGTGGCGTACACCTGTAGTCCCGGCTATTCAGGAGGCTGAGGTGGGAGGACCACTTGAGCCCAGGAAGTCGAGGATGCAGCAAGCCATAATCATGCCATTGCATTCTGGACTGGGTGACCCAAGAGAGATCCTATCTCCAAAAAATAAATAGGAAAATAAAGAAAAATGTCTGTTCAGAACTCACAAGATTTCAACTTTGGTTTTCCCACAGAATTCTCCCATTTGCAGAGAGTTTCCCAAACGCTATGTAATAGTGTGGCTTTGCAGGGTACAGTGGCTCATGGCTGTAATCCCAACACTTTGGAAGAGCGAGCCAGGGAGATCCCTTAAGTCCAGGAATTCAAGGCTGCAGTGAGCTATGATTGCCACCGCACTCTAGCCTGGATGACAGCGTTAGACCCTGTCTCAAAAAACAAAAATTATGGGGCCTCCACTCTGCCCACCCGAGCTCTCACCTGTGTTCACACCTTTGATGCACTCCCTGCCGTCTGGATCGTTTGCTATTTTCTCTTCACTCTGCAGAGTCCAGGGATCTCTCTTTTGCTCTAACATGGAGGTAACACTCAGGTCAGGAAGACAGATTCCTATTTATAAAAGAAAGAATAAATGTGTGCTGTGGCATCTCCCAAGTCCAAGCCCTGTATTTAGGGAGGAGAGAGGATATTATAATTAAATCATAAATAGTATTTCACAAATTCATCTACTGACTGCCTCTTTCTGAATGCTTAGGGAACATTGTAACATGCAGACATAGAGCCCCCTTCCAAGAACTATAGAATCAAAAGCACAGGGGTAGAAAACAGGGAACTGGATATTTTTAAAGTTTGTCATAAGGTTTCCTGCATACTTCGGCCCTGGTGCCACCAATCATGAATTGTGGAGGGAGGAGAATAACTGAAGAAAGGGGACATTTCAAGTCCAGAAAGTGTAATACAGTTTTTCAATTCTGAGTCAACATGGTTTCAATCTCAGGCAAGCAATGCAGGAGCTCCCAAGAGGCATATAAGACACAATTCAGAGATCCACCAGGGCAGATCCCGGCTTCTGAGGGGACATTATCCTCACCCAGGGAGACCAGGTTCCTATAATTCTCCAACATCACGTCCCTGTATAAAGTCCTCTGCGCAGGGTCCAGGCATTTCCACTCTTCCTGAGAGAACTCTATGGCCACATCCATGAATTTCAAGGGTCCCTGAAAGAAAATCCACATTTCAGCAACAAGGTATGCACACAGTACTCATCGTCACAAAGAATGGGAAGACAGTCGTTAAGGACTGACTCCACTTATGTGAGCACTGTGAAAAATCCATATTAAGGTATTCTTGAGCCAGTTACGTGTCTGTAATTGTGGTTTTATTATATTTCTCCATAAGAAGTTAAGACATTCCTTAAATCAGTGTAGATGTCTCATTTTTGGACAATACAAAAAAAATTAATCCAGGGTTATCTCTCTCTATAGAAGTGTTAGGTATTTTTACACACCAAGTGATATCCAGTATCTACCTGAGATTCAATTCAAGTGGTGTCTTCAGAGATGACAATGTCTACAGTGTTTTTTTCTTTTTTTTGAGACAGGGTATCACTCTGTCACCCAGACTGGAGTGCAGTGCCACAATCTTGACTCACTGCAACCTCTGCCTCCTAAACTCAAGTCATCCTCCAACCTCAGCCTCTGGAGTAGCTGGGGCTACAGGCTCATGACACCATGCCTGGCTAATTTTTGTATTTTTTATAAATATGGTGTCTCACCATGTTGCTCAGGCTGGTCTTGAGCTCCTAAACTCAAGCTATCCTCCCACCTTGGCCTCCCAAAGTCCTGGGATTACAGGTGTGAGCCGCCACACCCAACCTACTGTAGTTTTGGGTTTTTTTTTTTTTTTTGAGATGGTGTTTCGCTCTTTTTGCCCAGGCTGGAGTGCAATGGTGTGATATTGGCTCACTGCAACCTCCACCTCCCAGGTTCAAGTGATTCTCCAGCCTCAGCTTCCCAACTAGCTGGGATTACAGGTGCCTGCCACCACGACCAGCTAATTTTTTGTATTTTTAGTAGAGACGGGGTTTCACCATGTTGGCCAGGATGGTCTCGATCTCTTGACCTCCTGATCCACCTGCCTTGGCCTCCTAAAGTGCTGGGATTACAGGCGTAAGCCACTGTGCCCGGCCCCAACCTATTGTAGTTTTTAAGAATGGTCAAAATCTTGGCCAGGTGTGGTGGCTCATGCTTGTAATCCTAGCAATTTGGGAGGCCAAGGCAGGTGGATCACCTGAGGTAAGGAGTTCGAGACCAGCCTGGCCAACATGGTAAAACCCTGTCTCTACTAAAAATAGAAAAAAATTAGCCAGGTGTGGTGGTGAGTGCCTGTAATCCCAGCTACTAAGAAGGCTGAGACAGGAGAATCTCTTGAACCCGGGAGGTGGAGTCTACAGTGAGCTGAGATCATGCCACTGCACTCCAGCCTGGGCAACAGACAAGAGTGACACTCCGACTCAAAAAAACAAATAAAATAAAAAATGATCAAAATCTGAAAACTGTGATGATAACAATAGCAATGGCTGAATGGAACACTTCCCATGTGATAGGCACTATTTTAAATGCTTTACATGAACTAACTGGAGGATCACAAGGCAGGCGATCACAAGGTCAAGAGACTGAGAGCATCCTGGCCAACATGGTGAAACCCCATCACTAGTAAAAATACAGAAATTAGCTGGGTGTGGTGGCAGGCGCTTGTAATCCCAGCTACTTGGGAGGCTGAGGCAGGAGAATCGCAGGAACCCGGGAGGCGGAGGTTGCAGCGAGCCAAGATCTCGCCACTGCACTCCAGAATGGGTGAGAGAGCGAGACTTCACCTAAAAAAACAAACAAAAGAAGAAAGAATAATCTGTTCCTATCTTACTGAAGAGACAACTCTTTCACATGTATTCTAGGAAACTCGCCCCAGGTGTCAGGACTAACAATGGCAGTGTAAGCATGGGATCCCAGGTGTCTGGACATTAGAATCAAACCTAAAGAATCAAACAGTTAAGTAACAGATCAGGATCAAAAGAAAATTGACAATTACCTAATTCAGTAAACTTAAAACAAGTTCAAGGATTAAAAACACAAAACTGCCTAAAAGGTCATTATATCTGCATATATATAATATATTATATGTCCCCATAATACATTATTATTCTTATAGCTATCAGCTCATTAGCATGATAGTATAGAAAAATTTTAACCTGGTAAATATTTAAGATGTAATTTCAACTGACTAAAAAACATAAAATTTATATAGATGACATGCCATTCATAAAAACCACTGTTGTGCACTCATCCACACACATCACATGTACACACTTACACACTCATATACACTAGTACACATACACACTTATAGACATCAGTTGAAATAAGAGAAGTTGTCTCTCACTGACTTTTTTTTTTTTTTTTTTTTTTGAGATGGAGTCTCGCTCTGTTGCCCAGGCTGGAGTGCAGTAGCACAATCTTGGCTCACCACAATCTCCACCTCTGAGGCTGAAGCGATTCTCCTACCTCAGCCGCCCAAGTAGCTGGGTCTACAGATGTGCGCCACCATGCCTGGCTAATTTTTCTACTTTTAGTAGAGATGGGTTTCACTATGTTGGTCATGCTGGTTTCAAACTCCTGACCCTCTCATCTGCCCGCCTTGGCCCAAAGTGCTGGGATTACAGGGGTGAGCCACTGCACCCTGTCCCAGTGACCTATTTTTTACATATTTTTCATCATTAGTTTGGTTCGCAATTTTTAGACACAGGGTCTCAATACATTGTCCAAACTGGATGGCAGTGGCTATTCACAGCACACCATAACCTTGAACTCCTGGCATCAAAGGATCCTTCCTCATTAGCCTCCCAAGTGGGAAACTAAAGGCATGCACCATTGTGCCTACCTGTAAGTACTATTTTTCCCAATGTGTATTTCAGCATATTTGCCACAATAAAAATGTATAAATTGTACCAACTTATTTTATAAACATATGGTAAGTACTTAAAAATGGGAGACCATGTAAAACCACAGAAACCTGAACTCCAATCTCTACTAAATATCCATATTCAAAAACATAATATTTTTAAAATTTTAGACAGGATCTCACTAGGTGTCCAGGATAGTCTCAAACTCCTGGGCTGAATGGATCCTCCCACCTCAACCCCTCAAGAAGCTAGAATTATAGGCACACATCACTGCTTCTGGCCTATAAATGAAGCTTCGTCCATTAAAATATTGTTATTTAGGTATTAACAAAATTTAATTAAGTTTACTAATTTATTCCATTAATAAAAAGGTGATATGTTACAGGAAATTAATGTACTAATTTAACATATTAAGGGCAAAGAAAATACCTCAGCACCCTATACCTTAAGAAATCATTGGATATGGCTGGGGGTGGTGGCTCACGCCTGTAATCCCAGCACTTTGGGAGGCCGAGGTGGCCAGATCACTTGAGGCTGACATTCAAGATCAACCTGGCCAACATGGCGAAACCCCATCTCTACTAGAAACACAAAAATTAGATTAGAGTGGTGGTGCATACCTGTAATCTCAGCTACATGAGAAGCTGAGGTGGAAAAATCCTTTGAATCAGGGAGGCGGAGGTTGCAATGAGCAGGGATCATGCCACTGCACTCCAGCCTGGGCAACGTGTGAGACTCTGTCTCAAAAAAAAAAAAGAAAGAAGAAAGAAAGGAACTTTGACGTGCAGCTTCTCTAATTCTAGTCCACAGAACACTGACAGTGCATCCAGATGTGATCCCTGAACAATCCCTGCTGCCCAGCAGCACTGCCACCACGGGACCCACACCCCGTCTCCATCCATGTCTGCTGAGAGCCCTCCCCCGGACCATGCCCAGTGCAGCCTCTTCCCAAGTTCATGTCAATGGGTCACAGTGAACTGAAATCTCAAGCGGAAATGAAGGGACTGGAAGAAGCCATGGGTAAGTGCAAGCAAACGTGTCAGGCAGGATGCTTCAGAGTCAAAGATTAGCAACTCCAATGCCTGGCATTTCAGGAAGAAACAGAGACAGAACAATCCACTGAGAACATTACCTTACCTGAGTAAGGGCCATTCCTGACTTCTTTTCTTTCCTCTTCCAAGTTGCTTCCTTGCATAATATGTCTCTTTGGAAGTGAATCCTGAATGTCAAAAATATGCTGCTTAGGGCTTAGAATCAACATACCTCCTTCCTGTGCCATAGCCACACACAAAGGGAAGACCTCACCCTGAGGTAATCCTCAAACTTTGACTTTCTACATAGGTCTGATTTATCCTAACTGAGCAAGCAGATGTTAATAATTTTGGAAATCAACCATTATGTGGTTAAGGTACCTCGTCTGTTGAGTGGATTCCTTCTGAGATTTTTTTCACTTTATTCTCCCTTTCTTAAAATTTGTGAACCTAAAAAAAAAAAAAAAAAAAAGCAATTCTTCATGTGGTAATAAACTGTGATTCCTAAAATCATACTTTGATCAAGCACTTATTTTAAAAATACAAAACGCTCTCAGAAAAGGAAAGGGGGCTGTGTAGTTGCAGTAGAGGGAGCGGGAAGAACAGAGGCAGGAGATGAGGTCAGAGAGGTCCTGGGGAAGCAGATCAGGCAGGGCTGAGCTCTTCAAATATTTTCTCCTACACATCAAAAGAAATTTTGAAACAATCTATTTCCTCACTCATTTTAAGTAAATATGTCACTTATTCTGTACCTTAGAAATTAAAACACAAATAGTATCTCATATATTTTAAGCACATTCTGACAGGTTTAGTTAATCCCCAGAAAGTAGAAGGTGTCTGTCATCTGAGCTATGCAGGACTGTAGGGAGAACATGTCTGGGGGAGTTCAGGAAGCCTATTTTGGACACGTGGAGGTGGAGATGCCTGTGGATGTCCCAGCAGAGATGTCGAGAACATGACTGGACACAGGATTTTGGAATTCAGGGGAGAGGGGTGGGTGAAGAGGGAAAATGGAGACATGTTGGTGGTGTTTAAAACCATAGATGAGATCAAAAGGAAAAGCTGAGGGTGTGGGCAGACAGAACAGGTTTAAGGACTAAATTGGGTGACATTTCCATATTCAGAGAAGACACTTCAGGAGACAGCAGCAGAGGAAACTGATAAGATACGAAAGTAATGAGAAAAATTTTAAACAGATTTTTAAAAATACAAGCAATGTCTTCAAAGCTGCGAAAAAAAAGAGTGATCAGCTGTGAAACATGCTGCTGACAGAAAAAGACAGGAGGACAGAAAATTCAAAGTCAGATTTAAGCAGGGTAAAGGGCTCATGCCTCTAATCCCAGCATGCTGGGACTTCTTTGTAGGAGGATGGCTAGAAGTCAGGAGTTCAAGACCAGCCTGGGCAATGTAGTGAGACTTTGTCTCAAAAAAAAAAATTTTTTTTTCAATCAGCCACGCAGAGGGACAGGCCCATAGTCCTATCTACTCTGGAGGCTAAGACGGGAGGATTGCTGGAGTCTAGGGGTTTGAGGTTATGGTGAACTATGACTGTGCCACTGCATGCCAGCTTGGGTGACAGAGCAAGACCTTGTCTCTAAAAATTAAATGAATAAATAAATAACTAGATTTAGAAACAGAGAAGTCACTGGTGACTCAGATAAAAAAAGGAGCAGTGGAATGGTTGGTGTCAAAACCTGATTGGATGGGGTCAAGCAAGAAATGGAGGAAAGAGTGAGAGAGCGCCTAAACAAGATTTTGGTATATTGTGCTCTTACATGGAGCACAGAAAAGGCATACTTATTGCAAGTAAAAATGTAGCTAATACTTTGTTTTTTCTTCTGAGGATGAAATAGTGGAAAAAATAAAGGCGTGTGTGTGTGTGTGTGTGTGTGTGTGTGTGTGTGTGTTTTAATGGGCAACAACTCCATCTGGGTATGCTGACCAAAATAATTCCCTTGAAGTAAAATCTGATGACACTGTGGAGGAGGGATGCCGTGGCATCAGGAGAGAGTGAATGGGGCTGGCCTGTGGCACACAGTCTCAGCATCAGCAGCAGCCAGGAGCAGGGACAGACAATTCCCAGTCACTACTAAGAACACAGTCCTAGAGACAGGTGAGTGGGCCTGTTGGAAAATTCTTCCCCTTACTGTTTGAGACAGGAAAAAACCACACTGTTTTTACTACTCTCACACCCAAAGGAGAATCCCTCACCTTTAGTGATCAAAATGTGTCTGTGGTTGTTCCTACACTGACCAGTTAAACTGAGTAAAATTACAGAACACCCAGGTGCTGTCTGACGAAGAACTGCTTGTTGGTGACAAGTAATTCCCATATTACTTTGGTGACCAGAGATGAGGCATTCTGTGTTGAGCGCTCTTTATTGTGTTCACTGTGAACACAAAAACACACTGGTTTTTCCTAACTTATACACTCACACCCTAGTCCATCCCAAGAAAAGAGAAGAGTGCCTTATAAATAGTGTTCCAATTCTCATCTTCATGTGTGGTTTTTTGTTTTTTGTTTTTTGAGATGGAGTCTTGCTCTGTCACCTAACCTGGAGTGCAGTGACACGATCTCGGCTCACTGCAACCTCTGCCTCCCAGGATTAAGCGATTCTCCTGCCTCAGCCTCCAGAGTAGCTGGGATTACAGGCGCAGGCCATCAGGCCCAGCTAATTTTTGTATTTTTACTAGAGATGGGTTTCACATGTTGGCCAGGCTGGTCTCAACTCCTGACCTCAAGTGATCCGCTCACCTCAGCTTCCCAAAGTACTGGGATTACACGTGTGAGCCACAGCTCCTAGCCTCATGTGTTCTAAACAAATTTTATATTATAGAAAAATTAATATGTCACAATTCAATCATAATTTCCAATCAACTCACCACTCATCTGTAACCAGGGTCCCCCTCTTTCCTCACTACTGTTTCCCTGCCTCATTCTGTACATATCTCTCATTCTCATCTTTTTTCCTAGCTCTTTTTTTCTCTATTTTCCCCTAGGATTCTGTTCATTTTGAGTCCCTCCTCTTCTCTTTGTCCCATTCTTCCCTCTATTCCTTCTCTCCCACCTGTTCTGATCCATTTTTACAACTTGTTTCACCTCTTATTCCTCTTTCTGCCCAATCTTTCATTGTCCCTAATCTCCATATATTTCTGCCTCTTTCCTCCCACATCTCAGCTCCCCTTGGGGTCTCCCTGTTAAATTCCATCTTCGATATTACACACCCCTGTCCCCACTCTCTGGCACCCTTAGATCCCAGGCCTCCCCCTGCTGTGGTTCTCCCTGTTCTCCTTGTGACCAGCTGCCCCCTCTGGCTGTCCCAGCACCACGCTGCTCTGTCTGACCTGGCTCCAAATCCCTCCTCCTCTCCCCCCTCTGTCTGAGAAGCCTTCCCTATCTTGTTGAATTTCGTCTTTCTACAGACCCAGGTTTGTCTATATTTTTACAGTTACTTTTCTCCCCTGCTATTTTCTCGGCACCTTCTTTCACTGTGCCTCTGCAAACCCCTCACTCACCTTCTACTTTGCCTTCTGTTAATGGGTCTCTCATTCTTCATTTCTCTTTCAAAATTTCTCTATTTCCTCTGCCTCGTTCCCATCTCTTTTTCTCCACACATTCACAGGGAGGGGATTGGAATAAGATGCCCACTTCCGGAAGAGCTCATTTTCTGTGGGCTGGAAACTGGCTCGAGAGAACACTGGATGTCAGGAGACTGAAGTCACCCCCCACACTCGGGGTCAGGAGAACCGGTGGCTGGAAAAGGGAGGCCTGGGGAACAGAGGGTCCAGATTAAGGAGCAAAAAGGCAGGAGTGGGTCAGGAGAGGGGTGGAGTCTGCAGAAACCAGGTCTGGGCAGAGGACGAGGCCTCTCGTGCCCTGTTGGGGCGCTGAGCTCTAGGGGCAAAGAAGGGCGAGGCTAGGGGAACGGAGAGTGAGGATTTTACGTGGTGCGGGGCGTGTGTAGGGGTTACTAAAGGATTTGAAGCAGGTAAACCCCACGATAGGAGGTGTCTACGTGGGTAAATGACAAAAAGACCGGGCACACGACCAGCCTCCAAGCGATTTTAACACGCAGAAAGCGACTCCCAGACTCTCAAAGGATGTCTGAATTTACTCGGGGTGGAGGGAGCGGTGCCGGGATTTCAAGGTCTGCATGCCCCTCAGCTCCCGGGTATAGAAGCAGAGAAGAACTGGCTAGCCTAGACTTAACATAGACAAAGGGAAACTCACGCACTGCTGCGAAAACAGTTTCTCCCTGCAATCGGCTTCCGGGTCTACCGGAAACTGCGCTCTAGGCGTTCGCCCCCCGCGGTCCGCTTCCGGGTTTGCACGAAATTGCGCGCGCATCCTAGAGGCCGGACTGGCTGGGACCAGGGCGGGCCGGGACAAAGCCTGGGCCGGGCCTGCGCTTCCGTTCGCTTGACTGGCTGCGCTTGTTTTCAGGGTTTTGGTCTGAAAACGGATCTTACCTGCGCAGAGCAAAATCGGTTGTAGATTATATCCACGAAAATTCCTTCTATTAAAATGAATTTCAAGTCCCACCTACCCTGGAAGCAGAAAGAGAGAGAAGAGAGAGAGTAAAGAGAAAGAGAAAAGAAAGAGAAGTTGAAAAAGAGAAAGAAAACCAAGAAAGAAAGAGAAAAAAACCGAAAATAAATGGACAAGAAAGAAAAGTAAGGAGGGAAGGGAAGGGAGGAAGGGAAGGGAAGCTTTAGGAATTGAATTAACACACTTTGGAATTGTCTGTGAAGGGGATGATGCAAGCTAAAATGTGAAATGCAAAACCCTGCCAGGGTAGAATGTTCTATTTCATGCCAGTGCCCATAGAAGATAAATACTTTTCATTTATCTTCCCCATTCACTCTAGACGGTGAAGGTCAACCCTGTGCTCAATTCCAGAGACTTTCCTAGGGACATCGTGTTGGGCATGGAGGACTAAGGCCAGTGTGAAGATAAGTCACCGATTCTTTAAAAAAAAAAAGCCAGTAACTTATAAAAATAGCCATAAACGACGTAGTTTTTTGTTGTTGTTGTTGTTTTGAGACAGCGTCTCCCTCTGTCCCCCAGGCGGGAGTACAGTGGCAGGCACTCAGCTCACTGTAACCTCCGCCTCCTGGGTTCAAGTGATTCTCTTGCCCCAGCCTCCAGAGTAGCCACCACGCCCGGTCCAACTTAGTTTTTTAATACTTTTTAAAATTTTAAGACAGGGTCTCTGCCACCGAGGCTGAAATGCAGTGGCGCAATCATAGCTCACTGCAACCTTGACTTCCTGGGGTCCTGGGCAGGTGACCCCCTGTCTCAGCCTGCCGAGTAGCTGTGAGTAAAGGCCTGTGCCTCTCCACTGTGCTAATTTTCTACTGTTTGTTGCTTTGTTTTTAATAGAGATGTAGTCTGGTTTTGTTGCCCAGGCTGGTCTCCAGCTTCTAGCCTCAAGCAGTCTTCCCATCTGCTCCTACCAAAGTGCTCGGATTATAGGCATGAATCACCTTGCATGGGAGATAAGGACCCCCACATCAAGCCCTCAGGTTATTTTTGAAACACAAATACATAAGGCCCACAAGCAGGCCCATTGGCTGCAGACAGTGGGGTCACCTGAAGAACTTTTCTTTGATCTGAGTACCAACTTCTCACCTAGGTCACTGGGATCCTGGACTACGGCACTGCTCCAGGCAGGCCTGGTTATCCTGCTTGAGGCAGCAATCCTCTTGAGCCTAGTGAAATGCAACTGGCTGTACCTCAATGATGTTGCCCTGAGATTCTGCCAGTCGAGGTATTACTTCAATCTCCTGAGACCAGCCTCTACCTCCAGATCCAGGGAGGTCAGTGCACATGTAAATGGACTAGCTTTATTAAAGGGGATATCTGGGCCAGGCGTGGTGGCTCACGCCTGTAATCCCAATACTTTGGGAGGCCGAGGAGGGCAGATCACCTGAGGTCGGGAATTAGAGACCAGCCTGGTTAACATGGTGAAACGAAGTCTCTACTAAAAATACAAAAAAAAAAAAAAAAAAAATTAGCCAGGCATGGTGGCACACGCCTGTAGTCCCAGCTACTCGAGAGGCTGAGACACAAGAATTGCTTGAATCTGGGAGGTGGAGGTGCAGTAAGCCAAGATTGCGCCACTGCACTCCAGCCTGGGAGACAGAGCGAGACTCCGTCTCAAAAAATATAAAAATAAAAGGGATATCTGGATTGGCGGAGAGACTGCAGGACAGCATTCAAGTGGGGTTGAATTGGCCCAGTTGCATCTGACTTCTCACTTGTAGTTCCCAAGAATGAATATAGAATGTGCTGGAAAAGCAACATCCTGAGAGGAAGGGACCGGTGAGAAAAGGACAGGATGTGTTCCAGATCCCCAGAACAGGATCCCCTTTGTTGCTTTAGGCCAACGTGCCATGCATCCCTGGAGCATGAAACCCAGGATGGGCCGCCTTCCAGCCTCCCACAGCTGTGATGCAAGTTGAACACATACAGAGAGACTGCATCTGCACTGGGTGGTTTTCCTGAGCCTTGGGGAGCAGAATGCATGAATCCCAGGTATCTGCCGATCTGTATGTAACAAATTCACTTCATGTAACTTACTGTGTGTCCGTGAGATTATCTCTCACTCAACTCAGACACATTGGCAACCAGTGTGCAGTGAACCTGCTTCACAAGCAAGGATGTGGAGAAACTATTTTCGTACATTTTGTGGGAATCTGAAATACTGCGGTCAGTATGGAAAGCAGTATCATGGGAAACTTCCTCAACTCAAGATCACCTACCAATCCTTACAGAATCAGAATCATCATACAAACTGGTGAAAGCATAGTTTCCCCTAGAGGTTGGGATGAGGGCAAGAATGTCCCCTCTTATCACTACTATTCCACACAATATGAAAGGTTCCAGCCAGTGAAATAAAGGAAAAAGAAATAAAAGTGACAGGCTGGGTGTGGTGTCTGAGGCCTGTAATCACAGTGCTTTGGGAGGCTGAGGAAGGAGGGTGGCCTGAGGACAGGACAAAAAAAATAGTGTACCAACAGAAAATATGTTGGTTGTGCAGGCTAATACCTTTCCCAAAGGAAGGTAGCTACATCCCTATGACCTGTGTTACTGGATATATCAAAAGGGAGTTTGCAAATGTGGTCTAGATAAGGATCTTTAGATAGACATCCTGAATTATATGGTCAAAGTGATAGAATCACAAGGTTCAATATCAGAAGGGTGCAGGTGGATGCGAAGGGACAGAGACAGTGGTGATGTGTTGAAAATAGAGGGATAAAGAGATTTTTTTTCTCACCTTTAAAGATGGAGGAAGTGGACCATGAGTCAAAGGATGTAAGTGGCCTCTGGAACCTACAAAGGGTAAGGAAACAAATTCTCCCCTGGAGATTAATGAAGAATCACAGAACTATGGACCCATATTAGATATGTGACTTACAGAATTATAAAAGAATAAATTTTTCTTGTTTTAAGCCAATCACTGTGTATAGCAATAGGAAACTGATGAAATGATTTTATGTAGAAAATTCCAAAAAAATCTACAAAAATCTCTAGAACAAGAAAAATGTAAAGGTAGCAAAGTATAAGGTCAACCTACAAAAATATCGTATATTTCATCAGCCAGGCATGGTGGCTCGTGCCTGTAATCCCAGCACTTTGGGAGGCCAAGGCAGGCAGATCACTCAAGCTCAGGAGTTTGAGACCAGGCTGGGTAACATGGTGAAACCCCATCTCTACAAAACACAAAAATTTAACAGGCCATGGTGGCACATGCCTGCAGTGCCAGCTACTGGGGAAGCTGAGGTGGGAGGATGACTTAAGCCTGCAGGACACAGGTTGCAGTAGCTGAGATTGCTCCACTGCACTCCAGCCAGGATGACAGAGTAAGGCCCTGTCTCAAAATAATAATAATAATAATCTTGTATATTTCTATACACTAGCAATTTGCACATGAAACCTGATATTAAAAATAAAATACTATGTATGATTGCTCCATTAAGAAAAAGGTCAAAGAGGCCGGGTGCAGTGGCTTACACCTGTAATCCCAGCACTTTGGGAGGCCAAGGCAGGTGGACTACGAGGTCAGGAGATCGAGACTATCCTGGCTAACACGGTGAAACCCCATCTCTACTAAGAAAATACAAAAAAATTAGCCAGGTGTGGTGGCGGGTGCCTGTAGTCCCAGCTACTGGGGAGGCCGAGGCAGGAGAATGGCGTGAACTCAGGAGGCGGAGCTTGCAGTGAGCTGAGATCGCGCCACTGCACTCCAGCCTGGGCGACAGAGCAAGACTCCGTCTCAAAAAAAAAAAAAAAAAAAGGGGGGGGGCAAAGAAATACATGTGAAACAAAACATTCATAGAACTGTTATGTTACAACTACCAAATGCTGATAAAAGAAATCAAAGACAGCAAATAGAGACATATACCATATACATTTATTGGAAGACTCCATGTAAAGCAATATGAATTATACAAATCTGACACATAGGGTTAATACCTTTCCTAATTAAGGCATTCTGCAGATACTAACAAGGTTAGCAGTTATGTAGAAAGACAAAAAACCCAAACACCTAAAATAGCTAAAACATCTGACCAACAACAACAAAAGATTGGTATCACTTCATGTGATTTCAAGTCTTCTAATACAATAAAAGTATTTTTTCCCTTTCTCATATTTACAGTAAACCTAGTTTGTATTTGTCATTGTCTCGAAGCAAGAATCTGTCCCAGAAAAAAAAAAAAGAAAGAAAGAAAATTTCCATTCAAAACTAACAGGATTTAGGCCAGGCATGGTGGCTCACACCTGTAATCCCAGCCCTTTGGGAGGCTGAGGCGGGCAGATCAAATGAGGACAGCAGTTCGAGACCAGCCTGGCCAACTTGGTGAAACCCTCTCTCTACTAAAAATACAGAAATTAGCCAAGGATGGTGGCAGGCACCAGTAATCCCAGCTACTCAGGAGGCTGAGGCAGGAGACTAGCTTAAACCTGGGAGGCAGAGGTTGCAGTGAGCCGAGATTGCGCCACTGTACTCCAGCCTGGGCAACAGAGTGAGACTCTGTCTCAGAAAAGAAAAAAAAAAAAAAAACTAACAGGATTTATACTATTGGTTTTCCACAGAATTCTCCCAGTTGCAGAGTTTCCCAAACACTATTTATTAGTGTGGCTTTGCAGGGTGCAGTGGCTCACACCTGTAATCCCACCAGTTTGGGAGGCAGAGGAAGGAGGATGACTTGAGCCCAGGAGTTCCAGGCTGCAGTGAGCTATGATTGCCACTGCACTCCAACCTGGCTAACAGAGCAAGACCCTGTCTCTCAAAAAATATATATATATATACAGCTTCCACTCTGCCCATCTGAGCTCTTACCTGTGTTCACACCTTTGATCCATTCCCTCCCATCTGGATTTTTTTGCTATTTTCCCTTCACTCTCCAGAGTCCAGGGCTCTCTCCTTTGCTCCCACATAGAGATAATACTCAGGTCAGGAAGACAGATTCCTGTTTATAAAAAAAGAGAACCAAGGTGTACTGTGGCACCTTTAAAACTCAAGCCCTGGGCTGGGTGCAGTGGCCCAGGCCTGTAATCCCAGCACTTTGGGATGCCGAGGCAGGCAGATCACTTGAGGTCAGGAGTTCGAGACCAGCCTGGCCAACGTGGCAATATGCTGTCTCTACTAAAAATATAAAAATTAGCCAGGTTTGGTGGTGGACGCCTGTAATCCCAGCTCCCTGGGAGTCTGAGGCAGGAGAATCACTTGAACCCGGGAGGTGGCGGTTGCAATGAGCTGAGATAGCACCACTGCACTCTAGCCTGGGTGACAGAGCGAGGCTCCGTCAAAGTGAAAGAAAAGAAAGAGAGAGAGAAAGGGAGGAAGGAAAGAGAGAAAGAGAAAGAAAGTCAGTCCATGGTTTCCAAAACATACTTCTGTTTCCATTAATTTATTAGGAATGCTCTTCCATCTGGCTGTTGATCTGTGTCCTGTGTAACATCCTTTATAACAAATGGTACACCTCAGTAAATTGTTTCTCCAAGTTGTGTAAATCACTCTAGCAATAGCAAATTCTGGGGGCAGTTTTGTGCAACTGAGCCCTCAGCCTCCTGTGAGATCTAATGCTAACTCCCTATAAATGGTGTCAAATTGAGTTCAATTAGAGAACACCCAGTTTTTATCTGATGAAAAATAGCTTGTTGGTGGGAAGTAATCCCCACACATTTTGATGACCGGAGATGAGGCATTCTGTGTTGAGCATTCACTATTGTGTTGATTGTGAGTAGAAAAAACACTTTGGTTTTTCCTCCTATCTTATACACTCACACACCCTACCCCATCCCAGAAGTGAAGATAGTGACCCATACCTGAATGAGTCAAGTCACTGCCTGCCGTCTGGCAGAATAAGGACAGCAAATGGAAGCTAACCTCTGATACCAAGAATTAGGAAATGCACATGCCTTATAGACAGTTTTCCAATTCTCATCTTCATCTGTATATTTTAAACAAATGTGATGTTTATTATAGAGAAATTAATCATAATATCCAATCAATTCATCATTCATCTGGATTGAGTGTCCCCCTCTTTCCTCATTACTGTGTGTTTCTCTACCTACCTCTCATTCTCACCTTCTTTTCCTAGCTTTTTTTTTCTCTTTATTTTTCCCCTAGGATTCTCCTCATTTCAAGCCCTTCTTCCTTCTCCTGCTCTTCCCTCTATTCCTTCTCTTCCACTTGTTCTGCTCCTTTCTCACTTCTTTCACCTCTTATTCTTCTTTCTGCCCAATATTTGTCTCCAATTTTCATATAGTTCTGCCTCTTTCTTCCCCCCGTCTCTGCTGCCCCCTAGCTTCCCCTGTTAAATCCCCTCTTCCCTGCTATATCCACCTGTCCCCTCTCTGGCATCCCCAGATCCCAGTTCTCCCCAGGCTGTGGTTCTCCCTGTGCTCTCCTTATCACTGGCTGCCCCTCTTGCTCTCCCAGCACCATGCTGCTCTGTCTGCCCTGGCTCCAAATCCCTCCTTCTCTCCCCAACTCTCCATCTGAGGAGCCTCCCCTTTTCTGCCCCTCTCCCTATCTTGCTGAACTTTATCTCTCTAGAAACCCAGTTTTTCTCTAAATTTCTCTAGTTGCTTTTCTCCCCCTGCTCCTTTCTCAGCATCTTCATGCACTGTCTCTGCAAATCCCTCATCCACCATCTACTTTGCCATCTGTTTTGTTTTGTTTTTTGTTTTTTGAGATGGAGTTTTGCTCGTCGCCCAGGCTGGAGTGCAATGGTGCGATCTTGGCTCACCGCAACCTCCGCCTCCCGGGTAAAAGCGATTCTCCTGCCTCAGTCTCCAGAGTAGCTGGGATTACAGGCATTCGCCACCATGCCTGGCTAATTTTGTATTTTTTAGAGACAGGGTTTCTCCATGTTGGTCAGGCTGGTCTCAAAACTCCTGACCTCAGGTGATCTGCCCGCCTCAGCCTCCCAAAGTGCTGGAATTACAGGCGTGAGCCATCGCACCCAGCTGCCGTCTGTTTATGGGTCTCCTTCATTCTTCTTTCCCATTTCACCATTTTTCTATTTCCTCTCCTCCACACATTCATAGGGAGGGGACTGCAGTCAGATCCCCACCTCAAGAGCCCATTTCCTGTGGGATGGAATTTGGGACAAGAGAAACCTTAACGTCCTGAGATAGAAGTCACGTCCCCACACTCGATATCAGGAGAAGGGGAGGCCTGGGGAGCAGAAGGGCCCCCGATCAAGGAGGAAAAAGGCAGGAGAAAGTCAGGAGAGGGGCAGGGTCTGCAGGATCCCAGGACCAGGAAGAGTTCACGGCCTCCCTGGGACTGGGGCTGCGTCGCTGCGCTCCAGGAGCTGACGAGGGAGCGGAGCAGATGGGAAGCTCCCAGGGCGGGAATCAACCTTGCGGTGAGGACTTTAAAAAAGGTGCGGGCCAGTGCAGGGGACACTGAAGGATTTGAGGCAGGAAAACTCCGCGATAAGAGCTGTCTATATGGCCCTGTGGCAGAAGCACGGGGGACACGACCCCATGGAACTGTGTCCATTAAACCTCTTTGTCTTCATAAATTACCCAGTCTCGGGTATTTCTTTATTAGCAGCGTGAGAACAGACTAATACAGTAAATTGGTAATGGTATAGAGTGGGGTGCTGCTATAAGGATACCTCAAAATGTGGAAGCAAATTTTGAACTGGGTAACAGGCAAAGGCTGGAACAGTTTGGAGGGCTCAAAAGAAGACAGGAAGACGTGGGAAAGTTTGGAGCTTCCTAGAAAATGGTTGTTGAATGGTTCTGACCAAAAAGTCCAGGCTGAAGGTGGTCTCAGATGGAGATGAGGAACTTTATTGGAACTGGAGCAGAGGTGAGCTGCAGGGGCGGAGCCCTCATGGAGAACCTCTGCTAGAGCAGTGCAGAAGTAAAATGTGGGGTTGGAGCCCCCACACAGACTACTCACTACTCGCCTAGTGCAGCCGTGAGAAAAGGGCCACCCTCCTATAGACCCCAGAATGGTAGATTCACCGACAGCTTGCACCATGTGCCTGGAAAAGTAGCAGACACAACACCAGCCTGTGAAAGCAGCCAGGAGAGGAGCTGTACCCTGCAAAGTCACAGGGGCAGACATGGGTTCCCTGCAAGACCACTGGAACCAACCTCTTGCATAAGTGTGACCTGGATGTGAGACACGGAGTCAAAAGAGATCATTTTGGAGCTTTGACTGCCCTGCTGGATTTCAGACTGGCATGGGGCCTGTGACCTGTTTTGGCCAATTTCTCCCATTTGCAACGGGCGTTATTTATCCAATACCTGTGCCTCCATTGTACCTAGGAAATAACTAACTTGCTTTTTATTTTACAGGCTCATAAACAGAAGAGACTTGCTTGTCTCAGATGAAACTTTGGACTGTGGACTTTTGAGTTAATGCTGAAATAAGACTTTGGGGGACTGTTGGGGAGGCATGATTGGTTTTGAAATGTGAGGACATGAGATTTGGGAGGGACCAGGGGCAAAATGATATGGTTTGGCTGTGTCCCCACCAAATCTCATCTTGAATTGCAGCTCCCATGATCCCCACATGTGGGAGGGACCCGGGGGGAGGTAACTGAATCATGGGGGTGGGATTTTCCCATGCTGTTCTCATGATAGTGAATAAATCTCATGAGATCTTATGGTTTTATAAAGGGCAGTTTCCCTGCACGGGCTCTCTCTTGCCCGCCACCACGTAAGACATGTGTTTGCTCCTCCTTCACCTTCTGCCATGATTGTGAGGTCTCTCTAGCCGTGTGAAACTGTGAGTCCATTAAACTTCTTTTTCTTTATAAATTACCTAGTCTTGTGTATGTCTGTATTAGCAGCATGAGAACAGACTAATACAACATCCCAGGCTGCTCACCTATCCCTGTTCTCCAATTTGGACCAGCTGGGGAAGTCCATCCTGCTTTCCCCAGAAAGCCTCATGTAAATGTTTATGTAGTAAACATTTGCAGACCATATCAGTGTATGGCATCATCATTCTCAATATATAATACAAACTTTAGGTGGACTTCAAACAAATTCCAGTACAGCAGTCAAAAGTTCAAATTATCGGTCAAGCATGGTGGCTCACACCTGTAATCTCAGTACTTTGGGAGGCTGAGGCGGGTGGATCACGAGGTCAAGAGATCAAGACCATCCCGGCCAACATGGTGAAACCCTGTCTCTATTAAAAATACAAAAATTAGCTGGGCGTGGTGGTGCACGCTTGTAGTCCCAGGTACTCATGAGGCTGAGGCAGCCGTTTGAACCCGGGAGGCAGAGGTTGCCATGAGCCAAGATCGCGCCACTGCACTCCAGCCTGGTGACAGAGACTCTGCCTAAAAAAAAAAAAAAAAAAAAAAAAGTTCAAATTGCCAAAAATGTTGTAAGGGGAAGTATATGAAGTTTCTAGTTAATCTACAAAAGCAAAAAAAACTCCCATTCTATGTGACCATTCTTAAAATTTATGGGCCAGGCGCAGTGGCTCACACCTGTAATCCCCGCACTTTGGGAGTCCGAGGCGGGTGGATCACAAGGTCAGGAGTTTGAGACCAGCCTAGCCAATATGGTGAAACCTTGTCTCTACTAAAAATACAAAAATTAGCCGGGCGTGGTGGTGCGCGCCTGTAGTCACAGTTATTTGGGAGGCTGAAGCAGAAGAATTGCTTCAACCTGGGAGGTGGAGGTTGCAGTGAGCCGAGATCGTGCCACTGCACTCCAGACTCTGTCTCAAAAAAAAAAAAAAAAAGAAAATTTATGAACATTAATATTTTCCACTTACGTCACTGAGCACTACTAGGAAAAAAAAAAAAGACATGCACTACTAGGAAAAAAAAGACATTGTGGTACAGTATTTTCACTCTTATTAACATACTTTCTTTCATTTAATAGTATTTGTCGCCAGGCACAGTGGCTCACGCCTGTAATCCTAGCACTTTGGGAGGCCGAGGCAGGCAGATTGCCTGAGTTCAGGAGTTCGAGAACAGCCTGGGCAACATGGTGAAACCCCGTCTCTAATAAAATACAAAAAATTAGCTGGGCGTGGCAGCGTGCGCCTGTAGTCCCAGCTATTAGGGAAGCTGAAGCAGGAGAATTGCTTGAACCCGGGAGGCAGAGGTTGCAGTGAGCCGAGATTGTGCCACTGCACTCCAGCCTGGGTGACAGAGCAAGACACTGTCTCAAAAAAAAAAAAAAGTATTTGTCATATATTTGTATTTTTGCTTCATAAAAATTAAGGTGCATGCCATGAGTCTTCCTTGGCACACAATAGGCACGTAGAAATATAATGAACAGTGAATGTTTCATGGACTTTTGAGGGTGTAGGAGGCTGAAGTGGCACAGAAAGAATAACTCAAGTATTAAGTATGATTAGTGTAAATTATACTTACCCAAGGATATGCACCACAAGTGTGTGCATATGTTGATTTCACACACACAAAATTGTTCTGGATGCGTCAACCTTAATGGTGCATTTTTTAAAAATGCCTATTTTACACTAAAGTTAGAGTGATTAGACACATATCACTGCTACATAACTCAGTGTGAAGACAAAGAAAACCAAATTGCAGAGTATTTACTATTAATGTTGCATTACTGTGCAGTATATTCTCCTAAGGGGGACTAAAACAATTGGTAGAAATGATGTGATTCATTCATACTTAGGAAAATTTTATTAATTAAAACATGAGAACTATGTACATTCTAAATCAAACAGTTGGAAATTATGCCAACAGTTAAATGTAAATGCTACTCAAGAACATGGCATACTGGTAGTTTAAATTCTCTAATCAACTGTTCTCTCTTCCATTTCAAAAATGACCACTATTTTTTTTTTTTTTTTTTTTGAGACAGAGTTTTGCTCTTGTCACCCAGGCTGGAGTGCAATGGTGCGATCTTGGCTCACTGCAACCTCTGCCTCCCGGGTTCAAGCGATTCTCCTGCCTCAGCCTCCCGAGTAGCTGGGATTACAAGCATCTACCACCACGCTCAGCTAATTTTTGTATTTTTAGTAGAGATGGGGTTTGGAGATATTGACCAGGCTGGTCTCAAACTCCTGACCTCAAGTGATCCACCCACCTTGCCTCCCAAAGTGCTGGGATTACAGGTGTGAGCCACCGCGCCCAGCCAAAAATGACTACTTTTTAATCATTCTTGCCTAAACAGTGATTGCTATGCAGTCCTAGTGCCCACCATCTCCCTTGCATGATTTCTACAGATATGCTCTATTTCATGGCTAGTTGGTAGAGCACAGAAGCACTGTGCCATTCTGTCAGGAAAAAAGTGCTCAGCAACAGTATGATGACTGCCATCATCATTTTATATGATTCCTCCCCACCTCCATGCTCTCTAAATCAGACAATAATAAGAAAACGCAGTGTCCTTCTTCCTCGGCAAACTGATAGAAATGATTCTCAGCTAATGAAGTCATCCCTGTCATCATACTGCTTCTTTTTCTTTCTTTTTTTTTTTTTTTTTGAGACAGAGTCTCACTCTGTCCCCCAGGCTGGAGTGCAGTGGCGTGATAGCTCACTGCAAGCTCCACCTCCCAGGTTCACACCATTGTCCTGCCTCAGCCTCCCGAGTAGCTGGGACTACAGGCGTCTGCCACCATGCCTGGCTAATTTTTTGTATTTTTAGTAGAGATGGGGTTTCACCATGTTAGCCAGGATGGTCTTGATCTCCTAACCTCGTGATCCGCCCGCCTCAGCCTCCCAAAAGTACTGAGATTACAGGCGGGAGCCACCGCGCCCAGCATCCTACTGATTCAAGAGACCACAGTGAAAGGTCTGTAAAGAAGTCACATGAAGTGATTTCAGAGTTGAGGATGAAAGTCATAAAATGTAAAGTAGCCTTTTCAAAAAACCCCATATAATTAGGTTTTTTAATTGCCTGAATATAACTGACCATTTCCACATGCCCTTGGACCTTCGACATGCATCGCGTCATGAGATTCAACGTATTTGGAGCTGTGACTTTTCTGCAGCATGCAGTATCATAAATATTGGAGAACTAGAGACTGAATTATCGCTTGTGTAAATCTTATCATGTTCCATAGTAATGGTCCTTGAATAATAGCCTCAGCATACATAATCCATCTGTATGGTTTCATCCAAGATGTATGTTTTGATATCTAGTCATTTGGCAGGCCTCAAGAGACCTGATTCACATACATTGCTATGATTTCTCTTTAGTATGGAATCTCTGATGTTGATTAATGCTAGAACTTAGCATGAAGAGTTTGCCATACTCAGTTTGTAAGAACTCTCTCATGAATGAATTATCTCATGCTGTGCAAGGTGTGAATTATTACTAAAGATCTTACCACACACATTTCATCTGTACGGTTTCTCTCCAGTATGGATTCTGTGATGATTTGCCAGGTTTGAATTTCGAGTGAAGTCCTTACCACATTCATGACATCTGTACGGTTTCTCCCCAGTATGAATTCTCTCATGTTTTTTTAGGTATAACTTGTGGCTGAAGACCTTGCCACATTCATTGCATTTGTAAGACTTCTCTCCAGTATGAATTTGCCTATGTCGTGCAAGGTGTGAATTGTGACTAAAGACTTTGTGACATTCACTGCATTTGTAAGGTTTCTCTCCAGTATGGATTCTGTGATGATTTGCAAGGTTTGAATTTCGAGTGAAGTCCTTGCCACATTCATCACATCTGTAAGGTTTCTCTCCAGTATGAAATCTCTGATGATTGCTTAGGGATAATCTATGCCTGAAGACCTTGGCACATTCTTTACATTTGTAAGGTTTCTCTCCAGTGTGAATTAGTAGATGGGCAGTAAGGCCTGAACAGTCTCTAAATGCTTTGCCACATTCATTACATTTGTAAGGTTGCTCTCCCGTGTGCATTCTATGATGATTGGTTAGACAAAACTTGTGCCTGAAGACCTTGCCACATTCTTTACATTCATAAGGTTTCTCTCCAGTATGGATTCTTTGATGTCTGGTAAGGTGTGCATTTCGATTGAAGACCTTGCCACATTTATTACATTTGTAAAGTTTCTCTCCAGTGTGAATTACAAGATGAGCAGTAAGGCCTGAACCCCCTGAAAATGCTTTGCCACATTCCTTACATTTGTAAGGTTTCTCTCCACTATGAATTTTCTGATGTCGTGCAAGGTGTGCATTTCTGTTGAAGACCTTGCCACACTCATTACATTTGTAAGGTTTCTCTCCAGTGTGGATTCTGTGATGATTTGCAAGGTGAGAATTTTGAGTGAAGACTTTGCCACACTCATGACATTTGTAAGGTTTCTCTCCAGTATGTATTCTCTGATGTCGTGCAAGGAGTGAAATTCGATTGAAGAGCTTGCCACATTCATGACACTTGTAAGGCTTCTCTCCAGTATGAATTCTTTGATGTTGTACAAGGTTTGAACTGTTACTGAAGACCTTGTCACATTCATTACATTTGTAAGGGTTATCTGCAGTGTGGATTACTTGATTGTTAGCAAGTCTTGAAGACACTCTAAAGGCTTTGCCATGCTCATTACATTCACACGGTTTTTCCCTTATTTGTGCTTTTTGTTCTTGTGGGAGAAATGGAGAATCATCAAAATCATTTCTGTATTTATTTAAAATGTGGGATTTGACACTAGAATAAATTTTTTGAAGTGGTGAAACTAAGGAATTGTTGATAGGTTTTTCGACATGTTTACATCCAGAAATATTCCTTTCAGCTTGAAATAGCTGCAGTTCACTCAGATGTAACTGAAAGGTTAATCCAAGTTGATTTTTAAGAGACTTGTTTCCGGCATTGCTTCCCAATTTAGAGCTGCTCTCTAAAAAAGAAAGAAAAAAGTGGAACTTCAACCCATGACAATGGCATGTTCAGTGTCTGACAGAGAGACTAGATTCTGCCTCACCTGACTCAGACATGGGAAGGAATATCAGCATACTGTGTGTATCATGCTGGCAGTGCAGAAAACAAAAGGGACGGAAGGATGCACTGGAGCAGTGGGGAACCTGCAGGAGTCAGGTGGATTATGGGTGAGTTTGAGAGAGATTATGAGCAGAAAAATACAACAGAAATTGAAAGCTTTTGAGAAAAAGCAGGGATGAGCCTCTTAAGGAAAATCAGAACTTTTAGAGCAGCTGTATAGTCATTAGTAATAGTACTTCCACACGCCAGGAAAAAAACACATCCCCAGAAAAGGAGTGGCTGTTCCTATACCCTTTATAGCAGGCTAATTAGTAAAGGTATCCTGCACAACGCTTACACAAAATAACTGGGAGAAGTGGTTGCTTTACCAAACCTAAACCAAAAATTACGAGGCCTACAAAAGGACAGGGAAATATGGCTAAAATTATGATCAATCAATCAATCTCCACAAAACAAGCCTAAAAATAGGCAGCCCTCTGAATTACTTGACAGGTATTTAAAGCAACTGCCTTAAGATGCTTAATGAGCTAAAAAAGATAACAGAGACAGATAACTAAATAAAATCAGGCAAACATTACATGAAAAGAAAAAGAATACCAATCACAGGAGAAACTACTAAAACCAAAAGAACAGAAATTCTGGAGCTTAAATATGATAACTGAAGTAATATTTCACTAAGGGATTCAACAGCAGACTGCAAAAGGAACAGAAAACAATGAGCAAATTGAAAGATATGTTATTCAAAAGAATCAGCTCCAAAGAGCAAAAAGAAAAAATGATGAAGAAAACCAACCCTAGTACATTTTTGAGATACTATCAGGTGGAACAATATACAAACTATTGGAGATTCACAGGAAGACAGAAGATTCGAAATCACCATTGTAGAAATAATGTTCAAACATCCCCAATCTAAGGAAAGAAATAAATATACAAATTCAAGAAGCTTGGTCAACTAACTAAACTAAAATGCTAACTAAAACGAACCCAAGGACATTCAGAGACATACTATACAGAAATTATCAAAAGTCAAAGACAAAGAAACAGTCTTGATAGCAGCAACAAAAAAGACTTGTCACATAAAGGGAAACTGTATAAGATTATGTGTATTTTTCAACAGAAACTTTGCAGGCTAGAAGGCAGTGAGAGGAAATGTTGAAAATACTTTTTTAAAAAAAGCAAAAATATCAACCAAGAATACTATATTTAGTAACATTCACCTGCAAAAATAAGAAATTTAGATGTTCTTAGAAAATGAAGAGCTGAGGGAGTGCATTAGTATTCTAGACTTACCCAACAAGAAATGCTAAAGGGACTCCTTCAATATAAAATAAAAGGTCTCTAAATAGTATCTTTAACCTCAATGAAAATAGAAAGTTCACCATTAAAGGTCAGTAAATAATCAAATATAGAGATATTTATTATTACTCTTTTCTTTTGTAACTTGACTTTTAATGGTTTTTGTTTGTTTTTTGAGACAGAGTCTTGCTCTGTCACCCAGGCTAGAGTGCAGTGGCGTGATCTTGGCCCACTGCAACCTCCCCCTCCCAAGCTCAAACAATTCTCCCACCTCAGCCTCCCAAGTAGTAGCTGGGATTATAGGCATGCGTTACCCCACCTGGCTAATTTTTGTATTTTTAGTAGAGACGGGGTTTCGCCATGTCAGCCAGGCTGGTCTCAAACTCCTGACCTCAGGTGATCCACCTGCCTCAGCCTCCCATAATTCTTTCCTAGTAATTAAAAGACAAAATCATTTAAAAAGCACTATATATGTATAGATTTTCCTTAAGAATCCCTGCTTTTTCTCAGAAGCTTTTTTGATATATGTTAATGGGACCATAACATATATCAAAATAATTTCTGCCATTAATAGCAGAAAGTGAGAGCAGAGTTGTGAAGTAGACCTTTCTGTACCTAAAGTTACACTGTTAATATTTAAAAATAGAATGTTTCAATTTCACAGTATTTGAAGTAGCTGCAATGCTAACCACAAAGAGAAAATCTATCCGACACACACAAGAGATGGGATTCAAGTATGTTACTATGATGAAACAAGCAAAATACTACAAAAGGCAGTAAGAAAGACATGTAGGGGAAAAAAATCTACAAGATTTAAAAAATCTACAGATAATAATCTAATATGTATTCTTTTGTTTTTAATAGTTACTATGTTTGATATTCTCCTTTTCATGTAATGTTGGCCTGATTTAACTTTGCAATCAGAAGAAAACAAGATTTACTAAATCCCATCTGCAAGAAACTCCCTTTAATTCTAAGGACACACACAGGCTGAAATGGAAAGGATGGAAAAATATTTTCCATGCAAACAGGAACCAGCAGAAAGTACAGGTAGCAGTGTTAATATGAGAGAATAGACTTTTATTCAAAAACCATAAGAGACAAAGATTATTATAAAATGATGAAAGACTCAATTCACCAAGAAGATACAACAATTATAAATATATAAACACCAAGTGTCAGAGCTCCTAAGTACAGAATGAGGCTGGATGCAGTGGCTCATGCCTGTAATCACAGCCCTTTGGGAGGCTGAGGCAGGAGGATTACTAGAGCCTAAGAGTTTGAGATAAGCCTGGGCAACACACTGGGACCCCATCTCTATTAAAAGTAGTAAGTAAATTTAAAAAAACTAAGTATAGAATGGAACTTGATAAAACTCCAAAGAGAAATAGCTCCACAATATTATAGTTGATTTCAATATTCCAGTTTTGAAAATGGATAGAACCAGAAGAAGAATAAAGAAAAAGACGATTCTGGTTGGGAGCAGTGGCTCATGCTTGTAATTCCAACACTTTGCAAGGCTGAGGTGGGAAGATCACTGATCCTAGGGGTTCAAGTCCAGCCTGGGCAACACAGCAAGACCCTGTCTCCACAAAAAATTTTTAAAAATTAGCCAGGCATGGTGGTACATGCCTGTAGTCCCAGCTACTTGGGAGGCTGAGGCAGGAGGATCACTTGAACCTAGGAGATGCAGGATACAATGAGCTATAACTGTACCACTGCACTCCAGCCTAGGCAAAAGAGCAAGAATATATCTAAAACAACGGAACAAGAAAGAAGGCAAAAATACATAAAACGCACTACAAGACAATGATTGTGAATGAAAGAAAACAATTGCCAGAGTCAAAAGGAAACTTAATGTAACAAAATATTTGCAAATCAAACCTCCGATAAGATGTTAATATCTAAAATATATGTAACTCATACAAATAAAAAGATTTCATTTAATATTATTATTGAATAAAAGTAAATGAAAAATTAAGAAATAAGGAAAAGAATGGAATACACATTTTTCCAGAGGTGATATACAAATAACTAGCAACCATATTAAACATGCAAAATACCACTAATCATTGGAAAAATGCAAATAAAAAACACAATGAGCTATCATCTCACATCCAATATGGAATATTTATTGTTAAAAAAAAAACCCAAAAGACAAAAAAAACAGTACATCACAAGTGGCAAAAATGTGCAGAAATGGGAGACTTATGTTCTGTTGCTGGAAATGTATAATGGTGCAAAGAAGTATGGGCCAGGTACGGTGGCTCACGCCTGTAATCCCAGCACTTTGGGAGGCTGAAGCGGGTAGATCACCTGAGACCAGGAGTTGGAGACCAGCCTGGCCAACATGGTAAAAACCTGTCTCTATTAAAGAAGTACAAAAATTAGATGGGTATGGAGGCACACGCCTGTAATCCCAGCTACTTGGGAGGCTGAGGTACAAGAATCACTTGAACCTGGGAGACGGAGGTTGCAGTGAACTGAGATTGTATACCACACTCTATCCTGGGTGACAGAGTGAAACCCTGTCTCGAAAATAATAATAAAAAAAAAAATAAGTATGACATTTTCTCAAATAATCCAAAATCAAATTACCAGTATAGGCAACAATTCCTCATCTGGGTATATATACAAAAGAACTAAGATAGCAGCTTAAAGAGATATTTAGAAACCCATGTTCATTGAAGCATTATTAAAAATATCAGAGCCGGGTACAGTGACTCATGCCTGTAATCCCAGAACTTTGGGAGGCTGAGGCGGGTGGATCACCTGAGCTGGGAAGAGCAGTTCTGCCCTCAAAGTCAAGGATGCAGCGACCTAAAACTGCACCACTGCCATCTAGCCTGGGCAGCAGAGTGAAACCCTGTCTCTAAAAAAATTAAAAATGAGGCCAGGCGCGGAGGCTCACGCCTGTAATCCTAGCACTTGGGGAGGCCGATGCAGAAGAATTGCTTGAATCCAGGAAGCGAAGGTTGCAGTGAGCCGAGATCGCGGCATTGCACTCCAGCCTGGGTGACAGAGCGAGACTCTATCAAAAAAAAAAAAAGAAAAATGAAAATAAATTCCCAATTTATACATTCTAATAAACGTAACTGACAAAAATATTATTTAATATCTTAATCAGGTAAAGGAAAGGAAAAGAAATATTTATACTACCCATTCCAAAACTCCTGGAGTGTATATAAGTGTTACATAAACTCCTAGGCAAAAAATAAAATAAAATAAAGGTCCTCAAAAATATATAAATCAATGGCCATTCCCTGATACAACATCCCCACACATATAAAACAAAGAAGACAAAGAGTACCATATGGAACTGTTGACTAAATACAAATAAGTTCATTTATTTTTTATTTTCTTCTTATTTTTTTTTCTGAGACAGGGTATCACTCTGTACTAAGGCTGGAGTTCAGTGACGCCATCATGGCTGGCTGCTGCCTTGACCTCCTGGGCTCAGGTGATTCTCCCACCTCAGCCTCCTGAGTAGCTAGGACTACAGGTGTGCACCACCACAGCCAAATTTTTATATGTTTTGTAGAGACAAGTTCTTGCCATGTTGTCCAGGCTGGTCTCAAACTCCTGGGCTCAATCAATCCACTAACCTCAGCCTCCCAAAGTGCTAGGATTACAAGTGTGAGCCACTGTGCCTGGCCCCAAGTTCATTTCTAATACATGGAAAGGCCCAAAATAAAATCAGCAGTGGCTTTAGTCTTATAACCAGATGTATCATTCTAGTGAGCTATTCTGTCACGAGGACTCGGGCATCCAATAAAGGATCTTTCTTTTTTTTTTTTTTTTTTTTTGAGACAGAGTCCCGCTCTGTCACCAGGCCAGAGTGCAGTGGCACGATCTTGGCTCACTGCAACCTCCACCTCCCGGGTTGAAGCGATTCTCCTGCCTCAGCCTCCCGAGTAGCTGGGACTACAGGCATGCACCACCACACCCAGCTAATTTTTTTTTATATTCTTAGTAGAGACGGGGTTTCACCATGTTGGCCAGGATGGTTTCGATCCCCTGACTTTCTGATCCGCCTGCCCTAGCCTCCCAAAGTGCTGGGATTACAGGCGTGAGACACCGCCCCGGCCTAAAGGATCCTTCTGTCAACTGTCTTTCCCATTCTGCTGAGTAAAAATCTCAGAAGAGCCACCTACTCCCGTTACACACACCACTAAAGTATGGACAAAGCACAACTGAAGAATGGCTGAGGAACCTTGTAAAATAAGAAATGCATACATTGGTCTCTTCGTTGGCTCCTGACACAGAGCTCCTAACTCCTTGGAATGTTCTGGGTGATAGGAATGTGATTTGTTCTAATGAGGCAACCTCTGTAGGTTCCCTGGACTGGGCTGATCATCAGAAAGACCAGGCCATGATTACAAGCATGAAAGTGTCAGCCCTATCCACTATCCTCCAGGAAGGGAAGAGGGGCTGGAGACTGAGATAATATCAATCACACCTATGTGATGAAGCCTCCATAAAAAATCCCTGAACTAGAAGAATCACTTGAACCAGGAGGCGGAGATTGCAGTGAGCTGAGATTGTGCCACTTCACTACAGCCTGTGACAGAGCAAGACTCTGTCTAAAAAAAATAAAAAATAAAAAATAATCCCTGAACTATGGGGTCACGAGATCTTCCAAATGCTGAAGACACACAGGTGCCTGGAGGGTGGCACACCCAGTGAATCTTCCCACGTGCCTCCCCCTGTGAATCTCCTCATCCGGCTCTTCATCTGTATCCTTCAAAACATCCTTCAGCGTGAGGCAGTGAACCTAAGAAAGTGTTTTACTGAGTTCTGTGGGCCACCCTAGCAAAGTAATCAACCCCAAGAAGGGGCTTGAGGGAACCCCAACCTGTAGCTGGTTGGTAAGAAGGAAAGGTGACAACCTGCTACTTGTGATTGGTTGCTGAGGTAGGGGACGTGTTTGGGAACTCAGCCCTTTGCCTGTGGGATCTGACTCTAATTCCAGATACATAATATCAGAAAGGCATCATAGAAAACTATTAGATGGCCACTGAAAAACTGGTTGTTGGTGCGTAGAAATCCCCACCCATTCGGTTGACCAGAAGTGAAGCGCTCTCTGCTGAGTGGCATTTGAGAGTAGAAAAAACACTGGATTTTCCCTATCTCCACAAGACCTCAAGAGGCAAAGAGGGGTTGAGACGCCTTCATGCAATCTTTGAGCCCCACATGCAAAAAAAAAAGAGCAGCCAATGTTTTCCTATCTTCTGATGAGGTCTTCCTCATATAGGAAATTGTGTGGACCATACACAGGTCAAGGAGGCAGGTCTATGCAGACCCCAGGTTTGATGTATAAACTTAGCATCAGATAAAATCACTACAGAAACAGAGACCATGGGAAAAAGAGACCCCTTTGACACAGCCCTCCCTATGTCCTTCAGAATGATGGAATCAAAGAATTCTCATAAGCCATATGACAGGGTGTTGTCCATCATGATAAAGACTTTGCCTATGACACAGCAAAAGAAATAATCGGCAGAGTAAACAGACAACCCACAGCATGGGAGAAAATCTTTGCAAACTATGTATCTGACAAAGGACTAATATCCAGAATCTACAAGGAACTCAAACAAATCAGCAAGAAAAAAACAAACAATCCTATCAAAAAGTGGGCTAAGGGCCGGGCACAGTCTCTCACCCCTATAATCCCAGCATTTTGGGAGCCCAAGGCGGGTGGATCACCTGAGGTGAATAGTTTGAGACCATCCTGGCCAACATAATGAAACCCCGTCTCTACTAAAAATACAAAAATTAGCTGGGCTTGGCAGTGGGTACCTGTAATCCCAGCTACTCAGGAGGCTGAGGCAGGAGAATTGCTTGAACTCGGGAGGTGGAGGTTGCAGGGGGCCGAGATCATGCCATTGCACTCCAGCCTGGGCGACAGAGCAAGACGCTGTCTCAAAAAAAAAAAAAAAAAAGGGGGGGGGGGGGCGGTGCTAAGGACATGAATAGACAATTGTCAAAAGAAAATACAGAAATGGCCAACAAACATATGAAGAAAGACTCCACATCACTAATTATCAGAGAAATGCAAATTAAAACTATAATATAATACCCTCTTACTCCTGCAAGAATGGCCATAATCAAAAAATCAAAACATACTACATGTTGGTGTGGATGTGGTGAAAGGGACCACTTTACACTGCTGGTGGGAATGGAAACTAGTACAACCACTATGGAGAACAGCGGGGAGATTCCTTAAAGGACTAAAAGTAGATCTACCATTTGATCCAGCAAAACCACTCCTGGGTATCTACCCAGAGGAAAAGAAGTCATTATACAAAAGAGACACTTCCACACACGTTTATAGCAGCACAATTCACAAATGCAAAAATAGAGAACCAGCTCAAATGCCCATCAATCAACAAATGGATAAAGAAAATGTGGCATACTAATATGGAATGCTATTCAGCCATAAAATGGAACGAAATAATGGCATTTGCAGCAACCTGGATAGAATTGAAGGCCATTATTCTAAATGAACTAACTCACTTAGGCAGGCCAGGTGGGAAGAATAGTTGAGGCCAGGAGTTCAAGACAAGCCTGGGCAACCTAGTGAGACCTCATCTCCACAGAACATTTTTTAAAAATTAGCAAGATGCAATGGCACATGCCTACAGTCCCAGTGACTTGGCAGGCAGAGCAAGATGATCATATGAGCCCAAAGCCTGAGGGAAAACCAAACATTGTATGTTCTCACTCATAAGTGGGAGTTAAACTGGGAGGATGCAAAGGCGATACAATGGACTTTGGGGTCTTGGGGGAAAAGGTGGGAGGGGGGTGAGGGATAAAAGACTATATATTGAATGTAGCGTACAATGCTCGGGTGATGGGTGCACCAAAATCTCAGAAACCACCACTAAAGAACTTATCTACGTAACCAAATGCCACTTGTTCCCCAAAACCCTATTGAAATAATTATAATAATAACATTATGCCCGGGAGCAGTGGCTCATGTTTGTAATCCCAGCACTTTGGGAGGCCAAGGTGGGTGGATCACTTGAGGCCAGGAGTTCGAGACCAGCTTGGTCAACATGGTGAAACCCCGTTTCCACTAAAAATACAAAAAAAAAATTAGCCAGGCTTGGTGGTGCACGCCTGTAATCCCAGCTACTTGGGAGCCTGAAGCATGAGAATGGCTTGAAATTGAGAGGCAGAGGTTGCAGTAAGCCAGGATCGTGCCACTGCCCTCCAGCCTGGGCGACAGAGCAAGACTCTGTCTCAAAAAAATAAATTAATAAAAATAAATTAAAAATTAAAAAAAAAAAACCAATACTAGTTTGGGTAACACAGTGAGACTCCATCTCAAAAACAAACAAGCAAACAAACAAAACGCCAAAAACAAAGAACACAGCAGCAGTAAGAGGGGGCAAAGAAAAATTTCCCTTCTAGGCCAGGCATGGTGGGTCATGCCTGCAATCCAAGCACGTTGGCAGGCCAGGTGGGAAGAATAGTTGAGGCCAGGAGTTCAAGACAAGCCTGTGCAACCTAGTGAGACCTCATCTCCACAAAAGATTTTTTAAAAATTAGCAAGATGCAATGGCACATGCCTACAGTCCCAGTGACTTGGCAGGCAGAGGTGAGATGATCATATGAGCCCAAAGACTGAGGGTACACGGGCTACGATCACACCACCACTACACTCCAGCCTGGGCAACAGAGCAAGAACTTGTCTCAACAAAACAAGACAAAACAAACTTCAATCAGAACTCACAGGATTTAAACTTTTATTTTCCCAAAGAATTCTCTCACTTGCAGAGAGCTCCCAAACAGAAACTCAAAGTGTGGTTTTGCAGGGTACAGTGGCTCATGCTTGTAATCCCACCACTTTCGGAAGCAGAGGAAGGAGGATCACTTGAGACCAGGAGTTTGAGGCTATGAGTTAAGCCACGATTGCCACTGATGATTGCCACTCTACGACAGCCTGGGTGACAGAGCAAGACCCTGTTTAAAAAAAAAAAAAATTATGGGGCCTCCACTCTGGCCATCCAAGCTCTTACCTGCGTTCACACCTTTGATGCACTCCCTGCCACCTGGATTGTTTGCTATTTTCACTTCACTCTGCAGATTCCGGGGATCTCTCCTTTGCTCCAACATGGAGATAACACTCAGGTCAGGAAGACAGATTCCTATTTAAAAAAAGAAAGAATATCAAGACTATCCTGGCTAACACGGTGAAACCCCATCTCTACTAAAAAATACAAAAAAAAAAAAAATTAGCGGGGCGTGGTGGCGGGTGCCTGTAGTCCCAGATACTCAGCGTGAACCTGGGAGGCGAAGCTTGCAGTGAGCCAAGATCGCGCCACTGCACTCCAGCCTGGGCGACAGAGCGAGACTCTGTCTCAAAAAAATAATAATAATAAAAAGAAAGAATAAATGTGTACTGTGGCATCTCCAAAATGCAAGCCCCATGTCTAGGTAGGAGAGAGGATATTATAAATGAATCAAGAATAGTATTTCGCCAGGCACGGTGGCTCACGCCTATAATCTCAGCACTTTGGGAGGCCGAGGTGGGCGGATCACGAGGTCAGGAGTTCAAGACTAGCCTGACCAATATGGTGAAACCCCATCTCCACTAAAAATACAAAAATTAGCCAGGCGTGGTGGCACGTGCCTGTAGTCCCAGCTACTCGGGAGGCTGAGGCAGAATTGCTTGAAAACGGGAGGCGGAGGTTGCATTGAGCTGAGATCCTGCCACTGCACTCCAGCCTGGCAACACAGGGAGACTCTGTCTCAAAAAAAAAAAAAAAAAAAAAAATTACAGTATTTCACATGAATTCATCCACTGCCTCCTTCTGAATGCTGAGGGAACATTGTAACATGCAGACATCAAGCTCTCTTACAAGAACTAATAAATAATAAGCACAGGGGTGGATAACACAGAACTGTATATCTTAAGTCTGTCATAAGGTTTGACGCATACTTAAGCCCTGGTACCACTCAATGATGAATCTCAAAGGGGCCAGAATTCTGAAGAAAGCAATTATTTTAAGTCCAGAAAGTATTATGGAGCTTATTGTTTCTGAAAAATACAGCATTATAAAGCATTATGGAGGTTTTCATTTCTGAGTCAACAGGGTTTCAATCTCAGTCAAGCAATACAGTGACTCCTAAGATGCTAAGAGGCACACGACAAAATGCAAAAATACACCAGGGCAGATCTTGACTTCTGAAGGGACATTATCCTCACCCAGAAAGACCAGGTTCCTGTAGTTCTCCACCATCACTTCCCTGTATAAAGTCCTCTGAGCAGGGTCCAGACATTTCCACTCCTCCTGAGGGAATTCTATGGCCACGTCCCTGAATGCCAAGTGTCCCTAAAATGAAAAACACATTTCACCAACAGGATATCACACAAAATGAGGAGACAGTTGTAAGGACTGACTTGATTGAAGTGGATGTTCTGACAAATCCACGTTAAGGTATTTTTTTAGCTAGTTATATGTTTCTAATTGTGTTTTAATATACTTCTCCATTAGAAGTTATGACATTCTTTTTTTTTTTTTTTTTTTTTTTTTGAGACGGAGTCTCGCTCTGTCGCCCAAGCTGGAGTGCAGTGGCGCGATCCTGGCTCACTGCAACCTCCGCCTCCCAGGTTCACGCCATTCTCCTGCCTCAGCCTCCCGAGTAGCTGGGACTACAGGCGCCCGCCACCACGCCCAGCTAATTTTTTTTTTTTTTTGTATTGTTAGTAGAGATGCGGTTTCACCATGTTACACAGGATGGTCTCGATCTCCTGACTTCGTGATCCGCCCACCTCGGCCTCCCAAAGTGCTGGGATTACAGGCATGAGCCACTGCATGCCCAACCTGATATTCTTTAAATTAGTATAGATTTCTAGGCCGGGCGCGGTGGCTCACACCTGTAATCCCAGCACTTTGGGAGGCCAAGGCGGGTGGATCATGAGGTCACGAGATCGAGACCATCCTGGCTAACATGGTGAAGCCCTGTCTCTACTAAAAATACAAAAAAATTAGCCAGGCGTAGTGGCGGGCGCCTGTAGTCCCAGTTACTCGTGAGGCTGAGGCAGGAGAATGGCGTGAACCTGGGAGGCGGAGCTTGCAGTGAGCCGAGATGGTGCCACTGCACTCCAGCCTGGGCAACTGAGCGAGACTCTGTCTCCAAAAAAAAAAAAAATTAGTAGAGATTTCTAATTTTGTGGACAACATAAGAAATACAAAAAATTAACCCACAGTTATTTCTATAGAAGCGTCAGATACAATATATATAATTTTTTTTTAGATGGAGTCTCACTTTATTGCCCAGGCTGGAGTGCAGTGGCACAATCTTGGCTCACTGCAACATCCGCCTCCCAGGTTCAAGTGATTCTTCTGCCTCAGCCTCCCGAGTAGCTGGGACTACAGGCACCCACCACTGTGCCCAGCTAATTTTTCTATTTTTAGTAGAGACAGGTTTTCACTATGTTGGTCAGGCTGGTCTTGAACTCCTGACCTCAGCAATCCTCCCGCCTCGGCCTCCCAAAGTGCTGGGATTACAGGCGTAAGCTACCTCACCCAGCCAGGATGAAGCTTTTGAACACCTCCCATGTGACAGGCACTTTCTAAATGTTGTACATGTACTAACGGCTATAACAACAAAAGCCCATAAAAGAACAATCTGTTCCCATCCTATTGAAGAGACAACTCTTTCTCAGACATTCTAAGAAACTTGCCCCAGGTGTGAAGGCTAAAAATGGCAGAGTAAGCGCCAGATCCCAGGAGTCTGGGCATTAGAATCAAACTTTAAGAATTAGGCCAGGCGTGGTGGCTCATGCCTGCAATCCCAGCACTTTGGGAGGCCAAGGCAGGTGGATCATTTGAGGTCAGGAGTTGAAGACCAGCCTAGCAAACATGGTGAAACCCCATCTCTACCGAAAATAAAAAAATTAGCCAGGCGTACTGGTGGGCACCTGTAATCCCAGCTACTTGGGAGGCCGAGGCAGGACAATCACTTGAACCCGGGAGGCAGAGTTTGCAGTGACCTGAGATGGTGCCACTGCACTCCAGCCTGGGTGACAAAGCGAGACTCCAGCCTGGGTGACAAAGAGAGACTCCATCTCAGAAAAAGAAAAAAAAAAACATCAAACAATAACAGATCAGCATCAAAAGTAAATTGACAGACAATGACCTAACTGAGTATAGTTAAAATAAGTTCCGGGATTAAAATCAAGAAACTGTCGCACATGTATCCCCATAACAGGTTACTATCCTTACAGCCATAGACTCACTATCATAACAGTGTAGAACAATTTTAAGGTCATGAAAATATATAAGATGTAATTTCAACTGTTAAAAGATATAAGACGTATATAAACTGATGATGCGCCTTTGATAAAAACAATAGACTTGCTCATCTGTGCACTCATCCACACACATCACATGTACACACTTATTCATATACATATATACATTCACACACATATACTCTAGTAAACATATATGTGACAACTGAAAGAGTTGTCTGTCAATAACCTCTTTTTTAGATATTTGTCTTTGTTCGTTTTTTAATGTGTCCAGGTTGCAGTGCAGTGGCTTATTCATGGCACACTACAGCCTTGAATTCCTGGCCTCAAATGACACCCTCTCCGAGTAACTCGAATGACAAGCGTGCACCACTGTGCCTGGCTGTCGTTGTTTTTGCAAATGTGCATTTCAGCATGTTTGCAACAATAAAAATGTATAAACTGTGCTCAATTCAGTTTATAAACATTATTTCAAACTATTTCAAAAAGTCAGACCATGTAAAAACATAGAAACGAGAATTCCAATCTCTATTAAATACCCGTACTGAAACATATGTTTCAAAAATTGAGATGGGGGTCTCACTATGTTGTCCAGAGTGGTCTCAAACTCCTGTGCTCAAGGAATTCTCCAGCCTGGGCCTCCGGAGAAGATGGAATTCCAGCCCCGGCCCATAAATATTAGGTTGGTGCAAAAGTGATCGCGGTTTGCCATTACTTTTGCACTAACCTAATTTTGTCCACTAAATATTTATTTAGGTGTTAGCAAAAGCCCAATGGAGGCTGAAACATCACAATCAGCAGTAAACATCAGATCGATTTCCTCTCATTTAAGGCACAGAAAAGGGGGCAGGCCTGTGAAAAGAGGGCGAGGCTTGGGGGACCGGAAAGACGTGGATCCATCTCGCGGGTGAGAACTTTACGCAGCGCGGGCCGTGTCTAGGGGTCACTGAAGGATTTGAAGCAGGCAAACTCCGCGACAGGAGCTGTCTACATGGCCCTGTGGTGAAAGACCGGGGACAGGACCAGCCTCCGAGCGATTTTAACACTCAGGGAAGCGACCGCCAGACTCTCATTAGAACGTCTGAGTTTAGTCGGGGTGGAGGGAGCGATGCGGGGATTTCAAGGTCTGTGTGACCCCTGAGATGCCGGGTACAGAAGCGCGAGGGGACTCAGCATCCCAGATTTAATCTAAACAAAGGGAAACTCACACGCCGCAGCATGACCGTCACTCCACGTAATCTGCTTCCGGGTCTCCAGGAAACTGCGCGCGCAGCTGAGAGGCGAGGCGAGGCCAGGCCCGGGTGGGATTGGGCGGAGCCTGCGCTTCCCTCCGCCTCGCTCCCAGCTCGTCTCGTTTTGGAGGCTAGACCTGCCGTGGAGACTGGAAGAACTCAGCTATCTGGAAATAGATTGTGTCCCGGCAGAGGGAAAGTTTGTTGATGATTAGATCCAGGAAAATTCCTGCTATTAAAATTAATTTTAAATCGGCTGTAGGGGCGCTCGCATGTGGTCCTAGCTACCCGGATGCTGAGGTGGGAGGATCGCTTGAGCCCATGAGGTGGAGGCTGCAGTGAGCCGAGGTCGTGCGCTGCACTCCCGCCTGGGCATGAGAGAGAAACCTTGCGCCTAATAAATACATAATCATAAATAACAAATTGGAAATAAATAATTAAAATAAATAAATATAAATGAATAATAAACACTAGTTTCCGGAATTTTAAAGTCCTTGAATTGTTTATGAAGGGGATGCAAATTAAAATATGAAATGCAAAACCCTGCCAGGGCGGAATGTGCAATTTCCTTTTTTTTTTTTTTTTTTTTTTGGAGACAGAGTTTCGTTCTTTTGCCCAGGCTGGAGTGAAGTGGCGCGATCTCGGCTCACTGCAACCTCCGCCGCCTGGGTTCAAGCGATTCTCCTGCCTCAGTCTCCCGAGTAGCTGGGATTACAGGCGCCCACCACCACACCGGGCTACTTTTTTGTACTTTTAATAGAGACAGGGTTTCTCCATGTTGGCCAGGCTGGTCTTGAACTCCTGACCTCGTGATCCGCCTGCCTTGGCCTCCCAAAATGTTGGGATTACAGGCGTGAGCCACCGCACCCGGCCAAGTTTTTTTTTTTTTTTCATATTTATATTAATCCTAGTGTATACCTGCCATTGTCTTATGGACATACTCAGGTCACAACTTTTTTTTTTTTTTTTTTTTTTTTTTTGAGATGGTCTCCCTCTGTCTTTCAGGCTGAAGTGCAGACAGCTCACTGACTGCAGCCTCGACCTCCTGGCATCAAGTGATCCTCCCATCTCAGCCTCCCAAGTAGCTGGGACTACAGGCACACGCCACAATGCCCAGTCCCATGTCACAAAATTTTGTCTCCAAACAGCACTCATTTATTTGTCCCCTAAAGTTTTCACCAGAGCAAAACAGGGAAGAAATGTATTAAACATAGAATTTGGAGGCAATGTAGGAAAAAAATGTAAAAATATATATACATACAAAAAATATAAAAATATACATGCTAGGTGTGAATTGTAACTAAGTTTCCAGTATGGGTAGTGGGTATCCCCGCCCCAGCCCTACCCTTTAGCAATCATGACACCCCAAGCCAGTCACCTATCCCAGTTCTCTGAAGCCACTTTTGGACCAGCTGGAAAAGTATACCCTGCTTTCCCCCACAGAGCCTCATTATATAATAAACACTCTCAAACCATATCAGTGTATGGGATCATCATTCTCAAGATCCAAGCCAAACCTTAGGGGGACTTCAAACAAGTTCCAGAAGAGTGGTCAAAAATTCAAATTACCAAAAGAGTTGTGAGGGTGACTATATGAAGTTTCTAGTTAATGTACCAAAACAAAATTCCCTTTCTGTGTGTGACTTAAAAAGAAGATGGGTGAACATTAATATTTTCAAATGATGTCACTGAACACTAGAAGTACAAAAAGAAATTGTGTTACAGTATTATTATTATTTTTTTTTTTTTGAGACGGAGCCTTGCTCTGTCACCAGGCTGGAGTGCAGTGGGGTGATCTCAGCTCACTGCAACCTCTGCCTCTTGGGTTCAAGCGATTCTCCTGCCTCAGCCTCCCAAGTAGCTGGGATTACAGGTGCACACCACCAGGCCCAGCTAATTTTTTTTTTTTGTATTTTTAGTAGAGACAAGGTTTCACCATGTTGACCAGGATGGCCTCAATCTCCTGACCTCGTGATCCACCCAATGCAGCCTCCCAAAGTGCTGAGATTACAGGCGTGAGCCACCAGGCCCGGCCATGTTACAGTATTTTTGCCCTCAACCCATACTTTATTTCCTAATATTTGTCATATTACTATATATTTTTGCTGCATGAAAATGAAGGTGCACACCATAGTTCTTATTTGGCACACAAGAAAGAGGCATGTAGAAACACAATACAGGGCATACTCTTTAACACTCACACACATTTGAGGGTGTACAAGGCTGAAATTGTACTATTAAAGTGATTTTGACTTTACCCACATAAACATCCTACACCAGAGTACAGAGAAACTAACTCAAGTACTAAGTGTAATTACTCAACATCATACTTACTTAAGTATATTGCACCCAGAAGCGTATGTTGTTTTATGTCTCACACACATACACACACACACACTTTTCTGGCTGCTTCAACCTTAAAATCATAATGGGTTATTATTCTCTACTATAAAGTATCCTCCTGAGGTAAGATTAAACAACGCTGGTAGAAAGGATGTAATTCATTCACACTAAGAAAAATTTAAACTAGGCCGGGCGCTGTGGCTCACACCTATAATCCCAGCACTTTGGGAGGCCAAGGCCAGTGGATCACTTGAGGTCAGGAGTTTGAAACCGGCCTGGCCAACGGAGGGAAACCCCGTCTCGACTAAAAATACAAAAATTAGCCGGGCAGTAGTGGCACATGCCTGTAATCCCAGCTACTCAGGAGGCTGAGGCAGGAGAATTGCTTGAATCCGGGAGACGGAGGTTGCAGTGAGCCAAGATCATGCCACTGCACTCCAGCCTGGGTAATACAGCGAGACTTCGTCTCAAAAAAAAAAGAAAAAACTAAAAAAAAACTTTAAACTTTATTACTTAAAACATGAGAAGTATGTACATTCTAAATCAAAGAGTTACAAATTACGGTGCCAGCAGTTAAATGTGAATCCTACTCAAGAATATGCTATACTGGTAGTTTTCATTAAATGCTCTATTCTGATATAACTGTTCTCTCTTTATAGATTATTTATATATGTTATTAACTTTACATTTGTAGGGTTTCCTTTCAGTGTGGATCAAGAGATGAGTGATGAGGCTTCAATGCAAACTAAATTCTTTGCCACATTTATGATATTTGTAAGGTTTTTCTCCTGAGTCCTCCAATGTTGTGCTAGGTGTGAATTCTAACTAAAGATTTTGCCACATTCATTCCATCTGTAAGGTACGCAGTGAATTCTCTCCAGCATGAATTTTCCGATGTCGTGAAAGGTGTGGATTTTGATTGAAGACCTTGCCACATGCATTACACTTGTAAGGTCTCTCTCCAGTATGAATTCTCTGATGGTTGGTTAGGTATAATTTGCGCCCAAAGACTTTGTCACATTCATTACATTTGTAAGGTTTCTCTCCAGTATGGATTAGAAGATGGGCCATAAGGCCCGGACGCTTGTGAAATGCTCTTCCACATTCGTTACATTTGTAGGGCTTCTCTGTACTATGAATTATTTGATGCCGTGCAAGGTATGAAAGCAGACTAAAGACCTTGCCACATTCATTACATTTGTAAGGTTTTTCCGCCGTGTGACTTCTCTGATGATTGGTTAGAGAAAATTTGTGCCTGAAGTTCTTGCCACACTCATTACATTTGTAAGGTTTCTCTCCAGTATGGATTACAAGATGGGTAGTAAGTCCCGAACACTCTCTAAAAGCTTTGCCACATTCGTTACATTTGTGAGGCTTCTCTCCAGTATGAATTCTTTGATGTCGTGCAAGGTTTGAATTGCGATTAAACACCTTGTCACATTCACTACATTTGTAAGGCTTCTGTCCAGTATGAATTCTCCAATGTTCTACAAGGTGTGAATTGCGACTGAAGACCTTGCCACATTCAGTACATTTGTAAGGTTTCTCTGCAGTATGGATTACTTGATGGTTAGTAAGGCTTGCACGGACTCTAAAAACTTCACCATCTTCACTACATTCATATTCATAAGATTTTCCTCTAATGTATGCTTTCTCTTCTTGTGGGAGTAATGGGAAATCAATAAGATCATTTCTATATTTATTAAAAATGTGTGTTGTGAAACTAGAAGAAATTTTTTGAAGTGGTGAAACTGAGGAACGATGGTTTGTAAACTTTTCAACTTGATTACTTCTGTAAATTTTCCTTCCGGCTTGAAACAGCTGCAATTCAGACAGATGTGCCTCAAGGGTTAATCCAAGTTGATTTTTAATAGGCTTGTTTTCTGCATTGCTTCCCAATACACAGCTCCTCCCTAGAAAAGAAGAAAGAGTAGAACATGAACCCATGATTCTGGCATGTTTACCGTCTGGTGGAGGGACCAGAATCAGCCTCACCCAACTCAGACACTGGAAGAAGTATCGGCATACTTTGCATGTCACATTGTGAGAGCTGAAAACACAAGGGGGTGACGTGATGCATTGGAGCAGTGGGGAATCTGCAGGACTCGGGAGGATTATGAGTGACTTTGAGAAAGATTAAGGGCAGAAAAATAGAACAGAAACTGAAAGCTTCTCAGAAAAAGCAGGGATGAGCCTCTTAGAGAAAATAAGACATTTAAGAGCAGTTGTATAGACATTAGTAATAGTATAATATACGCATAAAGCTAGGAGAGACACAATCCCAGGAGTGAGGTGTTCCCACACCCTTTACAACAGGCTAATTGGGAAAGGTCTCCCTGTCACACCTGTCACAATTCTTTTTTTTTTTTTTTTGAGACGGAGTCTCTCTCTGTTGCCCCAGGCTGGAGTGCAGTGGCACCACCTCAGCTCACTGCAACCTCCGCAAGCAATTCCCCTGCATCAGCCTCCCAAGTAGCTGGAACTACAGGCGCACGCCACCACGTTCGTCTAATTTTTTTGTATTTTTAGTAGAGACGGGGTTTCACCACGTTGGCCAGACTGGTCTCAAACTCCCAACCTCAGGCAATCTGCCTGCCTTGGTCTCCCAAAGTGTTGAGATTACAGGCGTGAGCCACCGTGCCCAGCCTATCATTAAACATCTTAAAGCAAACTTGCAGGCTAGAAGGCAGTAAGATGATGATATGTTGAAAGTGCTTAAAGAAAAAAAAATACGGCTGGGTGCAGTGGCTCATACCTGTAATCCTACCACTTTGGGAGGCTGAGGTGGATTGATGACCTGAGGTCAGAAGTTCAAGACCAGCCTGGCCAACATGGTGAAACCTCATCTCTGCTAAAAACACAAAAATTAGCTGGCTGTGCTGGCACATGCCTGTAATCCCAGCTACTTGGAAGGCTGAGGCAGGAGAATCACTTGAACCTCACATGGGGGAAGGCGGGGCATGGAGGTTGCAGTGAGCCAAGATCGCGCCACAGCACTCTAGCCTGGGCGACAGAGCGAGACTCCTTCTCAAACAAACAAACAAAAAACCAAGAATACTATATTCAGCAAAACTTGCTTGCAAAAATAAAGGAGAAATTTACACGTTCCTGAATAAAGAAGAGCTGAGGAAGGTAATTAGTACCTTGGAACTGTCTGACAAGAAATGTTAAAGGGAATCCTTCAAAAGGAAATAAAAGGACCCCAGACAGTACTTCTAACCCAAATGAAAATATAAAGTTCTCCATTAAAGGTCAATAAATGATCAAATATGGAAACATAGTATCCTGAGAGTGACACTGTATGAGAAAAAAATTAAAAAAGAAAACAAAAAAATCATGCATTATTGTACTTTTCATTTGTAATTTGGCTTTTCTTTCCTAGCATTTCAAAGGCAAAATTATTTAAAAAGCACTAAAATGTGTTAATGGGAATATTACATATATAGAAGGAACTTCTAGCACAATAACAAATAGCACAGCTATAATGTAATGCTTTCGGTACCTAATCAAGGTTAAGCTGTTGACATTTTAAAATAATGTTTTATTGTTACAATGTTTTATGTAACTTCAATCTTAACCACAAGAGGAAAATCTACAAACATACACCAGAGGAGATGAGAAGGGGATCAAAGCATGTCACAATTAAAAAACCAACAAAATACAAAAGCAGGCAGTAAGGGAAAAATGAAGGACAAAAAAATCTACAAGATGTTACAAAATCTACAGCTAATATGTGACAAGATGGCACTATTAAGGCCTTCTCTATGAGTATGTGAAATACAAATGATTTCCCATTGGAATCAGAACAAAACAGGATCCAACTAAATCCTATCCACGACAGACTCCCTTTAACTCTAAAGACATAAATTGGCTGAAACTGAAAGGATGGAAAAGGATATTCCATGCAAATAGTAACCAGCAGAGCACAGAGGTGTCTATATTAAAATCAAAGAGAACAGACGTTTACTCAATAACCAGTATAAGAAAGAAAAGTTATTATACAATGATGAAGGGTTCAATTCACCAAGAAGATATAACAACTATAAATATATAGGCACCAAATATCACAGCCCCTAAGTATAGGATGGAAACATTCACAAAATTCAAAGGAGAAACAGATAGCTCCACGATATAGTAGTAGACTTCAATACTTCATTTTCAAAAATGGATAGAACAAGGTGACCAGGCAGGGTGGCTCACACCTGTAATCCCAGCACTTTGGGAGGCTGAGGCAGGAGGATCACTTGAGGCCAGGAGTTTGATACCAGCCTGGCCAACATGGCGAAACCCCCATCTCTACTAAAACTACAAAAATTAGCTGGATGCAGTGGTGCATTCTAGTAATCCTAGCTACTCAGGTGGCTGAGGCATAAGAATCGCTTGAACCTGGGAGGTGGAGGTTGCAGTGAGCTGAGATCACACCATTGCCCTCCAGCCTGGGTAGGCAACAGGGTGAGACTATGTCTCAAAAAAAAAAAAAAAAGGGGATAGAACCAAAGAGAAGGGGGTTCTGTCTCTCGGCTTTGGAGCCCCCCTCACTCTGTCTCTGTACAGGGGAGCTTCTTCTTTCTTTCTTCCCCCTTCTTTCTTGCCTATTAAACTCCCTGCTCCTTAAAACTAAAAAATAAAAATAAATAAATAAAAATCAAAGAGAAGAAGAAGAAAACAGGACTCAAACATCACTATAGCCTCATTAGATATGACAGACGTATACACAACACATCACCTAAAAACAGCAGAATACAAATTTTTCGGAAGTGCCCATGGAACAGTTTCCAGGATGGACTTCATGTTATGACACAAAACAATCTTTTAAACATTTAGAAGTCTACAAAGTATTGATTCCCATTATAATGTAATAAAACAAAATTAACAGAAAGAAATGTAAAACCCACAGATATGTCCAAATGAAACAACACATCTAAAAAACCAATAGGTCAAAAAAGAAACCACAAACTGATTTTTAAAATATCTTGATAGAAAAGGAAAGGAAAACAGAACACACCAGAACTTATAAAATGCAACAAAAATGTGTGCTTACATTAAAAATAAACAAATGGCCAGGCATGATGCCTCACATCTATAATCCCGGCACTTGGGAGTTTGAGGCATGAGGAGTACTTCAAGCCAGGAGTTGCAGACCAGCACAGGCAACAATACAAGACACCATCTCTACAAAATTTATGTATTTATTTATTTTTGAGATGGAGTCTCGCTCTGTCACCAGGCTGGAGTGCAGTGGTGCGATCTCGGCTCACTGCAACCTCCGCCTCCCAGGTTCAACTGATTCTCCTGCCTCAGCCGCCCCAGTGGCTGGGACTACAGGCGTGTGCCACCATGCCCAGCTAACTTTCGTATTTTTAGTAGAGACGGGGTTTTACCATGTTGGTCAGACTGGTCTTGAACTCCTGACCTCAGGTGATCCACCCGCCTCGGCCTCCCGAAGTGCTGGGATTACAGGCGTAATCCCATAGTGTGATTCCCACAGGCGTGAGCCATAGTGCTGGCTTATTTATTTTTTAGTTAGCAAGGCACAGTGCCATGCACCTGTAGTCCTAGCTACTCAGGAGGCTGAGATAAGAGAATCACCTTAGCCTCGGAGTTTGTGGTTGAATTGAGCTATGATTGCACTACTGCACTCCAATGTGGGAGACAGAGTGAGACCTCATCACTAAAATAAATAAATAAAGTTACATGTAAACAATCTAACTTTATACTTCAATGAAGTATAAAAAAAACCAAACTAAATAGAAAGGTAGCAGAAAGAAAAAATTAAGATTAGAAAACAGAAGAGAGAAGCACTAAAGTCATGAAACTGCAAGCTCATACTTCGAATGGTAAGAAAATTGACAGTTGGGCATAGTGTTTCACGCCTGTAATCCTAGCACTTTGGGAGGGCAAGGCGGGAGGATCACTTGAGCTCAGGAGTTCGAGATCAGCCTGAGCAACATAATGAGACCTCTGTCTCTTTTGAAAAAAAAAATTTTTAAATTAAAATAAATTTTAAAAAGATTGACAAACCCTTAGCTAGATAAACAACAAAACAAAAATGAAGCGTAAGCCTCAAATAAGTAAACTTAGAAATGGAATAGAGGACATTACAAATAAAACTGAATTGTAGAAAATGAGATTGTGGCCGGGCGCAGTGGCTCACGCCTGTAATCCCAGCAATTTGGGAGGCCGAGGCGGGTGGATCTCCTGAGGTCAGGAGTTCAAGACCAGCTTGGCCATGGTGAAACCCCATCTCTACTAAAAATACAAAAAATTAGCCAGGCCTGGTGGTGCACGCCTGTAATCCCAGCTACTCAGGAGGCTGAGGCAGGAGAATCACTGGAACCTGGGAGGCGGAGGTTGCAGTGAGCCGAGATCGCGCCAGTGCACTCCAGCCTGGGCAACAAGAGCGAGACTCTGTCTCGGAAAAAAAAAAAAAAGAAAATGAGATTGTACAACTGTGTCCCAACAATGGATGAATTTCTAGATACACACTGCTCACCAAGACTTACTCATGAAGAAGTAGAAACACTAAGACGAGTAACAAATAAGGAGATTGAATTAGTTATCAAATAACTACTAACAAAAACAAGTAATGAACCAGATGACTTCACTGTAAAACGCTATCAAATACTGAAAAAGGATTTAACACCAACACTCTTAAAAATGTTCCATGTGATGGACAAAACACTCCCTCTCTCATTCAATAAGGCTAGTGTCACCTTGACAGAAAAGGCACACAAAGGCTCTAAGAAAACTACAGAGCAATATTCCTCATCAATCTAATGCAAATATCCACAACAAAATGCTAGCAAGCAAGTTCAGCAGTATATTAAAATGGACCACACACTATGATCATGTGAAAGTCACTCCTGGAATGCAACGATGTTGCAACTTAGGAACATTGATCCCTGCAATACTCCACAAAAACAGAATAAAAACAAAAACCCACTTGATAGGCTCATCAGATGCAGAAAAAACATTTGAAAAACATCAACAACTACTGATGATAGAAACACTCTACACATTAGGAATACGAGGAATCTACTTTACATACAGAAGCCTTATATAAAAAGCCAAAAGGTAACATCATACTCAGTGTTGAAATAATGAAGGCTTTTCCTTCATAATTAGGAAAAAATAAAAAGAAAGCCCATGTTGCATTATTTCTATTGAGAATATAGCTGTCCCTTGGTGTCCAGGGAAGACTGGTTCCAGGAACCCCTGTGTGGTGTTATGGTATTACATATATATTTGTTTTCATCTGCAGTTCCTGGCTCATAACTCCCATAGCCTTTGCTACAGTCTTCTGTTATAGTGTTGGGTACGGTAGGCCCCAGGGCAGAACTCAGGAAACAGAACCTCTCCAACCTTTTCCTGCCCTCCATTCACCTGCCTCAAGGCAGAACTCTAATCTCCCATCTTTCTGATTATAGGTCTTAAGACCTCCCGAGAGAGGGTCCTGCTTTATGTCTGGGGGAAAGAATGCTGACATAATAAGGTTTCTATAAAAATCTAAGAGGACTGCATTTAGAGAGCTTCCAGATGGCTGAACACATGGAGCTTCCTGGATGCTGGTCGCAGGGAGGGCAGAGAAGCTCCACACCCCTTCCCCCATACCTTGCCCTACAGGTCTCTTCATCTGTATCCTTTTCAATAGCCTTTATAATAAACTGGCAAATGTAAGTAAGTGTTTCTGTGAGTTCTGTGAGACAATCCAGAAACTTTATCGAGCCCAAAGAGGGGCCACAGAAACCACAAATGGAAGCTAGTTGGTCAGAAGTTCTAGAGGCCCAGACTCGTAACTGGTGGGAAATGGGGGAAGCCTTTGACACTGAGCCCTCAACCCGTGGGATCTGACACTATCTCCAGGTATAGTGTCAGAACTGAACTGTAGGAAACCCAGCTCTTGTCCGTTGCTTGATGTGTGGGAAAAAACTCCTATACCGTCGGTCACGGAAGTCTTATTCTGTCTTGACAGATTGTTGTGGTGGCGTGAGAGCAGAGGAAAAACATGGTTTGAGAGTTTTTCTTAAAACACTCTCAGATATCAAAATCTGTGGATGCCTGAGTTCCTTACTGCAGGCCTTCCATACCTGTGGTTTCTATATCTGCAGATTCAACTAACCATGGATTGAAAATACAGTCTGCCCTACGTATCCATGGGATCCATATGTGCAGATTCAATGACCTGTGGATTTCTGATCTGCAATTTTGTGGAATCTGTAGATGCAAAACCTCCAAATATGGAGGGAATAAGCTTAACAAGGACGGGAAAAATTTGTACACAGAAATCTACAAAAAATTGCTGAAACAAAGTAGAGAAGACACACACAAATGCAAAAACAGCCCATGTTTATGGATTGTAAGTCTTAAGGTTAAGATGTCAATAGCCAAAGAGATCTACAGATTCAGTGAACTCTTTAGCAAAATCCCAAGGAAGTTTTCTTCATAAATAAACTCATCCTAAAATTAATATGAAATCACACATGTGCCTCAATAGCAAAACAAACTTGAAAGAAAGAAAGCTGGAGGTGTTACACTGCATGATTACAAAACTTATTACTAAGCTACCTTCATCAAAATAGAACTGTACTGCCATGAAGGCAGACATATAAGCCAATGGACTAGAACAGACAGGCCAGAAACAAACCCTCAAATATTTGGTCAAATGATGTTCAATAAGGCTGCCAAGACCATGTAACGAGAGAGGACAGTCTCTTTATCAAATAGTGCTGAGGAAACTGGATATCCACAAGAAAGGAATGAAGTTGAACTCTTATTACACCGTATGCAAAAATTATCTGAAAGCCAATTCATGACCTAAAACTAAGACCTAAAACCATAAAACTCCTAGAAAAAATCAGGTGGAAAGCTTCATAACGTTGGATTCAATAATGCTTCCCTGGATAGAACACTGATAACACAAGAAAGAAGGTAAAAATACATAAAATGTACTACCACAAGACCTACAACTACTGTGGATGGAAGAAAACAATTACCAGAGTGAAAAGGAAACCTACCATATGTGAGAAAATATTTTCAAATCATACCTCTGATAAGATTTTATATATCTAAAATACATAAAACTCCTACAAATCAGAAAACCAGTAACCTGATTAACAAATAGAAAAAGGAGGCCAGGCGCAGTGGCTTACGCCTATAATCCCAGCACTTTTGGAGGCTGAGGTGGGTGGATCACGAGGTCAGGAGATCGAGACCATCCTGGTGAACATGGTAAAACCTCATCTCTACTAAAAACACAAAAATTAGCTGGGCATGGTGGCGCATGCCTGTAGTTGTAGCTACTCAGGAGGCTGAGGCAGGAGAATCGCTTGAACCCGGGAGGCAGAGGTTGCAGTGAGCCAAGATCGCGCCACCGCACTCCAGCCCGGCGACAGAGTGGGACTCCGTCTCAAAAAAAGAAAGCAAAAGAAGCATTCTTTGTTCCTAAAAAAATATGGAAATTTCTTTATATGCTACAAAATGGATGAACCTGAAAGACACTCTGGTAAGTGAAATAAGCCAGTCATACAAAGACAAAAAGACAAATAATGAAGTTATATCATGTAACTTCATTATATAATAAAGCTTCTATAAAAACCCAAAAGGACTGGGTTCAGAGAGCTTCTGGACAGCTGAACACCCCGAGGCTGACAGGAAGGTGAGCAGGAACTCACACACATGCCAGGAGGGTGGCACAAGCCAACTCCAGGACACAGAAGCTCCTGTGCTGGGGACCCTTCCAGACCTGACCCTATGTTCTTTCCATCTGTTAATTTATCCTTCTCTATCTATTTGGAATAAGGTCTTGCTCTGTGTCAGCCAGGCTGCAGTGCAGTGGCGCGATCATAGCTCACTGCAGCCTTAAACTCCTGGGCTCGAGCAGTCCTCTTGAGTAGCTGGGACTACAAGGTGTGTACTACCATGCCTGGCTAATTTTTTAAATTTTTTTTTTTTTTTTTTTTTTTTTTTGAGATGGAGGCTCGCTCTATCTCCCAGGCTGGAGTGCAGTGGCACCATCTCCGCTCACTGCAAGCTCCGCCTCCCGGGTTCAGGCCATTCTCCGGGCTCAGCCTCCCAAGTAGCTGGGACTACAGGCGTCTGCAACCACACCCGGCTAATTTTTTGTATTTTTAGTAAAGACGGGGTTTCACCATGTTAGCCAGGATGATCTCGATCTCCTGACCTCGTGATCCGCCCGCCTGGGCCTCCCAAAGTGCTGGGATTACAGGCGTGAGCCACTGCGCCCGGCCAATTTTTTAATTTTTTGTAGAGATAACGTCTCATTATGTTGCTGGTCTCAAACTCCTGGGATCAAGTAATGCGCCCACCTCAGCCTCCAAAAATTCTTGGGTTACAGATATGAGGTACCATGCCGGGCCTGGAGCCTTTAAAATACGCTGTGGAATAAACCCTGTAAATGTTAAGTATGTATTACCATGAGATCTGTGAACCACTCTAGCAAATTAATCAAACCCAAAGAGGGAGCCATGGGAACCCCAACTTTTGAAGCCAGTTGGTCGAAAGTTCCAGAGGCCTGGACTTATGACCCGTGTCTGAAAGGGGGCAGTATTGGAGACTGAGCCCTCAACCTGTGGCATGTGACACGCTCTCCAGGTACACAGCATCAGAATAGAATTCAAGGGCCCCCAGCAAGTAGCCACTGCAGAACTGATTGCTTATTGGTGGAAGTAAAACTCACATTTGGTGACATAAGTTGTCTGTGTTTATTGTTGCGTGGTGCAAGACCAGACAGAGGAAGATACGGTTTGAGTTTTGCCCCTCAGTCTTAAATAACAAATTACGGCAAGTCAGTGTAATGGTATTTCTGAGATTAAGATGGCAACAATTTTAAAACAGCATATTCTTAAGATATAAAAAATTTCCATATTATACACTGTAATACATTTAATTGGCAAAAGTGTTGTTCAATAGTAGCTACTAAGTCACGTACAACAAAGGAAAACAAATATTTAAACTCCTATTCAAAAATTTCTGGAGTGTCAGTTTTAGAGACTCTCCTGCTGAGGCATACCCTGTGCATTTAAAAAAACCACACTCAAAAATATATAAATCAATGGCCATTCCCTGATACTACAGCCCTACAGATACAAAATAATAAACACAAAGAGTATTATATGAAATATGGAACTGCTGACTAAATATACAAAAACCAAGTTAATTTATAATACATGGAAAGGTACAAGATGAAAGTAACAGTGGTTTGAACAAATGATGGTAGTGTTAAAACCAGAAGCATCTGGTTGCTATTTTGTGCCATGTTCCCCATGGGGACCTAGGGATCGAATACAGGGTCTTTCTGTTGACTATCTGCCCCACTCAGCTGAGTAAGCATCTCAGAAGAGCCACCTACTCCCCTGTGACACACACCAGTAAAGTGTGGATGAAGCACAACTGAAGAATGGCTGAGGGGCCTTGTGGAATAAGAATACATACATACATTGGTCTCTTCCCCGGTTCCTGACACAGAGCTCTGAAGACCTTGAGATGTCCTGGGTGGTACGAGTGTGATCTGCTCTAATGAGGCAACCTTTGTGGGTTCCTTGGATGGGGCTGATTACCAGAAAGACCAGGCCATACTTAGAAGCATGAAACTGTCAGCCCCACCCACTAGCTTCTAGGAGAGGGGCTGGAGATTGAGTTAATATCAATCACGCCTACGTGATGAAGCCGCTCGTGAACTATGGGGTCACAAGAGGTTCCAAATGCTGAAGACACACAGGCGCCTGGAGGGCGGCACACCCAGTCAATCTTCCCACGTGCCTCGCCCTGTGAATCTCCTCATCTGGCTGTCCATCTGTATCCTTAGAAACATCCTGCATCATGAACCAGTGAACCTAATGAAGTGTCTCACTGAGTTCTGTGAGCCACCCGAGCAAAGTAATCAACCCAAGAAGGGAGTCGAGGGAACCCAGCTTACAGCTGTGTTGGTCAGACAGAAAGGTGACAATCTACTACTAACAAGTGGTGGCTGAGGTGGGCGACAGGCTTGGGAACCCAACCCTTAGCCTGTGGGATCTGATTCTAACTCCAGGTAGACAGTGTTAGAAATGAATTATAGAAAACCCAGTAAAGATCCAGTGAAAAATTGCCGATGGGGAGAAATCCCCACACATTTTGGTGACCAGAAGTGAAATGCTCTGTGCTGAGTGGCATGTGAGAATAGGAAAATCACTGGCTTCTTCCCATCCAAATAGACCTGAACAGGCAGAGGGGGCTGGAGGCACCTGTAGTTTCCAGGGCCCAGATGCAAAAAAGAGTAGCTCATGTTCTCTCATTTCCTGATTACATCTTCCCATTACAGGAAATGGGGTGGACCATGAATAGGTCAAGGGGGCAGGTCTATGAAGACCTCAGCTTTGACCTACAGGGACAGAAACTAAGCATCAGATGGAATCAAGTACAGGAAGAAAGACCACAGGGGAAAGAGACCCCTGGCAACAATGCTCCCTGTGTTCTTCAGAATCATGGAACAAAAGTTCACAGAAGCCACATGACAGGGTGCTGTCCATCAGGATAAAGACTTTGCTTTTGTCTCTGGGTGGCAACACCACTCGAGGGTGAAAAGATGAAACTATCACACATTTATAGAACTGAGTGACAAGAGAGAGCAAAGAAATATTTCCATTCAGAATGCCTAGGATTTAAACTTTTCTTTTCTCACAGAACTCTCCCACCTTTGGAGAGTTTCCCACACACTCTTGAATAGTTAGTATGGGCTGGGTGTGGTGGCTCACGTCTGTAATCCCAGGACTTTGGGAGGCTGAGGCAGGCAGATCACTTGAGGTCAGGAGTTTGAGACCCACCTGTCCAACATGGTGAAATTCCGTCTCTACTAAAAACACAAAAATTAGCTGGGTGTGGTGACACATGCCTGTAATCTCAGCTACTGGGGAGGCTGAGGCACGAGAATCACTTGAACCTGGGAGGCAGAAGTTGCAGTGAGCCGAGATCACACCACTGCACTCCAGCCTGGGCAACGGAGTGAGACAAAAAAAAAAAAAAAAAAAAAAAATAGTATGGCTTTGCAAGGTGCAGTGGCTATAATCTACAACTTTGGGAGGCCAAGGCAGGAGGATTGCTTGAGTCCAGGAGTTTGAGGCTGCAGTGAGCTATGATTGCCACTGCACTACAGCCTGGGTGATAGCGGAACACCCTGGCTCAAAAATAAAAAAATAAAAACTATGGCCTCCACACTGCCCATCAGAGCTCTTACCTGTGTTCACGCTTCTGACACATTCCCTTCCATCTGTATTTTTTACTATTTTAACTTGACTTTGCAGAATCAAGGGCTCTCTCCTTTGCTTCAACATGGAAATAATACTTAGGTCAGGAAGACAGATTCCTGTTAATAAAAAGAAAGAAACAAGATGTGCTGGGGCATTTCCAAAACCCAAACCCTGTGTTTAGGTAAGAGAGGGGATATCGCAAATGGATCAAGAATAATATCTCACAAGTTCACCCACAGACTGGCTCCTTCTGAATGCTTAGGGAATATGCAATATGTAGACACTGAGATCTCTTCCAAGAACTACTGACTTGTAAGCACAGGGGAGAAAACAGAGAACTGGTTATCCGGTGCCACCCAATGATGTATTATGAAGGGGGCGGTACATCTGAAGAAAGGACGCATTTCAAATCCAGAGAGCATAATAGAGCTTTTCATTTCTGAGTCAACAAGGTTTCTACCTCAGTTAAGCAATTTAGGGGCTCCCAAGAGGCACGCAAGAGAAAATGCAAAGACAGATTAGAGCAGATCCCGGCTTCTGGAGGGAAGTCATCCTCACCCAGAAAGACCAGGTTCCTGTAGTTCTCCAACATCACGTCCCTGTATAAAGCCCTCTGTCCAGGGTCCAGGGATTTCCACTCCTCCTGAGAGAATTCGATGGCCACGTCCATGAATGTCAAGCGTCCCTAAAATGAGGACCACATTGTTTACAACACTAAAAATGTAGAAATTGTACTCAATTTAGTTGATAAACATTTTTGAATATTAAGCTATTAAAAATGGCAGATCATTAAAAAACATAGAAACTTCAATTCCAATCTCTAGTAAATGTTCACATTCAAAAATATGTAGTATTTTTAAAAATTCAGATGGGGTTTTACTAGGTTGCCCAGAAAGATCTCAAACTCCTGGGTTCATGGGAAGAGTTTAATCCTGCCCCAGCCTCCCAAGAAGATGGGATTATAGGCATGCACCACTAACCCTGGCCTATAAATACACTTTTGTCCATTAAAATTTACATATGTAGGTATTAGCAAAAGCCCAATGGAGTTTATTGATTTATTTCATTAATAAAACAGTGATACATGATACAAAATTTAAGAATATTATACACTAATTTAACAAATAGGCTGGGCGCAGTGGCTCACGTCTGTAACTCCAGCACTTCGGGAGGCCGAGGTGGATGGATCACCTGAGGTCAGGAGTTTGAGACGAGCCTGGCCAACATGGTGAAACCCTGTCTCTACTAAAAATACAAAAAATTAGCCAGGCATGGTGGCGGGCGCCTGTAATCCCAGCTACTTGGGAGGCTGAGGCAGGAGAATTGCTTGAACCTGGGAGGCAGAGGTTGCAGTGAGCCGAGATCGCACCACTGCACTCCAGCCTGGGCGACAAGAGCAAGACTCCGTCTCAAAAAATAAACAAACAAATAAAGGTCAAAGAAAATATCTCAGCAGGACATACCTTAAGAAATTACTAGATAATTAATACTCAGGCCAAGAATGAAATTGGAAAACAAACAAACAAAAAAAACATGATATTAAACAAGAACATCTCATAAAACATCATAATCAACAGTAAACGTGGGATGCATTTCCTCTAATTTAAGGCCAGAAACAGGGCACTGGTCTGTGCTGCAGCCAATTACCACTGCACAGGATGCCTGAGCAGGGACCAGAAGCAGAGGAAAAAAAACAGGAAAAAAAAAGTGGGGGTAGGAGGCAGGAAAAAGCAGGATCTGTTAGAACTAACGAATGACAGGATTGTAACCATAACAAAGAATGCCATTTAGGCGTATTAACTAATACGAATATATTGAAAGCAAGTTTTGGCCCGGTGCGGTGACTCACACATGTAATCACAGCACTTTGGGAGGCCAAGATGGGCGGATCACCTGAGGTGGGGAGTTCGAGACCAGCCTGATCAACACAGAGAAATCCCGTCTCTACTAAAAATACAAAATTAGCCAGGCGTGGTGGCACATGCCTGTAATCCCAGCTACTCAGGAGGCTGAGGCAGCAGAATTGCTTGAACCTGCGAGACAGAGGTTGCAGTGAGCCGAGATCACGCCATTGCACTCCAGCCTGGGCAACAAGAGTGAAACACTCCATCTCAAAAAAAATAAAAAAAGAAAACAAGTTTCCTTCTTCAGCAGCACTAATTATAAATGACACACACACACAAGAAACATCCTACCTCTCCCTCAGCAAATATACACATGGCCCCTAACTAAAAGACACTCCAGACCTGTGTAAGAAATTCGCAACTCTACTAAAAGAGTAATGTCAGCAAGACACAGGAATGCGAAGCCACAGACCTTTCTGTCCCCCTGGAGACAAAAATTAAACAGTACACAGACCAATTGGCTTTGTGAGAAATCCAGAAGGTCCTTAGCAAGTTCCTGCACCCCAAAGAAGCACCAAGTCAACCTGCTGGGAGCCCAGTGGGAAAATGCATGAACACGTTAGCCTGAGCCCCTGCTCAGGCACGACGCGCCATCATCCAGAGGAAACCACAAACTCCAGATTTCTCCTGAGGGACAACGTTCTGTCTTGGTTGAACAGAAGCACTGAAGTAACAGGGCCCCAGATCAGGAAGCCACTGAGAACAAAGGCATCAGCATAAATCAGAGCCCGCAGTTACACGGGCAGATACTAGGTGGCGGTGCGGACCCCAGCTTCCTATGGCCTCACACAGGCTGCAGAGCAGGTGCAGAAAGGGAAGCTCCTGAGCAGAACCTGGCCACCCTCTTCAGTGAGGAGGTGACAAGCAAAGTCCAGAGAGGATGCATCCTAGACAAAGCTCAGGACCTCCAGAGACTCCTCCTGGGCTGAATGGCACACATGGTCCCTGAACCACGCCAGGCACAAAAAAAAAGAGAGGTGACTGATTTCTTTCTTTTTTTTTTTTCTTTGAGACAGTCTCGCTGTGTCGCCCAGGCTGGAGTGCAATGGCGCAATCTTGGCTCACTGCAAACTCCATCTCCCGGGTTCAAGTGATTCTCCCGCCTAAGCCTCCCAAGTAGCTGGGATTACAGGTGTGCACCACCACACCAGGCTAATTTTGTATTTTTAGTAGAGACAGAGTTTCACCATGTTGGTCAGGCTGGTCTCGAACTCCTGAGCCCAGGTGATCTGCCTGCCTCAGCCTCCCAAAGTGCTGGGATTACAGGCGTGAGCCACTGCACCTTGCCAAGGTGACTAATTTCTAATTCAGAGAACGTTCACATGAGGATGTAAAGGAGCAAGGAATCCATCTTCCTAACATGAAAACATGCAAATTTTCACAACTTTTGGTATAAAATATTACAACGAAACAATCACTGAGGATTTTATTTAAAATACCATAATGCTGTATAAATATATTTCTTTTGGAGTTTTGCTCTTGTTTCCAAGGCTGAAGTGCAATGGTGCGATCTTGGCTCACTGCAGCCTCCACCTCCCGGGTTCAAGCGATTCTCCTGCCTCAGTCTCCCAAGGAGCTGGGATTACAGGCATGTGCCACCATGCCCGACTCATTTTCTGTTTTTAGTAGAGATGGAGTTTCTCCATGTTGGTCAGACTGGTCTCAAACTCCCAACCTCAGGTGATCCACCCACCTTGGCCTCCCAAAGCGCTGGTATTACAGGCATGAGCCACAGCGTCCAGCCTTATAATGCTGTATAGGTTTTTTTTGTTTTGTTTTGTTTTTGAGACACAGTCTTGCTCTGTCGCCCAGGCTGGAGTGCAGTGGCGTGACCTTGGCTCACTGCAACCTCCGCCTCCCAGGTTCAAGCAATTCTCCTGTCTCAGCCTCTGTGGTAGCTGGGATTACAGGTGCCCACCACCAAGCCTTGCTGATTTTTGTATTTTCAGTAGAGACAGGGTTTCACTATGTTGGCCAGGATGGTCTCAAACTCCTGACCTCAGGTGATCTGTCCGCCTCGGCCTCCCAAAGTGCTGGGATTACAGGCGTGAGCCACCACGCCCGGCCAATGCTGTATAAATATATTTCTACAGGACATGCTCTCACTCTTGACACAGAGCTGACAGCAGTGGGTCACCAGTGAGACGCAGGGAGGGTGGGAAACTGCACAGGGCAGGGCAGGGGAGGCTTCGTATTTGATGGCCTAAGCTGCATGTGTGGTGTCTTCCTATAAAACAAATATATACATAATTTGATGTTTAACATAAAAAAATAACTAATTGCTGGAACAAGAATGAATATAATTTCCACCTCTTTAATGACAAAAAATTTATGCTCCAATCTCTGTGCAAAATTACAGCTTTTTTCACCTAACACAGATGCTGTACAAGACTCCCTGCAGGAACACCAGTCTCCATGGGAGGGGCATGCTGAGAAAGAAGAGAGAATGTCCTCTCTGAACCAAGCCAGACATTAGAAAGTAGGAAAGGTGTTTAGCTTCAAATGTAGTAAAAATCAGACAGAAAAGATTTCTCCTTCCTGAACTCCTTTTCCAGAATGTACCAGGTACTTGTGTGCATTAATATGTGACTTCAGGCCAGGCGCGGTGGCTCACGCCTATAATCCCAGCACTTTGGGAGGCCGAGGCAGGTGGATCACGAGGTCAGGGGTTCGAGACCAGCCTGACCAACATGGTGAAGCCCCGTCTCTACTAAAAATACAAAAAATTAGCTGGGCGTGGTGGCAGGCACCTGTAATCTCAGCTACTCAGGAGGCTGAGGCAGAATTGCTTGAACCCGGGAGGCGGAGGTTGCAGCGAGTCGAGATCGTGCCACTGCACTCCAGCCTGGGTGACACAGCAAGACTCTGTCTCAAAAAAAAAAAAAAAAATACGTGACTTCCATTGGCAGCCTCTCTAATCCTGGTCCACAGAGAGCTGACAGTGCATCCAGATGTGGCCCCTGAACAATCCCTGCTGCCCAACACCACTGACACCACGGGACCCTCACCCCGTCTCCATCCATGTCTGGGTGTGAGCCCTTCCCAGGACCACGCCCAGTGCAGTCTCTTCCCACATTCATGTCACTGGGTCACGAGAGATAGAATCTAAGCGAGATGAAAGGGACTGAGGGAAGGCATGGGTGAGTGTGAGCAAACGTGTCAGGCAGGATGCTTCAGGCATTTCAGAAAGAAACAGAGAGAACCAACCACCGAGAATATCACTTTACCTGAGGAAGAGCCATCCCTGACTCCTTTGCTTTCCTCTTCTGGGCTTCTTCATCACATAGCATGACTGTTTATAAGTCAATCCTAAATGTCAAAAATACACTGATTACTGCTCGGAATCAACACATTCCCCTCCCTATGCCACAACCACACACACAGGTTAGACCTAATCCTGCGGAAAGATGTCCTCTGTTGCCCACTGCACCAGAGTTGATGCAGGGACAAGAAATTCCTACAGGAAGAATGAGTGAAATTTTTACTCTTTTATTCAGGACTCGCTCCCCTCCTGGAGAAGCCCGCACACACGCTACAGCAGTAGGGAGCTAGGCTGGACTGAGCTGCCCCATTCAGGGAAGAGACACAGCTGTGACCAAACTCCATGAAGAGCACAGCCCCTCCTCCCCTCTCTATGGATCCCAGGCTCATGTAAGCCCTCAGAAATGGAGGACACAGAGCGTTGGTGCTCAGCGCCAGAGACAGAACACACTGGAATCCCCGTATCCATGAGGATATGTTCCAAGATGCCCAGTGGATGCCTGGAACCTCAAACAGTACTGACCTCTATTTACTCCACTTAAATTATGCATGTGACAGCTTCTTACTGGCACATCCAAATTGCCAGCATCAATATTCACGTGCTTGGGGAATACTGTTAAGTAAAATAAGGGTTAAACAAAAGGACTGAGGTACCCCAAAAGTGGAGCAGATCAAAAAGAAGACTATTCACTGACTAATGAGCAGATAGAGTCTACACTCGGCCCTCAGTCTCAGTATTTCTAGGATCCAAATCCAGGGATTCAACCAACGACAGACTGAAATAATTACAAAAAAAAGGAAAGAAACCAAAAAGTAACAAACAATGAAAATAATACAAGAAAACAACAGAGTATAACAACTACATAGCATTTATAAATTTCATTAATCCATTAAAAATAATCCATTATAAGTAATCAAGAGATGATTTAAAGTCTACGGGAGGACATGTGTAATTTATATGCAAATACAGTCATGCACTGCTTAGTAATGGGACCGGTTCTGAGAAATGTGTTTTCAGACCATTTCATTACAGACTGCACTTACATAAACCAAGATGGTATAGTCTACTACACACCTAGGGTATATGGTATAGCCTATTGCTAAAAACCTGTACATCATGTTATGTACTGAATACTACAGGCAACTGTGACACAATGGTATGTACTTGTAAATAAAAACATGTCTCGACATAGAAAAGGTACAATAATAATATGATATACATGTTTAAAAAATGGTACAGCTGTCTAGGGCACTCACCATGAATGGCGCTTGCAGGACTAGAAATTGCTCTGGATGAGTCAGTGAGTGTGTGGTGACCGAATGTGATGGCCTACGACATAACTGTGTACTACTGTAGATTTTATAAATACCGAATACTTGGCCAGGCGTAGTGGCTCATGCCTGTAATCCCAGCACGTTTGGAGAACGAGGCAGGCAGACTGCTTGACTCCAGAATTTCGAGACCAGTTTGGACAACATGGCAACACTCCTGTGTCTACAAAAAAAAATACAAGAAATAAGTCAAGGCATGGTGGAACACATCTGTAGTCCCAGCTACCCAGGAGGCTGTGGTGGGACGATCACCTGAACTTAAGAGGTTGAGGCTGCAGTGAGCCATAATCGCACCACTGCATTCCGGCCTGGGCGACAGTGTGAGAGGCTGTCTCAAAAATAAATACATACTTACTGTGTATTTAGGCTACACTAACATAAAAAATATTTTTTTCTCAATAACAAATTAACCTTAGCTTACTATAACTTTTTGACTTTATAAACTTCTAAATTAAACTTTTTGACTTCTACAATAACATTTAGCTTAAAACACACGTTATATAGCTGTACAAAAATATTTTGTCTTCATGTCTTTATTCTATAAGCTTTTTCCCATTTAAAATCTTTTTCCCCATTAAAACTTTTTTGTCAACAACCAGGACACAAACACATACATTAGCCTAGGCCTACACAGGGTGGGGACCATCAATGTCACTGTCTTCCAGTGCCACATCTTGTCCCACTGGAAGGTCCTCAGGAGCAATAACATGTATGGAGCTGTCATCTGGGATAACAATGACTTCTTCTGGATACCTCTTGAAGAACTTGCCCGAGGCTCTTCTAGGAGAGAAGGCACTCCTTTCAGAAATATGTCTGTGGTGTGAATCTGAAAGTTAGCTGAGGGCCTGGTGCAGTAGCTCACACCAGTAATCCCAGCACTTTGGGAGGCCGCGGCAGGCAGATCTTGAGGTCAAGAGATCAAGACCATCCTGGCCAACATGGTGAAACCCCATCTCCACTAAAAATACAAAAATTAGCTCGGAGTGGTGGCACAGGCTTGTAGTCCCAGCTACTCAGGAGGCCGAGGCAGGAGAATTGCTTGAACCCTGGAGGTGGAGGTTCCAGTGAGCCGAGACCGCACCACTGTACTCCAGCCTGGTGACAGAGCGAGACTCGGTCTCAAAAAATAAAAAAATAAATCAGCTGATTAGGAAAACGAGAGAGGAAGAAAAATATCTATGGTGGTTTACTTGCTTATTTTTTCTTCCTAAATGTTCTTGTGAGCAGGTAATGCACCATAAACTTTCCTTTCTATTAATAAACACCTTTTGGGGTTGGGTGTGGTGGCTCACGCCTGTAACCCCAGAACTTTGGGAGGCTGAGGCAGGCTGATCACACCAGGCCAAGAGTTCGAGACTAACCTGGCCAAAATGGTAAAACCCTGCCTCTAGTAAAAATACAAACGTTAGTCTGGGCCCCATGCTCACGCCTGTAATCCTAACACATTGGGAGGCCGAGGCGGGCAGATCACGAGGTCAGGAGTTCGACACCAGACTGACCAACATGGTGAAACCCCGTCTCTACTAAAAATACAAAAATTAGCTGGGCATGGTGGCGCATGCCTGTAATCCCAGCTACTCAGGAGGCTGAAGCAGGAGAATCGCTGGAACCCGGAAGGCAGACGTTGCAGTGAGCTGAGCCTGGGCAACAGAGAGAGACTCTATCTCAAAAAAAACCAAAAACAAAAAAAACAAAATACAAACTTTAGCCGGGTGTAGTGGCAGGCACCTGTAATCCCAGCTACTCAGGAGGCTGAGGCAGGAGAATCGCTTGAACCCAGAAAGCGGAGGTTGCAGTGAGCCAAGATCACACTACTACATTCCAGCCTGGGTGACAGAGTGAGACTCTGTCTCAAAAAATAAAATAAGCTGGCCGCAGTGGCTCACGCCTGTAATCCCAGCACTTTGGGAGGTCAAGGCGGGTGGATCACGAGGTCAGGAGATCGAGACCATCCTGGCTAACATGGTGAAACCCCGTCTCTACTAAAAATACAAAAAATTAGCTGGGCGTGGTGGTGAGCGCCTGTAGTCCCAGCTACTCGGGAGGCTGAGGTGGGAGAATGGTGTGAACCCGGGAGACGGAGCTTGCAGTGAGTCGAGATCACCCCACTGCACTCCAGCCTGGGCGACAGAGCGAGACTCCATCTCCAAAAAAAAATAAAAATAAAAATAAAATAAATAAATAAACACCTATTGGTGTTGGAGTTCATGTTTTCAAACTTTTTAAGAAGCTTGTTGAGGTCTGTACAAGTTTCTGCTAAACCCTTCACTGTGAAAGTTCCTGGATTTTTTTTTTCTTTTCCTTCACTTTCCTATCTTCTCACCTCTTCTTCAGCTATGTGTTCTCATATCAGTTCCAACCACTTATTCGTCCATTCCTCATGAACCACCTCTAGGAGCATCACAGTGTCATCCTCACCCACACCCAGGTTAAAGCTGCCTGGCAACGATCTAGGTTCGTTTCCCCCAGCATCACCACAGACACAAGGAATGCACTGCACTATGACGTCATGACTACTCTGATGTAGCTAGGCAACAGGAACTTCTCATCTCCAGTGTAACAGTGTAATCTTACGGAACCACCATCATAGATCTGATTGTTGACCAAAATGTCATTATGCAGTGTATGGCTGTACTATGCAACTTTACATAAGGGACTTGAAGATCACCTGATTTTGGTATCCTCAGGGGTCGTGGAAGTAATCCCTCCAATACTGAGGGATGACTGTACTGCCTAGATATACCAGAAAAGGAGATGATTCGAGTCCTGGGCAAAATAGCATGGGACTGGCCGGGTACAGTGGCTCACACCTGTAATCCTAGCACTTTGGGAGGCCAAGGTAGGTGGATTGCCTGAGCTCAGGAGTTCAAGACCAGCCTGGGCTACATGGTGAAACTGTCTCTACTAAAAATACAAAAAATTAGTGGGGTGTGGTGGTATATGCCTGTAATCCCAGCTACTTGGGAGGCTGAGGCATGAGAATCACTTGAACCTGGGAGGCAGAGGTTGCAGTGAGCCGATATTGCACCACTGCGTTCCAGCCTGGGCAATGGAGACTCCTCAAAAACAAAAGAGAGTGGGACAGTGCTAGATTTCAGCACACTACTCGGAATGGCAAGAAATTTAAAAGTTGTACATTCTTCATTTTTGGAACTTTCTGTGTAATATTTTCAGACCACGGTTAAACTCGAGGATCTGGAACCACAGAAATCAAACCAGCAGATAGGGAGCAACTACTGTAGCATCAGCTTTAAATATTAGGCCTGGCCTCCACCTGAGTATTGAAATCAGAATCTCTGTAAGGAGGCACAAGAGATGTTTCTGCAAAATGCCTCAGCTCTCAAATGTGAGACTAGGGCTGAGCTCCACTCAGAGGGGTTGAGCCAGCACAGTCCCCACCTTCTGGCTCGTCTCTCCCCTTGGGTCCTTGCTGTCACCAGGATCCAGACAGTGGCAGGAAAAGGGAAAGAAAGAAACACACACAGCTTCAAAATGGAGGAGAGTTGGGGTGGGGTCAGGCTGGAGTGTTAAATCGGGGGCTATGGGGGGGTCACAGAATCCTAAGAAGGTACTACCAGAACAAAGGCCTGGGGAAGGAAGGGTGTTTGTCACCTGCAGCTGAGGGGCCAGAGAGTTCCAGGCAGAGGAACAGCCCAGATGAAGTCTCTGAGGCAGGAGAAACCTGGGCCCCCTGTTATGTAGGTTTCAAATGATTCCACTTACATAGTTTGCTACATGAATGACTTGTGTGCTGTGATAAGAACTTGGAGTGTGTTCCTCCTTCCTTCACGAGTGATGCATCACCCCTTAGCAGCCCCCATAAATAGGAAATGGAGTAAACTTCCCTCCCACCCCAGAGAATGTGGTTGGATTCCCAGCTCCCCTGGAGAATGTTATATGGCACCTTCTCAGACCCCATATATGAGATTCTGACCTCGACTACTGGAATTCAAAATACACAGAAATTCAAGAGGTTGACAGGCACTGTGAGACCAGAGGCTGCGACACACTCTGCTGTCAGGGGCCTCTCTGAAGACCTGCAGCCTACACTGAGACGTGGCTGTATGCCAGCTGTTCTCCAATGATCACACCGTTAGCCTTCAAGGTGACCTCCGAAGCCTCGACCAACACCAGCACTGCCCTCTAGCGGGAATGTATGGACATGACCTGTTCTTGCGGGTCTCCACTGGGCTGGATGCCATTTCTCCCAAGAAACTGCTTGTATCAAGGTACAACTCAAACATTAACTGTACTTTCCATACAGGCCTATTTCCATCCTAACTGAGCAAATACATTTTTTTTTTTGAGACAGTCTCACTCTGTCACCCAAGCTGAAGTGCAATAGCATGATATCGGCTCGCTGCAACCTCTGCCTCAGGTCCAAGCAATTCTCCTGCCTCAGCCTCCTGGAGTAGCTGGGATTACAGGCGCCTGCCACCAAAGCCGGATAATTTTGTGTGTGGGTTTGTGAGACAGGGTCTCATTCTGTTGCACAGGCTGGAGTGCAGGGCGTGATCTTTGGCTAACTGCAACCTCTGCCCCCTGGGTTCAAGCGATTCTCCTGCCTTAGCCCAAGTAGCTGGGATTACAGGCATGTAAGTAAACATGTGATTTATTGTTTGTATTATAAATGAAAACACAAATAAGAAAATATCTCCTACATTTTAAATACATTTGACAGGTTTACTTAATTCCCAGAAAGTACAGGGTGTCCCTCATCTGATATGTGCAGGACTGCTGGGGATACGTGTTTGGGGAGTTCAGGGTCTCTTTTGGACATATGAAGGTGGAGATGCCTGTGGATGCCCCAGCAGAGATGTCCAGAACACGAGTGGACACAGGATTCTGGAATTCAGGAGAGAGGGGTGGGTGGAGAGGGAAAATGGAGACAGGCAGGTGGTGTTTGAAGCTGTAAGACGAGATCATAAGGAAAGGTAGAGGGTGTGGGCAGAGAGAACAGGTTTAAGGACTAAATTGTGGGACACTCCCATATTCACAGAAGACAGTTCAGGAGACATGAAGGTGATGACAAAAATGTTAAACAGGGCCAGGCGCGGTGGCTCACGCCTGTAATCTCAGCACTTTGGGAGGCCAAGGTGGATGGATCACGAGGTCAGGAGTTCAAGACCAGCCTGACCAACACAGTGAAACCCCATCTCTACTAAAAATACAAAAATTAGCCAGGTGTGGTGGTACGGACCTGTAGTCCCAGCTCGGGACTACTCAGGAGGCTGAGGTGGGAGAATCACTTGAACCCGGGAGGCAGAGGTTCCAATGAGCCGAGATTGCGCCACTACACTCCAGCCCGGGTGACAGAGTAAGACTCCGTCTCAAAAAAAAAAAAAAAAAGTTAAACAGATTTTTTAAATTATGAAGAATCTCTTCAAAGCCAAGAAAAAAGAAGAGGGAGTGATCGGCTGTGCAAATTGCTGCTGACAGGGAAAGAAAGATGAGGACAAAAATTTAAAAACTATTAAGCCTGGTGCAGGGGCTCATCCTTGTAATTCCAGAGATTTGGGAGCACAGAAGAGGGGTACTTCCTAGAGGAAGAAATGTAGTTAATATAATATTTTTTGTTTTAAAGATAGAAGAGTAGAAGGAAAATAAAACCTTTATTTTATGTAGGAATGTGTTTTAATGAATGATGCCTCCATCTGGATACATTTTGGGAGGCTGACGTGGGAAAATCACTTCAGCTCAGGAGTTTAAGACCAGTCTGGACAACACAGCAAGACCCCAACTCTACAAAAATCAAAATATTAGCATGGCACAGTGGCACAAACCTGTAGTCCTGGCTACTCGGGTGGCTGAGATGGGAGAATCGCTTGAGGCCAGGAAATTGAGACCAGCCTAGGCAACATAGCAAGACCCCAACTCTATAAAAAACCAAAATATTAGTGGCATACTGGCATGGGCCTGTAGTCCCAGCTATTCAGGAGGCTGAGGTGGGAGAATTGTTTGAGCCCAGGACGTCGAGGTTGCAGTGAGCTGTGATTATGCCACTGCACTCCAGCCTGGGAGACTGGGAGCAAGACCCTGTCTCAAAAATAAATAAATAAGTAAATAAATAAAAATATTAGCCAGGCATAGTGGTGCATGCCTGTAGTCCTACCTACTTGGGAGACTGAGGCAGGAGGATCATTTGAGCCTAGGAGTTCGAGGTTACAGTGAGCTATGATTGCCTCACTGCACTCCAGCCTGTGCAATAGAGTGAGGCCCCGTCCCTTAAAAAAATAAATAATTAATTAAAAATAAATTTAGGGGCCACGCACGGTGGCTCATGCCTATAAACCCAGCACTTTGGGAGGCCGAGGCGGGCAGATTACAAGGTCAAGAGATCGAGACAATCTTGGCCAACATGGTGAAACCCCGTCTCTACTAAAAATACAAAAATTAGCCACGCATGGTGGCGTGTGCTTGTAATCCCAGCTACTCAGGAGGCTGAGGCAGAAGAATCGCTTGAATCCGGGAGGCAGAGGTTGCAGTGAGCCGAGATCGTGCCACTGCACTCCAGCCTGATGACAAAGCGAGACTCTGTCTCAAAAAAAATAAAAATAAAAAATAAAACTTTTTAAAAATAAAAATAAATTTAGAAACAGGTCGCAGGAGCAATGGAATGGGTGGATGCGATAACTTGATTGGATGGAGTCAACCAAGAACTAGGGGCAAGAATTGAAGAGAGAATATAAACAAGATTTTAGTGTACTGTGATCTTAAATAGAGCATGCAAGAGGGGTACTTACTGCAGGGAGAAATGTAGTAAATACAGTATTTTTTGTTTTAAAGATTGAAAAATGGAACGAAAAGGCTTTAGTGAGTGAGTATGTGAGTGTGTGTGTTTCAGTGGACAACACCTCCATTTCAGTATGCTGACCAAAATAATTCCCTAGGCCAGGAGCAGTGGCTCCCGCCTGTAATCCCAGCATTTTGGGAGGCCAAGGCGGGCAGATCACCTGAGGTCAGGAGTCCGAGACCAGCCTGGCCAACATGGTGAAACCCCGTCTCTACTAAAAATACACAAATTAGCCAGGCGTGGTGGCGTGTGCCTGTAGTCCCAGCTACTTGAGAGGCTGAGGCAGGAGAATCGCTTGAACCCGGGAGGCAGGGGTTGTAGTGAGTGGAGATTGCGCCATTACATTCCAGCCTGGGTGACACAGTGAGACTCCGTCTCAAATAATAATAATAATAATAATAATAATTTCCTAGACAAAAAAATTAACGACACCATAGAGGAGGGATGTCATTCCACTCTGAGACTGTAAGTGGGGCTGGCACATGGTGTACAGTCTCAGGATCAGCAGCAGCCAGGAGCAGGGACAGATCATTCCATCACTATTGAGTAGACATCACAGGCCCTGAGACTGGTGGGCCAAGTCTCTTCCCTTTACTGTTTGAGGTAAGGAAAAAAGATAACTGTTTTTACTACACTCAAATTCAGCACAGAATACTATGCCGCCCATCACCAAAATGTGTGTTTTCCCCCATGTTTGAGACGGAGTTTCACTGTCGCCCAGGCTGGAGTGCAGTGGCGCGGTCTTAGCTCACCACAACCTCTGCCTCCAGGGTTCAAGCAATTCCCTGCCTCAGCCTCCTGAGTAGCTGGGATTACAGGCACAAGCCACTACGCCCAGCTAATTTTTTATTTTTCACCACGTTGGCCAGGCTAGTCTCGAACTCCTGACCTCAAGTGATCTGCCTGAGTCAGCCTCCCAAAGTGTTAGGATTACAGGCTTAAGCCAACGCGTCTGGCCCGTGCTGACCAGTTCTGTGGCACGCTCGCAGCTGTGTGTCCCACAGGTTAACTCAACTTTGCTACTGTCTACTTGGAGATAGGCACAGATTCCACGGGTTAAAGGTGCAGTCCCACAAGGCTGCCCCTCAGTTTAGATGCAGATAAAAAGCATGGTTTCCAGCCAGGATCGGTGGCTCACGCCTGTAATCCCAGCACTTTGGGAGGCCAAGGCGGGTGGATCACCTGAGGTCGGGAGTTCAAGACCAGCCTGACCAACATGGAGAAACCCCATCTCTATTAAAAATACAAGAGTAGCCAGGCATGGTGACGGGCACCTGTAATCCCAGCTACTGGAGAGGCTGAGGCAAGAGAATCACTTGAACCCAGGAGGCAATGGTTGTGGTGTGTGGGGATAAGAAAGAGAAATCAGACTGTTACTGTGTCTATGTAGAAAGAAGTAGACATAAGAGACTCCATTTTGTTCTGTACTAAGAGAAATTCTTCTGCCTTGAGATGCTGTGAATCTGTAACCCTAGCCCCAACCCTGTGCCCGCAGAAACACGTGCTGTGTTGACTCAAGGTTTAATGGATTTAGGGCTGTGCAGGATGTGCTTTGTTAAAAAGCGCTTGCAGGCAGTATGCTTGGTAAAAGTCATCGCCATTCTCCAGTCTCGAGTACCCAGGGACACAATACACTGTGGAAGGCCGCAGGGAACTCTGCCTAGGAAAACCAGGTATTGTCCAAGGTTTCTCCCCATGTGATAGCCTGAGATATGGCCTCATGGGAAGGGAAAGACCTGACCATCCCCCAGCCTGGAACCCATAAAGGGTCTGTGCTGAGGATTAGTGAAAGAGGAAGGCCTCTTTGCAGTTAAGATAAGAGGAAGGCATCTGTCTCCTGCTTGTCCTTGGGCAATAGAATGTCTAGGTGTAAAACCTGATTGTATGTTCTATTTACTGAGATAGGAGAAAACCGCCTTAGGGCTGGAGGTGAGACATGCTGGCAGCAATACTGCTCTTTACTGCACCAAGATGTTTGTATACATGCACATCAAGGCACAGCACGTTTCCTTATTTATGACAGAGATCTTGGTTCGTATGTTTTCCTGCTGACCCTCTCCCCACTATTACCTTTGTCCTGCCACATCCCCCTCTCCGAGATGGTAGAGATAGTGATCAATAAATACTGAGGGAACTCAGAGACCGGGCCGGCGCGGGTCCTCCGTATGCTGAGCGCCGGTCCCCTGGGCCCACTTTTCTTTCTCTGTACTTTGCTCTGTGTCTCTTTCTTTTTCTGAGTGTTTCATTCCACCTGACGAGAAACACCCACAGGTGTGGAGGGGCAGGCCACCCCTTCAGTGGTGAGCCAATATCGCGCCAGTGCACACCAGCCAGGGCAACAAGACCGAAACTCCGTCTCAAAGAAAAAAAAACATGTTTACTAAGAGCCCCTCCTTTTTTTTTGAGACAGAGTCTCACTGTTGCCCAGGCTGCAGTGGTGCGATCTTGGCCCACTGCAACCTCCACCTCTTGGGATCAAGAGATTCTTGTGTCTCAGCCAAGCAGCTGGGATTACAGGCACACGCCACCATGCGCAGCTAATTTTTGTATTTTCAGTAGAGATGGGGTTTCACCTTGTTGGCCACGCTGGTCTTGAACTCCTGACCTTAAGTGGATCTGCCCACCTTGGCTTCCCAAAGTGCTGGGATTAGAAGCAAGAGCCACTGCGCCTGGTCCAAAAGCCCCTCATTTTGATTAGTTTGCTAGGAAGGCTCTTCCATCTGGCTGTTCATCTGTATCCTTTGTAATATGGTTTGTAACAAATGGGTGAAACTAAGCAAAAAGTTTCCCTGAGTTCTGTGAACCACTCTAGCAAATTCACAAAATGTGAGGAAAGGGTCATGGGAACCCCCGGTTCATAGTTGGTTGGTCACAAGGTTCAAGTCCCAACCCAGGACTTGCAAGTGGCACCTGAAGTGGGAGCATGCCTGTGGAACTGAGCTCTCAACCTGTAGAATCTGAGGCTAACTCCACATAGATAGTGTTAGTGTGAAATTGAGTTAAATTACACAACACCCAGGTGGTGTCTGATGAACTGCTTGTGGGTGGGAAGTAATCCCCAACACATTTTGGTGACCAGAGATGTGGCATTCTGTGTTGGGTGTTCACTATTGTGTTGATTGTAAGCGTAGGAAAAACGCTTTGGTTTTTCCTCCTGTCTTACCCACTCACCCACACCCGAATGAGGCAAGTCACTGCCCTCTGGCTGAACAGGGATTGTGAATGGAAGCTAACTTGTGATGTCAAGAATTATAAAATGCACTTCCCTTATAGGCAGGAACTTTGCAAGTCTCATCTTCATCTGTACTTTTGAAATAAATTTTGTGCTTATTAGATTACAATTAGAGAAATCAGTATATCACAATTTGATCATAATAGTCCATCAACTCATCGCTCATCTGCACTCAGGTTCCCCCTCTTTTGTCATTAGTATGTTTCCCTCCCTCATTCTGTACAGCTCTCTCATTCTTACCTTCTTTCTCCTGCTTTTTTTCACTTCATTTTTCCCATAAGAATTGGCTTATTTTTCTGCCCCTCTCCTCTCCTGCTGTTTCTCCCCCTCTTCCCTCTATTCCTTCTCTTCCATTTGTTCTGCTCCATTCTGGCAATTTGTTTTACCCCTTGTTCCTCTTTGTGTCCAATTTTTGATTGTCCCCAATTTCCATTCTGCCTGTTTCTTGCCCTCCCTATCTCTGCTTCCTCTCTGTTCTCCCTGTTAAATTTCCTCTTCCCTGCTACACTCTCTTGTCCCCACTCTCTGGCCCCCCCGGATCCCAGGCCTCCCCATGCTGTGGTTCTCCCTCTGCTCTCCTTGTCATCAGCTGCCCCCTCTTGCTGTCCCAGCACCATGCTGCTCTGTCTGCCCTGGCTCCAAATCCCTCCTCCTCTCCCCTACTCTGTCTGAGGAGCCTCCCCCTTTCTGCCCCTCTCCCAATCTTGCTTCATCTTCATCTCTCTGGAGACCCAGCTTTTCTCTACATTTCTCCAGTTACTTTTCTCCCCCTGCTACATTCTCGGCTTCATTCACTGTCTCTGTAAATCTCTCAGCTACTCTCTGCCGTCTGCTTATGGATCTCCCTCATGCTTCTTTTTCAAAATTTTTCTATTTCCTGCCACTCTTTCACCATCTTTCCCCACACATCCATAGGCAGGGGAGTACAATAAGGTGCCCACCTCCGCCAAGAGCACATTTTTAGTGGGATGGAATTTGGGACGAAGAATCCTGAATGTCCTAAGACAGAAGAAGTCACGTCCCCACACCCGGGGGTCGGGAGTAGCGATGGCTGCGAAGGGGAGGCCTGGGGAGTAGGAAGGCCCGGATCAAGGAGGAAAAGGGTGGGGCTGAATTATTAGAAGTGTGGGGTCTCAAGGGTCCCAGGACCCAGTACAGGACGCGGCCTCCCCCGCCGGGACTGGGGCTGCGGCGCTGCGCTTCAGGGGCCGGGGGCGAGGTTGGGAGGCTCCCCGGGCGGGAATCCACCTTGCGGTAAGGACTTTTAAAAGCGCGGGGCAGGACGTTGGGTCAGTAAAGAGTTTTAAGCGGAAAGGAGTCTCGAAAATCCGTGTTTACCTGGCCCAAGGCAGAACGAGCGGGGACAGGACCCGTCGCCGAGCGATTTTAACACACAGGGAAGCGAGCGCCGGACTCTCACGGAGACGCCTGAATTTACACGGGGTGGAGGGAGCGGTGCGGGGATTTCAAGGTCTGTGTTGACTCTCAGATCCCGGGTACAGAAGCGCGGGGGAGCTGGGAAGCCCAGATTGAATCTAAACAAAGGGAAACTGACGCGCTGCGGTGTGACCTTCTACCCACGCGATCCGCTTCCGGGTCTGCAAAAAACTGCGCGCGCGCAGCATAGAGAGCGGACCGGGACGGGACGGGGCGGGGCTTCCCTAGGCCACGCCTCCAGTGCCTCTGTTTTCCGGGTTTTGCTGGCAGTGAGGCTGGAGCAGCTCAGCCCTCTGCAAACTGGGATCCTGCCGGAGCAAAGCAACGTCAGTTGAGGATTAGATCCAGGAAATTTCCTGCTATTAAAATCAATTTTAAGCCGGCCGTGGTGGCAGGCACCTGTAGTCCCAGCGACTAGAGAGGCTGAGGCTGGAGGATCGCTTCAGCCCAGGAGTTCGAGTCTACACTGAGCTATCATGGCCACTGCACTCCAGCCTGGGCGTAGTGTAGACCCAGTGCTATACTCAGTGTAGACTCTGTCCTAAAATAAATAAGTAAATAAAAACTAATTTTAACAATTTAATTTAAAAGGCCTGGAATTCTGTGTGAAGGCGATGCAAGTTAAAATGTGAAATGCAAAGCCCTGCCTGGGTAGCATGTGCAATTTCATGCTGACGGCCCACAGAACATAATAGAAATCTTCTCCCTTTCCATCATCATCTCTGATCTCCAGCACGGGAGAAAGATGTAGGCTGGGAGGTTAAGCCCGTCTAGTGTTTTCACGTTCTTCTGCCTGCTTTTATTCTGACTGTGCTGGCAGCTGATTAGATTGTGCCCACCCAAATTGAGGTGGGTCTGCCTTTCCCAGTCCACTGAGTCATCTCTAGAGTGCTCATCTCTAGAGAGTTTCCGAGGGACAACGCCAAGCGCGTTGGAGGGTTAAGGCCAACCTGGGAATCCGTATTTACCTGGCCCAAGGCAGAACGAACGGGGCATCTCCGTGAGAGTCTGGCGGTCGCTTCCCTGTGTGTTAAAAACGCTACAGGCACATGCCACCATACCCATCGTTCGGCGATGGGTCCTGTCCCCGGAGGGATGTTAGGCCACCACCAACTGCTTTTTTTTCTTGAGACGGAGTCTCGCTCTGTCACCCAGGCTCACTGCAAGCTCCGCCTCCTGGGTTCACGCCATTCTCCTGCCTCAGCCTCCTGAGTAGCTGGGACCACAGGCACCCACCACCACGCCCGCCTAATTTTTTGTATTTTTAGTAGAGATGGGGTTTCACCGTGTTAGCCAGGATGGTCTCGATCTCCTGACCTCGTGATCCACACCCCCCCCCCACGCCCCGGCCCCCAAAGTGCTGGGATTACAGGGGTGAGCCACTGCACCCGGCCCAACTGTTGCTTTTAAAAAAACCAATAACTTTAAAAAATAGATGTAAATTACATTGTGTGTGTGTGTGTGTGTGTGTTTGTTTTTGAGACAGAGTCTTGCTCTGTCACCCAGGCTGGAGTGCAGTGACACGGTTTCAGCTCACTGTAGCCTCTGCCTCCCCGGTTCAAGCGACTCTCCAGCCTCAGCCTCCCAAGTAGCTGGGGCTACAGGCTTGCACCACAGTGCTTGGCTAATTTTTGTATTTTTAGTACAGACACGGTTTCACCATGTTGGACAGGCTGGTCTCAAACTCCTGACCTCAGGTGATTCTCCTGCCTGAAAGATTGGTGCAATTTCTCTGTTAAATCATCTTATATGTTTCATCTTACATTCTGTTTAGATTTTCTGTCTCTACTACTGTCAAAATTGGTAGAGTACATTTTCCTAGAAAATTTGTTTCATCTGTGTTTCCAGTCAATATTCATTTAATTTTATAAATTACTTTATTTTATTTTATTTTTGAGACAAAGTCTCACTCCAATACCCATGCTGGAGTGCAGTGGCGCAATCTCAGCTCACTGCAACCTCCAACTCCCGGGTTCAACCAATTCTCCTGCCTCAGCCTCCCGAGTAGCTGGGACTACAGGCACGTGCCACCATGCCTGGCTAAGTTTTGTATTTTTAGTAGAGACGGGATTTCACTAAGTTGGTCAGGCTGGTCTTGAACTTCTGACCTCGTGATCCACCTGCCTTGGCCTCCCAAAGTGCTGGGATTACAGGCGTGAGCCACCAAGCCCGGCCTAAATTAGTTATTTAAAAAACTAATACACTTTATTTTAGAAGATTTATAGATTTATATTTAAAAAATTCAAAAAAGGTAGACAAGTTCCATATACCCTGACCCGTTTTCCCTATTATTAACATCTTATACTAGTTTTGTATGGGTTTTACAGTTTATAAACCATTGTTGATATACTACCATCAACTTATTCATAATTTATTCTGATTTCTTTGGTTTTAACTCATGTTCTTTTCTGCAGGGAGCTGAAGGCCTGTGGGATGTGACCAAGTTTATGGAGTTTAATCTGGCAAACAGTCTTGAAAACAGTGACTCCATAGCTGGAGAACTCAATTTAGGACTCTTTTAGCAAGCACAAATCAAAGACTATCTGTAATCAGTAGGTTAAGACAGTCATTCATGCATAAGTTTTTCACTACACTTACATACAACTTTTCTTCACTTTCTGAGAAGGGCACAGCATTTTTACCTTTTAATTTAACAAATACCATTTAATTAGGTTTAAAGTTCTCCTTTAAAGAGTAATGTGTGGTTTTACATGCCTAGCTTTTAATTACTCTTTAACTAATTCATGGGCCCTCTGTAATCTCTCTCCCTTCAGAGGTTACTATTTTACTTAAATTGAATTTGGAAAGCTACGTCAGGGATAGAAGAGAGGTAACAACAGTGACCATTATTAGAAAGCAGGTTTTTCAAATTCTTACATTTTACTTAAATCTTAGCAGAGAATCATAGCCTGGGACGTAACACATGAAATTTTGCTACGGGCTGCCCACAGAGCCAGAGGGCAGCGGTGCAGGTCCTGGGAGGCAGCCATGTTGTACTTTCTTAGGCTTTGCCTGTGTCTGCGCCGGTCCCTCCCTCCTTTGCCAGGGGGATGTTGCCAGCCTGGGCAGGCCTTGTCGGCTTGGTTACCGGGAGCTTTTCTGCTGCTGAGCCTTTTCTTCCACCTACTGCCTGCTTGGCTGCGCAGTTTCGGCTTCTAATGCGTTTTTTCTTATCTTTTTATAAACATACACCTGATTGCCTTGCCGATTTTGCATTACTGAGCAGGTTAAGAGCTCTCCTTCTAATGTTGCCTGCTTAACACAGGGACTGATAGCTGTAGTGTATCCTCTGTCCTTTGTCCTATCTATTGGAAGAGGAGGCTTAGGTAAGACTTCCATTTCCTCTTTGTTATTTTGGCCTGATGATACTGGGGCTGAGGGAAGAGGAGGTGATAAGGCAAGTGATGTTTTCTCCTCCTTCCTCTTTTTAGGCTCTTCTGTGTGTAACTGAGCAAAGGCTGATCTAATTAAAGCCCGTAACATTAAAGATTTTATTGGACCTGATGCCTTTGCGCCTGATGTTAAGATTTCTCCTCACTTGTTCTCAGAGTTCTACGTCTAGCATTCCTTCCTCCAGGAACCATGGGCTTTGTACTCCGTTATTGACCACACTAGTTTTTAATTCCTTCAACAACTTAAATTCTAGTGGGGTGTGTTCATGAATAAACTGCTGTGGATTATATGGATCAGGTCTTACGGAAATAGGAAAAGTGCAAGGTCCTAAGGGCTCTCCAGCTATGACAGCAGAGCATAAAATTCTTTGTATTAGGGTCTCTTATTTCTGCCACCGAAGGTGGTGGTACAAATGTTTCTGCAATTGGAGGAGGCTGTATAGCCCAATTTTTATCCTCCTTCTCCTGTTTTTTATTTTCAGTTGGAGCTGTGGGTAGAGCAACATATTCTTTCAGATTTTTAGATTCAGCTTGCTGTCCCACAGAATAAGAAGATGATAATGGCAGAAATACAGTACAAACTGAACTCCAAGTGGAAAAAACTGAAGAATCAACTTTAAAACCTTTTTGATGAGCCTGTTTCAATCCATCTCCTGCTCTATCCCAGTTTTCCACATCAAGAGTGCTTGCCTATGGAAACCATGGGTTACGCATAATAGCTTTTTGGGGCTTCTGCAGGAGGTTAGTTAGTGTCTGCAAATTAACCTGAGCTCCAGACTGTCTCAACAGAACTTTACAACTGCAAATAATGTTTCTTCAATAGACAAATTATTCCCCTTGTTACCCTGATTCAGAAAACTTCCCATTCCCAGTACTTCTTTAAAGCACTGCTCCCAGTACCTCTTTAGGGCACTGACCTTATATCCGCTGCCGGCAGACTCGTCCCGGGGTCCTTGTTCACCTTGTCAATTTCAGTTCCTCTGCTCCAGCAGACCTTCTTCGTTTATGTCCTCATAGTCCCGAGTTTGGATGCCACTGTCGCTGTTCAGGGTGCCACTTCGTGATGCCACTTATAAAGCACCCAATTCTGTCCCTGTTCAGGCGCCACTTGTAACCCACATGGACCTAGGGGGATTGAACAAAGGGGGCAAATGTGGAAATAAAAGACAAGAGAGTATATTTGCCTCTAGTGGACAAGGGCTCTGAGCTTTACACAGCCCTCCATATTTATTAGGCAAAAGAGAGAGCGAGAAAGGCAGGGTGATTGTCAGGTAATTGTCAGTCAGCCGTTTGGTTCACAGCAGGCTTGCAAGACTGCATCCTTTGAATAATAGGTGCTAGATTTCTCATTAGATAACTTCAAGGAGCCCGGTGCAAGGGAGACATGTCCCTCAGCAAACCTTTTGGTGGCAGGGAAGTGTGAGTTTGCCCATATCCTGCATTCTTGATAAACAGTTTGCTGTTTGATCATATAGCCTCCAGAGGAATGCTGAGTTGGTCACGTCCCACAGGCCTTCGGCTCCCTGACCTTTTCTCTGCCAGGATCCTGTCCAGGCCACCACATTAGATTTAACCATTATGTGTCTTTAGGCTCCCCTTGGCTCTAACAGATTCTCAGACTCTTGTTTTTTATAACCTGGTCAGCTTTGAGGAGTACTGGTTAGGTAGCAGGGCTGTCAATGTGTTATTGGGGACTGCCACTCTATTGGGATTTGTCTGATGTTTTCCATGATTAGACAAAGGTTAAGTATACTGGGGAGAAAAACCAATGAGAAGTGCCATTTTTATCACATCCTATCAAAGGTGTATACTATTAACATTACTTAATCCCCTTTGGATGTCAACCTTGATCACCTGTCTGAGGCTGTGTCTGTCAGGTTTCTCAGCTATAAAAATCCTCACATTCTCTCCCTGCCATATTGTATTGTTTAAAAGGAAGCAGCACTGTGCAGCCTGCATTTGTGGAGTTGGGAGTTATGTGTATTCCACCTCCTTGGAGGTGGAGTGTCTACAAGAGTTATTTGGAATTTTTCTGCATAGGAGTTGGGTCTCTTATCTCCCAATTATTTATTTAATCATTCATGTATATCAGAAAGTGCCATTTAATGTTTCAGACTATCAATTATTGACATCACATTCTTCATTTCACTCTTAGTGCATTAATAGATCCTTCTTGGTCTCTTCATGGTATCCCATTTGCCTTCCCATAATCTAGAAGGGGTCTGGAAGCATATGGTTCTCAGAGTCAGGAAAAAGTTAGATTTTGAGCAGAACTCAAGGAAGCAGAAGGTCGCGTGAGGTGTACAATTTGCTGAGAGTCCCTCATGGCTCAGACCTCAGCGTGTCCTGCACTCTCCACCTGAGCCCCTGTCTGCTTCCAGGGTCCATGGAAATAAAAAAGCCTCTTCTAAATACTGCATTAGTCTCTTTGGAGATGCTCACTAGACACTGTAATTGTTTCTGGTAATTGAGAATGGAAACAAATTATTAGAAAAAATATTTTTGACTTTCCTAGCATGCACTGCAATTTTGCTAAAGGTAAACTAATAACTGTGGTTCTTCGGGGAGGTGAGGTCGCAGAATCACAAACCTTTATCTCAGGGCCTGGCTGTCTCCCTCTCACAGATATACTGGCTGTTATAACCTTCACACTGAGCCCACCATCCTGGGAGCAGAAAAGAGTCTGGTGAGTATTTTCTATTTTGTTCTGAGAGGCGCATCTGTGAAGGTAAGGAGGCCTTCAGGAATCTGGAGAAGTGCTTATGTCAGAAAATTCTTCATAAAAACGGGTCCAGCTGGGTGTGACGGCTCACACCTGTAATCCTAGCACTTTGGGAGGCCGAGGCAGGTGGATCACAAGGTCAAGATCGAGACCATCCTGGCAAACATTGTGAAACCCCATCTCTATTAAAAATACAAAAATTAGCTGGGTGTGGTGGCGTGTGCCTGTAGTCCCAGCTACTTGGGAGGCTGAGGCAGGAGAATCACTTGAACCCAGGAGGTGGAGGTTGCAGTGAGTTGAGATCACGCCACTGCACTCCAGCCTGGGTGACAGAGTGAGACTCCATCTCAAAAAAAAAAAAAAAAAAATTTTAAACTAGTCCAGAGCTACATCCCAATGAGTTGCTGAAATAATCTGGAGCACTTGGTCCTCCCGTCTATACAAATCCCTAATACCTCTGACAGTAATTTAATGTAATCCACACTTGTGGTGATGGTTGATGTTTTATTCTATACTATTATCTGATATTTAAATCACACTGCAATTGTAGTTGTGAAGTTTATCCAGCCTACAAAAATTACAAACATGATTTTCAGGATAATAGAGGTGTCAGTATAGAGCCTCTTTTCATGTCATGATGAATAAATATAACTATGTGACAATTATATCAAAAAACTGAATGTCTGAGAGGCAATGGCTGCAATATAAATAACTTATTTTTTTTCTGAAAGGTGGGCATATCATATGCTTCATGGATACAGTACTATCCACAGAAAATATCTGAGGTCTGCTGATTATAGTGAAACTATTATCCCTCTTGGCCTTAGGCAATATCTGTTTGTAGAAAAGTTAGCATTATGATGAGTTTCAGATGAAAAAAATCTGGGAATTGGCAGTTTGCAGGTTCAGATGTATCTTGTGATAGTTCTCTGTTAAAAAGAAAAGAAAAAAAAAATCTGGTGGATGGTGGCTCATGCCTGCAATCCCAGCATTTTGGGAGACCAAGGTCGGAGGCTCCCTTGAGCCCAGGAGTTCTAAACCAGCCTGGCAACATAGCAACACTCTGTCTCTACTAAATAAATAAATATTAGCCAGGTATGGTGGTGCACGGCTGTGGTCCCTGCTACTTGGGAGTCTGGGAGGCTGAAGCAACAATGGATTGTGTTCACGCCACTGTACTCCAGCCTGGACCACAGAGAAAGACCCCATCTTAAAAAAAAAAATCTAGATGCCACTTTTAGTGTTTGTCTTTTCCTCATTTTTTTTTTTTTTTTTGAGATGGAGTCTCACTCTGTCACTGAGGCTGGAGTGCAGTGGCGTGATCTTGACTCACTGCAACCTCTGTCTCCTGGGTTCAAGTGATTCTCTTGCCTCAGCCTCCTGAGTAGCTGGGATTACAGGCACCCACCAACACACCTAGCTAATTTTTTTGTATTTTTAGTAGAGATGGGGTTTCACCATGTTGGTCAGGCTGGTCTTGAACTCCTGACCTCATAATCTGCCTGCCTCGGCCTCCCAAAGTACTGGGATTACAGGTGTGAGCCACTGCCCCCAGCCCAGTCAATTTCAATAATTACATTATTCCTAAATTAAATATTCCTTCATTATTAATCCATTATATGATATGTAATCAGTAATAATTTAACTTCAGTCTTACAGTATTTTGTCTCTTAACATGTTTCAGAAACCCATTACTTAGCCTAACATATTATGGTACAAAGACCTCCATCACTTTAAAATGGCAAAGGACATCAGTGAAAATAAGTAGTCATGCATCACATAATGATGTTTTGGTCAACTACTGACCACATATACAATGGTGGTACCATAAGATTACAATGGAGCTGAAAAATCCCTAATGCCTAGTGACACTGCAGCCATGGTAACATCACAGCACAATTACTTTATTTTTAAAAAATAAATTTAGTATAGCCTAAGTGTACAGTGTTTTGTTTTTTTTTTTCTTTTCTTTTTTTTGAGATGGAGTCTTGCTCGGTCACCCAGGCTGGAGTGCAATGTCATGATCTTGGCTCACTGCAACCTCCGCCTTCTGGATTCAAGTGATTCTCTCACCTCAGCCTCCTGAATATCTGAGATAACAGGCATGCGCCGCCACACCCGGCTAATTTTTTTGTAATCTTAGTGTTCACAAGGTTTCACCATGTTGGTCAGGCTGGTCTCAAACTCCTGACCTTGTGATCCAGCCATCTCGGCCTCCCAAAGAGTTGGGATTACAGGCGTGAGCCACCGTGCCCAGCTGTGTACAGTGTTTCTAAAGCCTACAGTAGTGTGGAGTGTGTCCTAGGCCTCTACATTCACTCACTACTCCTCACTGTCTCACCCAGAGTAACTTCCAGTTCTGGAAGCTCCACTCATGGTAAGTGCCCTATATAGGTGCACTTTGTTTCTTTTATATGGTATTTAATGTGGGGTGATCTTGGCTCACCACAGCCTCCACCTCCCAGGTTCAAGCAATTCTCCTGCCTCAGCCTCCCGAGTAGCTGGGATTACAGGCAGGCACCACCATGCCTGGCTAATTTTGTACTTTTAGCAGAGACAGGGTTTCTCCACGTTGGTCAGGCTGGTCTTGAACTCCCAACCTCAGGTGATCTGCCCACCTCAGCCTCCAAAAGTGCTGGGATTATAGGCATTAGCCACCACGCTCGGCCTCATATGGTATTCTTATGGTAACTTTTCTATGTTTAGACACAGAAATACTTTCCATTTTACTACAATTGCCTACAGTATTCAGTAGTGTAACCTGCTGTACAGGTTTATAGCACTGTGCCTGTCAGGAAAAAGGTTTGCTGAACACAGTAAGTAGGATGACTGATACATAGTTTTGTTATTCTCTGCTCACCTCCATGCTGTCTAAATCAAACAATATTTAACCTGAAAAGGCAATGTCCTTCTTCCAGGAAACTGGATAGAAATGCTCCCCAGCTAATAAAATCAGCCCTGTCATGCTGTTGATTCTTTCCCAGAGACCACAGTGAAAGGCCTGTAGGAAAAGCACATAATGAGAGTTTTAAGTTTAGGCTGAAAGTCATAAAGAGTAAAGTAGCCTTTCCAAAACTCCCAAGGAATTAAATATTTTAATAACCTGAATAAAAATCGCAATTTCCACATACCCTTGCATCATGAGGCTTGGTATCTTTTGGCTTGTAATTTTTCTGCAACATGCTATGTCATATATTAATACGGAAGTACTAGAGACTGAGTTATTTCTTCTGTAAATGCTCAGTGCTCTCATGTTCAATAGTTATGGTCCTTGATTAATACCCTTTGCATCCACAATCCACAATCCATCTTTATGGTTTTGTTTTGTTTTTTCCCGAGACAGAGTCCCACTCTGTTTCCCAGGCTGGAGTGCAATGGCCCAATCTCAGCTCACTGCAACTTCCACCTCCTGGGTTCAAGTGATTATCCTGCCTCAGCCTCCCCAGTAGCTAGGATTGCAGGTGCATTCCACCATGCCCAGCTAATTTTTGTGTTTTTAGTAGAGATGGGGTTTCACCATGTTGGCCAGGTTGGTCTTGAACTCCTGACCTCAAGTGATCCGCCCACCTTGGCCTCCCAAAGTGCTGGGATTACAAGTGTGAGCCACTGCGCCCAGCCTATGGTTTCCTCAAAGATGTATGTGTTGACGTCCAGTGACTTGGTGGGGCTGGATAAAGCCTGTGTCACATACATTTATATGATTTCTCTCTAGTACGACACTCTGGCGCTGATTAATATAAGAACTCATAATGAAGAGTTTTCCATACTCTATAAGGACTCTCGTGAATGAATTATCTGATGCTGTGGAAGGTGTGAATTCTGATTAAAGACCTTACCACGCATGTTGCATTTGTAAGGTTGCTCTCCAGCATGGATTCTGTGATGATTTGCAAGGTTTGAATTCTGAGTAAAGACCTTGCCACATCTTTTTTGTTTGTTTTTTGAGACAGAGTCTCACTCTGTCGCCCAGATTGGAGTGCAGTGGCTTCATCTCTACTCACTGCAGCCTCTGCCTCCCAGGTTCAAGTGATTCTCCTGCCTCAGCCTCCTGAGTAGCTGGGATTACAGGTGCATGCCACCATGCCCAACTGATTTTTGTATTTTTAGTAGAGACAGGTTTTCACCATGGTGGCCAGGCTGGTCTTGAGCTCCTGACCTCAGGTGATCCACCTACCTTGGTCTCCCAATGTGCTGGGATTACAGGAGTGAGCCACTATGCCCAGCCCCATATCCATTACAACTGTAAGGTTTCTCTGCATTACAGATTACCTGATGAATATTAAGACTTGAAGGCACACTAAATGCTTTGCTACATACATTTGTAAGGTTTCTTTGCAATATAAATTCCTTGATGTTTTACAAGGTGTGAAATTTGCTTTTTTTCATGTTTTATTTTAGGTTCAAGGAGTATGTGTACATGGGTCAACTGCATGTTGCAGGAGTTTGGTGTACAGTTAATTTTGTCCCCAGGTAATCAGCATAGTACCCAACAGGCAGTTATTCAATCTTCATCCTCTTCCCAACCTCCACCCATAAGCCCGTGTCTACTGTTCCCTTCTTTGAGTCCATGTGTAATCAATGTTTAGCTCCCACTTATAAGTGAGAACATGGGATATTTCATTTTCTGTTCCTGCATTAATTCACTTAGGATAAGAGCCTCAGCTCCATCTATGTTGCTGTAAAGGACACAGTCTTGTTCTTTTTTATGGCTGCATAGTATTCCATGGTGTATATGTACCAAATTTTCTTTATCTGGTCTACTGCTGATGGGCATTTACGTTGATTCCACATCTTTGCTATTGAGAATAGTGCTGCAATGAACATACAAGTGTTTGTCTTTATGGTGGAATGATTATATTCCTTTAGGTATACACCCAGTAATGGGATGCTGGGTTGAATGCTATGTTCTTTTATGTCTTTGAGAAATCGCTGCAGTGCTTTCCACAATGGCTGAATTAATTTACATTCCCACCAGCAGTGTATAAGTATTTGCTTTTCTCTGCAGCCTCACTAGCATCTATGTTTTGATTTTTTAATAATACCCATTCTGATAATACCCATTCAGACAGGTCTGAGATGGTATCTCATTGTGGCTTTGATTGCATTTCCTTAATGATTAGCGATATTAACCATTTTTTTCATATGCTTATTGCCACATGTATGTATTCTTTTGAGAAAGGTCTATTCATGGCCTTTGCCCAGTTTTTAATGGGGTTGTTTTTCTCATTGTTGATTTGTTTGAGTTCTTTATAGATTCTGGATTAGATCTTTGTCAGATGCAGTTTGTAAACATTTTCTCCCATTCTGTAGTCTGCAAATAGCTTCTTTTGCTGTGCAGAAGTTATTTAGTTTAATTAGGTCCCACTTGTCAATTTTTGTTTTTGTTGCAATTGCTTTGGGGTGTTCATCATTAAGTCTTTTCCAGCACTTATGTCCAGAATGGCATTTCCTGGGTTTTCTTCTAGGAATTTAATACTTTTAGGTTTTATATTTAAGTCTTTAATCCATCTTGAGTTGATTTTTGTATATCGTGAAGGATAGGGGTCCAGTTTCAATATCCTGCATATGGCTAGCCAGTTATGCCAGCACCACTTATTGAATGAAGTTCTTACTTCATTGCTTGTCAGTTTTGTTGAGGATCACATGGTTGTAGGTATATGCCTTTATTTCTGGGTTCTCTTACCTATTCCATTGATCTATGTGTCTTTTTTTATACCAGTACCATGCTGTTTTAGTTGCTGTAGCCTTGTAGTATGGTTTAAAGTTGGGTAGTGTGATACCTCAAACATTGCTCTTTTTGCTTAGGATTGCTTTTGCTATTTAGGTTGGGCTTTTCTGGTTCCAAATAAATTTCAGAATGTTTTCTTCTGATTCTGTGAAAAATGCCATTGGTAGTTTGATAGAAATAGCATTGGCTCTGTAAATTGCTTTGGGCAGTATTTTAACAATACTGATTCTTCCTATCCATGAGCATGAGATATTTTTCAATTTTTATTGTTTCTGATTTCTTTGTGCACTGCTTTGTAATTCTCATTGTAGAAATCTTTCACTTACCTGGTTGGCTGTATTCCTAGGTATTTTATACTTTTTGTGGCTACTGTGAATGGGATTCCATTCTTGATTTGGTTCATAGCTTGGACATTACTGGTGTATAGAAATGCAACTAATTTTTGTACACAGATTTTGTATCCTGAAACTTTTTTGAAGTTGTTTATCAGATCTAGGAGCCTTTGGGCAGAGACAACAGGTTTTCTAAATACAGAATTATATCTTCTGCAAGAGAAACTGACTTCCCCTCTTCCTATTTATATATGCCTTTCATATCTTTATCTTGCCTGATCACTAAGCTTAGGACTTCCAGTACTATGTTGAATCGGAGTGGTGAGAGTGGTCATCCCTGTCATTTTCCAGTTCTCAAGGGGAATGCTTCCAGCTTTTGCTTGTTCAGTATTAATTTGGCTGTGAGTCCAGCATAGATGGTTCTTATTGAAGTATGTTCCCTCAATGTGTAATTTGTTGAGGGTTTTTAAAATGAAGGGATGTTGAATTTTATTAAAAACCTTTCTGCATCTAAAGAGATGATCATGGTCATGTGGTTTTTGTTTTTAGTTCTGTGTATGTGATAAATCACATTTATTGATTTGTGTATACTGAACCAACCTTGCAGCCCAACACTAAAGCCTGCTTGATAATGTTGGATTAGCTTTTTGATGTGCAGATGGATTTGGTTTACTAGTATTTTGCTGAGGATTTTGGCACCTATATTCGTCAGGAGTACCAGCCTGAAGTTTTCTTTTTTCATTGTGCCTGTCAGGTTTTGGTATTAGAATGATGCTGGCCTCATAGAATCAGATAGGGAGGAGTCCCTCTGCATCCATGTTTTTGAACAGTTTCAGTAAGATTGGTAACAGCTTTTCTTTATACATCTCGTAGGCTTCAACTATAAATCTGTCTGGTCCAGAGTTTTGTTTGATAGATTTTTAATTAGTGATTAAATTTTGGAACTCATTATTGGTCTGTTCAGGGATGCAATTTCTTCTTGGTTCAATCTTGGGGGGTTATATCTTTCAAGGAATTTATTAATTTTTTCTAGGTTTTCTAGTTTGTGTGCATACAGGTGTTTATAGTAATCTTTGAGGGTTTTTCGTATTTCTGTGGGGTTGGTGGTAATGTCCCCTTTGTCATTTCTGATTGTGTTTTTTAGATCTCCTTTTGCAAGGTGTGAAATTTTTTTGAAGACTTTTCCACACATTTATTATAATTGTGAAGTCTCTCCAGTATAAATTCTCTAATGAGTTATTAGAAAAACTTGTGTTTGAAGACCTTGTCATATTCTTTACATTTGCAAAATTTCTTTGCAGTATGGAATAAAAGATGGGTAGTAAGGCTTGAGTGCACACTAAATTCTTTGACGCATTTGTTGCATTTGTAGTTTCTATCCCATATGAATTGTCCAATGTTGTGCTAGGTATGAAATGCGACTAAAGGCCTTGCCACACTCATTACATTTGTAAGGTTTCTCTCCAGTATGAATTTTCCGATGTCGTGCAAGGTGTGCAATTCGATTGAAGACCTTGCCACATTCATTACATTTGTAAGGTCTTTCTCCAGTATGGATTCTCTGATGATTGGTTAGTGATAACTTGTGTCTGAATGCCTTGCCACATTCACTACATTTGTAAGGCTTCTCTCCAGTGTGGATTACAAGATGGGCTGAAAGGCCTGAATACTCACTAAATGCTTTACCACATTCATTACATTTGTAAGGCTTCTCTCCAGTATGAATTCTTCGATGTCGTGCAAGATTTGAAAGTTGATTAAATACTTTTCCACATTCATTACATTTGTAAGGTTTCTCTCCTGTATGAATTCTCCAATGTTGTGCTAGGTGCGAATTTTGAATAAAGACCTTTCCACATTCATTACATTTGTAAGGTTTCTCTCCAGTATGAATTTTCTGATGTCGTACAAGGAGCGCAATCCTATAGAAGGCCTTGCCACATTCATCACATTTGTAAGGCTTCTCTCCAGTATAAATTCTCCAATGATTTGCTAGAGATGACTTATGACTGAAGCCTTTACCACATTCATTACATTTGTAAGGTTTCTCTTCAGCATGAATTCTTTGATGTCGTGCAAGGTAAGAATTATTACTGAAGACTTTACCACATTCATTACATTCATACGGCTTCTCTCTGGTATGAATTCTTTGATGTCGTGCAAAGTTTGAATTGTAACTAAAAACCTTGCCACAGACATTACATTTGTAAGGTTTCTCTCCAGTATGAATTCTACAATGTTCTGCAAGGTGTGAATTGCGACTAAAGACCTTGCCGCATGAATTACATTTGTAAGGTTTCTCTACAGTATGGATTACTTGATGTTTAGTAAGGCTGGAAGATACTCTAAAGACTTTGCTATGCTCATTACATTCATAAGGTTTTTCTCTAAGGTGTACTTTCTGTTCTTGTGGGAGAAATGAAGAATCATCAAAATCATTCCTATTAAAAATGGGGGTTTTGACACTGGAAGACATTTCTTGAAGACAGGAAACAGAGGAACTGTGGTTGATAAAGTTTTCAACTTGATTACATCCATTTATTACCCTTTCATCTGGAAATAGCTCCAGTTCAGACAGATGTAAGTGAAAGGATACTCCAAGTTGTTTTTTAATTGGTTTGTCTTCTGCATTGCTTCCCAATGCATAGCTGCTCCCTAGGAAAGCAAGAAAAAAGTAAAATTCAGACCCCATAATTCTGGCATGTTTAGAGTCTGATGAAAATACTAGAATCTGCCTCATCTGACTCAGACATTGGAAGAAATATCAGCACACTTTGTACATCACGCTGGTTGTGCTGAAAATAGAAAAGGGTAAGGTGATGCACTGGAGTTCTGGGAAATCTGTAGGAGTCAGGAGGATTACAGGTGAGTTTGAGAGGGATTATGAGTAGAGAGATAGAACAGGAATTGAAACCTTCTGAGAAAAAGAAGGGACAAGTCTCTAGGGAAAATAAGACACTCAAGAGAAGCAGTATACATAATAACAGTACATGCACAAAGCTAGGAAAGGCACATCCCCAGAAAAGGAGTGAGTGTTCCCACACCCTTTACAACAGGCTAATTAGAAAAGATCTCCCTCTGACCAAGTCTTATACAAAACAACTGAGAGAAGCAGTTATTTTACCAAACCTAATCCAAAAATTACAAGGCCTATGAAAGGAAAGAGAAATATGGCTAAAAAATAAATAAAGCCAAACCTAGAAAAAGACAGGCAGCTCTCTAAATTACTAGACAAATATTTATTTATTTATTTATTTAAGACAGGGTCTCACTCTATCGTCCAGGCTGGAGTGCAGTGGTATAGTGTAGCTCACTGCAGCATCTACTTCCCCAGCTCAAGCGATCTCTCCTGCTTCAGCCTCCTGAGTAGCTGGGTCTACAGGCATGCACCACCACATTCAGCAAGTTTTGGGGTTTTTTGTTATTTCTTTTGTTTGTTTTTAAGATGGAGTTTTGCTCTTGTTGCCCAGGCTGGAGTACAATGATGCAATCTCAGCTCACTGCAACCTCCACCTCCAGGTTCAAGCAATTATCCTGCCTCAGCCTCCCGAGTAACTGGGACTACAGGTGCCGGCCAACATGCTCAGCTAATTTTTGTATTTTTAGTGGAGATGGGGTTTTACCATGTTGGCCAGGCTGGTCTGGAACTCCTGACCATGATCCGGCCACCTCAGCCTCCGAAAGTGCTGGGATTACAGGCGTGAGCCACCACATCCAGCCTCAGCAAGTTTTTTCTGTGTTCTTTTAGAGACAAGGGCTCGTGATATTGCCTAGACTGGTCTCGAACTCCTTGGCTCAAGTGATCCTCCTGCCTTGGCCTCCCAAAGTGTTGGGATTACAGGCATGAGGCACTGCACCTGGCCCTTGACAAATATTTAAAGCAACTGCCTTAAGATTCTTAATGAGCTAAAAGATATCAAGGAGAGATAGACAACTAAATGAAATCAGAAAAACAATACATGAGAAGGAGGATATTAAACAAAGGAGGAAACAAAAAACATTCTGGAGCTGAAACACAATAAATAAAGTAAAAATTCATTAGGTGCTCAACAGCAGATGGATAGAGCACCAAAAAGAATGAGCAAACTTAAAGGTCAGTTATTCAAAAGTATCAGCTCCACCAGGCACAGTGGCTCACGCTTGTAATCCCAGCACTTTGGGAGGCCAAGGCAGGAGGATCACTAGGTCAGGAGTTTGAGACCAGCCTGACCAACATGGTGAAAGCCTGTCTCTACTAAAAATACAAAAATTAGATGGACATGGGGGCATGCACCTGTAATCCCAGCTACTCAGGAGGCTGTGGCAGGAGAATCGCTTGAACCTGGGAGGCAGAGATTGCAGTGAGCCAAGATGGAGCCATTACACTCCAGCCTGGGCTACAGAGCAAGACTCTAATTTAAAAAAAAAAAAAAAAAAAAAAAACACAGTATCAGCTACAAAGACCAAAAACAAAAAACAGAGAAGAAAAGCAAATAAACGCTAATACATTTTTCGGATGCTCTCAAGCACAACAACATACAAATTATTAGAGGTTCACAAGGAGAAGACAGAGGATCAGAAATTGCAACTGAAGAAATAATGTCCAAATAATTGTCCAAATCCCAATTCTGAAGAAAGACCTGAATATACAATTCAAGAAGCTTGACCATTCAAATTAAAATGAACCCAAGGACATTCACACAGAGATACATTATAAGCAAATTATCAAACATCAAAGACAGAGGAAGAATTTTGACAGGAGCAACAAAAAAGATATTTGCCATTTAGAGGAAAAGGTATAAGACTATGTACTTTCTCCAGCGGAAACTTTGCCTGCCAGAAGGCAGTGAGATGACATATTGAAAGTGCTTAAAATCAACCAAGAATACTATATTTAGCAAAAGTCACCTGCAAAAATAAAGGAGAAATTTAGATTTTCCTCGATAAAGAAGAGCTAAGAAAGTTCATTACTACTCTAGACCTGTCCAACAAGAAATGCTACAGGGAGCCCTTCAAAATGAAATAAAAGGATTCCAGACAGTACTGGTAACCCAAATGAGAGGATAAAATTCTCCATTAAAGTAAAAAATGACCCAGGTGTGGTGGCTCACACCTGTAATCTCAGGGTTCTGGGAGGCCGAGGCGGGCAGATTGCTTGAGGTCAGGAGTTTGAGACCAGACTGACTAACGTGGTGAAACCCCATCTCTACTAAAAATACAAAAATTAGCCAGGCATGGTGGCACATGCCTGTAATCCCAGCTACTCGGGAGGCTGAGGCAGGAGAATCACTTGAACCCAGGAGGCAGAGGTTGCAGTGAGCCAAGATCTCACTGCTGCACTCCAGCTTGGATGACAGAGCGAGAATCCATCCCCCCATGCAAAAATGAAAAAAAAAGCAAGAATAGAGAAGCCAGAAACAAACCCTCAAATACTTGGTAGAATAATGTTCAATCAAAATGTCAAGACCATGTAACAAGGAAAGGACAGTCACTTCATCAAATAGTGCTGAAGAAAAAGGATGCCCACAAGCAAAGGAATGAGGCTGAACCCTTACTTTACACCCCATGCAAAAATTAACTTAAAGTCTATTCATGACCTAAAACGATAAAACTCCTAGAAAAAACCATAGGTAAAAAGCTTCATGAGATTGGATTCAACATTTCCCCAGATATAAAATTGATAGTACAGGAAAGAAGGTAAATATACACACGATGCACTATGACAAAATTGAGAACTATTGTGGATAGAAGAAAACAATTACCACAATGTAAAGAAAACCTACCATATGTGAGAAAATATTTGCATATCATATCTGTGATAAAAACTTAATATCTAAAATATATATAGGCCGGATGTGGTGGCTCATGCCTGTAATCCCAGCACTTTGAGAGGCTGCAGCAGGTAGATCACCTGAGGTCAGGAGTTCAAGACCAGCCTGGCCAACATAGTGAAACCCCATCTCTATTAAAGATACAAAAATTTAGCCAGGCATGGTGGTGTGCACCTGTAATCCCAACTACTTGGGAGGCTGAGGTGGGAGAATTGCTTGAACCTGGGAGGCGCAGGTACCAGTGAGCCGAGATCACGCCACTGCATCCAGCCTGGGTGACAGAGCAAGACTCCGTCTCAAAAAATAAATAAATAATTATTTAAAATAATAAAATAAAAATATATAAATAAGTCCTACAAAGCAAAACAAATAACGAATTAAGAAATGTGGAAAGAAATACACATTTTTCCAAAGGTGATATACGACCATATAAGAAAATGCAAAATATCACAAATCATTAGAGAGAAATGCAAATAGAAAACTGAATATTTTTCCTCACACCAATAAAGAATATCACCTCACACCCATATAGAATACGTTTTGTCAAGAAAAGGGAAAAAAATGAAACACCAGAAAATCACAAGTGTTGTCGAAAATATGGAGAAATAGGAGAATTTTGTGCCACTGTTGGTGGAAAATTGAAATGGTGCAGTCACTATGGAAACAAGTATGACATTTTCTCAAAGAATCCAAAATCAAATGATCAGTATAGGCAACAATTCCACATCTGGGTATAAAGATAAAAAAGAAAAAGGCCAGGCGCACTGGCTCACACCCTTAATGTTACTACTTTGGGAGGCCTAGGCAGGCAGATCACCTGAGGTGAGGAGTTCGAGACCAGCCTAGTCAACATGGTGAAACCCTGTCTCTACTAATAATACAAAAATTAGCTGGGCGTGGTGGCACACACCTGTAATCCCAGCTGCTCAGGAGGCTGAGGCAGGAGAACTGCTTGAACCCAGGAGGTGGAGGTTGCAGTTAGCCGAGATTGCACCATTGCACTCCAGCCTGGGCAACAAAAGCGAAACTCCATCTCAAACAAACAAATGAAAAATAAAATGAAAGTAAACACAGCATCTTGAAGAGATACTTAAAAACCCATGGTCAAGGCCAGGCACGATAGCTCACGCCTATAATCCCAGCACTTTGGGAGGCTGAGGCAGGTAGATCATGAGGTCAGGAGTTCAAGACGAGCCTGGCCAATATGGTGAAACCCTGTCTCTACTAAAAATACAAAAACTAGCTGGGTATGGTGGTGTGCACCTGTAGTCCTAGCTGTTTGGGAGGCTGAGGCAGGAGAATCGCTTGAACCCAGAGGGTGGAGGTTGCAGTGAGCCAAGATCACGCCACTGCACTTCAGCCTGGGCGAGACAGTGAGACACTGTCTCAAAAAACAACAACAACAAAAACCCATGTTCATAGCAGCATTATTCAAAAATAATAAAAAGGTGGGCGCAATGCAGGTGTCCACCAATGGATGAATAGTTAAACAAACTGTGGTACAGACAAATAGAAGAATATTATTCAGTCCTAAAAGAATATACAAATTTCTTGATGTGCTACAAAATAGATGAACCTGAAAGACACTACGCTAAGTGAGATAAGCCAGTCATAAAAAGACAAATACTGTGTGATTCCATTTGAGTATCCAAAATACTGAAATTCACACAAACAGACAAGAAAGCGGGAGGGGAGACAGTGAAATTGTCGGGGGAATTAGTTAAATATTCCTGGTAAATCAATTAAATCTAAATTCGAAATAAAAAAATAAGACTAGGCATCATGGCTCATGCCGGTAATCAGAGTACTTATGGAGGCTGAGGCAGGAGGATTGCTTAAGCCTAGGGGTTCAAAATCAACATAGCAAGACCCCTGTATCTGAAAAACAAAAAGAAGCTGGGCGCGGTAGCTCATGCCTGTAATTCTAGCACTTTGGGAGGCAGAGGCAGATAGATCACTTAAGGTCAGGAGTTCGAGACCAGCCTGGCCAACATAGTGAAACCCTGTCTTAACTGAAAATACAAACAAAAATTAGCCAGGCATGGTGCAGGTGACCATAATCATAGATACCTGGAAGGCTGAGGTAGCAGAATCCCTTGAACCCGGGAGGCAGAGGTTGCAATGAACTGAGATAGCGCCACTGCACTTCAGCCCGGGCAATAGAGCAAAATTCCATCTCAAATAAAGGAAAGGAAGAAAGGAAGAAAGAAAGAAAGAAAGAAAGAAAGAGAAAGAGAGAGAGAGAAAGAAAGATCTCCAGTCAAATAAACAAAAAAATTATTTATTTATTTGAAACTGAGTCTCGCTCTGTCTCTCAGGCTCTGTTTCATGACAGTGAAACTCCATCTCAAAAACAAAACAAACAAAAATACAAACATAAAAAACCAAAACTAGACAAAACAAAACAAAAAAAAAGCCCAAACAACAGCATGGCTTCCACCATGCCCATCTGAGCTCTTACCTGTGTTCACACCTTTGATGCACTCCCTCCCATCTGAATTTTTTGCTATTTTCACTTCACTCTCACCAGACCAGGGCTCCCTCCTTTGCTCCAACATGGAGTTAATATTCAGGTCAGGAAGAGAGATTCCTGTTTGTAAAAAAAAAAATCAAAATGTGCTGTAGCATCTCCAAAATCCAAGCCCTATGTGTAGGAAGGAGACAGGATATCACAAATGAATCAAGAATAATATTTCACAAATTCATCCATAGACTGCCTCCTTCTGAATGCTTAGGGAATATTATAACATGCAGACATCAAGCCCCTTTCCAAGAACTACTGAGTATAAAGCACAGGAGTAGAGGCTGGGCGTGGTGGCTCACACCTGTAATCCCAGCACTTTGGGAGGCCGAGACGGGTGGATCACCTGAGGTCGGGAGTTCGAGATCAGCCTGACCAACACAGAGAAACTCGGTCTCTACTAAAAATACAAAAAAAAAATTAGCCAAGCATGGTGGCACATGCCTCTAATCCCAGCTACTCGAGCAGTTAAGGCAGGAGAATCATTTGACCCCAGGAGGCGGAGGTTGCAGTGAGCCAAGATCGCGCCATTGCACTCCAGCCTCCAAGAGTGAAACACTCTGTCTCAAAAAAAAAAAACAAAACATAAAACAAAGCACAGGAGTAGAAAACAGGGAAGTGGGTATCTGAAAAGTTTGCCATAAGGTTTTATGCAGCTGGGTGCGGGGGCTCATGCCTGTAATCCCAGCACTTCGGGAGGCTGAGGCAAGTGGATTGCTTGAGCCCAGGACTTTGAGACCAGCCTGGCCAACATTGTAAAAATGAAATATAGAAAAATTAGCCAGGTGTGGTGGCACGTGCCTGTAATCCCAGTTACTAGGGAGGCTAAGGCGAATTGCTTAAGCCTGGGAGGCAGAGGCTGCAGTAAGCCAAGATCACGTGCCCTCCAGCCAGGGCAACAGAGCAAGACTCAATCTCAAAAACAAACAAAAAAGGTTTTATGCATACTTCCGCCCTGGTACCACCCAATGATGTATAATGAAGGGGACAGAACATCTGAAGAAAAAGGACATTTCAACTCCAGAAAACACTATGGAGCTTTTCATTTCTGAGTCAACAAGGTTTTTAGTTTTTTGTTTGTTTGTTTGTTTTTTTAATGAGACGGAGTTTCACTCTTGTTACCCAGGCTGGAGTGCAATGGTGCATTCTCGGCTCACTGCAACCTTCACCTCCCGGGTTCAAGAGATTCTCCTGACTCAGCCTTCCAAGTAGCTGGGATTACAGGCTCCCACCACCATGCCCGGCTAATTTTTGTATTTTTAGTAGAGATGGGGTTTCACCATGTTGGCCAGGCTGGTCTCAAACTCCTGACCTCAAGTGATCCTCCTGCCTTGGCCTCCCAAAGTGCTGGGATTACAGGTGTGAGCCACGGATCCCAGCCTGAGTCAATAAGGGTTTTTTTGGTTTTTTTTTTTTTTTTTTTTTTTTTGGGACGGAGTTTCACTCTGTTGGCAGGCTGGCAATGACGTGATCTCGGCTCACCAAAACCTCTGCCTCCCAGGTTCAAGTGATTCTCCTGCTTAATGTCAGTCAAACAATGCAGGGGCTCCCAGGAGGCACACAAGGGAAAATGCTGAAATAACCAAGGGCAGATCCCGGCTTCTGCAGGGGCATGATCCTCACCCAGGGAGACCAGGTTCCTGTAGTTCTCCAACATCACATCCTTGTATAAAGCCCTCTGTGCAGGGTCCAGGCATTTCCACTCCGCCTGAGAGAATTCTATGGCCACGTCCCTGAATGTTAAGTGTCCCTAAAATGAAAACCACATTTCACCAACAGGATATGTAAAGGGTATTAATCTTCACTCAAAATGAGAAGGGAGTTGTAAAGATTAACTGGATTGAAGAGAATGTTCTGACGAATCCCCATTAAGGTATCTGTGATGTAGTTATGTGTCTGTAAATGTGTTTTTTTTCTTTTTTTTGAGACAGAGTCTTACTCTGTTGCCCAGGCTGGAGTGCAGTGGTGCAATCTCGGCTCACTGCAACCTCCGCCTCCTGGGTTCAATCAATTCTTGTGCCTCAGCCTCCCAAGTAGCTGGGACTACAGGTGCACACCATCACACCTGGCTAATTTTTGTATTTTCAGTAGAGATGGAATTTCACCACGTTGGCCAGGCTGGTCTTGAACTCTTGTCCACACATCTCAGCCTCCCTAAGTGCTGGGATTACAGGTGTGAGCCACCACCCTGGCCTGTGAATTGTGTTTTATTATACTTTTCCAAAAGAAGTTATATTTTAAAAATCAAAATAGATTTCTCATTTTGTGGACATATAAGAAATGCAAATAAAAAATTAACCCATGGTTATCTCTATAGAAGCATTAGCTATTATTTTTGACACTCCAAGTCATATTCAGTATCTACCTGATCTGAATACCTACCAATATCACCACCACTACAAGACAAGTGGTGTCTTTGGAGATGACAATGTCCACAGTGGCTTCAAAAAAAAAAAAGAATTATAGGCCAGGCATGGTGGCTCACGCCTGTAATCCCAGGACTTTGGGAGGCTGAGGTGGGCAGATGACCTGAGGTCAGGAGTTAGAGACCAGTCTGGCCAACATGGTGAAACCCCGTCTCTAATTAAAATACAAAAATTAGCTGGGCGTGGTGGTATGCACCTGTTAATCCCAGCTACTCAGGAGGCTGAGGCAGAAGAATCACTTGAACCAGGAAGGCAGAGGTTGCAGTGAGCTGAGATTGCACCACTGTAGTCCATCCTGGGGGAAAAGAGTGAGACTTCATCTCACAAAAAAAAAAAAAAAAAGAGAAAGAATTATAGGCTGGGCGCGGTGGCTCACGCCTGTAATCCCACCATTTTGGGAGGCCGAGGAGGGCAGATCACTTGAGGTCAGGAGTTCAAGACCATCCTGGCCAACATGGTGAAACCCCACCTCTACTAAAAATACAAAAATCAGCTGGGGGTACTGGTGGGTGCCTGTAATCCCAGTTACTCAGGAGGCTGAGGCAAGAGAATTGCTTAAACCCAGGAGGCAGAAGCTGCGATGAGCCAACATCACACCACTGCACTACAGCCTGGGCTACAGAGTGAGACTCTGTCTCAAAAAAAAAAAGAATTATAAAACTGGGATGATAACAATAGCAATGACTGAAGCTTTTGAACACTTTCCATGTGACAGGCACTATTCTAAATGCTTTACATGTACTAACTCCTATAACAACAAAAGCCCATGAAAGAAAGACCTGTCCCTGTCTTACTGAGAAGACAACTGTGTCACAGATACCCTAAGAAACTCGCCCCAGGTGTAAGGACTAAAAACAGCAAAGTAAGCACCAGATCCCAGGCGTCCGGGCATTAGAACCAAACCAAAAGAATCAAACAATGAACAGATCAGCATCAAAAGTAAATTGACAATTACCTAAGAAAAAAGTTAAAACAAGTTTAGGGATAAAATCATGGACCTTCATAAAAGGTCATTATGGCTGGGCATGGTGGCTCATGCCTGTAATCCCAGCACTTTGGGAGGTCAAGGCGGGTGGATCACAAGGTCAGGGGATCAAGACCAGCCTGACCAACGTGGTGAAGCCCAGTCTCTACTAAAAAATACAAAAAGTAGCTGGGCATGGTGGCACGTGCCTTTAATCCCAGCTACTCAGGAGGCTGAGGCAGGAGAATCACTTGAACCTGGGAGGCAGAGATTGCAGTGAGCCGAGATTGCAGTGAGCCAATATCGCGCCACTGCACTCCAGCCTGGTGACAAACAGAGACTCTGTCAAAAAAAAAAAAAAAATTATATATGAGTACACACATGTATCCCATGTTACTATTCACAGCCATCAACTCATTAACATGATGGTGTACGACAATTTCCGAGGTCATGGAAAATATTTCAGATGTAATTTCAACTGTTAAAAAAATACATAAAAATGATGACATGTCTTTAATAAAACCATAGGCTTGCTCATCTGTGCAGTCATGAACACGCATCACGGTCCACACTTATATATATGTACACTTAGACCCATATACACTAGCACACATATACACTTATACACATCAACTGAAATAGGAGTTGTCTGTCAATAACCTATTTTTTAGATGACATTTGTCATCACTTTTTTTTTTAATTTTTAGAGACAGGGTCTCACTATGTTGTCCAGGTTGCATGGAGGTGGCTTATTCACAGTGTACTATGGCCTTGAACTCCTGGGGCTCAAATGTTTCTCCCTCCTCAGCCTCCCAAGTATCTGGAACTAAAGGTTTGTACCACTGCACCCACCTGTCATTGTTATTTTTGCTATGTACATTTCAGCATGTTTACAACAAAAATGTATAAATTGTACTCAATTGAGTTTATAAACATTGCTGTATATTAAGCCATTAAAAAATGATAGACCATGAAAAAACACAGAAAGTTGAACTCCAATCTCTATTAAATACCCAGATTCAAAAATATAAATGTAGGCTGGGCATGGTGGCTCCACCTGTAATCCCAGCACTTTGGGAGGCCAAGGTGGGAGGTCTGCTTGAGGACAGGGGTTTGAGAACAGCCTGGGCAACATAGAAAGATCCCATCTTTATTGATATAAAAAATATGATTATATATAATATTTTAAAAAATTGAGATGGGGTTTCAGTATGTTGCCTAGGGTGGTCTCAAACTCCTGCATTCAAGGGATGCTCCTGCCTCAGCTTCCCAAGAAGCTGGGATTCTACACACATGTGATCAACCCTGACTTACATAAATATAATAATTATGTCCATAAAATTTATCTATTTGGTATTTACAAAAGCCCAATGGGGTTTATCAATATATTCCATTAATAAAACATTAATACATGACAGAAAATTTATTAATATGATATAATAATTCAACAAAATAAGTCACAGAAAATATCTCAGCAGTATACATCTTTTTTTTTTTTTTTTTTTTTTGAGGCGGAATCTCGCTCTGTCACCCAGGCTGGAGTCCAGTGGCGTGATCTTGGCTCACTGTAAGCTCTGCCTCCCGGGTTCACGCCATTCTCCTGCCTCAGCCTCCCAAGTAGCTGGGACTACAGGTGCCCGCCACCATGCCCGGCTAATTTTTTTTTTTGTATTTTTAGTAGAGACAGGGTTTCACTGTGTTAGCCAGGATGGTCTCGATCTCCTGACCTCGTGATCCACCCGCCTCGGCCTCCCAAAGTGCTGGGATTACAGGCATGAGCCACCATGACCGGCTAGCAGTATACATCTTAAGAAATTACTAGATAATTAAAAACAAGGACAAAAATAAAATTTGAAAACAAAAACAACCATATCATTAAGCAAGAACGTCTCATGAAACATGATAATCAGCAGTAAACATGGCAGACATTTCCTTGACTTTAAGGCAGGGAAAAGGGGGCTGGTCTGTGCTGCAGCCAATCACCACTGCACAGGATGCCTGGGCAGGGGCCAGAAAGAGAGGTTAAAAAAAAAAAAATTAGTTGGGGTTGGAGGCAGGAAAAAGCTGGATTTAAAAATGTATATAATTAACAAAATTATTTTAACCAAGACAAAGAATGTCATTTTAACATATTAACTAATAAGAATATATTAGCCTGGTGCAGTGCTGGGATCATGCCTGTAATCCCAGCATTTTGGGAGGCCAACGCAGGCGGATCACTTGAGGTCAGGAGTTCGAGACCAGCCTGGCCAACATGGTGAAACCCCATCTCTACTAAAAATACAAAAAATTAGCTGGGCATGGTGGTGGGTGCCTGTAATCTCAGCTACTTGTGAGGCTGAGGCATGAGAATTGCTTGAACCCAGAAGACAGAAGTTGCAGTGAGCTGAGATCCTGCCACGGCACCCCAGCCTGGGTGACAGAGCAAGACTCTGTCTCAAAAAGAAAGAAAGAAAAATGAATTAAAAGAAGAAAATAAATTTAAAAAAAAGAAAAAAATATATTGAAAAAAATTTCCTTCTTTAGCAGCATTATTTATAAAATGACACATACAGGAAAGAAACATCTGACATCTCCCTTAGGAAATGGCCCCTAACTAGAAGACATTCCAGACCTGTGTTAGAAATCTGCAACTCTACTAAAAGAGTAATGTCAGCAAGACAGAGGAATAGGAAGCCCCGGACCATTTTGAATCCATGTGGACACAAATTAAACAAGAATACGTGGGCCAACTGACTTTTGTGAGAAATCCAGAAGCCACTCAGGAGGCTGCACCCAGAGATGCACCAGTACCAAGTCAACCTACTGGGAGCTGAGTGTGAAAATGTGACACACGCCCACCAGAACCCCTGCCCAGGCATGACATGCCATCATCCAGAGGATACCACAAACTCCAGATATCTCCTGAGAGAGGAAAACAATGGGAATGTCTATCCAACCTTCTGACTTTTCAGGGAACTGCCTAAGGGACAAGTTTCTGTCTTGTCTGAACATAAGCATTGAAGTAACAGGGCCCCAGGTCAGGAAGCCACTGAGAACAAAGGCACCAGTATAAACCAGAGCCAGCAGTAATGCAGGCAGACACCAGGTGACAGTGCAGACCCCAGCTTCCTATTGCCCCACACAGGCTGAAGAGCAGGTGCAGAAAGGGACACTCCTCAGCAGAACCTGGTCACCCCCTTCAGTGAGGAGGTAACAAGCAAAGCCCAGAGAGGACACATCCCAGACAAGGCGAGGGACCTCCAGAGTCTCCAGCTGGGCTGACCAGAGCGCATCTTCCCTGAACCAAGCCAGACACTAAAAACAGAGAGGTGACTGATTGTTAATTCAGAGAACGTTCACATGAAGTTGTAAAGGAGTAAATTTTCACAACTTACAGAATAAAGTATCATAAAACAATCACTGAGAATTTTACTTAAAACACCACAATGCTGTATACATATAATTCTACAGGACTTGCTCTCACTCCTGACAGAGGTGACAGGAGTGGGTCCCAGTGAGACTGAGAGAGGGTGGAAGGCTCCCTCCCATAACAATTATTTACATGTCACATAGACATTTAGGACAGGGAATGTTTTGTATTTGATGGCCTAACCTGTACATTTGGAGTTTTCCTATAAGACAAATTTATACATAATTTGATGTTGAAAAAATGATAATAATAATTCGTGGACAAGAATATGATTTCCTCCTCTCTGACAAAAAAAAAAATCTGCTCCAATCTCTGAGCAAAATTATCACATTTTTTGCTTAACACAGCTGGTGCAGGAGACTCCCCAAAGGAAAATCGGTCTCTGTGAGAGGCACATGCTGAGAATGATGAGAGAACGTCCTCCCTGAACCAAGGTAGACATAAAAAACTGGGAAAGGCGTTTAGCTTCAACTGTAGTAAAAATCAGGCAGGAAGGCTGGGCACAGTGGCTCACGCCTATAATCCCAGCACTTTGGGAAGCTGAGGTGGGTGGATCACCTGAGCTCAGGAGTTCAGGACCAGCCTAGACAACATGTTGAAACCCCATCTCTAATAAAAATACAAAAATTAGCTGGGCGTGGTGGTGGGCACCTGACATCCCAGCTACTCGGGACACTGAGGCACAAGAATTGCTTGAACCAGGGAGACAGAAGTTGTAGTGAGCCGAGATTGCGCTACTGTACTCTGGCCTGGATGACAGAGCAAGACTCGGTCTCAAAAAAAAAAAAAAAAAGAAGAAAAAAATCAAGCAGAAAACGTTTTCCTTCCTTCACTCCTTTCCTAGAATTTACTAGGTGCTTGTGCATAATACATGACTTCCACGTGCAGCTTCTGGTCTACAGAGAGGTGACGGTGAAGTCAGATGTGGCCCCTGAACAATCCCTACTGCCCAACAGCTCTAACACCATGGGGCCCGCACCCCATCTCCATCCATGCTAGGGAGTGAGCCCTTCCCAGAACCATGCCCAGTGAAGCCTCATCCCCAGTTCATGTCACTGGGTAACGGGAGATGGAATCTAAGTGAGGTTAGAAGGACTGCGGTGCTGGCAACAGGCCCTAAGCCTGTCATAAACAGGCTTTAAAGAAGCTGGCCATAAATAGGATTTCTGCAGCAATGAAATGTGCTCATGATGGCTATGACGCACACTGCTAAAAGTTGTTGGTTTACTGGAGAAGGGCAAGGAACACCTGGCCTGCCCAAAGTAGAAAACTGCTCAAACCACAAACAATAGGATGAGTAGCCTGTGCCTTAACAACACGTTTTTGCTGCAGATAATCAGCCAGAGCCTGTTTCTCTAATCCTTGCTAAGAATGTTTTGTTTCCTGTAAGGAATGCTTTTAGTTAATCTATAATCTATAGAAACAATGCTTATCACTGGCTTGCTGTCAATAAAATGTGGGTCAAACTCTGTTCACAGCTCTCAGCTCTGAAGGCTGTTGGCCCCCTGATCACACTTTACAGTCTATTCTTGTGTCTGTGTATTTAATTCCTCTAGCGCCACTAGGTTAGGGTCCCCACGACCGAGCTGGTCTGAGCAAGTGGCGCCTAACATGGGGCTCAAACCCTTGTCGAAGGGTCACCAGAGTGACGGCTGGAGAACGTGGAACTACACTGGAGAACACCCAAGTACTCTTAAGCAATCCCTGCGGTGAGTAAGAAGGGGAGCTCAGAAGCATCAGGGTAACAATGGGACAAGGGTCGAGCAGACACGAGGCTTATTTGAGTCTCCTTCAGCAGCTCCTCAGAAAAGGAAAAGTAAAGGTTAGCACTAGCTGACTCATGCAGGTTTTTAGTGTGGTAGAGAAATATTGCCCCTGGTATCCGGACTGAGAAACTATGAATGTAGAGGTCTGGGAAAAGGTAGGCAGCACACTGAAGAAGTCATATAAGGATGGCGCTGAGGATATTCCTATAACTGTCTGGTCAGTGTGGGCTCTGGTTCATTCCACCTTGGAGCCTTTCCACACAGATGATAAGGAAGAGGAATCAGAGGAAGAAGGGGAGTGTAATGAAGTACAGAAGAAGTGACAGAGAAGGTTTCCTTGCCAGCTAAAGCAGCAAAGGAGGGAGAGGTTTGTCCCTACCCGTCTACACCCCCTCATCATTTTGAAGAAAAAGAGTGGCCTCACCCTCCAGGTCTTTCTTTTCCAGAGGACACTGGACAAAAAGTAGTTGCCCTAGTGACTGTTCGAGCAGCGCCTCAAGCAACTGCTCTCGGTTCTATTCAGGCAGGAATCCAGCAAGCTAGATGAGAGTGTGATATGGATGCTTGGCAGTTCCCTGTTAGAATACACCCACCTGATCAACAGGGGAATATGATGGCTACATTTGAGCCTTTTCCTTTTAAAATACTTAAAGAATTTAAACAAGCTATTAATCAATATGGACCAGGTTCTCCTTTTGTAATGGGACTGTTAAAGAATGTTGCTGTCTCCAGTCAAATGATTCCTACTGACTACAATGCACTTACTTGAGCTTGTCTAACTCCTGCTCAGTTCTTACAATTTAAAACTTGGTGGGCAGATGAAGCTTCCATCCAGGCTGCTCACAACGCCCAGGCCCAACCTCAAATTAATATAACTGCAGACCAACTTTTGGGAGTCGGTGGCTGGGGTGGTTTAGATGCACAAGTGGTTATGTGGGATGATGCCATAGAGCAGCTTAGAGGAGTGTGCATTAGAGCTTGGGAAAAAAATCACTTCAGGCAGGGAACAATACCCTTCAAGTGCTGTCAAGCAGGGACTGAAAGAACTGTATGCAGATTTTATAGCTAGATTACAGGAGTCTCTTAAAAAGGTGATTGCAGATTCAGCTGCTCAGGACGTAGTGTTGTGGTTATTAGTTTTTGACAATGCCAATCCTGAGTGCCAAGCCACTCTGTGACCTATTAGGGGAAAAGCACATTTGGTTGACTATATTAAAGCTTGTGATGGTATTGGAGGTAATCTGCATAAGACTACTCTGCTAGCCCAGGCAATGGCAGGACTGAAAGTGGGTAAAGGAAATACTCCACTTCCTGGAGCTTGTTTTAACTGGGGGAAGCATGATCATATTGAAAAAGAATGTAGAAAAAACCAGCAAGTCAGGCTGCCAGTTGGGGGAAAAAAGAAATCTGCTGACCCTGAAATATGTCCAAAATGTAAAAAACGAAAACACTGGGCTAATCAGTGTCACTCTAAGTTTGATGAAGATGGGAACCCGATTTCAGGAAACGCCATGAGGGGCCCGTCCCAGGCCTCATTCCAAACCGGGGCATTTCCAGCTCAGGCCACTCCCTCACCCCCATACAATACCTGTCCCCTGCCATAGCTGGTAGTAGATTTATGCTGCACAAAACCTGTGAGCTTTCTGCCTGAGGAACCCCCGCAAAAAGTGCCAACAGGAGTCTGTGGCACCCCTTGCCAGTGGGGACAGTAGGATTACTTCTAGGTAGGTCTAGTTTAAATTTAAAAGGAGTGCAAGTACATGCAGGAGTCATTGATTCAGATTACAATGGGGAAATTTAAATTGTTATATCTACTTCTGTTCCCTGGAAAGCAGAGCCAGGAGAGCCCATAGCACAGCTCCTGTGCTACGAACAAGAGGATTTGGAAGCTCCTGTGCTATGAACTAAATGAACAGGAGGATTTGGAAGCTCGAATAAACAAGGCAAAGCAGCTTACTGGGTGAATCAAATTACTAATAAACATCCTACCTGTGAAATAACTATTAAGGAAAAAAATTTAAAGGATTGGTAGATACAGGAGAGGACATTTCAATCATTTCTCTACAGCACTGGCTGTCCGTGTGGCCAATTCAACCCACTCGATTTAACACAGTTGGAGTTGGCATAGCCCCTAAAGTATATCAAAGCAGTTATATATTGCATTGTGAAGGACCCAATGAACAATCTGGGACTATTCAACCAATTGTAACTTCTGTTTTTTGTTTTTTGTTTTTTTGAGACAGAGTCTGGCTCCATCCCCTAGGCTGGAGTGCAGTGGCGTGATCTCAGCTCACTGCAAGCTCTGCCTCCCAGGTTCACGCCATTCTCCTGCCTCAGCCTCCCAAGTAGCTGGGACCACAGGTGCCCACCACCATGCCCGGCTAATTTTTTTGTATTTTTAGTAGAGACGGGGTTTCACCATGTTGGCCAGGATGGTCTCAAACTCCTGACCTCGTGATCAACCCACCTTGGCCTCCCAAAGTGCTGGGATTACAGGCTTGAGCCACCACACCCAGCCAACCAATTGTAACTGCTGTACCTATAAATTTATGGGGAAGAGATTTATTACAGCAATGGGGAGCACAAGCGTTCATTCCAGAACAATTATATAGCCCTCAAAGTCAGCATACGATGCAAGAGATGGGGTATGTGCCTGGCATGGGATTAGAAAAAAATTTAAAAGGGTTAAAGAAACCACTTCAAGCAGAAGGACAAAATTCCCACCAGGGTTTAGGATATAATTTTTCATGGCAGCCATTGTTAAGCCTCCAGAACCTATACCTTTAAAATGGTTAACAAATAAACCAACTTGGATAAAACAATGGCCGCTAAGTAAAGAGAAACTGGAGGCTTTAGAGGACTTAGTTACTGAACAATTAGAAAAAGGACACACAGCTCCAACATTTTCCCCCTGGAATTCTCCAGTCTTTGTTATTAAGAAAAAAATCACATAAATGGAGCATGTTGACAGATCTTAGAGCCATTAATTCAGTTATACAACCTATGGGGACATTGCAGCCAGGACTGCCTTTTCCTGCTGATTCTAAAAAATTGGCCTTTAATAGTCATAGATTTAAAAGACTGTTTCTTTACTATCCCCTTAGCTGAGCAAGGCTGTGAACGGTTTGCATTTATAATTCCTGCGGTAAACAACCTGCAGCCTGCTAAGCGTTTTCATTGGAAAGTGTTGCCACAAGGCATGTTAAACTGTCCAACAATTTGTCAGACTTATGTAGAACAAGCAATTGAACCTACTCATAAAAAATTTTCAGTGTTATATTATTCATTATATGGACGATATTCTTTGTGCTGCCCCCACTCAGGAAATATTACTCCAATATTATGATCACTTAAAAAATTCGATTTCTCATGCCAGTTTAATTATAGCTCCTGACAAAAATTCAGACCACTACTCCTTACTCCTACTTAGGGACCTTAGTAAATGACACTACAGTAGTGCCACAGAAAGTAACCATAAGGATCAATTGAAAACACTGAATGACTTTCAAAAATTACTAAGGGACATTAATTGGATACAACCTGCTCTAGGCATTCCTACCTATGACATGAGTAATCTATTTTCTATCCTTAAAGGAGATCCTAGTCTCACTAGCCCTCAGCAATTAACAAAGGAGGCTGAGGCAGAGTTACAACTCATTGAAAAACAAGTACATAAAACCTCAAATAAATAGAATAGATCCAGAAAAGGCTTTAGATTTATTGATTTTTCCAACTTAGCATTCACCTACTGGTGTTACTGTCCAAAAGCAGACTTGGTAGAATGGCTTTTTCTTCCACATATGAATTCATGGATTCTAATTCATTATTTGGATCAAATTGCTACTCTGATAGGGAATGGGAGAATTTGAATTGTTAAACTGCATGGATATGACCCTGAAAAAATTATTGTCCCTCTTACAAAGGCACAAATACAACAATCCTTTATAAATCATCTTACTTAGCAAAACCACTTAGCTGATTTCGTGGGAGTGCTTAATAATCACTTTCCAAAAACAAAATTATTTCAATTTTTAAAACTAACTAGATGCTCCCTAGAATGACTAAATTTAAACCAATTAAAAGTGCTGAAAATGTTTTTACAGATGGGTCTAGTAACAGTAAAGCTTCTTACTCTGGATCAAAAACTAAAGTCTTCCACACGCCCTATACTTCAGCTCAAAAATCGGAGCTTGTAGCTGTAATTAAGGTACTGACTGCTTTTAAGATGCCTGTCAATGTAATTTCTAATTCTTCATATGTAGTCCATTCCACACAATTAAAAATGCTCAGTTATGATTTCAACAGATGAACAGCTAATGACTTTATTTACCCAGTTACAAACCACAGTTAGGAATAGAATGCACCCTTTTTCATTACTCATATTAGAGCTCATACACCCTTTCCAGGACCTTTAACTGCAGGGAATCAAATGGCTGATCGCCTAGTTGCTACTGCAATATCTAATGCCAGACACTTTCACAATTTAACCCATGTTAATGCCTCTGGTCTAAAACATAGATACAGCATTACCTGGAAAGAAGCTAAATCTATTATCCAGCAATGCGCAACTTGCCAATTGGTGCATTCCTCATCTTTTACAGGAGGAGTTAATCCTCGAGGATTGGAACCTAATTCTGTTTGGCAAATGGATGTCATTTATGTTCCTTCTTTTGGTAAACTGGCTTATGTGCATGTATGTGTAGATACCTTTTCTCACTTTGTTTAGGCTACCTGTCAAACGAGGGACTCTTCTGCCTGTGTTAAATGGCATTTTCTGCAATGCTTCGCAGTGATGGGCATTCCAGCTTTTATTAAAACAGATAACACCCAAGGCCGTACTAGCCAAGCTCTAGCTACATTTTTCTCTATATAGAGTATTAAACACATTACTGGCATCCCATATAATTCACAAGGACAAGCCATTGTGGAAAGAATGAATCTCTCCCTAAAACAGCAATTACAAAAACACAAAGGGGGGAACAGTGATTATGGAACTGCAATTATGCAACTGAATCTAGCATTATTGACTTTAAATTTTTTGAGCCTGCCTAAAGGCCAAATGCTATCAGCAGCTGAACAGCATTTACAGAAATCAGCGGCAAAGACAGAAGCAGAACTGGTTTGGTGGAGAGATCCCATAACAAAAAGTTGGGAAATAGGTAAAATAATAACTTGGGGTAGAAGTTATGCTTGTGTATCTCCAGGCCAAAACCAGCAGCCGATTTGGATACCATTAAGACACCTGAAACCTTATCATGAGCCAGATGCTGAGGAAGAGATTTTGGGAGGAACCCGAGGACCCCCCAGTTGCAGCCATGTCGAGACTGACAATAAGGCCTCCTTTTCTGTTTGGAGTAAGTGATTTAAAACTTGATCTCCCTAATCATCATGTGACTTGTCAAGAATGTACATTGTTTTCTTGAATTCTTCCCTGTATAATACTCATCATTCTATTTTAGTGGTAAGAGCCTGAGAAGGAGTATGGATACCTGTAAAGCTTTCCTGTCCTTGGGAAGCCTCTCCTTCTGTGCATACATTACTGAAATTCTTCAAAAGAGTTTGAGGTACTCTCGGTGTTTCATTGCCACTTTAATTTTAATCATTATGGGATTGATTGCTGTCACAGCTACTGCCACGGTAGCTGGAGTTACTTTGCATTCCACAGTACAAAGAGCAGACTACGTAAATAATTGGCAGAAAAATTCTACTTTGCAGTGGAATTCCCAAACTAACACAGACTGAAAACTAGCTAATCAAATCAATGATCTCCGATAAACTGTAATGCGGCTAGGAGATCAAGTAGTTAGTCTAGAATATAGAATGCAGATACAATGTGATTGGAATACTTCTGATTTTTGCATTACTCCTCATCTGTATAATGAAACAGAGCATGAGTAGGAAAGAGTTAAGAGACATTTAAAGGGTCATACTGGAAATTTATCTTTAGATATTACAAAACTGAAGGAACAAGTATTCCAAGCCTCTCAGGCACATCTGATGCTAATGCCAGGAACTAAAGAGCTTGAAGGAGCTGCAGACAGATTAGCAGCTATTAACCCGTTAAAATGGATCAAGACAATTGGAGGCTCCCTGATTTCAATGATGATTGTGCTTTTAATCTGTGTTGTTTGTCTTTGTGTAGCATGCAGATCCAAATCCCGAATCCCGAATCCTGTGAGAAGTAGCCCACCGTGACAAAGCAGCCTTTGCCTTTGTCACTTTGCAAAAACAGAAAGGGGAACATGCTGGCAACAGGCTTTAAAGAAATTGGCCATAAGCAGGATTTTTGCAGCAATGAAACGTGCTTGTGATGGCTATGACACACACTGCTAGAAGCTGTTGGCTTACTGGAGCAGGACAAGGAACACCTGGCCTGCCCGGAGTGGAAAACTGCTCAAACCACAAACAATAGCATGAGTGGCCTGTGCCTTAACACGTTTTTGCTGCAGATAATTAGCCAAAGACTGTTTCTCTACTCCTTGCTAAGAATGTTTTGTTTCCCATAAGGAATGCTTTTAGTTAATCTATAATCTATAGAAACAATGCTTATCAATGGCTTGCTGTCAATAAATATGTGGGTCAAACCCTGTTCGCAGCTCTCAGCTCTGAAGGCTGTTGGCCCCTGATCCCACTTTACACTCTATTCTTGTGTCTGTGTCTTTAATTCCTCTAGTGCCACTAGGTTAGGGTCCCCACGACCAAGCTGGTCTCGGCACTGAGGGAAGGCATAGGTAAGCGTGAGCAAACCTGTCAGGCAGGACACTTCAGACTCAGAGAAGACTCCCAACTCGAAGGCCCAGCGTTTCTGAAAGAAAGGAGACAGAACAATCCACCGAGAATATCATCTCACCTGAGGAAGAGCCATCCCTGACTCCTTTGCTTTCCTCTTCCTTCTCTTCTGGGCTTTTTCATCACACAGCATGACTCTTTAGAAGTCAATCCTAAATGTCAAAAATATGCTGTTTAGGGCTTAGAATCAACACACCCTTTTCCTGTGCCACAATCACACACACAGGTTAGACCTCACCCTGCGGAAAGATGTCCTCTGCTGCCCACTGCACCAGAGTTGATGCAGAGACAAGAAACTCCTACAGGAAGAACAACAAGTGAGTTTTTTACTCGTCTTCAGAACCTGCTCCCCTCCTAGAGATGCCCACACGCACGCTGCAGCAGTGGGGAGCTGGCCTGGTCTAAGCTCCCCTTCAGGGCCAGACCCAGCCCTGACCAAACCCCATGCAGAGCACAGCCCCTCCTCTCCTCTCTATGGATCCCAGGCTCATGTAATCCCTCAGAAATGGAGGACACAGAGCCTTGGTGCTCAGCACCAGAGACAGAACACACTGGAATCCCCGTATCCATGGGGAAGATGTCCCAAGACCCCCATTGGATGCCTGGAACTTCAAACAGTACTGAACTCCATTTATTCCACCCTGGCCAACATTGTGAAACCTCGTCTCTACTAAAAATACAAAAATTAGCTGGGCGTGGTGGCACACACCTATAATCCCAGCTACTTGGGAGGCTGAGGCAGGAGAAATGCTTGAAACTGGGAGATGGATGTTGCAGTGAGCTGAGATCATGCCATTGCACTCCAGCCTGGGCAACAAGAGTGAAACTCTGTCTCAAAACAAAACAAAAGAAAAAAAAAATCAGGGTATCCCAAAGCCCCTTCTTTTGATTAATTTGCTAGGAGGGTTCTTCCATCGGGCTAGTCATCTGTATCTTTTGCAATATTCTTCATAGCAAATGGGTAAAACTAAGCAAAATGCTTCCTTGAGTTCTGTGAATGAGGCTAACAAATTAATAAAATCTGAGCAAAGGGTCAAGGGAATCTTCAATTTTTAGATGTTTGGTTGAAGTTCAGGTCCCAACCAGGAACTTACAACCAGCACGTGAAGTAGCGGCAGCCTTGTGGAACTGAGCCCCCAACCTGTGGGATCTGATGCTAACTTCAAGTAGACAGTGTCAACTTGACTGAAATTACGGATCACCCAGGCGGTGTCTGACGAATTGCTTGTTGGTGGGAAGAAATCCCCACACATTTTGTTCATCAGATATGAAGCATTCTGTGTTGAGTGTTCACTATTGTGTTGACTGCAAGAGTAGGAAAAACACTTTGGTTTTCCTGCTATCTTTTACACTCGCCCACACCCTACCCCATCCCAGGAAAAGGAAAGTGGGTGACCCACACCTGAATGACTCAAGTCACTGACCTGTGCCTGAATAGGGAATGTGAGTGGAAGCTAAAGTCTGATGCCAAGAATTATAAAATGCACCAGCCTTACAGACAGGAGTTTTGCATATCCATTTTCATCTGTATTTTTAAAGTATATTTCATATTATCAAATTATAAATAGATAAATCAATGTCACAACTTAATCATAATATCCAATCAACTCACCGTTCATCTGCACCCAGGGTTCCCTCTTTTCTGGGTACTGTGTTTCCCTCCCTCATTCTGTACGTATCTCTCATTCTCACCTTCTTTCTCTAGCTTTTTTCCCCCTTTATTTTTCCCCTAAGATTCTGCTCATTTTGAGCCCCTCTCTTCTCCTGATGTTTCTCCCCTTCTTCCTTCTATTCCTTCTCTTCCACCTGTTCTGCTCCATTCTGGCAACTTGTTTCACCCCTCTTCCAAACTTTCTGCTCAATCTTTGATCATCCCATTCTCCACCTATTTGTCTCTTTTTTTTTTTTTTCCCTGAGACGGAGTTTTGCTCTTGTCGCCCAGCCTGGAGTGCAATGGCGCAATCTCAGCTCACTGCAACCTCCGCCTCCCGGGTTCAAGCAATTCTCCTGCCTCAGCCTCCTGAGTAGCTGGGATTACACGCGCGCGCTGACGCCCGGCTAATTTTTGCATTTTTAGTAGAGATGGGGTTTCACCATGTTGCCCACGCTGGTCTCAAACTCCTGACCTCACGTGATCCACCCACCTTGGCCTCCCAAAGTGCTGGGATTACAGGCGTGAGCCACTGTGCCCGGTCTTGCCTCTTCCCCTGACTCTACTCCCCCTCTGCTCTCTCTGTTAAATCCCTTCTTTTCTGTTACACCCCCTTGTCCCCACTCTCTGGCACCCTGAGATCCCAGGCCTCCACCTGCTGTGGTTCTCCCTCTGCTCTCGTTGTCACCAGCTGACTCCTCTTGCTGTCCCAGCACCACGCTGCTCTGTCTGCCCTGGCTCCAAATCCCTCCCCCTCTCCCCCACTCTCAAACTGAGGAACTTCCCACTTTGCTGCCCCTCTCACTATCTTGCTGTCCTTCATCTCTCCGGAGATGGAACTTTTCTCTGCATTTCTCCAGTTGCTTTTTTCCCCCTGCTACTTTCTCGGCTTCATTCGCTGTCTCTGCAAATCCTCCATCCACTCTCTACTTTGCCATCTGCTTACGGCTCTCCCTCAATCTTCTTTTCTCCTTCAAAATTTTTCTCTTTCTTCTCCCTCGCTCTCCGTCTCTCTTTCTGCACACATTCACATGGAAGGAATTGGGATCCGATGTCCACAAGCAGAACACCTTTTCAGTGGGGTGTTATTTGGCCCGCAAGAACACTGGATGTCAAGAGACAGAGTAAGTCACCTCCCCACACGCAGGGTTAGGAGAAGCGGTGTCTGGGAAGAGGAGGCCTGGGGAGTAGCGGGGCCCCGTATCAAGGAGGGTAAAGGTAGGGTCTGGATCAAGAGATGGGTGGCGTCTGCAGAATCCCAGCACTGGGCAGAAGACGCGGCTTCTCCTGGATTGAGATTGGAGCGCTGTGCTCCAGGGCCAACAAAGGCGAGGCTTGGGGGACCGCATAGACCGGAATCCGCCTAGCGGGGGAGGACTTTACGCTGTGCGGGGCGGATGTAAGCATCACTGAAGGACTTGAAACAGGAAAACTCCGCGACAGGAGGTGACTACATGGCCCTGTGGCAGAAGGACGGGGGACAGGACCCGCCGCCGAGCGATTTAAACACACAGGGAAGCGACCGCCTGACTCTCACGGAGACGCCTGAATTTGGTCGGGGTAGAGGGAGCGGTGCGAGGATTTCAAGGTCTGTGTGGCCCCTCAGATCCCGGGTACAGAAGCGCGGGGGAGTTGGGAAGCGCAGATTAATTTACACAAAGGGAAACTCACGCGCCGCGGCGTGACCTTCACTCCACGCGATCCGCTTCCGGGTTTGTGGGAAACTGCGCGCGCAGCGGAGGGGTCCGAGCGGGGCGGGGGCGGGGGCGGGGGCGGGGGCGGGGGCGGGGGCGGGGGCGGGGGCGGGGGCGGGGGCGGGGGCGGGGGCGGGGGCGGGGGCGGGGCGGAGTGGGGCTTGCGCTTCCCTCCGCCTCGCTTCCAGTGCCTCTGTTTTCCGGGTTTTGCCGGGGAGACCTGTCAAGGAGACTGGAGCAACTCAGCTGTCTCGGAACTGTACTCTTGCCGGGACTGAGCAAAGTCGGCTAATGATTAGATCCAGGAAAATTCCTGCTATTAAAGTTAATCTTAAGCCGACCGTGCGGTCGGGCACCTGTAGTCCCGGCTACCCCGAAGACTGAGGCGGGAGGATCGCTTGAGCCCAGGAGTTCGAGTTTACACTGAGTTATGACGGCCACTGCACTCCAGCTTGGGCGACAGAGACTCAGTCTCTCAAATAAATACATAAAAAACTAAATTTAGCAATTTAATTAAGCCCTGGGATTGTCTGTGAAAGCGACGCAAGTTAATACATGAACTGCAAAGCCCTGCCTGGGCAGAATGTGCAATTTCATGCTGACGGCCCACAAAGCAGAATAGAAATCCTCTCCTTTTCTATTCCCTGTTCTTTCGGGAGGGACAGAGGTAACCCTGTGCTCAGCTCCAGAGAGTTTTCTAGTGACAGCACCAGGGGCATGGAGGGCTAAGGCCAGTGAGAATTTAGGTCACCAATTGTTGGTTTTAAAAAAGCATTAACCGGGCGAGGTGGCTCACACCTGTAATCCCAGCACTTTGGGAGGTCAAGGCAGGTGGATCATTTGAGGTCAGGAGTTCGAGACCAGCCTGGCCAACACGGTAAAACCCCATCTCTACTAAAAATACAAAAATTAGCTGGGCATGGTGGCATACGCGTGTAATCCCAGCTACTCAGGAAGCTGAGGCAGGAGAATCGCTTGAACCTGGGAGGCGGAGGTTGCAGTGAGCTGAGATTGTGCCACTGCACTCCAGACCAGGCAACAGAACAAGACTCTGTCTCAAAAAAAAAAAAAAAAAGTCAAAAAATATGTTAATTTAACATTCTCAGGATTTTAAAACTACAAAATGCTGATGAAAGAAATCAAAGACACCCAGATAGAGACATATACAATATCAATTTATTGATAAACTCAACATAGAAAAAAATGTGAAATTACCCCAAATTGATACACAGGGTTAATATATTTACTATCAAGGCACTTCGTAGATACTGACAAGATTATCCAAACAATTATGTAGAAAAGCAAAAAACAAAACAAACCAACAGAAATCCCAAAAAACCTGGAATAGCTCAAACATCTGAAAAAAAAGATAGAGCAGCATGCTCCCGGGAGGTGAAGGTTGCAGTGAGCTGAGATCACTCCATTGCACTCCAGCTTAGGCAACAAGAGTGAAACTCCATCTCAAAAAAATAAATAATAAAATAAATAAATAAAATAAAGATAAAGGGTTGGAATCACTTCACGTTACTTCAAGTCCTCTAATATAGTGAAAGCATTTTTTCCTTTTTCATATTTACAATAAAACGTTTATACCTGCCATTGTCTTGTGCATACTCTTGTCAAAAAATATTGTCTCCAAACAACAGTCTCATTTTTGTGTCCCCTAAAATTTTCACTAGAGTGACATTCGGAAAAAATGTATTAAGCATAGCATCTGGCCGGGCATGGTGGCTCATGCCTGTAATCCCAACACTTTGGGAGGCCGAAGCGGGTGGATCACCTGAAGTCAGGAGTTCAAGACCATGCCTGGCCAACATGGTGAAACCCCATCTCTATTACAAATACAAAAATTAGCCAGGTGTGGTGATGGTGCATGTCTGTAATCCCAGCTATTCGGGAGGCCGAGGCAGGAGAATCACTTGAGCCTGGGAGGCGGAGGCTGCAATGAGCCAAGATCACACCGCTGCACTCCAGCCTGGGTGACAGAGCAAGACTCTGTCTCAAAAAAAAAAACAAACAAGCATAGCATCTGGATGCAATGTACAGAAAAAGAAAAAAGTAAAAAAAAAATATTATATATGTGTCTATACGTGCATATATAAACACAAAATATAATTTTATTAGAGTTGAAAATGAACCATGGAATATATTGCTTGATGCTGTAACGGGAAAATGACATTTCCATAGCTTTTGGAAAAATGCTCTTCTAGTAATATCATATTTATAACAAATATATTTTAATCATATTATATAATACATTATATTTATTATAAACCCACACACTAATTTTCATTGTCTACTATAAAAAGTATCTTAGGCAATTTTACTAAAAAAATTTCACAAGTGTTTTCAACAATCATATTGTGCAATGAGACCTGTATCTGTAACTATAAAAGGAACGTAAGATATTATCATGAAGAAAATCAGAGTCTTTCCTAACCAAGATGGCAGGAGCTTCCAGAGGAAGCTAGAGTTGTCCTAGAGTTGACTGCATTTTGTGATGTCTGAACACCAACGCCTTTTACACCTCTGCACTCCCTCTTCCTATTCTGCCCATCTGGTCAACTGAAAAATCCTCAGTGCCCACTCCTTTGGCACCAGCTGAAAGTTCAAACCACAAGTGGGCACCCCTGCCCAAGCCCTATCCCTTAACAATCATCATACCCCAAGCCAGTCACCTATGCCGATTCCCTAGTCATATTTGGACCAACCGGGGAAGTCTACCCTGCTCTCCCCAGAAAGCCTCATTATGGAGTAAACATTTTGAGATCACATTAGTGAATGGCATCATCATTCTCAATACCCAAACCAAACTTCAGGTGGATGTCAAAGCAGTTCCAGAAGAATGATCAAAAGTTCAAATTACCAAAAAGGTTATAAGGGTGAAAATGTGAAGTTTCTAGTTAATCTACCAAAGCAAAACGAAATTCCCAATCTGTGTGTTCATCCTCAAGAGAACATTTCTGAACATTAATATTTTTTCAAATTATGTCACTGAGCGCTACGAGGTCAACAGCAAGATTGTTACAATATTTTCATCCTGAAGTCCACACTTTGTCCTATTTTCCATATTACTGTATCTGTATTTTCGCTTCCTGAAAATGAAGGTGCCTGCCATGGGTCTTACTTGGCACACAAGAAAAAGGCACACAGAAACATAATACAGTGCATGTTTATCAACAGTGATGAACATTGAGGGCATATGATGATGAAGCTGCACTGTTATGTGATTTTCACTTTACCCACAAAAGCATCTTAGGGCAGAGTAGAGAGGTAGGCCAAGTGTGGTGGCTCATGCCTATAATCCCAGCACTTTGGGAGGCCGAGGTGGGCAGATCACCTGAGGTCAGGAGTTCGAGACCAGCCTCACCAATATGGAGAAACCCTGTCTCTACTAAAAAAACAAAATTAGCTGGGCATGGTGGCACATGCATGTAATCCCAGCTACTCGGGAGGCTGAGGCAGGAGAATCACTTGAACCTGGAAGGCGGAGGTTGCGGTGAGCCGAGATCACACCATTGCACTCCAGCCTGGGAAACAAGAGCGAAACTCCATCTCAAAACAAAACAAAACAAACAAAAAACAAAAACAAAGAGTAGAGAGAATAACTTAAGTACTAAGTATTATTACCCAAAATCATACTTACCCAAGTGTATATACCCAAAAGTGCATGTCATTTCATTTCACACACAAAATTGTTGTGGATGCTTCAACCTTAAAAATCCTGGCCAGGCGCCGTGGCTCATGCCTGTAATCTTAGCACTTCGGGAACCCGAGGTGGCTGGATCACCCGAGGTCAGGACTTCGAGACCGGCCTGGCCAACATGGTGAAACCCCATCTCTACTAAAAATACAAAAAAATTAGCCGGGTATGGTGGTGCATGCCTGTAATCCAGCTACTTGGGAGGTGTAGACAGGAGAATCACTTGAACCCGGGAGGCAGAGGATGCAGTGAGCCAAGATCGTGCCATTGCACTTCAGCCTGAGTGACAGAGCAAAACTTCATCTCAAAAAAAAAAAAAAAAAAGGAATACTATGCAGCCATAAAAAGGATGAGTTCATGTCCTTTGCAGGGACATTGATGAAGCTGGAAACCATCATTCTCAGCAAACTATCACAGTGACAGAAGACCAAACACCCCATGTTCTCACTCATAGGTGGGAATTGATCAATGAGAACACCTGGACACAAGGCGGGTAACATCACACACCGGGGCCTGTCGGGGGGTGGGGGGCTGGCAGAGGGATAACATTAGGAGAAATATCTAACGTAAATGACAAGTTGATGGGTGCAGCAAACGAATATGGCACATGTATACCTATGTAACAAACCTGCATGTTGTGGACATGTACACTAGAACTTTAATTTTAAAAATAAATTAATTTAAAAATCCTAATGGTGCCTTATTATTGTCTGCTATAAAGTATCCTCCTGAGACGAGATAAAACAATATTGGTAGAAAGAAGGTAAATCATTCACACTTTGGAAAATTTCAACTTTATTGTTCCAAACATGAGAAAATCCAACAGTTGCAAATTATGCCAGCAGTTAAATGTGAATCCTACTCAAGAACATGTTCCACTGGTAGTTTTGATTAAACTCTCTACTCTGATTTAACTGTTCTCTCTTCCATTTGAAAAATCAGAGTACTTTTTAATCAGTCTTTGCTAAACAGCAGCTATTGCTATTCAATGGAGACGGTGGCCACCATTTCCCCTGCATCGTCTCTCCTACGTAATCAGTCCCTGATGAACTCTCTTCCCATAAAAATCCCTGTGTCCTAAAGTCATGGCGTGCTCTATTTCATGGTCATTTGTAGAGCACAGCAGCACTGTGCCTGTCAGGAAAAGTGTGTGCTAACTGCAATAAGCATGATGACTGCCATCACGGTTTTGTTATTCTCTGTCCACCTCCATGGTCTCTAAATCAGACAATCTTTAATCTGAAAAGGCAGTGTCCTTATTCCTCCAGGAAACTGGATAGAAACGCTCCTCATCTAATGAAGTCAGCCCTGTCATCTTACTGATTCTTTCCCAGACCACAGTGAAAGGCCTGTAGGGAAGGCACATGAAGAAATTTCAAAGTTCAGGTTGAAGTCATAAAAACTAGCCTTTTTTTTCTTTTGAGACAGGGTCTCGCTCTGTCACCCAAGCTGGAGTACAAATGGCAAGATCAGAGCTCACTGCTCAAACTCTCAAACTCCTGGGCTTGAGCAATCCTCTTGCCTCGGCCTCTTGAGTAGCTGGAACTACAGACACATGCCAAGGGCCTGGCTTATTTTTTTTATTTTGTAGGGATGGGCCTTGCTACGTTGCCCATACTTATCTTGATCTCCAGGCATCAAGTGACCCTCCTGTCTTGGCTTTCTATTGTGCTGAGATTATAGGCATGAACCACTGCCCCTGGCCTTTCAAACCCAAATAATTTTTTTTTTTTTTTGAGACGGAGTCTCGCTCTGTCACCCAGGTTGGAGTGCAGTGGCGCGATCTCAGCTCACTGCAACAACCTCTGCCTCCTGGATTCAAGCAATTCTCCTGCCTCAGCCTCCCGAGTAGCTGGGATTGCAGGCATGTGCCACCACGCCTGGCTAATTTTTTTGTATTTATAGTAGATATGGTGTTTCACCATATTGGCCAGGCTGGTCTCAAACTCCTGACCTTGTGATCCACCTGCCTCAACCTCCCAAAGTGCTAGGATTACAGGTGTGAGCCACTGCGCCCAGCCAATTACATTTTTAATAACCCGAATATTACAGATCATTTCCACGTGTCCTTGCACCCTTTATACACATCATATCATTAGGTTCAACATATTTTGACTTGTTGGCCTTGGCACACACAATCCATTTGTGTGGTTTCACCAAAGATGAATGTTTCGATGTCTAGTGATTTGGTAGGTCTCGATACAGCCTGTGCCACATATAGTACATTTAAATGATTTCTTTCTAGTATAGACTCTCGGATGTTGATTACTGCTAGAACTTATGATAGAGTTTGCCAAACTCAGTTTGTAAGGACTCTCTCATGAACACTTCTCTGATGCTGTACAAACCATGAACTGTGCCTAAAGACCTTACCACACACATGGCATTTGTAAGGTTTCTCTCCAGTGTGGATTCTCTGATGATTTGCAAGGTGTGAATTCTGAGTGAAGACTTTGCCACACTCATTACATTTGTAAGGTTTCTCTCCAGTGTGAATTTTCTGATGTCGTGCAAGATGTGAAACTTGAGTGAAGACTTTGCCACATTCATGACATTTATAAGGTTTCTCTCCATTATGATTTCTCTGATGAACTGTCAGGGAGAACTTGTGCCTAAAAGCTTTGTCACATTCTTTACATTTGTAAGGTTTCTCTCCAGTGTGGATTAACAGATGGGTGGTGAGGCTTGAATGCCCACTAAATTCTTTGCCACATTTATTACATTTGTAAAGTTTCTCTCCTGTATGAATTCTCCAATGTTGTGCTAGGTATGAACTGCTACTATAAACCTTGCCACATTTGTTACATTTATGAGGTTTCTCTCTAGTATGAATTTTCTGATGTCGTACAAGGTATGTAATTCGACTGAAGACCTTGCCACACTCATTACATTTGTAAGGACTCTCTCCAGTATGCACTTTCTCGTGTCGTGCAAGGTATGCAATTCGATTGAAGAGCTTGCCACACTCTTTACATTTGTAAGGTTTCTCTCCTGTACGAATTCTCCAATGTTCTGCGAGGCCTGACTTGTCCCTGACGGTTTTACCACATTCATGACATCTGTTAGGTTTATCTGCAGTGTGGATTACTTGATGATTAGGAAGGCTTGAAGACACTCTGAAGACTTTGCCCTGCTCATTACATTCGTAAGGTTTTCTCCTAATGTGTGCTTTCTGTTCTTGTGACAGCAATGGAAAATCAACAAAATCATTCCTATGTTTATTAAATATGTGGGTTTTGACCCCAGAGTAAATTCTTTGAAGTGGCGAAACTGAAGAACTGTGGCTGATGAACTTTTGAACTTGATTACATTCATAAATCTTCCCTTCACCTTGAAATATCTCCAGTTCTGGCAGAGGTAACTGAAAGGTTAATCCAAGTTGATTTGTAATAGGCTTGTTTCCTGCTTTGCTTCTCACTGCACAGCTCCTCCCTAGGAAAGCAAGTAAAGAGTATAATTTGAACCCATGGTTCTGGCATGTTTTTTGCACTTTTTTTGAGTTGGAGTCTGGCTTTGCCACCCAGGCTGGAGTGCAGTGGCACGATCTCGGATCACTGCAAGCTCCGCCTCCCAGGTTCCCGCCATTCTCCTGCCTCAGCCTCCCAAGTAGCTGGGACTACAGGCGTCCGCCACCACGCCCAGCTAATTTTTTTGTATTTTTAGTAGAGACGGGGTTTCACTGTGTTAGCCAGGATGGTCTCGATCTCCTGACCTCGTGATCCGCCCGCCGTGGCCTCCCAAAGTGCTGGGATTATAGGTGTGAGCCACCGCGCCCGGACTCTGGCATGTATAGACCCTGATGGAGGAACTGGAATCTGCCTCATCTGATTCAGACACTGGAAGAAATATCAGCATAGTATCACACTGGCAGTGGAGAAAACCCAAAAGGTAGGGTGATGCAATGGAGCAATGGGGAATCTACAGGACTCAGGAGGATTACAGGTGAGTTTGAGAGGGATTATGAGTAGAGAAATACAACAGAAATTGAAAGCTTCTAAGAAAAAGCAGGATGAGTCTCTTAGGGAAAATAAGACACTTATGAGCAGCTGCATAGGCCAGGTGTGGTGGCTGTAATCCCAGCACTTTGGGAGGGCGAGGTGGGCGGATCACTTGAGGTCAGGAGTTCGAGACCAGCCTGGCCAAAATGGTGAAACCCCGTCTCCACCCAAAAATACAAAAATTAGCCGGGTATGGTGGTGTGTGCCTGTAATCCCAGCTACTCAGGAGGCTGAGGCCGGAGAACTGCTTGAACCCGGCAGGCAGAGGTTGCAGTGAGCTGAGACTGTGCCATTAAACTCTAGCCTGAGTGACAGAATGAGAATCCGTTTCAAAAAAAAAAAAAAACCACATGCGGTGGCTCACGCCTGTAATCCCAGCACTTTGGGAGGTCAAGGTGGGTGGATCATGAGGTGAGGAGCTCAAGACCAGCCTGATCAACATGGTGAAACCCTATCTCTACTAAAAATAAAAAAATAAAAAAAATTAGCCAGGTGTGGTGGCGTGCGCCTGTAATCCCAGCTACTCAGGAGGCTGAGGCAGAAGAAGAATCACTTGAACCCGGGAGGCAGAGGTTGCAGTGAGCCGAGATCGTGCCACTGCACTCCAGCCTGGGTGACAGAGCAAGGCTCTATCTCAAAATAAATAAATAAAAGTAAATAAATAAAAATAAAATAAAAGGAAAATTAGGAAATATCTTGATATAAAGGAAAATGTAAATATAACACAGCAAAACTCATGAAATGCAATAAAAATAGTGCTGGAAGGGATATTGTAATGATGTATGCATACATGAAAAAAAAAAAACGGCTGGGTGTGGTGGCTCACACCTATAATCGCAGCACTTTGGGAGGCTGAGGTGGGAGGATCTCTTGAAGCCAGGAGTTGCAGACCAGCCTAGGCAACAAAGTGAGACCCCTTATCTCTAAACAAAATAAATAAATAAAATAAAATAAATTAGTTTTAATTAGTGAGGCACAGTGTCGTGTGCTTGTAGTCCCAACTACGCAGGAGGCTAAAGTGAGATCATCACTGGATTCCAGGATCTATGATCATGCTGCTGCACTCCAGCCTAAGTGACACAGTGAGACCCTATCTCTTAAAAACTAAATAACTAAACTACAATGAAATAACGTATAAACAACCTAACTTTATATCTCAATAAAGAAAAAAATGAACACGACCAGGCACGGTGGCTTACACCTGTAATCCCAGCACTTTGGGAGGCCAAGGCGGGTGGATTGCCTGAGCTCAGGAGTTCGCGACCAGCCTGGGCAACAAGGTGAAGCCCCGTCTCTACTAAAATTCAAAAAATTAGCTGGACATGGTGGCATGTGCTCACAGTCCCAGCTACTTGGGAGGCTGAGGCAGGAGAATTGCTTGAACCTGGGAGGCGGAAGTTGCAGTGAGCCGAGATCACACCACTGTACTCCAGCCTGGGCGACAGAACAGGACTCCATCTCAAAAAAAAAAAGAAAAAGAAAAAAATGAACACTAAGATAGCAGAAAGAAAAAATAAAGGTTAGAAAACAAAGAAAACAGCAGAGAAGCACTAGAGAAAGTCAGGAAAGTAAGAGTTCACTCTTTGGGTAAGACTTTTGACAAAGCCTTACCTAAACTAGAAAAAAGAAACATGAAGCATACGACCGAAATAACTACAATTAGAAAGGTAAAAGAGGACATTACAAACAAGTCTACACAAATAAAAATGGAAATTAAATGAGACTCAACAATTATATAACAAAAAATATGTTAACCAAGAAAAAAATGGATAAATTTGTAGATAGACACCACTTACCAAGACTTAACAATGAAGTAGAAAATCTAAACACACCAGTAACAAATAAGAAGACTGAATCAGTTATTAAATACCTACCAACTAAAACAGCAATGGACCAGATGACCTCAGTGTAAAATTCTATCAAATATTGAAAAAAGATTTAACACCAATCCTCAAAATCTGCCGTAAGGTTGAGGAGGTGAACCACTTCTACACACATTCAATGAGGCCAGTGTTACCTTGAAAGCAGAGGCAAAGGCCCTAAAGAAAACAGCAGAGCAGGCTGGGCGTAGTGGCTCACGCCTGTAATCCCAGCACTTTGGGAGGCCAAGGCGGGCAGATCACGAGGTCAAGAGTTCAAGACCAGCCTGACCAACACAGTGAAACCCCGTCTCTACTAAAAATACAAAAATTAGCTAGGCGTAGTGGCACGCGCCTGTAATCTCAGCTACTTGGGAGGCTGGGGCAGGAGAACCGCTTGAACCCGGGAGGCGGAGGTTGCAGTGAGCCGAGGTCACACCACTGCATTCCAGCCTGGGCGACCGGGCGAGACTCCGTCTCAAAAAAAAAAAGAAAACTGCAGAGCAGGTCGGGCACGGTGGCTCACACCTGTAATCCCAGCACTTTGGGAGGCTGAGGCAGGCAGATCACCTGAGGTCAGGAGTTCGAGACCAGCTTGGCCAACATAGTGAAACACTGTCTCTATTAAAATATAAAAGTTATCCGGGCATGGTGGCAGGTGCCTGTAGTCTCAGCTACTTGGGAGGCTGAGGGAGGAGAAGCACTTGAGCCCAGTAGGCAGAGGCTGCAGTGGGCCGAGATCAAGCCACTGCACTCCACCTTGGGCCACAGTGAGACTCCATCTTAAAACAAAACAAAACAAAACTGCAGAGCAATATTCCTGATTAATCTAATGCAAAAATCCTCAACAAAATGGTAGCTAAATAAATTCAGCAGCATATTAAAATGGATCACACCTCATGACCAAGTAAGATTTATTTCAGGAATGCAAGAAGGATGCAACTTTGGAACATTAGTCTATGTAATATCCCACAATAACAGAATAAAGAAAAAGAAATCCATGCAATAATCTCAGCTGATGCAGAAAAACATTTGAAAAACCTTAGCAATTATGATAAAAACACTCGCCAGGCACGGTGGCTCATGCCTGTAATCCTAGCACTTTGGAAGGCCAAGGCGGGAGGATCGCTTGAGCTCAGGAATTCCAGACCAGCCTGGCTAACACAGCGAAACTCCACCTCTACAAAAAATACAAAAATCAGCCAGGCATGTGGTTGAGGTGAGAGGATTGTTTGAGCCTGGGAGGTGGAGGCTGCAGTGAGCCAAGGTCAAGATCAGGACAGCATGAGACACTCCCCCAAAAGAAAAAAAAAAAAAAGAAAGAAAAACACTCAACACACTAGGAATACGAGGAACTTACTTAACATAATAGAGTCCATATATAAAAAGCCGAAAGGTAACATCATACTCAATATTGAAAGAATGAAGGCTTTTCCTTTATAATTAGGGGGGAAAAGCCCACTTGGATTCTTTCTTTCTTTCTTTTTTTTTTTTTAATTGAGCTCTTCCGGGATCCAGGTCTTTCTTGACTCTCTGGTCTTATATCATTTAAATGCAGTGGTACCCACTTGTGCTTATTAACTCTCTTTCATTGATTACTGACTGGGTGCACATCCATTATTTCGATTCAGAATCCCTCCCTTGGTATCCAGGGAGGACACGTTCCAGGCTCCTCTGTGTGGTGTTATGATACACATATACCTTGGTTTTTGTCCACAGTTCCTGGCTCATAACTCCCATAGCCCTTGCTACAGTCTTTGGGTATAATGTTGGGTTAGACCTTCTCTGCAGACCTTAAGAAAAATAACCTCTCCAACCTTCTCCTCCTCTTCTTTCACCTGCCCTAAGGCAGGACTCTAACTTTCCCCCTACCTTTCTGATTGCGGGTCTTAAGACCTCCCCAGAGAGGTTCCTGCTGTATACCCTGGGGGAAGGAATGCTGATGTCACAAAGCTTCCATGAAAACCCAAGAGGACTGGGTTCCAAGAGCTTCAGGATGTCTGAACACATGGCGGCTTCCTGGAGAGTGGCACGCCCAGGGAGGGCTTGGAAGCTCCACAGTCCTTCCCCCATACCTGTCCCACATGTCTCTTCATCTGTACCCTTGCAATATCCTTCATAATAAACCGGTAAACCTGAGTGTTTCTGTGACTTCTGTGAGCTGCTCTAGCAAACTAATTGGGCCCAAAGATGGGATTGTGGAAACCTCAACTGGAAGCCAGTTGGTCAGAAGTTTGGAGACCCAGACTTGCAACTGGTGGGAAGGGGGGCAAGTCTTGGAGACTGAGCCCTAAACCTGTGGGACCTGGCCCTATCTCCAGATACAGTGTTGGAAGTGAGTTGGAGGACACCCAGCTGCTGTCTGCTGCTTGGTGTATGGGGAAAACCCCCCACACCTTTGGTCAGAGAAGTCTTCTTCTGTGTTGATAATTGTCGTGGTGGTGTGAGAGCAGAGGAAAAACATGGTTTGCGAGTTTTGTGCTAAAAAACCCTGAGATACCAAAATGTGTGATGCTCAAGTCCCTTACTATTGGCCTTCATATCCATGGTTTCTATATCTGCAGGTATAGAAAGCCCAGAAAGACCAGGCCATGGTTAGAAGCACAGAATTGTCAGCACCAACCACCATCCTCCAGGAAGGGTACAGGGGCTGGAGACTGAGTTAATACCAATCATGCCTAAGTAATGAAGCCTCCATAAAAGTTCCTGAGAGCTTCCACATGCTGAACACGTGCGGTGGGCCTCAAGGGCGGCACACCCAGTGAATCTTCCCATGTGCCTCGCCTTGTGAATCTCCTCATCTGGCTGTCCATCTGTATCCTTGGAAACATCCTTCCTCATGAACCAATAAACATAACGAAGTGTTTCACTGAGTTCTGTAAGCCACCCTAGCAAAGTAACCAAACAGAAGAAGGGGGTCGAGGGAACCCTGACTTGTGGCTGGTTGGTCAGATGGAAAGGTGACAACCCGCTACTGGCAATTGGTGGCGGACAGGCTTGGGAACTCAACCCTTAGCCTGTGGGACGCGACTCTAACTCAGGTAGATAGTGTCACCAATGAATTGCAGGAAACCCCAAAACTGGTTGCTGGTGGGGAGAAATCTCCACACATTTTGGTGACCAGAAATGAAGCATTCTGTGCCAAGTAGCATGTGAGAGTAGGAAAATCACTGACTTTTTCCCACCTCAAACAGAACTGAACAGGCAAAGAGGGCTTGAAACAGCTCCATGCAGTTTCCAGGACCCAGATGCAAAAGACAGCAGCCTGTGTTTTCCCATCTCCCCATCAGGTCTTCCCAGTACAGGAAATGGGCAGATCATGAATAGGTCAAGGAGGCAGGTCTATGCAGACCTCAGCTCTGATGTATAAGGACAGAGAACTGAGCATCAGATAAAATCCCATACAGGAAGAGACCACAGGGAAAAGGGACTCCTTTGAAGCAGCGCTCTCTGTGACCCTCAGAATCAAGGACTAAAGAGTTGACAGAAGCCACATGACAGGGTATTGTCCATCATGATAAAAGCCTTTGCTTTTGCCTCTGTTTGGGCTGCAGTAACACTGCAGGGCAAAAACATAAAACTATTACACATCTAAACGACAGCGTGGGCTGGGCGCGGTGGCTGACACCATAATCCCAGCACTTTCGGAGGCCAAGGCGGGCGGATCACGAGGTCAAGAGATTGAGACCATCCTGGCTAACAAGGTGAAACCTCGTCTGTACTAAAAATACAAAAATTAGCTGGGCGTGGTGGCGCACGCCTGTAATCCCAGCTACTTGGGAGGTTGAGGCAGGGGACTCACTTGTACCCGGGAGGCGGAGGTTGCAGTGAGCTGAGATCACGCCATTGCACTCCAGCCTGGAGACAGAGCAAGACTCCATCTCAAAATAAATAAATGAATAAATACATACATACATACATAAAGGACATGGTGACAGGTGGGGGTAAAGAAAGATTTCTCTTAAGAACTCACAGGTTTTAAACTCTTATTTCTCCACACAATTCTCCCACTTATAAACACGATTTAATAGTGTGGCTCTGGTAGGCAAGGGGCACATGCCTATAATCACATCACTTTGGGAGGCCAAAGCAGGAGGACTGTTGAAGCCCAGGAGTTCAAAGCTGCAGTGAGCTATGATGGCCAATGCACTCCAGTGTGGGGAACAGAGACTGTCTCAAAAAAAAAAAAAAAAGTGTGGCTTTCACTCTGTCCATCTGAGCTCTTACCTGTGTTGATATCTTTGATACCTTCCCACCTATCTGGATTTTTTGCTACTTTCATTTCATTCTCCACAGTCCAGGGCTCTGTCCTTTGCTTCATCATGGAGATAATACTCAGGTCAGGAAGACAGATTCCTGTTTATAAAAGAAAGAATCAAGATGTGCTGTGATGTCTCCAAAATCCAAGCCCTCTGTTTAGGCAGCAGAGATGATATTAAAAATTAATCCTTTAAAGCCAGTTAGAATGGCGATCATGAAAAAGTCAGCAAGCAACAGATGCTGGAGACACTGTGGAGAAACAGGAACACTTTTACACTGTTGGTGGGAGTGTAAATTAGTTCAACCATGTGGAAGACAGTGCGGCGATTCCTCAAGGATCTAGAACCAGAAATACCATTTGACCCAGCAATCGCATTACTGGGTATATACTCAAAGGATTATAAGTCATTCTACTATAAATAAATAAAAAAACTAATCAAGAATTCAAGAAAAACATTTCACAAATTCACCCACAGACTGTCTGCTTCTGAATGCGTAGGGAACTGTGTAATAATTGGACATCGAACTCTCTTCCAAGAACTATAGAATCAAAAGCACAGGGGTAGAAAACAGGGAACTGGATATTTTAAAAGTTTGTCATAAGGTTTTATGCACACTTAAGCCCAGGTACCACCCAAAGGTGTATCATGAAGGATACAGAATGTCTGAAGAAAGGGGGAATTTCAAGACCAGAAAGCATACGGGAGCTTTTCATTTCTGAGTCAACAGGGTTTCTTTTTTTTTGAAACAGAGTCTTGCTCTGTTACCCAGGTTGGAGTGCAGTGGCATGATCTCAGCTCACTGCAACCTCTGCCTCCTGGGTGCAAGCAATTCTTCTTGCCTCAGCCTCCCGTGTAGCTGAGATTACAGGCATGCACCGTGACACCTGGCTAATTTTTGTATTTTTAGTACAGATGGGGTTTTATCATTTTGGTCAGGTTGGTCTCGAACTCCTGACCTCAAGCAATCCACCCACCTCAGCCTCCCAAAGTGCTGGGATTACAGGCATGAGCCACCGTGCCCAGCCAAGTCAACAGGGTTTCAATCTCAGTCAAGCAATGCAGGGGCTCCCAAGAGGCACACAAGGGAAAATGCAGAGATACTAAGGGCAGACCCCAACTTCTGGAGGGGCATTATCCTTACCCAGGGAGACCAGGTTCCTGTAGTTCTCCAACATCACATCCCTGTATAAAGCCTTCTGCACAGGGTCCAGGCATTTCCACTCCTCCTGAGAGAATTCTATGGCCACGTCCCTGAATGTCAAGTGTCCCTAAAATAAAAGATGTATTTGACCAACAGGGTAAGGAGAGAGTAATTATGTTCACACGAAATGAGAAGAGGGTTGTAAGGACTGACTCAACTGAAGTGCTGACGTGAACATTCTGACATATCCACATTAAGGTATTTTTGAGCTAGTTATGTGTCTGTGATTGAGTTTTATTATACTTTTCCATAAAAAGTTATGATATTCTTTAAACTAGTGTAGATTTTTCATTCAATATCTACCTGAGCTAGCATACAAGTGTCTCTGAAGACGCCAACTACTTGTATTCTAGCTCAGGTAGACAATGAATATCACTTGGTGTGTCGAACATAATACCTAACACTTCTATAGAATTGTGGGTTAATTTTGTGTCTGGGCATTAGAATCAAACCTAAAGAATCAAGCAGTTAAGTAACAGATCAGCATTAAAAGTAAACTGACAATTACCTAACTGAGTAAAGTTAAGTTCATGGACAAAAATCTGAATCTGCGTAAAAGGTCATTCTATATGCATACACATGTATCCTCCTCATAATACATTACTATTCTTACTGCCATTAACTCATTAACGTGATAGTGTAGAACACATTTTTTTTTATTGACAGAGTCTCAGTCTGTCACCCAGGCTGGAGTGCAGTGGCGCAATCTCGGCTCACTGCAACCTCCGCCTCCTAGGTTCAAGTAATTCTCCTGCCTCAGCCTCCCGAGCAGCTAGCATTACAGGCACGCACCACCATACCTGGCTAATTTTTGTATTTTCAGTAGAGACAAGGTTTCACCATGTTGCTCAGGCTGGTCTTGAACTCCTGACCTCATGCGAGCCACCTACCTCGGCCTCCCAAAATGCTGGGATTACAGGCATGAGCCACCGCACCCGGCCCAATAGTGTAGAACACTTATAAGGTCATGGCAAGTATTTCAGATGTAATTTCAACTGTTCAAAATATAATTTTTTTTTTTTTAGATGGAGTTTTGCTCTTGTTGCCCAGGCTCAAGTGCAATGGTGCGATCTCGGTTCACCACAACCTCTGCCTCCCAGGTTCAAGGGATTCTCCTGCCTCAGCCTCCCGAGTAGCTGAGATTACAGGTATGTGCCACCACACCCAGCTAATTTTGTATTTTTAGTACAAATGGCCTTTCTCCATTGGTCAGGCTGGTCTCGAACTCCTGACCTCAGGTGATCCACCCGCCTAGGCCTCCCAAAGTGTTGGGATTACAGGCGTGAGCCATCACGCACGGCCAAAAGTGTTGGCTCACACCTGTAATCCCAGCACTTTGGGAGGCCGAGGCAGGTGGATCATGGGGTCAGGAGACCAAGACCATCCTGGCCAACATGGTGAAACCTGTCTCTACTAAAAATATAATAATTAGCTGGGTGTGGCGGTGCATGCCTGTAGTCCCAGCTACTCGGGAGGCTGAGGCAGAAGAACCGCTTGAACCCAGGAGGCGGAGGCTGCAGTGAGCTGAGATCACGCCACTGCACTCCAGCCTGGGCGACAGAGCAAGACTCAGTTTCAAAAAAATGAAAAATAAAATTAAAATTAAAATTAAAAAATTCTTATAAAATGATGTTGTAGCTTAACTATAGGCTTGCTTATCCATGCACTCATGCAAACACATCACATGTATACACTTACACACACTTAGTTTATAAAGTAATACACATATACAATTTACACATCAGATGAAATAAGGAGTTGTCTCTCAATGACCTATTTTTTAGATGATATTTGTCATCTTTTTTAAAAAAAATTCTTAGAGACTGGGTCTTGCTATGTTGTCCAGGTTGGGGTACAGTGAGTAATCATAGCACAGTACAGCCTTGAACTCCTGATCTCAAATGATCCTCCCTCCTCAGCCTCCCAAGAAACTGGGGCTAACGGTGCACATACTGCCTGGCAGTCATTATTATTTTTGCTAATGTGTATTTCAGCATCTTTGCAACAATAAAAATGTATAAATAGTACTCAGTTTAGTTTATAAACATTATTGTATATTAAGCTATTTAAAAAAAGTAGACCAGCTGGGAGCGGTGGCTCACGCCTGTAATCCCAACACTTTGGGAGGCTGAGGCGGGCGGATCACCTGAGGTGAGGAGTTCGAGACCAGCCTGGCCAACATGGTGAAACCCCGTCTCTGCTAAAAATGCAAAAATTAGCTAGGCGTGGTGGCGGGCACCTGTAATCCAAGCTACTCGGGAGGCTGAGGTAGGAGAACTGTTTGAACCCAGGAGATGCAGGTTGCACTGAGCCGAGATCACACCACTGCACTCCAGCCTAGGCAAAAGAGTGAGACTCCGTCTCAAAAAAAAAAAAAAAAAAAAAAAAGAAAAGGTAAATCATGAAAAAAAAAACATAGAAACTTGAACTCCAGTCACAAATACCTATTTTCAAATATATAAATATAATATGTTTTAAAATTTATGTGAGGTCTTACTATGTTGCCCAGGGTGGTCTCAAACTCAAGAGATCCTACCATCTCAGCCTCCCAAGAAGCTCAAATTATAGGCTTATACTACTGCACTAACCCATTGCTTTGTCCATTAAAATTTATTCTCTAGTGAGAATTACAAACCACTGCTCAAAGAAATCAGAGAAGACACAAACAGAAAAACATCCCATGCTCACGGATAAGAAGAATCGATATAATTAAAATGACCATACTGCCCAAAGAATTTACAGATTGAAAGCTAATCCTAATGACGTTCTTTGCAGAACTAGAAAAAACTATTTTAAAATTCATATGCAATCAAAAAAGAGCCTAAATAGCCAAGGCAATCCTGAGCAAAAAGAACAAAGCTGGAGGCATCAAGTTATCCAACTTCAAACTATACCACAAGGCTACAGTAACCAAAACAACATGGTACTGGTACAAAAACAGGCACAAAGACCAATGGAACAGAATAGTCAGCCCAGAAATAAGGCCGTGCATCTACAACCAACTGATCTTTGACAAAGCTGACAAAAACAAGCAATGGGGAAAAGACTCCCTATTTCATAAACGGTGCTGGATAACCAGCTAGCCACATGCAGAAGATTGAAGCTGGACCCCTTCCTTATACCATATACAAAAATCAACTCAAGATGGATTAAAGACTTCAGTGTAAAACCCCAAACTATAAAAACCTTGGAAGACAACTTAGGCAATACCATCCTGGACACAGGAATGGGCAAAGATTTCATGACAAAGACACCAAAAGCAATCATAACAAAAACAACAATTGACAAGTGATATCCAATTAACTTTAAGAGCTTCTGCACAGCAAAAGAAACTATCAACGGAGTGAGCAGACAACCTACAGAATGGGAGAAAATTTTTGCGAACTATGCATCTAACAAAGGTCTAATATCCAGCATCTACAAGGAACTTAAGCAAATTTACAAGAGAAAACCCCATTAAAAAGTGGGCAAAGGGCCAGGTGCGGTGGCTCATGCCTATAATCCCAGCACTTTGGGAGGCTGAGGCAGTTGGATCACCTGACATCAGAAGTTCCGAGACCAGCCTGGCCACCATGGTGAAGCTCCGTCTCTACTGAAAATACAACAATTAGCTGAGTGTGCTGGCAGGGGCCTGTAGTCCCAGCTACTCGGGAGGCTGAGGCAGGAGAATTGCTTGAACCCGGGAGGCAGAGGTTGCAGTGAACTGAGATCACACCATTGCACTCCAGCCTGGGCGACAACAGCGAAATTCCATCTCAAACAAACAAACGAAAAAAGTGGGCAAGGGACATGAACAGACACCTCTCAAAAGTAGACATACATGTAGCCAACAAGCATATGGAAAAAAAGCTCAGTATCACTGATCATTAGAGAAATGCAAATCAAAACCACAATGAGATACCATCTCATTAGTCAGAATGGCTATTACTAAAAGTCAGAAAAGGCCTGGCGTGATGGCTCACGCCTGTAATCCCAACACTTTGGGAGGCTGAGGTGGGTGGAGATGGTGAAACCCCATCTCTACCAAAAATTCAAAAAATTGCCGGGCGTGGTGGTACACATTTGTGGTCCCAGCTACTCAAGAGGCTGAGGTGGGAGGACTGCTTGAGCCTGGGAGGTAGAGGTTGCAGTGAGCCAAGATTGCACCACTGTATGCCAGCCTGGACGACAGAGCAAGACTCTTGTCTCCAAAAAAAAAAAAAAAAGGCAGAAAAGATTTCCTGAATTTTTATTGCAGAATTTACCAGGTACTTGTGCACATTAATAGGTGATTTCTGTGGGCAGCTTCTCTAATCCTGGTCCACAGAGAGCTGACAGAGCATCCAGATGTGGCCCCTGAACAATCCCTGCTGCCCAACAGCACTGACACCACGGGGCCCTCACCCCGTCTCCACCCACGTCTGGGTGTGAGCCCTTCCCAGGATCACGCCCAGTGCAGCCTCTTCCCAAGTTCATGTCACTGGGTCACAAGAGATGGAATCTAAGCGAGATGAGAGGGACTGAAGGAAGGCATGGGTGAGTGTGAGCAAACCTGTCAGGCAGGATGCTTCAGACTCAGAGAAGATTCTCAACTCCAGCACCCGGCATTTCAGGAAGAAATAAGAAACAGAACAATCTACTGAGAATATCACTTTACCTGAGTAAGTGGCATGCCTGACTCCTCTGCTTTCCTCTTCTGGGCTTCTCCTTCACATAACATGACTTTTTTTGTTTTTTTTTGAGACGGAGTCTCACTCTGTCACCCAGGCTGGAGTGCCGTGGCCCGATCTCAGCTCACTGCAAGCTCCGCCTCCCGGGTTCACACCATTCTCCTGCCTCAGCCTCCTGAGTAGCTGGGACTACAGGTGCCCGCCAACACGCCCAGGTAATTTTTTGTATTCGTAGTAGAGACGGGGTTTCACCGTGTTAGCCAGGATGGTCTTGATCTCCTGACCTCGTGATCTGCCCGTCTCGGCCTCCCAAAGTGCCGGGATTACAGGTATGAGCCCCCGCGCCCGGCCAACATGACTCTTTAGAAGTCAATCCTGAATGTCAAAAATATGCTGTTTAGGGTTTAGAATCAACATACTTTCTTCCTGTGCCACAACCACACACGCAGGGAAGACCTCACCCTGTGGAAATACGGTCCTCTGCTGCCCACTGCATCAGAGTTGATGCCGGGACAATAAACTCCTACAGGAAGAACAAGTGAGCTTTTGGCCCCTTTCTTCAGAACCCGCTCCCCTCCTGGAGAAGCCCACACACACACTGCAGCAGTGGGGAGCTGGGCTGGACTAAGCTCCCCTTCAGGGCACAGACCTGGCTCTGACCAAACCCCATGCAGAGCACAGCACCCCCTCACCTCTTTGTGAATCAGAGGCTGAACTCAGCCTTCAGAAATGAGAACACGGCTTCGGTGCTCAATGCTGGATACAGAATACAGTAAAATCCCTTTATCCAAGGGGATACGTTGCAAAACCCTGAGTGAATGAAACTTGGAACAGTACTGAACCCTATTTACTCCACTTAAAGGATGCCTGTGACAGATTCTCACTGACATATCCAAATTGCCAACATCAATGCTCATGTGCTTGGGGGGCATGTTAAGTAAAATAAGGATCACTTAAACAAAACCAATGAGGTACCACAAAATTGGATCTGATCAAAAAGACTACTATTAAAAACAAAACAAAACAAAACAAAAAAGAAGACTATTAACAGATTGATGGGCAGACAGAGTATACAGTGCATGGGGTCTGTATCCATGGATTCAACCAATTACAGACTTAAATAATTTAAAAAAGACAAAAGGAAGCAATATACCAATATAAAATAGCAATACAATAAAAATAATACAAGAAAACAACCCAGTATAACAAGCATTTACATAGCATTTATATTTAATTAGGTATTACCAGTAATCAGATGTTTACAGTATATGGGAGGGTGCAGAGGATGTGCATAGGTTACATGCAAATGCAGTCACGCATCGCTTAATAACAGGGACATGTTCTGAGAAACGCATTTTCAGACCATTTCATTACAGAGGGAACTTACACAAACCAAGATAGCATAGCCTACTACACATCTGGTATATATAATACAGCCTACTGCTAAAAACCTGTAGGGCATGCTATGTCCTGAATACTATAGTCAACTGTAACAACGGTAAGTACTCGTAAGTCAAAACATATCTAAATATAGAAAAGGTACAGTAAGGCCAGGCACGGCGGCTCATGCCTCTAATCCCAACACTTTGGGAGACCAAGGCAGGTGGATCATCTGAGGTCAGGAGTTCGAGACCAGCCTGGCTAACATGGGGAAACCCCGTCTCTACTAAAAACACAAAAATTAGCTAGGCATGAAAGTGGGTGCCTGTAATCCCAGCTACTCGGGAGGCTGAGGCAGGAGAATCACTTGAACCCAGGAGGCGGAGGTTGCAGTGAGCCAGGATTACACCACTGCACTGCACTCCGGCCTGGGTGACAGAGTGAGATTCTGTCTCAAAAAAAAAAAAAAAAAGAAAGAAAAAATATAGTAGTCATATGGTATAAGAGTTTAAAAAATGGTACACTTGTCTAGGGCACTTACCATGAATGGAGCTTGGAGGACTGGAAATTGCTGTGGGTGAGTGAGTGAGTGATGAATGAATGTGAAGGTCTAGGACATGACTGTACACTACTACAGGCTTTATAAACACTGCACATTTAGGCTGCACTAACTTCACAAAAAATACTTTTTTCTTCCGTAATAAACTAAGCTTACTTATTCCAACTGTTTTACTGTATAAACTTTTAAATTTAACTTTTTGATTCTTTTGCAATAACAGCTTAAAACACAAACATGTTGTACAGCTATACAAAAATATTTTATCTTTGTACCTTAATTCTCTAAACTTTTTCTTGTTTTTAATTTTTTTTTAACCTTTTTAAACATTTTTGTCAACAACTAAGACACAAACACACACATCAGCCTAGGCCTGCACAGGGTCAGGACCATCAGTGTCACTGTCTTCCAGTGCCACATCTTCTCCCACCAGAAAGTCCTCCTATGGTAACAATGGTTTCTCCCAGACGCCTCCTGAAGGACCTGCCTGAGCCTCTTCTAGAGGCGTCACTCCTTTCAGAAATACGTCCATGGTGGTTTGCTTGCTTTGTTTCTTTTGTCTTCCTAAATGTTCTTATGAGCGGATAATGCATCATGGACGCTCCTTTCTATTAATGAAAATCTTTAGGTGTTGGTGCCTATGTTTTCAAACCTTTTAAGGAGCTTGTCAAGGTCTGCAAAAGCTTCTGCTATATCTTTAACTGTGAATTGCCTTGAGAGTACTTTCTTTTTCTCCTTCAGTTTCCTATTGGCTCATTCTTTTTTTTTGAGATGGAGTCTCACTCTGTCGCTCAGGCTGGAGTGCAGTGGCGTGATCTTGGCTCACTGCAACCTCCACCTCCTGGGTTCAAGTGATTCTCCTACCTTAGCTTCCCAAGTAGCTGGGACCACAGGCATGTGCCACCACTCCTGACACTACTGACCTCAAGTGATCCACCTGCCTCGGCCTCCCAAAGTGCAGGGATTATAGATGTGAGCCACCGTGCCCAGCCAGTTCCCTATTCTCTTGCCTCTTCTTCAGCTACATGTTCCTGTATCAGTTCCAATGACTCCTCATTAACCCATTCCTCATGAACCACCTCTAAGAGATTCTCAATGTCATCCTCCTCCACATCCAGGTTAAAGCTGTTTGGTAACGCACTAGGTTTGTTTCCGCCAGCATCACCACAAATACAAGGAATGCACTGCACTATGATGTCATGACTGCTCTGAGGTAGCTAGGCAACGGGAATTTTTCAGCTCCAGTGTAATCTTATGGAACCACCATCACAGGTGTGGGCTGCTGTTGACCGAAATGTCCTTATGTGGCATGTGACTGTATTATGCAATTTTATATAAGGGTCTTGAAGATCATCTGATTTGGGTAGTCTTGGGGGGATCTTGGAAGCAAATCCTACGTGATACCGAGGGATGACTATACAGGGGGACATACAGGACAAAGAGATGATTCAAGTCCTGGACAAAACAGAGTGGGACAGTGAGAGATTGTATCATCCTGCTCAGAAGGATGAGAAATTGAAAACTTGTGAATTCTTCATTTCTGGAACTTTCCACGTAATACCTTGGACTGTGGTTGACCATGAGTAACTGGAACCTCAAAAAGTACACTGGCAGATAAGGAGAAACTACTGTAGAATCAACTTCAAATATTAAGGCTGGGCCCAACCTGAGTATGTGAATGGGAATCTCAGGTAAGAGGCTGGGGGCACAAGATGTGTATCTGCACTCCAATGTGAAAACAGGGGTGAGCTCCACTCAGACGGGGCAAGCCCAGCACACCCCCACCTTCTGGCTCTGCTCTACCCTTGGGTCTTGTTACCAGGATTTACGTAGTGGACAGCAAAAGAGCAGAAAGAAACATCCAGAGCAGGCAATGTGGACCACAGTAGGGGTAAGGGTGTAGCTGGAGTGTTAAATGTAGGGTGGAGAGGAACACAGAACCCTCCATGAAGAAGGTAATATCAGAACAAAGACCTGGGGAAGAAAAGGTGTTTGCACCTGCAGCTGACAGGCTAGAGATGTCCAGGCAGAGGGACAGCCCAGGTGGAAGCCCTGAGGCAGGAGCAACCCTGGCCCCAGGAAAGAGGTCTGTGTGGCTGCGGCAGAGGGAACGAGGGGGACACAGGGAGGAGATGAGCTCAGAGAGGTCCTGGGATGCAGATCACACAGGGATGAGGCCACCAACATTTCTCTCCCATACCTCCAAAGAATTTCAGAAACAACAAATTTCCTCATCTGTTTTAGTAACTATGTAATTATTTATGTTATAAATTAATGTACTTATAGGCTGGGCATGGTGGCTCATGCCTGTAATCCCAGCACTTTGGGAGGCCAAGGCGGGCAGATCACAAGGTCAAGAGATCGAGACCATCCTGGCCAGCATGATGAAACCCCATCTCTACTAAAAATGCAAACAATTAGTTGGGCGTGATGGTGCACGCCTGTAGTCCCAGCTACTTGGGAGGCTGAGACAGGAGAATTGCTTGAACCCGGGAGGCAGAGGTTATGGTGAGCCAAGATCACACCACTGCACTCCAGCCTGGTGACACAGCAAGACTCCGTCTCGAAAAAAAAATATATTAATGTATTTACAATGTAACATCTTACATATTTTGAACATATGACAAGTTCAGCTAAGCCCCAGGAAGTACAGGGTCACCCTCATCTGAGATGTGCAGGACTGCAGGGGAATGCATTTGGGGGAGTTCAGAAAGTGGCACATACGAAGGTGGAGATGCCTGTTAGATGTCCCAGCAGAGAAGTGAGGGGACAACTGAACACAGGTTTCTAGACCTCAGGGCAGAGGTCTGCAGGGCACATGGAGACAGGTAGATGGGGTTCAAAGCCATGAGATGAGATGATAAGGAAGGGTAGTGTGTGTGAAAAGAGATGAGAAGAGTTTTGAGATCCAAGCCTATTCAACATAGGGAAACCCAGTCTGTACTAAAAAATAAAAAAATTACTCAGGTGTGGTGGTATGCACCTAGAGTCCCAGCTACTTGGGAGGCTGAGGCAGGAGGACCTCCTGAGCCCGGGAGTTCAAGGCTGCAGGGAGCTATGATTGCACCACTGCACTCCAGTCTGGGTGACAGACTGAGACCGTGTCTTAAAAACAAAAACAAAAATGAAAAAGACCTAAATCATGGGACACTCCCACATTCAGAGAAGACAGCTTCAGGAGACACCAGCAGAGGAAACTGGTAACACAAAAATCTGAAACAAAGTAATTAAACTTAGAGATGTCTTCAAAGCTAAGAAAAAAGAACAGGGAATGATCAGCTGTGCAACATGTTGCTAAGACGAAAAGATGAGGATAGGAAATTCAAAATTGGACTTCGAAACACAGAGATCACTGGTACCTCTGGGAAAAAAGGATCAAAGGAATGGTGGAGGTGAAAGCTTAATTGGAAGGGGGTAAATCAAGAACTGGAGGCAAGACTGAAGACAGAAATATAAACAAGATTTTAGTGTACTGTGTTCTCAAATGGAGCGTTGAAGAGGGGTACTCACTACAGGGAGAGATGTAATTAATAGAATATTTTTTATTTTAATCATGGAGGAGTGGCAAGAAAATGAAGGCTTCATCTGTGCTTTTTTTTTTTTTTTTTTTTTGAGACAGTCTCACTCTTGTCACCCAGGCTGGAGTGCGGTGGCATGATCTCAGCTCACTACAACCTCCATCTCGGCTCACTGCAACCTCCACCTCCTGGGTTCAAGTGACTCTCCTGCCTCAGCCTCCGGAGTAACTGGGAATACAGGTACGTGTCACCACACCCAGCTAATTTTTGTATTTTTAGTAGACATGGGGTTTCACCGTGCTGGCCAGGCTGGTCTGGAACTCCTGGCCATAAGTGATCCACCCGCCTTGGCCTCCCAAAGTGCTGGGATTACAGGCGTGAGCCATCGCACCCAGCCAGTGTGTCTGTGTGTGTTTTCATGGACAATACCTCCATGTGGGTGCACTAACCAAAGTAATCCCTTGAAGTAAATATTGGTGATGCCAGAGGAAGGATGTCACACTGTCCTGAGACTGTGAGTAGGGCTGGCACCTGGTGCACAATCGCAGGGTCAGCAACAGCCAGGGGGAGGGACAGACCATTCCCAGTTACTACTGAGTAGAGATCACAGGCCCTGAGACAGGTGGGTGGGCCGGTTGGAGATCTCTTCCCTTTACTGGTTGAGATGGAAATGTGCACGTGTTTTTCCGCATACTGACCAGTTCTCTGGCACACTCCCAGCTGGATGACCCACAATTTAACTCAATTTTGATAGTATCTACCTGGAGATAGAATCAGATCCCAGTTAAGGACTCAGTCCCACAAGACTGCCCCTCACCTCAGATATGGATAAAATTAACGGTTTCCAAAACACACTCCTCTATTTTGATTTGCTAGGATGGCTCTTCCACCTGTATCCTTTGTAATAACCTTTATAACTGATAGTAAACCTAAGTAAAATTTTCTCTGAGTTCTGGGAACCATTCCAGCAAATTAATAAAATGTGAGGAGGCCGGGCAAGGTGGCTCAAGCCTGTTATCCCAGCACTATGGGAGGCCGAGGTGGGCAGATCACCTGAGGTCTCAGGAGTTCACGACCCGTCAGGCCAACACGGTGAAACCCTGTCTCTACTAAAAATACAAAATTGGCCAGGCGAGCTGGCGGGCGCCTGTAGTCCCAGCTACTCGGGTGGCTGAGGCAGGAGAATCGCTTGAACTCAGGAGGCTAAGGTTGCAGTGAGCCGAGATTTTGAGCCCCTCTCCTCTCCCGCAGTTTCTCCCCTTCTTCCCTCTATTCCTTCTTTTCCACTTCATCTGCTCCATCTTGCAATTTTTTTCCTCTTGTTGCTCTTTCTCTCCAATCTTTTGATTGTCTCCAATCTCCATATATTTCTGCCTCTTTCTTCTCCCATCTGTGCTCCTCCTGTTAAATTCCCTCTTCTCTGTCACGCCCCCTTGTCCCTACTGTCTGGCAACCCCAGATCTCTGGGGTGGTTCTCCCTTTGCCCTCCTTGTCACCGGCTGCCCCCTCTTGCTGTGCCAGCACCACGCTGCTCGGTCTGCCCTGGCTCCAAATCCCTCCTCCTCTCCCCAACTTTGTCTGAGGAGCCTCCCGCTTTGCTGCCCCTCTCCCTACCTTGCTGTCCTTCATCTGTCTAGAAATAGAACTTTTCTCTACATTTCTCGAGTTGCTTTTCTCTCCCTGCTACTTCCTGGGGTGCTTCTTTCACTTTGCAAATCTCTCACCCTCCCTCTGCGTTGCCGTCTTGTTATGGATCTTCCTCATTATTTTCTCTCTAAATTTTTCTGTTTCCTCTACCTCGCTCTCCATCTCTCTTTCACTTCACATTCACAGGGAGGGGACTGGAATAAAATACCCACCTCCTCAAGAGCACAGTTTCCAATGGGAGGAATTTGGGACGGAAGAACACTGGGTGCCCTGAGATAGGTCCCGGCCACCTCCCCCAACACAGGATCCGGAGAAGCCGTGACTGCGAAAAGGCCTGGGGACAGAAGGGAACGGCCCAAGGAGGACTACGGCGGCAGGCAGATCAGGGGTGGGGTCTGCAGAATCCCCAGACCAGGCAGAGGACGCGGCCCCTCCCGAATGGCGGCTGCGGCGCTGCGCCCCAGGGGCCGACAAGGACGAGGCTTGGGACCCGGAGGGCGTGGATCCGCCTCGCAGGCGGGGACTTTACGTGGCGCGGGGCTGGCGGAGGGGTCACTGAAGGGTTTTAAGCAGGAAAACGGCGCGAAAGCAGCTGCCTACGCAGCCCTACGGCAGAACGACCGGAGACAGAACCAGCCCTAGGGCGATTTTAACACTCTGACGGGACGCATGAATTTACTCGGGGTGGAGAGAGCGGTGCGGGGATTTCAAGGTCTGTACCGCCCCCCACATCCCGGGTACAGAAGCGTGAGGGCACCGCTAAGCGAACACTTAATCTAAACAAAGGAAAACTCACGCGCCGCAGTTGCGCCATATCTCCACGCCATCCACTTCCGGGTCTGCAGGCGGCTGCGCGCGAACGGAGAGGCCGGGCCGGGGCGTGGCCAGCGACGTGGCGGGCGGGGCCTGAATACTTATTGGACGGGGCCTGCACTTCCCTCCTCCTATCTCTGGGCGTGTCTCGGTTTTCCGCGTTTTGCAAGCCACACTTGCCAGTCAGGCTGGAGCCGCTCCACGGTTTGTGACCTGGGATCTCACTAGGAGGGTCAACGTCTGTTGTTTGGATCCAGGAAAGTTCCCACAATTAAAATTAAGGAATTCAATTAAAATTTAGAAATTTAATTGAAAATCCCTTAAATTGTCTGTGAAAGGAATGCAAACTAAAATACAATATGCAAACTCAACCTGTGCAGAATGTGTAATTTCACGCTGACGCCCCACAGAATAGCATAGAAATCCTCTCCATTTCTATTCCCCATTCACTCTGGAGTAGAGAGTTCCAAAGAGTTTCCTGGGCCACATCTGGGGCGTGGAGTGCTAAGGCCGGTGAGAAGTCAGGTCACCAGCTATTGCTTTTAAAAAAGCAATAGAGGCCGGGCACGGTTGCTCACGCCTGTAATCCCAGCACTTTGGGAGGCCGAGGCGGTCGTATCACTGGAGGTCAGGAGTTCGACACCAGCCTGACCAAAATGGAGAAACCCCGTCTCTACTAAAAATACAAAAATTAGCCGGGCGTGATGGCACACGCCTATAATCCCAGCTACTTGGGAGGCTGAGGCTTAGGTCAATATTTTCTAAAAATACTGTAATTTCAGATTCACTTTAGGTGCATTCTGAAAGTAATAAGTAAACATACTTTTTATTTTAAAAATTATAATCTCTTAAATCTTGTTTGTTTTCTCTTCTTCAATGTACTGGCCCCTGTAGATAACAAAGCCCTTAAAATAGTCTTCAGAAGACAATTGTATTTATTGATCTAAAGAATAACTCTGCAGTAATTCTAAGTGTATTTGGTAGGCCGATTATTCTTTTATAGAACCCTGATAGAAGTAAAACTAGATTATCAAATTTTAAATAGCCTTACGTCTGCCGGCAATAATTTTATGGCAATATTTTTGAATTAACAGGTACTAATAAGTATGCTTTTCTCTGATATCTCACCCCCCCAACTTTTTTTTTCTTAAGACAGAGTCTAACTCTGTCATCCAAGCTGGAGTGCAATGGCACGATCTCAGCTCACTGCAACCTCCACCTCCTGGGTTCAAGCAATTCTCCTGCCTCAGGCTCTCGAGTAGCTGGGATTACAGGCGCGTGCCACCACGCCTGGCTAATTTTTGGATTTTTAGTAGAGATGGGGTTTTGCCATGTTGGCCAGGGTGGTCTCAAACTCCTGACCTCAGGTGATCATCTGCCCACCTTGGCCTGCAGAGTGCTGGGATTACAGGCGTGAGCCACCGCACCCGGCCTTATATCCCTATTTTTGGATCCCTTCATCCATCTTGAAGTATGATCATGTTTAGATATGAAAATGAACATATTTAAAATATTAGCAGGTTAAAATGAGGATATAGTGATATGTCACAAAGATGGATACGAGATGACATATCAGCATTTTTTATTTTTATTTTTTTCAGTTGGAGTCTCGCTCTGTTGCCCAGGCTGGTGTGCTGTGGCATGGCCTCCACTCACTGCAACCTCTGCCTCCCGGGTTCAAGCAATTCTCCTGCCTCAGCCTCCCGAGTAGCTGAGATTACAGGCGCCTGCCACCATGCCCAGCTAATTTTTTGTATTTTTAGTAGAGACGGGGTTTCACCATGTTGGCCAGGCTGGTCTCGAACTCCCGACTTCGTGATCCGCCCACCTTGGCCTCCCAAAGCACTGGGATTACAGGCGCGAGCCACCGCACCCGGCCCATATCAGCATATTTTACTTCGATTATTATTATTATTTTTTAGAGACAGGGTCTAACTGTGTTTTCCAGGCTGCATATGTACTCCTGGGCTCAAGACATCCTCTTGCCTCAGCCACTTAAGTAGCTAGGACTCCAGGCACACTCCATGGTGGCCTAGGTCAGCATTATTTTTTGAAGATGCAGTATCTGGGATAGATTTTGGGATCTGTACAAGATAGATGTCTATATTACACAATATTGCTAAATAGCTATGTTGCCACGAAACAACTTTTAGCATTGACTTTTATGATCTGAAGCAAAGAAATGAGTTGATTGCAGAGCTTTTCATGAAACTAAAAAGTAGAGGATAAGCTGATTATAGCTTAAAGTTATAAACCCATTATGTATATGGGGAGTTTGTTGCTTCTAAAATTTTCAAGGGATCAGCATGGACATTTTTGGTTTTTGTTTTTTTTTGACAGGATCTCGCTCTGTCACCCAGGCTGGAGTGCAGTGGCACAATCTCGGCTCACTGCAACCTCCGCCTCCCAGGTTCAAGTGATTCTCCTGCCTCAGCCTTCTGAGTAGCTGGGATTACAGGCGCGTGCCACCACACTCAGCTAAGTTTTTGTATTTTTAGCAGAGATAGGGTTTCACCATGTTGACCAGGCTGGTCCCAAACTCCTGACCTCAAGTGATCCTCCTACCTCGGCCTCCCAAAGTGGGATTACAGGTGTGAGCCACTGCACCTGGCCAACAATTTTATTGATGAATAAACATTTAACAGGAATATCATACGCAATAGAGGCAATCCGTTAGGAGATAGGAAAAAGAATAATTTCTATACAACCCATTATAGACTGGTTTTTGAGATAAGCACTGATTAGCCTCAAAAACTTGATTGCGCTATTGCTTATACATTGTTCATCCTGACCTTACATGGTAATTGGGGAGACCATCTATGTTAGCCAATTAGCTTTATTCAGAAGCAGGGGGGAAAACCCTAACTTATATGTTTACAACAGGTGGTAGTTTTACAAAATGGAGCCAGGTACCCACTGTAGATAGGCTCCTACCAACCCACAGAAACAGAGAGATACAGGTGCTATCTCTAGTGATGTTGACATTTGAAAGAGATGTCTCCCAAGTCCTTGAGAAAGATATCCCTAGGTCATTATGCTGACAAAAGGTTTATTTAGTTTCTAAAAATAAACATTTCGGGAGAAAGTACTCACAAGTTTTCTAAGGTAAATATTCTGACAAAAAGAGGAGGAAGAGAAATGCCTTGCCATATTTTCAAAGGAGGAATGCAGGCTCTCATTTTTATTTCGTATTTATCCCTATAAGGCATGCATAGAATATTCACCAGTGACCTTAATATTGGCCAAAAGAAAATTTCAGCTAATTCAAAAAATTAGGCAGGGCACTGTGGCTCACGCCTGTAATCCCATACTTTGGGAGGCCAAGGCAGGTGGATCACCTGAGGTCAGGAGTTCAAGACCACCATGGTGAAACCCCATCTCTACAAAAAATACAAAAATTAGCCAGGCGTGGTGGCGTGCGCCTGTAATCCCAGCTACTAGGGAGGCTGAGGCAGGAGAATCCCTTGAACCCAGGAGGCAGAGGTTGCAGTGAGCTGAGAACATACCATTGCACCCCAGCCTGGGCGACAGAATGGGATTCTGTCTCAAAAAAAAAAAGAAAAAAGAAAAAAGAAAATGACAGGAAATATTAAGTGTGGCAAGGTTGTGAATAAACCAAGAACTCATGCGCTGCTGGTGGGTGCTGAAATGGATACAAACATTTTGGAAAACTGTTTGGTAGCAGCTACATAAGCCTACCAGATGTCAATTTATGCTTCAATAATTTCACTTCTATGAATTTATCCATCACAAATTCATATATATATCAACAAAAGATAAGTTACATAGTTTATATAGGTAGGACTATTCATTGCTCATAAAAGCCACAAACTCAAAATTACCACATGGCCTTTAACAATAGTATGACTCAACCGGGCGCGGTGGCTCATGCCTGTAATCTCAGCACTTTGGGAGGCCAAGGTGGGCGGATCACTTGAGGTCAGGAGTTCGACACCAGCCTGGCCAACATGGTGAAAACCCATCTCTACCAAAAACACACAAAAAAATTAGCTGGGTGTTGTGGCGGGTGCCTGTAATCCCAGCTACTCAGGAGGCTGAGGCAGGAGAATCACTTGAACCCGGGAGGCGGAGGTTGCAGTGAGCCGAGATCACGCCATTGCCCTTCAGCATGGGTGACAAGAGCAAGACTCTATCTCAAAAACAAACAAACAAAAGTAAAAAACAAACAAAAAAATAGTATGACTCGATCATCTGATTATTCATACAATGGAATCATAGGAAGCAATGCTAATGAGTACCATTAATAGAATGCAATAATTAAGGTATGGTCACACACAAAAATTCTAATGGAATAGATATAAAAGCTAAATATAAAAGAATTCATGTTGATTCCATTTATATAAAGTAGCAAACAGGCCAAAATAATTTAATCCTTTAAATACTGGAAGAGATGTAAACCAAAATCTCAAGAGTTACACTCCTGCAAATAGAAACAACAGAATTATACTGTTGTAGGTAGTGACTTAGAGTGCAAAGAAGGAGCTTCTTGTGAACTCTTGTGAACAGAACAGTGTTCTGTTTTTGTATCTATGTATTACATAAAGAGCTATGTTTGTTTGCAAAATTCCAATGAGCTGTGATTTATAACCTGTGATGGCTCTTTAATTTGATAAAAATACATAAGACCAAAAGGAGTTAAAATAATTTTGGTGGGGGTAGGGAATATTGGTGCTAAGGTCATGAATGAGCTTCCACTTGTGTCTGTACAGGAGAAAACTTATAGAGCCACAGGCACAGATTAAGAAACACAGGAAATATTAGGGAATAATAACAATGTTGTAGATATTGACCCTCTGATTTGATTTTGTCATGAATACAGCAGAAAAGTATCCTATCTTGTTTTCTTTGTGATGTTTTTGCTGCTATATCTGGCAATTATAAACATGGGAAAAATCCTTTTTTTTTTTTTTATTTTGAGATAGTCTCACTCTGTCACCCAGGCTGGAGTGCAGTGCCACGATCTCGGCGCACTACAACCTACACCTCCCGGGTTCAAGTAATTCCTGTGTCTCAGCCTCCCAGGTAGTTGGGATTACAGGCCTGCACCACCACGCCTGGTTAATTTTCATATTTTTAGTAGAGATGGGGTTTCGCCATGTGGGCCAGGCTGGTCTCCAGCTCCTGGCCTCAAGTGATCTGCCTACCTCGGCCTCCCAAAGTGCTGGGGTTACAGGTGTGAGACACTGCACCCGGCTGGAAAAAATCGTATTTATCAATGTATCAGGGTCCAGCAGAGAAAAATGGAAAGCCCAATATACATTGGATAATTCATTTTAAATTCTACACACCTGTAGTTCCTGGGGCTTATCATGATGGCTTGAAACACTGCAGACACAGGTGGTGCCAACGGTCATACCCTACCAACTCTGTGAGGACAGAAACAAATTGGAATCTGAAATCATTTAGGAAGTTATATCACCTAAAATCTGCCATTGACTTGGTGCTGCATACAGAGGTGTGTCTTGGGGACACCTTTAAACAGAATGAGCAAGAAGTGGCTATAATCAGGTGTTTCTGATTCAAATCTGTGGACCTCAATCTGCACCCTGCTAAATAAAAGAAGGCACAATGGTAAGGAAGACAGAAATTTTTCAGGATTCCAACAATATTCTGTGATAAATAGACCATTCCTCCTATCCCTGGAGGCCACTCTGCCAGTTCCTAGTGATTGACATTCGTCTTGAGAGCCAGAAGATCCTGCAGAAAACACGAGGTGTAGATTGCATTAATGACATAACTGAAAAACAGTATTCTACCGAAAAATGTTGAAAGTTTTGTTTTGCTGAGAGACTTTCTAGGGTTGAATGTATAACATTTAAATAGCACTTACAATATAGGAATCGTGCCTATCATGTGGTATGTATGGTACCTTCTTTGATTTTTGTAACTGTATGATGGATTCACTGGCATAATTTTCCTTGTAGAGACAAGAAGAACTTAGATACAGAGAGGTTCAATGATTTGTCAAAATTCACAGGCATCTTCAGGGTTGAAAAGAGACTCGAATTTGACTAGGGTGGTTGCAAAGACAACAACCTAAGGACTTGCTACGCTAACAAATCAGGCAGCTGTGTTTTTAAAAAATCTAGGCCTAGTTAGTTTTGTCTGTTTACCATGCCACTGATTTCTCATCACTGGTATTTTCTTTTATAATTTTGATCAAAGCAAGTTTTTGTTTCTGTGTAAAGATTTACTGTATAGGTCAATATCCAATGTCAATAACTTTTGATATACTAATGAACTGTCGGTGCACTGATTAAAATCCTAAAGGAAACTTCCTCACATGCAAGTTGGATTTACTGAATGCAAGAATGGCTCAATATTAGTTTGGTAGCAGAAAGACTCATTTACTCACCCAACAGGAGAAAACGTACAATGGTATCTATCAAATGAATCATTGAACAATATTACTCTGTTTCTAAACTTTTATACATGAAATACTAACATGTATTAAAACGGTATAGAAACTCAATTATTACTAATTTTTGATCATTTACTCATCAATATATTAATGTACAAGTCATGCGAAGCTATTAGCAGGGAAATATAATTTGTAAAATACAATAAAATAGAAGAAATATGTAAAAACGGAATCCAGAGACCATAAAATCTTGAGCATTATTGATGTTGAAATCATAGGGAAATGAACTTCTACAACTCAATAGCAAAAAATAACTCCTAAAACAAAACAAAACAAAAATAGACCTAATTTAAAAATGGGCTAAAGATCTGAATAGACATTATTATAAAGGAGACATTCAAATGCCCAACAGTTATATAAAAACATGCTCAATGTCACTGATTATGTAGAAAACACAAGTAAAAACCACAATGAGGTATGACTTCCCACCTGTTACAATCACTATTAGCAAAAACAGCCGGTATGGCAAAGATGCAGAGAAATTGGAACCCTTGGATACTGTGGCTGGAAATGTAAGATGGTGCTGCCTGTAGGGAAAACAATATAGACATTAATCAAAAAATTAAAATGAGGCCACATGAGGTGGTGCATGCTTGCAGACCCAATTATGCAGGGGACGGAGGCAAGAGGATAGCTTGAGCCTAGGAGTTTGAGGCCAGCCTGGGAAACATACCAAGACTCCATCTCTAAAAAAAAAAACAACAAAATAAAATAAGAACTACCATATGATCCAGCTTTCCCACTTCTGAGTATTTAGCAAAAGAATTGAAGTCAGGACCTCCAAGAGATATTAGAACTTCCATGCTCATTGCAGCACTGCTCACAATAGCCCCCACCGAACTGTCCGTGGAATGATGAATGGGTGAGGAAAACTTGGTGTATAAATACACAATGGAATATTATTCAACCTTTAGGAAGAAGGAAATTCTGCAGGAGATGACAACATAGATGAACCGTAGGGATACTGTGCTAGGTAAGTAAGGCAGTCAGTGAAGGACAAATACTGCATTATCTCACTTGTATGTGTAATCTGAAATAGCCTCATAGAACGAGAGAGTAGGACGGAGGCTGCCAGGGAGTGCGGGGAGGGGTTAATGAAGAGTTGCTAATTCAGAGGCAAGAAGTCTCAGGAAAACAAGATGAATAACTTCCAGAGATCCCCTGCACAGCATTGGACCTATAGGTAACAGTGCTATAATGTACACTAAGATATTTGTTAAGAGGATAGTTCTCATTGTAAGTAATCTCACTACAATAAAATCAAAAAATTTTAAAGTTATAGAGAGCGTTTTTGACCAGAGAAAAATAACACAAGATACCGTTGACCCTGACAAGTGCTGTTTGAAATTCTTAATAGTAAAGCTACGTTTCCCTTAAATGCTACTTCCCTAACTTCAAGAGGGAAAGCAGCCTCACCATAATCCTAAGAGCACAGAGGTTTTCTGTGGAGGACAATCACTGTCTCCATTAAGCGCATCATTTATACAGAGCAAGGTTTCTTAAAAAAACAAATTATTTTATTCCAGAAATGATTTCAGATGTATGGTTTCTGCACAGGATAAGGTAATTTTTCTAGATCCATCCTACTCTTCATTATAATCATGGAGGCAGTACAAGCATATTATTAAAAATATTATGAATTTACTGTATGATTCCTGGGAGGTATATGAACAACACATATATTTATTTACTACAATCCTTGAGCACCATAAATCTTATTTAATTATCACTGGAATTATTCACCAACCATCATCCCAAGTGAGGATTTTGTTAAGATACCTTTGTATCCATCAGGGATTGGTGTAGGGTTTAGGACTGTCATCTTTCTTCACTGGCTCAGCTTATACATAAGGAATTATTCCTCCTCTTTGTCTGTCTTTAGCACTGGTTCTGTTTCTACCTCAGAGGAACCCCTTTTCTGGACATAATCAATTACTAAGACTTCTTTTTTTCTTCTTTTTTTGAGAGAGTCTTGCTAGTGTCACCCAGGCTGGAGTGCAATGGCACAATCTCGGCTCACTGCAACCTCCACCTCCTGGATTCAAGCGATTCTCCTGCCTCAGTCTCCCAAGTAGCTGGGATTACAGGTGCCCACCACCACGCCTGGCTAATTTTTTGTATTTTTAGTAGAGACGGGTTTTCACCATGTTGGCCAGGCTGGTCTCGAACTCTTTACCTTAGGTGACCCCCCGCCTTGGCCTCACAAAGTGCTGGGATGACAGGTGTGAGCCACCATGCCTGGCCCTAAGACTTCTTTTCTTGCAGATTCTACCTCTCTGGCTGAAAAACAAATATACTCACCTAACTTCTTCCCACTGCCAGAGTGGTTGGTTCAGTGTGAAGATTACAACAACTTGTGCAAATATGGGAGGGAGGCCACCAGACCCTGACATAAAGTTTTGTGATCCTGTGACCTCACCTCACCTTAGAACTGCAATTATCATTTCACCTGGTGCAGCAATAACAGTGCAGACTTTGGGAGACAGTAACATTTTTGAAAAACTTTTTTTTCCAGTTGCAATTACCAAAGGCAATTACAACTTTCTCCTGTCTTCAAAGAGATCATTAAAGTATACAAAAGGGGCTTTTACTTTTCAAGATTCCTGAAGGCTTTAAGCAGCAGAAAATATTGAGGTCTGATGCCTGAGGAATTGGCAGAGAAGCACCTTTATCTCACTGGATTCCCTACTTCTCTGAGATATTTTTCCTAAAATCAAGTTCACTGTTAATTTCCAGAATCCTAAGCTGCTCCATTATTTAAGTATTCAGCAAGTAAATGGAATCAGAGAAAGAATCTAAAATGGATTAATAATAAGAAATGAAATAAGTGCAAAAGAAAAACATGATGTCAATAATTTGCATTAGAAATCATTGGACTTATTTGTATAAACAGAAATTAATTTAGAAATGATGATATGGACGTTTTGTAGGAAAATATACTTTCCTGTTTTGACCCCAACAGTGATAGAAAAAGTCTAAACATGAAAATATTCTTGGCCGGAGGCAGTGGCTCATGCCTGTAATCCCCAGCACTCTGGAAGGCGTGCTGATCGCTTGAGCTCAGGAATTTGAGACCAGCCTGGGCAACATTGCAAAACCCCATCTCTACCAAAAATACAAAAAAATTAGCTGGGCATGGTGGCATGTGTCTGTAGTCCCAGCTCAGGAGGTCAGGAGGCTGAGACATGAGAATCGCTTGAGCCTGGGGGGCAGAGGTTGCAGTGAGCTGAGATTGTGCTACTGCACTCTAGCCTGGGTGACAGAGCCGGAGCCCATCTCAAAAATAATAATACAAATAAAAAATAAGGCTGGGTGTGGTGGCTCACACCTGTAATTTCAGCACTTTGAGAGGTGGAGGTAGGTGGATCACTTGAGGTCAGGAGTTCGAGACCAGCCTGGCCAACATGGTGAAACCCGTCACTCCTAAAAATACAAAAATTAGCCAGGTATGGTGGTTCACACCTGTAATCTCAGCTACTTGGGAGGCTGAGGCATGAGAATTGCTTGGACCAGGGAGGCGAAAGTTGCAGTGAGCTGAGATTGTGCCACTGCACTCCAGTCTGGGTGACAGAGTGAGACTCTGTCTTTAAAAAGAAAATTATATATATATATATATATATATGTGTGTGTGTGTGTGTATGTGTGTGTGTGTGTATAAAATTTATGTTATATATTATATAATTTATATATAACAAATTTAAAAATTAAGAAAATATTTTAAAAAGAAAGATGCTGAATAAAATGCCCATCAAAAATAAAGTACCAATTCACATGATTTGACAGGCAAATTCTGCCATTCTTTTACCTATTAGATATTTATAATAGGTAAAATTAGATAATAGGTAACCATCTGCTGCTTACTGCATTATTTAATAGGTAGAACAGCAGTAGATAGTTACCAGAACTCTCTATATACACTGTTCCTCAATTTCTAGAAAGAAGCACTCATCCGTTATGTAATCAATTGGGAAGTGAAAATGTAAGAGCCAGGTCCGAAGATAGTCAGTTATCTCAATGGATTGTTCACAGTCAGTTACAGATGGAACTCCTTATTCTACTCTTTCCCCCTTGTCACTACTGCACTTGATTAGTCTTAAGAAAAAAAGAAAATAGGGCCAGGCACAGTGGCTCATGCTTGTCATCCCAGCACTTTGGGAGGCTGAGGTGGGTGGATCACGAGGTCAGGAGTTCAAGACCAGCCTAGCCAACATGGTGAAACCCCATCCCTACTAAAAATACAAAAATTAGCCAGGCATGGTGGCGGGCGCCTGTCAAGTCCCAGCTACTCGGGAAGCTGAGGCAGGAGAATCGCTTAAACCCAGGAGGCGGAGGTTGCAGTGAGCCCAGATCCGCCACTGCACTCCAGCCTGGGCGATGGAGTAAGACTCCGTCTCAGAAAAAACAAAGAAAATAAATAAAATATAAGAGTCCAAAGTGAAACTTTGATTTCTCAACACACAAATCCACAATTTGACCTAGGTGCACTCTCCATTCTTCTAGGAAATATTTGAGGCCAACTGAGAAGTTACAGGAAACACAGTCCACACAAGACCACACTCACTTCAGACACCAACTGGAAGTTCAGAATTTCCCCAAGTCACTCTATAGTTGGATGATTCACTGGAAGAACTCACGGAACTCCCTGAAAGCTGTTACGCTCATGGTTACAGTATATTACAGGGAAAAATACAGGTTAACATCCACAAGGGAAGAAGCAGATGGGGCAGAATTTAGGAAAAGCACCATATCTGGAGTTTCCTGTTGTCCTCTCCCTGCAGTCATGGAAGCATTACTTTCCCAGCATCAATAAATGATGGTACTTATGGAATATTACCAACCAGGGAAGCTCATTCAAGCCTTGGTGCCCAGAGTTATAGTGGAATGTGGTCAAATACTTTGCATGGTTGACCTTTCATCTCCAGCCCCTCCTCACTGTCCAGCCTTGCACAGTTCCTCCAGAATTTGGAATTCATATGGTTTATCCAAATCGCTAATCAAAAATCACAGTGTTAGTGTTCAGTAGGTAAGCCTGCAAGCAAACAGAGGCACTCGTATCAGGCACGGCTTTTTAAGGGCACGGAGATCCGCTCCCTATGCACTTGCGGCTAAAGGATGCAATGTGTTTAAAGGGCACTGCGGGTTTTCAGGACACTATGGGACAAAGTGTGCAAGGAAGTTAGGGAATAACACACAGTGAACTCTGAGGAACTGAGGGATGCAGTGGGCATGGGAATAAAGGAATAATGGAGAGGGGACCATAGGCAGAAGTAAGTGATGGAGCGGAGTGGGTAAAACACCCAGGAGAGATAAAGTCCACAGATGCTTAAAGAACATGGAGGATGGAGATGTGTATATGTTGAATAAGATTTAAAGATTCTTTTCATGAAAAGACACAAGACAGTGACATTTGGAAAGAGGAAAGGCAGTATTCTGCTACCTACAGCTCCAAAGGACAGAAAAATGTCAGAAGAGCCATGGAGGGCATTGCAGCAAGGGTCAGGTAACAGCAAGCTGGAGCAGTACCGGGGCTTATGAGGGCAAGCAGAGCGAGAGGCTGAGCTAGTGTTGCAGGACACCCTGTGAGTTGGCTAAGTTGAACCATTTCAAGGGCTTCAAGGCAAAGTGGCTGTACCTAGTAATCTGGTACTGTTTGGGAGCCGAAAAGGCCAAAGGGATTGTGACCAACTCAGCATTCCACTGGAGGCTATATGATCAAACAGCAAAGTGTTTATCATGATTACAGGACGTGAGAAAACTCATGACTGCACCTGCCACCAGGAGGTTTGCTGAGGGCCATCACTCCCTGGTGCCGGGCTCCTTGAAGTTATCTACTGGGAAATCTAGCACCTATGGTTTGAAGGATGCAGTCTCTCAAGCCTGCTGTGAACCAAAATTGCCGACTGACAATTACCCAATAATCATCCTCTCTTTCTCGTTATCTCTTTTACCTAATAAATTTGGAGGGCTGAAAAAGCTCAGAGCCTTTTCCACTAGAGGCAAGTTTCCCCCTTTTCCAAATATACTCTCTTTGTCTTTTATTCCTGCGTTTGCCCCTTTTGTTCAGTCCACCAGGGATCGTGGCAGGTTACATGGTACATAGCCCTGAGAGGATTAAAATGGGTACATAGTGGCCTGGGGGTGTAGACTTAAACAGCTACTCAATTAGGGGAACTGGCCAACTCTAGCCAGTATCTCAAATCTGAGTCAAGGCAGCATTAACCAAAAAGGATACTGTAAAATCTGGTCGGGCACGGTGGCTCACACCTGTAATCCCAGCACTTTGGGAGGCTGAGGCAGGCAGATCACCTGAAGTCAGGAGTTTGAGACCAGCCTGGGCAGCATCACAAAACCCCATCACTGTGAAAAATATAAAAATTAGATGGGCATGGTGGCACATGCCTGCAATCCTAGCTACTCGGGAGGCTGAGGCATGAGAATGGCTTGAACCCGGGAGGCGGAGATTGTGGTGAGCCAAAATTGCACCACTGCACTCCAGCCTGGCAATAGAGCGAGACTCTGTCTCAAAAAAAAAAAAAAAAAAAAAAAAAAAAGGTCTTACGGTGGAGTGCAGATGTCCTGGGGGTTGTTAATATTCCAAGAGAGAGACAGAGGCCAGGAGGGGGAGCTCAAGCCTTGCAGGAGAGATAATGGACACGGGGAGACGAAATGATTTCTGGTGATTAATAAGGTGGTGAGGATGGTGGACTTGAGGATGCTGAAGGGTGAGGGACAGAGGGAGCTGATGGCAACCTATGATTGAGATCTGGGATTTCAAGGGAGAAGACATGGAGAATGTGGAAATTGAGCCATGGGCACAAGAATGGGAGAAACTAGAAGTCAAGAGGAAGGGTGTGACGGTCCTAAAAGGGTGGGGGACTGTTGGGCTGAGATCCCCGTAATTGTGCAGGGCATAAAGTTGACAGAGGAAGGAATCCAAATTGGTGTTGAATTTAGGTGGGGTAAGAATATCTAGAAGGTTTGGATGGATGAGGGGGCAGGGGAACAGATATAGACAAATGGGTTGGAGAGTGATGGGACAAGGAGAGGACTAGGGGACGAATAAAGACCTAAAAGGCAGTGGGGTGGACATCAAGGGGGGGTTATTCAGGTGGACAAAGAAGCATTATGGAGATTGGGGGATGGAGATACATCTGCAAAGACCCTATTTCCAAATAAGGCCACATGCTGAGGTACTGGGGGTTAAGATTTCTTTCCTTCTCTTTTCTTTCTTTCTTTTCTTTCTTTCTTTCGTTCTTTCTTCCTTTCTTTCTTTCCTTCTTTCTTTCTCTTTCCTTCCTTCCTTCTTTCCCTCCCTCCCTCCCTCCCTTCCTTCCTTCTCCCTCTCTCTCTTTCTTCTTTCCCTTGCTCTGTCACCCAGGTTGCATTGCAGTGGCACAATCTCGGCTCACTGCCACCTCCGCCTCCTGGGTTCAAGTGATTCTCCTGCCTCAGCCTCCCTAGTAGCTGGGATTACAGGCGCACACCACTATGCCCAGCTAATTTTTGTATTTTTAGTAGAGACGGGGTTTTACCATGTTGGCCAGGCTAGTCTAGAACTCCTGACCTCAGGTGATCCACCCACCTCGGCCTCCCAAAGTGCTGGGATTACAGGCATGAGCCACCATGCCTGTCCTAAGATTTCAATATACGAATTTTGGGGAGACACAATTCAACCCACAGCAGAAGATGCAGGTTGATAACATTTTTTTAAAAAGGCTTGTTCTCAAAATGCAACTGTGATTTTTCAAGATACTGAGAAAGAGGCTTAGAAGGAAAGAGAAGAAAATCCTTCTTTCTCAGGCCAATGTGGAGTCCCAGGGGAGATGCTGTGTCCTCTCTTCCTCACGAAATGATATGTCTTTATAATTTGAAGATATTTACCTTTCTGTTTTTGAGATACTGAGCCTAGAACAGATTATGTTATGGGTGTGTGTGTGTGTGTGTGTGTGTGTGTGTGTGTAGACAGTGAGAAACTTCAAGAGGCTGAGGCATGAGAATCGCTTGAACCTGGGAGGCGGAGGTTGCAGTGAGCCGAGATGGTGCCACTGCATTCCAGCCTGGGTGACAGAGGCAGACTCTGTCTCAAAGGAAAAGAAAATAGCTATTTTTGGAGATCCAAACAGTATCAGTCATGGTATTAATGAACAATGTATCTTTATTTTTATTATTTAAATATTTTAGCATTAAATTTGTTTTATAGGAAGAATGTAACTTACCACAAACATAGCAACTTAATATGACACCCATTTATTGTTTTGCTGTTTTTGGATCAGAAATCTCAAGGCCTGGCCGGATACACTGATCAGGGTGTAAAAAGGCTGGATCAAGGATCAGCCAGCCTGGGCTCTCATCTCGAGACACTGGGAGACAAACAATCCACTTTCAAGATCTTTTAGATTGTTGGCAAAAATTTATTTACTTCTGAGAGTTTCTTTGTGCAGGTATATCCATACCATATTCAATACCAGCAATAATGTATACCACCCCTCTGATGTTGCTTATCTCTGACTTCCTCTTCTGCTGCATCTCTCTGTCTTATTCTCCCTCTTTAAGGGCTCATGTAATTGGGACTGACACTGGGTCTACCAGATAATCCAGGGCTATCTTCCTGTCTTAAAAACAGCTGGGCAGGCCGGGCATGGTGGCTCACGCCTGTAATCCCAGCACTTTGGGAGGCCGAGGCGGGCAGATCTTGAGGTCAGGAGATTGAGACCATCCTGGCCAACATGGTGAAACTCCAGATCTACTAAAAATACAAAAATTAGCCAGGCGTAGTGGGATGTGCCTGTAATCCCAGCTACTCAGGAGGCTGAGGCAGGAGAATTGCTTGAACCAGGGAGTCAGAGGTTGCAGTGAGCCAAGATGGCGCCATAACACTCCAGCCTGGCAACAGAGCAAGACTCCGTCTCTATAAATAAATAAATAAATAAATAAATAGCTGGGCAGTAACCTTCATTACAATCGCAAAATCCCTTTTACCATGTAACATAACATAATCACAGAAGTAACCAATGGATAGTTCTTCAAGTGATCATGGACTGACCCAGTTCTCCTCCCTTTCTTGCTATAGTTCTCAAGAATAACTGTAGAGTGTTCTGGAAATGGAGCTTCCTGAGATAGGGAGGGGCTGGCTGGAACAGCCTGGGTTCTGTTTCAGTCTTTGCTAGACACTGGATATCCTTCAATGCTTTAGCCCATTGTTCATGTGACCCCAGGGTATGAAACCCAGGGTAGCTTGCTCTCTAGGTCCTTCCTTAAGCCTTCAGTGCAAGTGAAACTCACTTAGAGTCCATCTGCCCTGGCTGCTTTCCTGAGCCGTGGTGGGATTGTTGTCCAGCCTTGTTCTTCTTGATCAAGATTGCTTTGGCTATTTGGGTTCTGAGAGCTAAAAATAAAATCCTAAGCGCTCCAACCACCTGTGGCCAAGGGGACCCCAGAGGAACCTTAAAAACTGAGTTCTAGGCTGGGCACAGTGGCTCACGCCTGTAATCCCAGCACTTTGGGAGGTTGGATCACGAGGTCAGGAGTTCGAGACCAGCCTGACCAACACGGTGAAACCCTATCTCTACTAAAAATACAAAAAATTAGCCAGGCGTGGTGGTGCACGCCTGTAATCCCAGCTAACTCAGGAGGCTGAAGTAGGAGAATCACTTGAACCCGGGAGGCAGAGGTTGCAGTGAGCCGAGATCGCACCCCTACATTCCAGCCTGGGCGACAGAGTGAGACTCCGTCTCAAGAAAAACAGAAAACAACAACAACAACAACAAAAACTGAGTTCAGGCCAAGACAGGATGGGAGGTTAGATATTTCGTTATACCCTCCTTTTGTGGCGTAAACACAACAACTGACCAACATTAATGTTAAAATAGAAATCATGGCTAGGCCCAGTGGCTCACACCTGTAATCCCAGCACTTGGGGAGGCCGAGGCGGGTGGATCACAAGGTCAGGAATTTGAGACCAGCCTGGGCAACATAGTGAAACCCCCATCTCTACTAAAAATACAAAAATTAGGTGTGGTGGCGCACGCCTGTAGTCCCAGCTACTTAGGAGGCTGAAGTAGGAGAATCGCTTGAACCCGGGAGGCAGAGGTTGCAGTGAGCCGAGATCAAGCCACTACACTCCAGCCTGGGCAACAGAGCAAGACTCCATCTCAAAAATAAATAAATAAATAAATAAATAAATCGAGATCACAAGACCAACAGAATGGATTCTTTGGGGCAATGAGATACCAAATTATGAACAAGACCTAAAGCCACACCAGGCAAGGGTTAAGTCACACACCCCTACACTTAAAGAATAAACTATGTTCTAACTGCCATACGGTTGTTCTTTTTCTCTAGCAGCAAAAATAAAGTGCATTGGCCTCAAAACAAGCAATATTAAAACAATTGCAGTATATCCATCACCAGATACTGACCCAGAGCCCCGTGTTCCACAAGCCATAACTATAGCTTTGATTGGACAAGAGACTGATTTTGGTAACATTCTCCTGATAAGAGACCACCAACCATGGACTGCTTCTGGTGGGTTTTACAGAGGCTGCACACAGAGCACCTTCACCTTTTGACTTGTAGGGCCTAATTGCAATACATTTAAATGTTCAACCTCCATCTCAAGGTTAGCATGAGACACAGGTAGCATGCATGTTTGTTCAAAATGCATGCGTTGGGGCCCCGTGCATGAATAGTCATAGCTCATCCTGTTACCTGTTGAATATGTATACTTGGCCAACTCGTTCAGCATAAATTTCTTTTCCACTGGGAGCTCTACTGGAATTTACACTTCCCAGTCTGTCAGAATGGCCACCTTGTAGCCTGTAACCCTTTATAAGAAATGATTTCTCCCATCTGAATTTGTAGGTCTTGTGATTTCTCAGTAGAAAGTTCTTTTTCTGTTGCCATATGAATCTTAGGATTGGTTATTCATTAGTGTGATAAATACGATCGATATTTTTATAGGAATTGAACTGAATCTGTAGATCACTCATTATACTATAGACCTTTTAGAAATACTGAATCTGCAAATCCATTAACATGGGATGTATTTTCATTTACTTATGTCTTCTCCAATTTCTTCCATCAATGTCTTATAGTTTTAAGGGTGCAGATATTTCACCCACGTGTTTAAATTCATTTTCAAGTATTTTTGGTGCTACTGTAATGAGATTGTTTATTTCCTTTGCAGACAGTGTATTGTTAGTATGTACAAATGCAACTAATTTTTATGTTGACTTTGCACCTTGCAACATTCCTGCACTCATTAATTAGCTGTAAAAGATGACATACATGTAAAAGCAGACATACATACAGCCAATGATCATATGAAAAAAAGCTCAATATCACTGATCATTAGAGAAATGCAAATCAAAGCCACAATCATCACACCAGTCAGATGGCTCTTACTAAAAAGTCAAAAAAATAACAGATGCTGGTGAGGTTGTGGAGAAAAGGGAGCACTTATACACTTAGTGAGAGTGTAAATTAGTCCAGCCATTGTGGAAAGCAGTGTGGCAATTCCTCAAAGAGCTAAAAACAGAACTACCATTTGACCTAGCAACCCCATAACTGAGTATCTACCCAAAGAAATATAAATCATTCTCCCATAAAGACACACACACCTATATACTCATTGCAGCACTACTCACAATAACAGACATGGAATCAACCTAAATGCCCATCAATGGTACTGGATAAAGAAAATGTGGTACATATACACCATGGAATACTATGCAGCCACAAAAAAGAATGAGATCATGTCCTTTGCAGGGACATGGATGGAGCTGGAGGCCATTATCTTTAGCAAACTAATGCAGGAAGAGAAAATCAAATACCACATATTCTCACTTATAAGTGGGAGCTAAATGATGAGAACACATGGACAGATGGAGGGGAATGAACAACAGACACCGGAGCTTACTTGAGGATGGAGGCTGGGAGGAGGGAGAGGACCAGAAAAAAATACTGATCAGGTACTATGCTTAGTACCTAAGTGATGAAATAATCTGTATAACAAACCCCCATTATACAAGTTTACCTATGTAACAAACCTCCATATTTACCCCCGAACCTAAAATAAAAGTTTAAAAAAAAAAAGACTATTCATAAGAGGCTGGGTGCTGTGGCTCAAGCCTGTAATCCCAGCACTTTGGGAGGCTGAAGTGGGTGGATCACTTGAGCCCAGGAGTTCAAGACCAGCCTGGGCAACACAGGGAGACCCCTCTCTACAAGAAAAAAAAATTTAAATCAGTGAGGCCCAGCGGCATGCACCTGTAGCCCCAGCTACTCAGGAGGTTGAGGTAGGAGAATCACTTGAGCCCAGGAGGTGGAGGCTGCAGTGGGCTATGATCACACTTTTGTGCTTCAGCCTGGGGTGACAAAGTAAGACCCCATCTCTTAAAGAAAAATAAAGAATATGCATAGGAGACAAAAAATGTGTGCATAATTGCACACATAGGGTTCTCCAGAGAAACAGAAACAGTAGTTGTGTGTGTGTACATAGATATATGAAAAATATTATTATGAGGAATTGGCTCATGAGATTATGGAGAAGTCTCACAATCTGCCATCTGCAAGGTGGAGACCAACAAAAGCCAGTGTTGTAATTCCAGTTTGAGCCCAAAGGCCTGAGAACCAGGAAGTCCGTGGTGCCAGTCCTAGACCAAAGGAGGAAAAGATCAATGTCCCAGCTCAAGCAGGAAGGCAGGAGGAAAAAGAGGTAAATTCTTCTTTCCTCTACCTTTTGTTCTATCCAAGCCTTCAACTGATTGGATGATGCCCAGGGACACTAGGGAGGGCAATCCTCTCAGCTGAGAACATCGATTTGAATGCTTATCTCATCTGGAATCATCCTCACAGACGCCCTCAGAAATGATGTTCCATCTGCACATTCCTTGGCCTAGTCAAGCAGACACATAAAATGAACTGTCATAATGAATTAATATAATATGTATTATATAATATCAAGAATGCGATGTGCATGCTTATCTTAATGAACTTCAGGATATTTACGTATGATAACACATAGTATATACTATGTAAAAATAGTACTAGGCCAGGCACGGTGGCTCATGCCTGTTATCCCAGCACTTTGGGAGGCTGAGGCAGGCGGATCACCTGAGGTCAGGAATTCGAGACCAGCCTGGTCAATATGGTGAAACCCCACCTCTACTAAAAATACAACCAAAATTATCCAGGCATGGTGGTGCGCCTGCAATACCAGCTACTCAGGAAGCTGAGGCAGGAGAATCCCTTGAACCCAGGAGGCAGAGATTGCAGTGAGCCGAGATCATGCCACTGCACTCCAGCCTGGGTGACAGAGGGAGACTCTATCTCAAAAAAAAAAAAAAAAAAAAAAAGGAATATACATAGATACAAATTTAATGGGAAAATATTTAAATAATAAATTAAAGGCAAATTGTTCATTAATAATCCATGACTGATACTATTTGGATCTCCAGAAGGAACAATTTTTGGTATTAAGGTGTATTCTCCCTCTGAGGATTGAATACATATTCAATCTGAAATTGGATCTGAAGTTGCTCTCTGTCTACACACACGCACACACACACACACACACACACACACACACACAACTAACATATAATGTTCTAGGCTCAATATCGTACACACAACTAACATATTCTATTCTAGGCTCAGTATCTCAGAAGCAGAAATCAGTAAAGAGCTTCAAATTCTAAAGACATGGCATTTCCTGAGGAAGAGAGGACACAGCATCTCACCTGGTACTCCACATTGGCCTAGGAAAGAAGGATTTTCTTCTCTTCTCCTCTAAGCCCCCTTCTCATTATCTTGAAATATCTCATCTACATTTTGAGAATATGCCTTTTATGGCATCAACATGCACTTTCTGCTATGGGTTGAATTGTGTTCCCCCACCCAATTCATGTTGAAATCTTAACCCCCAGTACCTCAGCACACGACCTTTATAGAAATAAAGACTTTGAAGATGTAATCCCATCCACCACTATCCATACCTTGACCATCATCCCACTGCCGTTTAGGGCTTATTCATCCCCTAATCTTCTCTCTGTCCCATCCTTCTATAACCCCTTTACTGACACCTGCCCCACCCCCATCCACCCAAACCTTCTACATTTTCTTTTTTCTTTCTTTTTTCTTTTCTTTTTTTTTTTTTTTTTGAGACCGAGTCTTGCTCTATCGCCCAGTCTGGAGTACAGTGGCACAATCTCTGCTCACTGCAACCTCCACCTCCCGGGTTCAAGCGATTCTCCTGCCTCAGCCTCTGGAGTTGTTGGGAGTACAGGCGCCCACCCCATGCCCTGCTAATTTTTGTAGTTTTAGTAGAGATGGGGTTTCACCATATTGGCCAGGCTGGTCTCAAACTTCTGACCACGTGATCCACCTGCCTCGGCCTCCCAAAGTGCTGGGATTACAGGCATGCGCCACCACGCCCGGCTAATTTTGTATTTTTAGTAGAGACAGGGTTTCTCCATGTTGGTCAGGCTGGTCTTGAACTCCTGACCTCAGGTGATCTGCTCGCCTCCGCCTCCCAAAATGCAGGGATTACAGTCGTGAGCCACCGCGCCCAGCCCTTAGCATCTTATTCATCATATCACCGTGTTACTTATCTCCCCTGTTAGGCTGGAGCTCCCCCTCCTGGCCTCTGTCTCTGTCTTGGAATATTAACTACTCTGAGGACATCCATATCCCATTATTAGATTTTAAAGCAGATTTTTTTCCTTTTATTTGTAATCCTGTCTTGACACAGATGTGAGTTACTGGCTAGGGTTGGCTAGTTCCCCTTATTGAGCAGCTGATTGTGTCCACACCCTAAAGCCACGATGTACCCTAATCCCCATAGAGCTATGTACCAGCTTACCAGGGACAGCTGCTTTGGCCCAGAGTCCATGAAATAATTCAACATAGCCAACTCACAAGGCGTCATGTAACACTAGCTCAGCCTCCAGCTCCGACACTCATCATAAGCCCCCCTACTGCTCCAGCGTGCTGTTACTTAGCCCTTGGTGCAACGCCCTGCGTGGCTCTTTTGACATTTTTCTGTCCTTTGAAGCTGTAACTAACAGAATTCTGCCTTTCTTCTTTCCAAGTGTCACTGTCTTGTGTCTTTCTTTGAAAAAAATATTTAAATCTTATCCCACATATATGCTTTCTCTCCTTGTGTCTTTAACCCTGATGGACATAAACCTTCCTGGTTGTTTTACCCACCCCTGCCCATCCCTCATTTCTGCCTAGTGTCCCCTCTCCATTATCCCTTTTATCCCCATAACCACTGCACCCCGTAGTCCCTCAGAGCAGAATGTGTGCAGTTCCCTTAACTTCCTTGCACACTCTGTCTCATGCTACACTGAAACCCAGCAGAGCCCTTTAAACACACTGCATCCTGTAACCCCCAAGTGCTTAGGGAGTGGTGTCCGTGCTCTTAAAATGCCATGTCTAGTAGGAGTATCTCCGTTTACTTTCAGACTTGTTTCCTGAACACTAAGTTTGTTTGTTTTTTTTTTTTCTGAGATAGAGTGCAGTGGTGCAATTTCGGCTCACTGCAACCTCCGCCTTCCAGGTTCAAGCGATTCTCTTGCTTCAGCCTCCTGAGTAGCTGGGACTACAGGCATGCGCCACCATGCCCAGCTAATTTTTGTATTTTTAGGAGAGATGGGGTTTCACCATGTTGGCCAGGATGGTCTCGATCTCTTGACCTCGTGATCCACCCACCTCGGCCTCCCAAAGTGTTGGGGTTACAGGCATGAGCCACCGCGCCTGGCCATACGTTTTGATTTTTTATTAGGGCTTTGGATATACCATATCAATTCTGAACTCTGGAGGAACTGTAAATCTATATATAAGGCTGGACACTGGGAGGGGCTGGAAACTAATGGTCAGCTATGGAGAGTATGTGATCACACCTCAGTAAAACTCTGGGCACTAGGGCTTGAATGAGCTTCCCTGGTTGGCAATATCCCATAGGTGTTGTCGTGTATTGGTTCCTGGAAAGGAATTCACCTATGACTCTGCAGGGAGAAGACAAATGGAAGCTCCAAATGTGGTGCTTATCCTGGACTCTGCCCTGACTGCTTCTTCCCTTGGCTGATGCTACCCTGGATCTTTTTCATGTAATAAACTGTAACTGTGAGCATGGCAGCTTTCAGGGAGTTCCATGAGTTCTTCCAGTGAATTGTCCAACTTTAGGGTGATTTGGGGAAGCACTGAAATTGCAGTGGGCATCTGAAGTGAGTGTGGTCTTGTGTGGACTATGTTTCCTGTAACTTCTCAGTTTACCTCAAATGTCTCCTAGGAGAATGGAGAGTGGACTTAGGTCAAATTGTGGATTTGTGTGTTGGGAAACCAAAGTTTCATTTTCGGCTCTTCTATTTTAAACTTCCAAATTAATGGCATAACTGGTTAGTGCTTTTTACTAAAAATTCAGGAATGGTAAATGTAGAGAAATTTCCTATCTACTGCTGTTCAATTGAGAAGATAGCCTAGGTTTATCTAATAATTAAAAGAATGGCTGGGCATGGTGGCTCACGCCTGCAATCCCAGCACTTTGGGAAGCTGAGGTGGGCGGATCACCTGAGGTCAGAAGTTCAAGACCAGTCTGGCCAACATGGTGAAACCCCATCTGTACTAAAAATATAAAAAAATTAGCCAGGTGTGGTGGCATGCACCTGTAATCCTAGCTACTTGAGAGGCTAAGGCAGGGGAATTGCTTGAACCGGGGAGGTGGAGGTGGCAGTGAGCCGAGATTGCGCCACTGCACTCCAGCTTGGGCAACAGAGGAAGACTTCAACTCAAAAAAAAAAAAAAAAAGAATGGTAGAATTTGGCTGTTAAATCATGTGATCCTTGTGTTTTATTTGTGAGAGACTTTTTTTTTTTCACATCTTTCTCTTTAGAATATTTTTATGTCCAGACTTTTTCTGTCACTGCTGAGGTCACAATAGTAAAGTATATTTCCTAGAACGTGTCCATATTATCATTTCTAAATTAATTTACATTTAATTATACAAATGAGTCCAGCGATTTCTAATGCAAATTACTCCATGCTTTTCTCTCACATTTATCTCATTTTTTATTAATCCATTCTAGATCCTTTATCTGATTCCAGTTACCTGCTGAATACTTACATAATGGATCTGCAAATTAAGGATGAGCTTGATTTTAGGAAGAAGAGTATCTCATAGAATTAGGAAATCCAGTGAGACAAACATGCTTCTCTACAAGTGCCTCACAGATCAAACCTCAATATTTTCTGCTCCTTGCAGTCTTCAGGGATTGTGAAAAAGTAAGAGCCTCTTTTGGATACTTCAGTGGTCTCTTTGGAGACATTTATGAGAAAGTTGTAATTGCCTCTGGTAATTAGCAACTGCAAAAAGTTTTTCAAAAAGTTATCAACTCCCTAAGTCAGCTGTCATTGCTGCTACAGGTAAAATTATAATTGCACTTCTGAGGGAAGATGAGGTCACAGACTCACAAACCTTTATCTCAGGGTCTGGCTGCCTCCTTCCCACACAGTGCTGTTATGACCGTCACACAAACTGGGCTGTCCTGGCAGTGGGAAGGAATCAGGTGAGTATTTTTGTGTTTCAGTCTGGCAGGCAGAATCTGCAAGAAAAGAAGTCCAAGTGGTCATGTCTGGAAAGGGATTTCTCTTTTGTAGAAACAAAGTCAGTAGCAAAGCCAGACAGGGAGGAGGAATAATTACTCTCTTATGGGCTGAGTCAATAAAGAGAGATGAGAGGCCTAAACCTTATACCAATCCCTGATGGATACAAAGCTATCATAATAAAATCCGGACGAGCACGGTGGCTCACACCTGTAATCCCAACACTTTGGGAGGCTGAGGCGGGCACATCACTCGAGTTCAGGAGTTTGAGACCAGCCTGACCAACATGGCGAAACCCCATCTCTACTAAAAATACAAAAATTAGCTGGGTGTGATGGCTGGCGCCTGTAATCCCAGCTACTTGGGAGGCTGAGATAGGAGAATCACTTGAACCCGGGAGACGGAGGTTGCAGTGAGCTGAGATCACACCTCTGCAGTCCAGCCTGGGTGACAATACTAGACTCCATCTCAGAAACCAAACAAAACGAAGGTAACTTAATAAAATCTTCACTTAGGATGAGAGTTGGTGAATAATTCCAGTAATAATTAAATAAGATTTATGGTGCTCAAGGATTGTAGTAAATAAATATATATGTTGTTCACACACCTCATAAGAATCACACAGTACATTTACAGTATTTTTAATAATATGCTTATACTGCCTCCATGATTATAATGAAGAGTAGGATAGAGCTAGAAAAATTACCTTATCCTGTGCAGAAACCATATATCTGAAATCATTTCCAGAATAAAATTGTTTTTTAAGAAATCTAACTCTGTATAAATGATGCGCTTAATGGAGACAGTGATTGTCCTCCACGGAAAACCTCTGTGCTCTTAGGATTATGGTGAGGCTGCTTTCCCTCTTGAGGTTAGGGAAGTAGCATTTAAGGGAAGGGTAACTTTACTATTAAGAGTTGCAAACAGCAGTAGTCAGGATCAACTGTATCTTGTGTTATTTTTCCTGGTCAAAAATATTCTGCATAACTCTTTAATTTTTTTTTTTTTTGAGATAGTTTTGCTCTTTTTGCCCCAGATGGAGTGTGTGATTTTGGCTCACTGCAACCTCCGCCTCCCGGGTTCAAGCTATTCTCCTGCCTCAGCCTCCCGAGTAGCTAGGATTACAGATGTATGCCACCATGCCTGGCTAATTTTTGCACTTTTTTTAGTAGAGACAGGGTTCCATCACGTTGGCCAGGCTGGTTTCGAACTCCTGACCTCAGGTGATCCACCGACCTCGACCTCCCAAAGTGCTGGGATTACAGGCATGAGCCACGGTGCCCGGCCTATCCTACTCTCTCATTCTATGAGGCTATTTCAGATTACACACACAAGTGAATCATGCAGTATTTGTCCTTCACTGACCGCCTTACTTACTTAGCATAACGTCCTTAAGATTTATCCATGTCGTCATCTCTTGCAGAATTTCCTTCTTTCTAAAGGCTGAATAATGTTCCACTGTATATTCACACATCCCATTTTTTTCGTCCATTCATCATTCAATGGATAGTTAGGTCGTTTCCACATCCAAGCTATTGTGAGCGGTGCTGCAATGACCATGGAAGTTCTGATATCTCTGAGGTCCTGATTTCAGTTATTTTGCTATATACTCAGAAGTGGGAAGGCTGGATCATATGGTAATTGTCACTATTTTATTTTATTATTTTATTTTATTTTAGAGACAGAGTTTCCCTGAGTAACTGCAGGTCTGCAGGCGTGCACCACATCTGGCTTCATTTTAATTTTTCTGAGGAACATCTGTATCATTTTCCATATAGACAGCACCATTTTGCATTTTCAGCCACAGCGTATAAGAGTTACAATTTCTCTGCCTCTTTGCCACACTTGCTGTTTTGGGTTTTTGCTAATAGTAATTATAAGAGGTGTGAAGTGATGCTTCACTCTGGTTTCGACTTGTATTTTCTGCAGAATCAATGACATGGAGCATGTTTTTATACACCTGTTGGGCATTTGAATGTCTTCTTTGGAGTAATGCTATTCAAGCCTTTAACCCATTTTAAAATTGATCTATTACTTTCTTGTTTTAGGAGTTATTTTTTGCTATTGAGTTGTAAAAGTTCACTTTACTATGATTTCAACATCCATAATGCTCAAGATTTTGTGTTCTCCAGATTCCATTTTGCAGATATTTCTTCTGTTTTAATGTATTTTACAAATTACACTACCCTGCTAATAGTTTCACATAACTTGTACATTAACATATTGATTTCTGACTGATCAAAAATTACCAATAATTGAGTTTCTATCTATATTGTTTTATTACCTGTTAGTATTTCATGTTTAACAGTCTAGAAACAGAGTAATATACTTCAATAATTTCATTGATAAATGCTGTAGTATTTTCTCCTCCTATTGGATGAGTTAATGAGTTTTTCTGCTACCAAAGTAATATTGAGCCATTCTTGCATTCAGTAAATCCAACTTGTACCAGGGGAAGTTTCCTTCAGGATTATACTCTAAATAGTGCACCAACAGTGTATTGGGATTTCAAAGGTTACTGACATTGGATATTGACTTATGCAGTAATTCTTTACACAGGAATGGAAACTTGTTTTGAACAAAATTATAAAATAAAATACCAGAGATGGAAAATAAAATGGCATGGTAAACAAACAAAACTAACTAGGTCCAGATTTTTTGAAAACACAGCTGAATGGTCTGTTAGGATAGCACAGGCCTTAGCAATCACCTTTGCAGACACCCTAGTCAGGTGCAAGTCTCCTCTCAGCTCCTAAGCAGCTTGTGAATTTCCACAAATCACTGCACCTCTCTGTATCTTAAGTTCCTTTTGTCTCTACAAGGAAAAGTATGCCAGTGAATCCATCATACAGTTACAAAAATCAAAGAAGGTATACATATCACATTACAGCAGTGATTCCCATATCGTAAGTGCTCTTTAAATGTTATACATTCAACCCTAGAAAGCCTCTTTGCAAAACAAAACTTTAAATGTTTCTCAGTAGAATACGGGTTTTTCCATTGATATTATTAATGGATAATATCACCTCACCTACACTTCATGTTCTCTGCAGGATCTTCTGGCTCTAAAGATGAATATCAGTCACTGGGAACTCGCAGAATGGCCTCCAGGGAGTTGGCAATAGGAATGATCTACTTGTCGTAGAATTTTGTTGGAATCCTGAAGAGTTTCTGTCTTCTTTACTATTATGTCTTCTTTTACTTAACAGGATGCAGGTTGAGGACCACAGATTTGAATTGGAAGCACCTGATTATAGCCACTTCTTACGCATTCTGTTTAAGGGTATCCCCAAGACACACCTCTGTATGCAGCACCAAATCAATGTCAGATTTTATATTGAATAATTTCCTTCATGATTTTGGATTCTGATTTGCTATCCTCACAGAGTTGGTAGGGTGTGACCGTTGGCACCACCTGTGCCTGCAGTGTTTCAAGCCATCATGATGAGCCCCAGGAACTCCAGATGTATAGAATTTAACATAAACTATCCTAAGTATATGGAGCTTTCTATTTTCCTCTACTGGACCTTGAATATGCTGATAAATATGGTTTTACCCTATGCGTGTGATTGCCAAACAGCAGCAGAAACATTACAAACAAAACAAGATAGGATAGTTTTCTTCTGTATTCAGGACAAAAATCAAAGAATCAGCATATATAGCATTGGTATTATTCTCTTATGTTTCTTGCTGTGGCTGTTAACCTGTGCCTGCGTCTTCATAAATTTTATCTGGTACAGACACAAGTGGAAGCTCACACACATTCTTAGCACCAATATCCCCACCCTGAACTTCTTTTAACTCTTTTCGGTGATATGTATTATTATTTTTTATTTTTTTAATAGTTTTTTTAAAATTAAATTTTAAGTTCCAGGATAAATGTGCTGGATGTGCAGGTTTGTTACATAGGCAAATGTGTGCCGTGGTTGTTCGTTGCACCTATCAACCCATCACCTAGGTATTAAGCCCTGCATGCATTAGCTATTTATCCTGATGCTCTACCTCCCCTCCACCTCTTCGACAGGTTCCAGTGTGTGTTGTTCCTCTCCCTGTGTCCATGTGTTCTCATTGTTCAGCTCCCATTTATAACTGAGAACATGTGGTGTTTGGTTTTCTGTTCCTGTGTTAGTTTGCTGAGGATAATGGCTTCCAGTGATATGTATTTTGATTAAGTCAAAGACTTATTATAGGTTATAAATCACAGTTCCCTGGAATTTCACAAAAGAACATAACTCTTTATGCAGCACATGGATGAGGAAACAATACTGCCAGTTCACCAGAAGTTCCTCTGTGCTAAGTCACTATCCTCAAGGCTGTCGTTCTGTTGGAACTATTTGTAGAAGTGTTGCTGTCAAGATACTGGTTTACATTTATTCCAGTATTTAAGAGATTAAATCACATTTGTCTGTTTGCTACTTGATATAAATGAAATCAGCATAAATTATTTCATATTTGGCTCCTATATTCCATAAGAATTTTTTGTGAATATATCTTTATGATTATGGTTTTTGTTGTTTGTTTGTTTGTTTTGATATGGAGTCTCGCTCTGTTGCCCAGGCTGGAGTGCAGTGGCACGATCTCATCTCACCACAACCTCCACCTCCCGGGTTCAAGCAATTCTCCTGCCTCAGCCTCCCCAGTAGCTGGGACTACAGGCATGCGCCACCATGCCTGGCTAATTTTTGTATTTTTAGTAG